>NC_000008.11:105089222-105714222 GCF_000001405.40 Homo sapiens | reverse complement strand
ACCCCCTGTCCCTCCCCACACACACCCTAGGAATACATCTAACTAAGGAGGTGAAAGATCTCTACAAGGAGAATTATAAACACTGCTGAAAGAAATCACAGACAAATCAAACATATGGAAAAACATTCCATGCTCATGGATTGGAAGAATCAATATCATCAAAATGTCCATACTGCCCAAAACAATCTACAGATTCAACACCATTGCTATAAAATTTTCCATGTCATTTTTCACAGAATTAGAAAAAAACTATTCGAAAGTTCATATGGAAACAAAAAGGAGCCCAAGTAGCCAAAGCAATCCTAAGCAAAAAGAACAAAGCTGGAGACATCATATTACCCAACTTCAAACTATACTATAAAGCTACAGTAACCAAAACAGCATGATACTGGTACAAAAATGGACACAGACCAATGGAACAGAATAGAGAACCTGGGAATAAAGCCACACACCTATAACCATCTGATTTTCAACAATGTTTCCAAAAATAAACAATGGGGAAAGGACTATCTATTCAATAAATGGTGCTGGGAAAACTGGTTAAGCATATGCAGCCTGGATGCCTACCTCTCACCACATACAAAAATTAACTCAAGATGGATTAAAGACTTAAATGTAAGACATCAGCCTAGGTAAAGAATTTATGACTAAGTCCTCAAAAGTTCTTGCAACAAAAACAAAAGTTGACAAGTGAGACCTAATTAAACTAAAGAGCTTCTGCACAACAAAAGAAACTATCAACAGGGTAAACAACCTACAGAATGGAAGAAAGTATCTGCAAATTATGCAACTGACAAAGGACTAATGCCCAGAATCTATAAGAAACTTAAATCAACAAGAAGAAAACAAATAACCCTATTAAAAAGTGGGCAAAGGACATGAACAAATACTCTTCAAAAGAAGAAATACAAACAGCCAACAAACATATGAAAAAATCACTAATCATCAAAGAAATGCAAATCAAAATCACAATGAGATGGCATCTCACACCAGTCAGAATGGCTATCATTAAAAAGTCAAAAAATAACATGCCGGGGAGACTATGAAGAAAAAAGGAATGTTTATATGCTGTTACTGGAATGTAAATTAATTCAGTCACTATAGAAAGCAGTTTGGAGATTTCTCCAAGAACTAAAAATAGAATTACCACTGAACCCAGCAATCCTATTACTGGATATATACCCAAAGGAAAATAAAATTGTACTACCAAGAAACACCTGCACTCATACGTTTATTGCCACACTATTCACTATTCCACTAGGACAGAATCAACTGAAGAGCCTATCTGTGGTGAATATACGCCACAGAACACTATGCAGCCATAAAAAAAGAATGATATCATGTCCTTTGCAGCAACATGGATGCAGCTGGAGGCCATAATCCTAAGTGAATTAACACAAAAATAGAAAACGAAATATTGCATGTTCTTACTTACAATTTGAAGCTAAACCCTGAATACACTTGGACATGAAGATGGGAACCAAAGACACTGGGGACTCCAAAAGGAGAGTGCAGGGAAAGGTCTATAAAACTTCCTATTGGGTACTATGTTCACTATCTGGGTGATGGGATCAGTAGAAGCCCAAACCTCAGCATCACGCAATATAACCTTAAAATAAACCTACCACTGCACTCCTTGAATCTGAACCTAAAACTACAATTAAACAACACAAAAAAAATGGCTTGTAGTCGCCCCAAATTTAATGACTGGCTCTTACAAGCTGGTAAGATTTGATTCCGACATACCTCCGCATCAGTTTCCTCACAGTTAATATTGAGGTAATACTGTCTACCTCACAACGTTAATTTGATGAAGGTTGCCTCCAATCTACAAGATAGAGTCTAATTACTTGTTTATTTGTTTATGGTCTGTCTTTCAAAATCTAAATTATATGATGGCCTAGTCTATTTCTTTTGTTCACCACTATGTCTCATTTCTTGTGACAATGCTTATGCTGCATGTCACTACTAAATATTTGTAGAATCAATGAATACATTCCTCTAGTAGCATAATGTTCTTTCTTCTCCTCTCTTTCTCCATCACTTGTTCCTTATCTTTTTTTGTTTCAACAACATCTTATAACTCTCCACTGGTTCCTCACCAGCCTTTTTCCCCCAGTTAACAATCCTGCACTAACAGCCTCTGTACTAACTAAATTAACCCAGTTACCAGAAAAAGAATTCAGCAAATATTTATTGTTGCTGAATTAACTCTGGAACAAAATGCAGTATAAGATATGTCCTCTAGGAATTTAAATCAAGTTTCAGGTGGGTTAAGAGGCATAAATACACAAAAAGACCACAATAGATATATATAAAACCATAGAAAGAAGCCTCATAATAAAAGTTTTGATTTTTATTGGCAGAGACTTTGAGTAGCAAAGAAGTTCAGGGGAGGAAGACTGATGAGGCCTTAGGTGGTTAGGAGAAGCTTTATGAAAAGACCTAAAACTCCATCTGGTCTTCGGAGCATATGTACTATTTTCATTGGAAGAAAGGACTTTCTTATGGAGGAGATATTCAGAAACAAGGAAGAATGAAAGACACACTTCTGGGGGTAAAAATCATGAAGGCTGAGACTCGAACTTATTTCTCCTTGTACAGTGGTATATATAGTATGCACTCTGAATATTTTCTGGATAAATTAATAAACACATATATAAATTAGTAACAAGTTCATATATAGGAATTACAAAGAGTATGTCTAGAAGAGAGGATTTGAGCCAGGTGACAAAACCTACTAAGGAAGCAATTATTCTCTTAAGAGTCAGGGAGACAACTAAAGATCTATTCTTTTAAGTGGAGAGCTTATATATCCAGAAGTATTTAAGGCAGAAATCTGAGGTGTAATAATACAGATAGTTGGGCAAACTATGCATTGGGAAATGAACTGGAGCCAGAAAACTGGCTGGGAAGTAAGAGGAATATAAGATAGCAATAGCTGTTAGTTGTGAAAAGGCAACAGCTCTAACGGATACTTTGGAGCAGAGTTTGGCAAACTATTTGGGTAAGGATGCATATACTGAATATTTTAGACTTTGTGTCCCAAATATTCTTGTTGTTGGCATTTTATTTTTAAACTCCTTTAAAAATATTTTTTAAAACTATCGTTAGCCCACAGAGACATAGTTTGCTGACACCTACCTTAAAGGAATACTTTTAAAAAACCTTAATGACCAAGTATGTGTAAGGAAGAGGGGAGAATCAAAAATTACATCAAGATATTAAGTTGGCTGGTTGAGAGGATGAACAAAAAGAGAGAATGAAGCAACATCACAATGTAAAGATAAAACAACATCACAATAACTCACTCCCTTGAAGGGATTCCAAGTGAATGTTCATAATGACCTTACGAATAAGTTACTATTATTAGAACCACTTCAATGATGAGGAAACTGAGACACAGAGAAATTAAGAAAATTCTGAAAGTCATCCCTCTAGTATATGGACAATCTAAGCTTTGGCTTGGAAGTCAGCTCTAATAACCACTGCACACACATACACCCCCCCACACACACATACACACACACACACACACACACACACACACACACACACAATTTTGTGCATTTTTAGAAATGTTAAGATTGAGGTTATGACAGAGTTCCAATATTTAAAATAAATTTATATTTTCTAGGGTAAAATTGATTACCAAGATAATTTCTTTCTCATTGCATATCTCTCAATTTGAAGATAGACTATAGGGAGCTCATAAATGCAATTCTCATGTCGTATGCACATAAAAGAATTTCCTTTCACCATCTGCTTACAAATTAGGAATGTTCATATAACTTGCTTAGGCCAATGAAATCTAGGCAGAAGTGATATGCTTATTAAGAGCCAATGGGCAATTTACCATATATCCCCCTCCTTCTAATTCAGTGGTCAAAGAAACCCATGTTGAGGTCTACTATCTTCAATATCTGAGTGAATACAAACGACAGAACCTCCCTGGTGACCACATTAGACATGTTGCATAAATGAAAAGCAGTACTTGGTTTTACAGACCACTGAGATTTTGAAGTTGTTTATAACTGCAGCATAACTTTATTTATGCCAATTACTTCACAAACGTAAAGTTTTTTTTATCTCAGTTGAACTAAGAATGCTTCTTCATGAAAAAAAAAAAAGGATCAGACTAAATAATGGCTAAAGAACCTTATGAGTCTTATGATGAAACTATGTAATTCTGTTAAAGCTGACTTTAAAAAGTATGTGACTTACCAAGAATTAAGCAGACTTAAAAAAAATAATGTCCCCAGTTTCTGGAACAGATTGAAAGGCTAGCATACATTTAAACCTTGTGCAATGCTTAGATGTAGCCAAGGTTTGCAAACCCCTCTGAAATGGGTCTGAGTTTTGAGTTTCATAGCGAAATCCAAAACCTTAGAAGAGAGTTTCACATTTCACCCTGAAAGTTTCATACAGCTTAAACTTTCGTATCTTTTTCAGGTATCAGACTACAAAAAGTTCCTAAAATTTTTTTCTTTAAATAAATAATGATTATTTACTTAATTCTATTAAATTCAGAATACTCTGCTGTTCTTCGTGTACAAAGATAATATCACTGACCTACTCTCAGTTAAGTATTCACTCTCAGTTAATTTTAATTTCTGGTTGATCCTGGACTACAATTTATTTGCCCCAAACTTTTAAGTACTGTAAGTAGTGGCATACATTTTTTTAAAAATCTGGTTGAGCTGAGCTGTGTAATCTGGAAGCCTGGGAGCTAAGATATCTCTGGTGAACGAACCTCTTAATCTTAGCTCTGTTAGTTCCATGCTATTAACCCAGTGAGATGACTTTTAGAAGAAAAAAGAAAACATCAAGAACACCTGTCTAATCTTTTGACCAACTCCATTAAGATATGCCTAAGGCCAGTAATATAGACTATAATAAAACTGGACAAAAATAGCCATGTTTTTAAATTTTATGAGTTTATATTTGAAGATTTCCATAGTAAAAACCAGATTGATGAGTGAAAATGTTGCATTCAATGATTTACTTTAAATCAAAGGCAAAAAATTGTGAGTCATGTCTCCTTAGGAATAATACTCCAGGAATCCCTTTTCTCCCTTTCTGACCTTTTATAATACACACTATCAAAAGGCACATCAGAGAGCCCATCTTGTTCAGGTTCTCCCCTTTCTCTACTACCAAAAAATAGAATAGTTATTTGGTCAGCACCATGTTTATGCTTTGAGCTCCAAATTTTGTTGAAGTAATGAACAATTCTAATTTAAATATGTTCCTACTGCAATGTAGAAGTTGTGCTCTATGAAAAGAGTTCGAAAATGTAAATAAGAAACCTTGGATGATTTTACTTTATCACCTTTGATTCAACCCATGGCATATGTTTATAACACAGGAAGTACTTTATTATTTGCCAAAATAATGGGTTTTTGCCATTTTGTATTCTTCCTACTCAATGTTTCTATATCTGTAAAATGGATATAAAAACTCTTATCTACTAATAATAGGCCAGGCACGGTGACTCATGCCAATAATCCCAGCACTATGGAAGGCCGAGGCGGGTGGACCGCTTGAGCCCAGGAGTTAAAAACCAGCCTGGGCAACATGGCGAAACCTCATCTCAACCAAAAATACAAAAATAAAATAAAATAAATTAGGTGGGCAGGATGGTGCACACCTGTAGTCCCAACTACTCGGGAGGCTGAGGTGGGAGGATCACCTGAGTCCAGGAGCTTGAGGGTGCAGTGAGCCGTGATCACACCACTGCACTCCAGCCTGGGCAGTGGAGGGAGACAAAACAAACAAACAAACAAACAAACAATGGCAACGAAACCCCAAGAAAACTCCTATCTCACAGAATCATAATGACATTAAAGGAAATAAAGAACAGTGAAGCTGTTTTTAAGTGGTAAAACAACATACACAATTAGATATCTTTATTATACAAAATCCTAAAATTACTAGACCAGTTAATATTTAATTTTTCATATTTCATAATTAATGTGATGTAATATGATGATTCTCCAATTATTATAAGAATATGGAGGTCGATGACACAGGTTTTACTCTTAAAAGCCCAAATAATCCCAGAGCTAGTCAATTTTTTAGTTCTAGTGGATCATACTTGTGGCTAATTAGAGAAAGTCAAAACTGTCAGATCCCTCCTAATCTTGTTGGGACTAGCTGACAACCCAAAAGACTACATTTCCCAGCCTCTCTCGCAGTTAGGGTGGAACCATATGACGAGTTCTAGTCAATGAGCTGTGGACTAAAGAGTTAAAAATTATTTTCCTCAGGCTAACCCCTAAAGCTTTCTTCAAGGGATTATTCTTTCAAAAAGCAGCATTCCAAGATGAAAGGAGAGTTATAACCTGAATGTCCATGAGGTAAGGTGCCTCTACTCTCCCTATTTTTGGTCATATATGTTGGATGTTTATGTGAAACAGTCAGTTTGTGGGGAATAAAGAATTACTGCCAGACTATCAGTCATAATATAATTTAATTCTTTGTTTCCTTCATTGAAAAAGTGTTGCTACAAAACAATGTCACCTGACTAAACAATGTGCTTCCTGACACAGTATTAATACATTTACATTTTGATACAGATTCCTTATCTTGTTATAAACCAGTAACGAACAATTCAACAGATAGCAACAGTACAAGGCCATACACTGA
This sequence comes from Homo sapiens, assembly GCF_000001405.40. NCBI lineage: Eukaryota > Metazoa > Chordata > Mammalia > Primates > Hominidae > Homo > Homo sapiens. Next base: position 105,707,574 of record NC_000008.11, on the reverse strand, counting down.
ATTGGATTGGTCTTACCTACCCTGACCAACAGACAAAGACCCTACAAGGTAGGGACAGAGCTTGTAGGTGAAAGTTGTGTATTCCCCAAATGCCATGTTAAATGAGGTACATCAGATGCATATTTATAATTAGATATGTTTCCTAGTATGTGACAGTTTATGCTTGTCATCCCACACTAATTGCACACCTTCTTTTGCTTTCTAATTGTCCCATTTAGTATGGTACATTATTTGGTCACCTTTACATAGAGCCTCACCTGATAAAGTAGAAGGAGAATTTGGGGTAAGAAAAAATAATGATGCTTTTTTTTTCTTTTTCTTTTTTTTTTTTTTGAGACAAAGTCTTGCTCTGTTGCCCAGGCTGAAGAGCAGTGGCATGATCATAGCTTACTGCACTTTTGATCTCCTGGCTCAAGTGATCCTTCTGCTTCAGCCTCCCAAGTAGGTTGGACAACAGGTGTGCACCACAGCAACTGGCTATTTTCAAAAAATGTTTAATAGAGATGAGGTCTCCTTATGTTGCCCAGGCTGTTCTCAAACTCCCAAGCTCAAGCAATCCTCCCACCTTGGCCTTCCAAAGTCCTGGGATTACAGCCATGAGCCACCACACCCAGCCTAAATACTTTTTAATCTACACTACCAGTAAGTATTTTTCATAAGAAACCATTATTAAATGAGTGATTAAAACCAAGAGGGGCAGGGCGTGGTGGTTCACGCCTGTAATCCCAGCACTTTGGGAGGCCGAGGCGGGTGGATCATTTGAGGTCAGGAGTTCAAGATCAGCCTGGCCAACATGGTGAAACCCCGTTTCTACTAAAAATACAAAAATTAGCCAGACATGGTGGTGCACACCTGTAGTCCCAGCTACTTGGGAGGCTGAGGCAAGAGAATCGCTTGAACCTGGGAGGCGGAGGTTGCAGTGAGCTGAGATCATGCCACTGTACTCCAGCCTGAGTGACAGTGAGACTCTATTTCCAAAAAAAACCCAAAAACAAGAAACAAGAGGAATCATCAGTTATTTACTTTTGCTATCCTCATTACCAGGAACAAAAAAATATAAAAACAAAATCTCTAGAACACATACCATATCACAGTTCCACACAAAAAAATAAAATGAGGAATGTTTATATTGTTTTAGAGTAATCCTTTGAGCATTTTAATCAAGTTGACTAAAATGAATTTCATTTCCAATGTGATTTTACACAATAGTCTTCATTTTTGCATACTGTCATACGCTTTTGTGCATTGATTCTGATTTTTGTATTTTAGGCACTATTAATAATCTTGACGTTGCCAAAGTCACCCTTGTTCAGGGACTTAGAATTTTCACAAATCCTATGTATGTTTATATTTGAATTATTTCATAACTTTTAAAAGCAATATAGCAGTTGATCACTGGACTTAAGCAACTTGGTTTTGGCTCTTTCTCTTACTATCTGGGTGGTTCTACTCAGCTTATTTAATGTCCCTAAGACTTAGCTCCTTCATCAATAAAATGGGGATAAATATATATACACTCACATGCCTGGGAATGCTGTGAGAATTAAATTAGGTAGTGTATTAAGGAATATATAAATCGTATGGTGCATGTGAAAGTGAAATTGCATGTGAAGTAATTCAATACTAGATTTGGGGTAACTTATTCCACATTTCTGAAGGAAGGATATCTATTAGTCAAACAGTCCTGCAGTCTCTCTGCCCCATCATTCATTTCGCCTCAGTAGAAAAGGGCTGACTTTTCTAGCAAGTGCATTTTGGAGAAAGAACTGAGTTTTGACGCTTCTTCTATTCCTTCACTTGGGAGCCAGCTTATGCCCCAAGAATAGACCTTCCTTTGGGTCCATTTTCACCCAGGGTAACAGGGAGTCGTCCACTGCAGTCTGTGTGGCTCTGGGAGTAAACCTAGCAAAGTCTTTGATGCATTTTGAGGTAGCTCACTTGGTCACACATGTTCACTATTATCTTTAATCACTTTGATCCATTAAAGCTGATATTTTTATCTTCATTTGCCATATGTCATATCTACCTTTCAAATAGGAAGGAATGAGAAGTACTACTTATTTGTCCCAATTTGTACAGTAAATTATTTGGTCATCTTTACATAGACCCTTCCCTGATAGGTAGAATGAGAATTTGGGATAAGAAAAAATGATGGATTTATTGTTTCTGGTCAAACCCCAACAGAAATAAGGTCCTGTAATGAAAATATGAATGACACGTTATATATTGGTATTTATTGTAGTTTTTAGTTTCTTTTGAAGTATAAAACAGTCTTAAACTTAATCTTATTTGTATATTGCATACACACAATGCTTTCATTCTTTTATTAAAAATTTTTATTCCCTAAATATACACTACATTAAATTAAATATCTTCACATAACATACTGATTTTAGAATCAGAATACATATATATATATATATCAATTCAGAAAACACATAAAGAGGCAATTATACTAATTTAATATGATAACATGCTTTGACTAGCTTTCCAGTATTAACATCATGATTAAAACATAATCCCTTAATTATATACTGGCTTAGATTTTACAAATGCTCTCTCATCCATGATCATTTGATCCTGTCATCTTGTCCTCCATTTGACCAGGTTGCCTAAGGTAAAGGGCTGCAGCCACAGATCCCTAAGACGAGACTAACTGACTAGAGGAGAATTTAACTTGCAACTTGAGCCTCTCTGGTATTCTGTGCTAACCAGTGAACTAAATGGTCAAGAAGGAAACCTCATCAGAAAATGAACTGGGATTCATACAGGGGATACAGTGCTTTTGTGGAGTTGAACTGTAGTCCACTTTCCCTTATGAGGCAGCACATCTTATCTAAGTGTTGCAGATGTTTCTCAAATGGCCTAATAAATATTAGAATATCATCTAGGTAAATGAGGTAAATATGTCATTGGAATCTTGCAGCCTTCCATAATTAAATGCAACACACCCGCTACTTATTTTCTTTCTATCAAGCTAAACTTGGCTAGCTTGAATCGCCCACATATTTTGATAATATTCCTTCCTAAGGAAACTGGGATTCATTCACCTTGGCAGGGGTGGGGGTTGGAAGAGCGAAAGTAGTTACCGAATTAACATGATATAGCTTAATTCTGCATCTTTCAAGCACAGAGAGAACCATGTACTTCAAATGTAAGATACCAAATCAATCAGACTAGAACTCTAGCCACGGAAGAGGCCATGACATTTCAGACAGCGTCAGTCTTTAAGCTGCATCCAATTTTCTGCCAGATTCAGGATTTAGAACAGATAGTTTTCTAATTTTTGTTGATTTAAAGTAGTCCAATATATGTAAAGGGGGAGGAAATATGTAGTTTTATTTCTGCCAAATTTTCAGTAATGCAAAATCCACGTAAAACCAATTTAGCAATGTTAGGTCTTTAGCAGGTTCAGAACTTAGTCCTCTGATTCCAAATGTTGAGAGAGAGAGAGAGAGAGATAGCTTGGTGTTTTCCCTGTGGTCAGGGTGAAGGTCCTCTTGTGTGGGCAAGGGGCTTATGTGGTTTGAATTCACTACTGGTGCTAAAGGAGAGAGAACTCAGGATTTATTACCTGCTTGCCCAGATGTGGGGCATAAGTGGAAGAGGAGAGGTGAAGCCTAGAAACTGTCAACAGTCAAACATGAAGAAAAGGTAACAGCATTCCTCTTCATATCAACAATTATAAAAATGAAGGGCGGGTGGATAGTGATACAGGATAATCGTGGAAAGACATATATTAAAACAGTTGATTCTTTAAATATGACCTGAGCCATATTGCCCTGAACAATGAAGATAGTGTTCCTATGCAAAGAAATGATTTTTATAATGAAATGCTTGAAATATTAGAACTTATTGATCTATATATGAATGCAAACTAGTTTAGGAAAACCAAGAGAAACATCTACAGCTTTTCAGGTTGCCATATGTAATGAAGGCCCAGCCTCACCTGAGCACAGTTTACTTCTCTAGCATCCATGTCACACAATCTGTTCTCATGCTGCATAACACTGAGATTCTGCCCATTTCCTAAACAAGCCAAGACCTTATTAAAAAAAACAAAACAACAACAAAAAACTTTCTACTTTGTGTACCTCGATTGCCCTTCCCTTCGTTCTCCGTCTAGCAAATTTCCTTTACTGAATTACTGCCAAATCCTTCCAAGTGGTGAGTCCCACTATCCCCTTTGTTTCCTTAATACGGATTTTCTCCCCAGTAGATCTCTCTGTAATTTGTGTTTTTCTATTTACCTCAGTATATAAAGAAATGGCCCTAAAGCTTAAATCTTTGTGTGGATAGCACTAAGTGCAGTGCCAAGTAGACAGTGGGTGCTCCATATATGTTATGGTATTATCTATTATTAATAAATAATACTATTAATAAAGCTGTTTCTTCTGATCTGAAATGGACACATTTTTCTTAATGTGAGTCATTCTCATTGGTTCTTACCATCATGCTAATCCTTGGTCTAGAACCTTCTCTACAGAATATAAGAATGTTGGGCGCGGGGCGGGGGGCAGGAAAGGAGTCCAAGCAAAACTCATTCCTCACCATTCACTTGGTTATTGTTTCTTTTCACTTTCTCACAGGAGAAGTGCTACAGAACTGGCATAATTATTTTAGATAATATTAGATTACACTATGCGAAGTTTTCTGTGAGTCCTGCCTGTCCTAACCTTCCATCCCAACATTTGTGACTCTTGGCTCCACAATGTCAGAGAGAAACAAAAAGCAAGGCAGTGCCTTCACTTTCTCCTGCTGCTGATCTGGTTGTCAAAACTGAGAGCAAGGCACAATGCCAAAATACATACCCATTTTCAAATCCATGATCCGATTTTTCTAGGGTCAGGCAAATAGGTGGGGCACTGAGGTAGAATCCCAACTCCCTTATACACGTGTCCCCTTTTGGGGTTGAGGATGAACAACCAATTTCTTTATTTACCACACTGAAACACTTGACTTCTAATGTAAAATAAGGAGATAATTTTGGTTTGCCGTTAAAGAACATTTTCCTGGGAAAAGCTCTGTTCTTAAAATCTGAGAGGAAAAATCTGCAACCAAACATTTTGCACTGAAGCCTGCTTTGGAAGAAAAGGTAGAAGTGGAAAAGCTACCAAATGACACAGCCATTAACACTGTTACTATCACCCCATTTCTTGATGCAACACAGCAATTTGTGATTTTCAAAGTACTTTTCACCTACATTTGATGCCCAAGATAAATCTCCCTGTAATAAAGGTGATGACTATTCTCATGGGAAGACCTAACACAGGCTGCTGTTACATTCTGTGGCTAATGCCTTAGCTATTGTTTGTTGAAACCCGTTTCTTAAAATTAATGCATAGAGGATGCTGATAGTTGGAAACCTGCTTGTTCTTGAAAAACAAAACAAAACAAAGAAAACAAAGCAAAGACAAAACAAACACAAAGAAGCAGCCCTTTAAGAAGCTGAGCAGACACTTCCTGTCAAATAATGAACCACATTGTAAGATGGATTTATTCATACTACAGCTGTGATTTGATAACCAATTTTGTTTGGAATTTATTTGTGAAATGTCACACAATCCAAGATGTTTTAATTATGTTACATTTAATCCAACACTGCTGATTATAAAATGAGTGATCAAGAGTTAAATCAACTAGAGTCTAGAAAAGATGTAGAAAGAAAGACTGCTATAGTGCAAGCACATCAAACCTGCTGCTATGTTTGACTGGTGATTTGTTTATGCTTAAACGAAAATTCCCCTGGCTTAAAAAATATATATACTCATTTTTGAAAAATGACTGTAGTTTCAGGTTAACACACAGTTCTTTATAGTAGAAACTTTACAATCATCACCATGAAGACTATATTTTCAGGTAATATTCACAAATCCCTAAGGAATGAACTTCCAGGCATGTATTTTGTAACGTTAAATTATGCATATTTCTACCACTACTTTCCTGCTGTTTAGATGTGGTATTAATGGTACGTCTGAAGATGGCATGGCACATATTACAACCTTTTGTTTAGCAGATTTATTAGAAAGTGTTTTAGCCTTTGTGATTTAAAGACACATTTTCATTTTTGCTTGATTATACAAGATTGCTTTATACAGAATAGTAAGTTTACTTTCCATCTAAGTTATTCAAAAATAGGTTGTATATTACATATGCTTTTAGAATAACTCTAATTCACCACTAATAGCAGATAGAGACAGAATATAAACTAAAGGGTAGGAAATTCCACATAAGATCAAATGTCTTGAAAAGCTCCACATAATCACTGAGTCAAAGAAATATCAACAGAACTGACTTTATAATAGCATTTCAGAAATTTCTGTCTTTTTCCAAGTAGAAAATCCTAACAGAATATAGGTTTTGCTTGTCAGATGTCTAAAAATATATTTCAAATATTAACTATAGCCAACTCTGCTGTTTCTCTATTCCCATTCCAAGATAAAACAAGGAAAAACAAAATGTGAGAATGAAAAACACTTTATTTCTCTACACAATCCAAAATGTTATTGATATATTAAGTTTAATGTGTATTTAATTATCCCAACAAAAATACCAACAAAACACACTATTTATCATAAAATCAAGGAAGTACTCAACAATGCAAGACAATGGCAGGTTATGGCAAAAACAAAATGTAATTTAAAAAATTTAAAAATGTGGTGTCATATTAGAACTGATAGGGATGGCTGGGCGCAGTGGCTCACGCCTGTAATCCCAGCGCTTTGGGAGGCGGTGGCTGGATCATGAGGTCAGGAGTTTGAGATCAGCCTGGCCAACATGGTGAAACCCAGTCTCTAGTAAAAATACAAAAATTAGCCAGGCGTGGTGGTGCGCGGCTGTAATCCCAGCTACTCAGGAGCCTGAGGCAGGAGAATCACATGAACCCGTAAGGTGGAGGCTGCAGTGAGTGGAGATCATGCTACTGCACTGCACTCCAGCCTGGATGACAGTGGGAGACTCAGTCTCAAAAAACAAACAAACAATCAAACAAACAAACAAACAAACAAACAAAAAACTCCTAGGGATAAGGTCAACAGTGGAAAATCACATAAAATAAGCAGCTTTAAAATTCTGGACAATAACCAGCTTTAATACAAGTCACAAGATGTAACAAATTTATCAGCAGGTATCTAATATGTATTATTAATCAAATAACCAGGCAACCAGTAACTAGTGCTATTTTGGAAACTAGACTTGTACATACGTATTTCTAAATGTGGAAACCTAGAAAATGTCTGCTAATGTAATAATTCTTGAAAACCTGATTAATTCTGAAAATTACTAAAATCAATTCAGGCTAAGTCGTTCCTCACTGAATACGGATAAAATAACTTCAAAATCCATAGCCACTGGTTGCCACGCAACCTGCTGTAGCATTATGGCAGAATAAGCTGGGCTTGAATTTTCTAGGCCCTCTTGCTTTGCCGACTTGATGTTTTGATACCCTAATGCGTCTCAGCTAACTTCCATTAAGTAGTGTTTTGTGGGGTAGTATTCCAAGGTTAAAATGATTAAATAACTTTTATGGTTGATCAAATATAAGCCCTTATTATACACAGTAGGCAAAATCATACATTTTAATTACTTTGTTATCAAAGATCTAAGTATTTACATTTCATTTTTCAATAATAATTCTGAGTTTAGTAGACCTTTCAAAAATACCTAAAATATTGCTCTTTAAAAATATTTATCATAAACAATAATGAAATTAGTCTAAGACAACAATAAATAATATTCGTTGAATGTTGAGTGTTCAACATTTTTATTTTATGACTTTGTGTAGCTAGTTTAGATTAATTTTTTTCAATGTAATCAAATTAATTATTTGAGAGTTTGCATTATATTTCTCACTTTGCAACCATGCACAAAATAAAGAAAACTGATCAATATTTGATCACAGTTACAGCGCATTAATTCAAAGTTAATTTTCAGTGGAATCATTGCCATTATTCACTTTTGAGAGGTGTTATATGAATATCAGGAAAAATACCCAATCTTTATAAAAAGAAAAACATTTTAGAATAGAGGCTTAACAAAAGAACTATATCATTAAGAAAAAGAAATTCCTTTCAAAACAATACTCCAAACTATATGTTTAGAAAAATACCAGTGTGGCTTCATCTTATACCTTTAAGTTTGTACAAATATGAATTATTCTCATATAAAGAGAGAATCAGAGTGACCAAAGTCTCTTTAATAACATCATCTCTCTTGGAAATCCACTTATTATCAAAATGGAAAGCAATTTAAAATCTAGCCATTAACCTCTAGAACTTATGTAAAAACAGATTTATTAGAATAGGAGAGAAATACCATTTTAGTAATTTACACTATAAATATTTCAAAATAAAAATATTACCCTCCATTTATTACAAAGGAAAATGAATATGTCAAAATTCACTCACATTTAATTTTAATGGCAAGATGTTCAGATAATTACACCTTATAGAGAGACCCAAATTTGCAATTAAGTTCAAATAGATTTAATATTGCTTAAGTCTGACATTAGGTAAATTAAACTGCAGATCTTTTTTAAATAACTTATGTGCTCATTTTTACTTGCATAATTCTAAAATTCGTTGGCTTAGGTCAATGTATTAAAATAGCATCTTGCCAACCTTTTCCAGGCCCTCAAAAGAATATAGCAAGGAGAGAAGAAAATGACACTGATTTTGATTGTATGGGAATTGGAAATGGAAATGTTCTAGATGAAAAGATATTATAAGTCAAAATATCAGTATGCAGGTAATCTAAACAACATTGAAATTGAAGCTGTGTAACCTTGTTGCAATCATAAAGCCATATAATTTTTATTATTTTAACTATATAACCAATGTTTATTGTCAGGGAACTGTCTAATGTATATTTTTATATCTCTGTTCTTCAAAAGTCTTTTTGTTTTAATTTCTGTATAATCCATGAACTTTGTTCGTCTAAAAGCTATAAAATGCTAAATCAAGTTTTTCCAACTTGGGACTATTTCTACTAAAATAAAAATGTCCCAAATTAACAGTTAAACTAGGCATCAAAAAATTCAAATTAATATATTCCTTTTTGTATTGATTAAAGCACTGACTTTGCTAAGAAGTAACGAGAACATTTTTATTATTTTTTAAATAACAAATGATACATGAATTTAAGAAAGTGAAAAGTGGTTTCTTTGCTATAAGTTATCTTGGAGCTTTGAATATGTTGATATGCATTTTGCAGTCCCCAGTGACTTGCCCAGTGTGTTCACCATGGATGATACCCCTTCTCTCTCCACCTCTGCCACCTTCCCTAGTGTCTCTTCCGCTTTGCAAGCCCTGGTCTGGAATCCAAGAAATGTAGAAATTGAGAACAGATTACCTAGTGAAAGTTGGAAAGTATATCCTGGCTCATGATTAAGGGAAAGGTAGAACTAGTATTCAAAGGTAATTAGCACTGATTTCAATTCAAGCCACATCAACAATTTCTACTGAGTACACACCATTTGCATAGAGCAAAATTAGGCATTGTGAAAGACATGAGAGAAATACAAGGGAAAATACATATATTTTAGGAACATATTACAATATATCAAAATATGTGATTCAGAGATCTGAAAATGAATTTAAGGACCAGCTAACCCTTCTTCTCCTTGTTTGAAGATAAAACACAAACTCACAACTATCAGAGACTATGATAAGACCTTCTTCAACTCAGTTTTTTTTCTATGGCTCTCAGAATATAAGGGATATGGCAGAAGAATAACAGTTAACACCAGCAGGGAGTCTGAAATTACTTTAGCCATTCATATTTAGCTATGTTAAAAATACAGTCTGGCCTCCTTTGAAGTAATGCCACTATCATGGAAAAAGACAATTTTTAAAATTGTAAACTAAGGATGTAAATTTTAAGAAAAATATATCTAATTTTTTCATGTGCATACTTTAGGATTCCGTGAAAATTTCATTATACAGCAGGAAATACAGTTATACCAGAGTAAATATAAAGCTAAAGAGGGCTTGAAGTAAAAGTTTAAAGGATATATCATCAAACTTTAAATAGGCCTTTCTCTGGCCTGGCTAAATTACTACACTTCTTGATGCTGTTTGCTCCTCATAGCAATTGAAAGCATATGTAATTTAACAGCAGTCCTCAATCCTTTAATAAGCTGTCTTTAAAATACCTTACATGGATTACCTATCTGTAAATCTGCTTCCCATGCAGAATGTGACAGCATTATGGAAATTGTTAGTTCAGTAAAGATGGCATATACCAAAGGCAACTACATCTGCACCGTCTAAGATTGTACCAAACATTGGAAGTAATCTTTCAGCATTTATAATACTGCAAAATGCATAATTAAGATTAAGCGCTCATTCTAACCTTCATTATGGACTGTGTATTTCAAATTTGGGAGGTAGGTAAGACAGAAGTGGAACTATAAAGTATCACAGTAAGACTGCATCTTTTAAATTATATGAAGTTGGTTCTATCTCATAGACTCGGATTTTCCGCATTTGTCAGATTAGCAGATAATCATGTGTTCACAGAAAATTGGGTAGAGAATTTAAGATTTAAAAGTTGAAAATCTGAATATATATTTGGCTTAATTCTTTTATTCTAATTTTGAATTATAAGACTTTCATAATCAAATACATATCAAGTTCATCAGGGGTCACCGATACCCCAATTTATTTATCTGATTTATATTTAGAGATTATCAGTTTCAAACAGATTCAGGTGAGCTAGATCACTAAGTAGAATAACAAACTTGTAAAAAAACTAACAGTATGCAAGCCTGCTTCAAAATTACATGCAGAAACTGCCAGAAATAATGCTATTATTTATAGTTTATCAGTACAGCAAAACAAAATTTAAAGAAATATAATTTAAAGTTGTCTTTCCAAGTTTTCCCAAGTTAGAGTAGAATAAAAATATTTCATATTTGTGTTTTCTGATAATAAAAGGGACTCTTAAAAAAGGGAGGCAGCTATGCGAATGCTATTGTTTCTTTACGCATATCCTCGGTGAAAAAATATTATCTCGTAAATAATTAGCTCTCTAATTTTTAATAACTTTGGTAGCAAATAAAGTGGAAGGAAGTGAGCCTATACATGAGTGCTCAGAAATAAAGCTCTCTTCTGGTCATAATCCTCAGTTTCAAAGTTAATAGAAATGAAAATTCTTAAATTTTATGCTACATACCCATGTTGAATGAGAGTCACACTTTATTACGCAGGTGACAGAGGAAAGGGATTAAGGGGGAAGGATGTCCACGATCATATAAGGGTAAGTGAAGGATTCTTAAAAGACTTACTCGATTTGGTAGGCAATTTCTCCGCCTCACTGCCCAGGATACGACCTTAGCTAGACCTATTCCTACAGTGACCCCATTGAGAACACCAGGATGGTGCACGGCAGGGCCCAAAGGGGTAGACCTGGTGAATCCCTAATCTTCTCACTGTGTTCAGCAGAGACTCTCAAAATAAGGTAGATCCATGTGTGCCTACTGTTATGTTCACAGCAGGGATGCTATATTAATATTGCACTGTTAGAGATGAGCCCTAATTACTGACAAGATTCATAGTTATGGAAAGAAAGTGGGAAAAATATAATCTAGGCCTCAACATTAAACATGAAAAGTAAGACAAAGATTCTGCAGAGAGCAAGAAAATCACATTTTGAGGTTACTGCTTTGTTTTCATTTCCATCTACTTTACAAAAGCACTCTTTTTTCTCATTTCTAAAGTGGGATCATCTACACTTAGAAAAGAGAAGAAAAAATGAAAAATTAACTAAGTCCAATGTAGAGATGACTTAAATATGTAAAAATATACGCTATATATTTCTATAATAGTACATTTACCTATTTTCTGCTCATAATATTTTATTTCTCTAATGTCTCCAACCTGCAAAAATATCTTAAGCACCTTTCTTTTCTTTGGTTTTGAGTGATTCTCAGCATGCATGAGTAATTCTGATTTCATCAAATGTGTTTGGTGACTGCACTTAACAAAACACTGAAATGTGAAAACAGAAATCCAACTCTAATAATCATCCAGATGTAACCCAAATCTAAACATCAACTTCAGAGCTAGGCTACTACAAGTGCTTTCCTGAAACTGAGTATTTAATGAGTTGATCTCCATCAGTTAAACAAAAAGAAGCATGAGCTAAGTTTACAAAACAATTTCGGGTACAGCAAAAAAAAAAAAAAAAAAAAAAAAAATACAAACCATTCTTGCCTGACTTAAATATTTTGGAGTAATATAGACAGGGCTTTAATCTGCGAAGACACTGCTGTAAATACACTTTTCTTTTCTTCTTCAAGGTTATCATCCATGATTACGTATTTTCTCAGGAGATAGAGTAATTTGATCTAATATATTACAGGGAATTGTACGTGGAAGGATTAACAGGAATCTTTATTTCTTAAAAATACTATCATATTATGTCTCTTAATGACTGAATTATATTACATTTATAAAGTATGGCAATATGGCTAATGATTCAATGCTGATCCTATGTAGACAGATAGATCCGGATTCAAATTCTGATTCTACTGAGGATGGTTCCTCATTAGTTAAGTGGGGATAAAAACAGTACTTGTTTTAGAGGGTTATCTTAAAAAGTAAATGAGACATAATATATTTGAGTCATATGGATTGTCCTGGCTCAGAGTCAATTCTCAATAACAGTCATTATTGTTAATATGCTAGAATACCACTGATAAAGATGTATGTTTGAAATTTGTTCTTAATGTAAAGAAATAGGAAAACATCTTAATAGTAATTGAAATTTCTTAAAATTATAATTTTATATTAGATGACCTACTTGGAGGGAAGTCCAACTTCCTCAATGAAAATTGAATCGTATCACTTAGTAAAATTAATGTACTTAATTCATTTAATTAAAAGGAAAGGAGGACCTAAAGACATTGAGTAATTTAAACCATTTGCTCAGAAATATCCAATTCATCAAATAAACAAGAATTGATTGTTCATCAACTTCCAGGCACTGTGATAATCACTTTACATGAATATCTTATTTAGTTTTTAGACAATATTCATAAAGAGTTACTAACACAGTTTTCATATTACAGATTGGAGACCTGAGTCTCTAAGAAGTAAAGTAACTTGCTCGATATTTTTATGGTAGAATGATTCAAGAAAAATTAGCCACATTTATTAGGAAGTAGAGACTTTTCTTTAAAAAAATCATAATTGTGATTTTTTTACTTATGCATTTCTTAAACTCCAAGAAAACAGAAAACTCTATTTGAGTCAATGAAGCAAATAATGAAACTTAAAAAAATTTGGAGAGGCTGGGCGCGGTGGCTCAGGCCTGTAATCCCAGCACTTTGGGAGGCCGCGGGGGGCAGATCACAAGGTCAGGAGATTGAGACCATCCTGGCTAACACAGCGAAACCCCGTCTCTACTAAAAATACAAAAAAATTAGCCGGCGTAGTGACAGGCGCCTGTAGTCCTACCTATTCGGGAAGCAGAGGCAGGAGAATGGTGTGAACCCGAGAGGCAGAGCTTGCAGTGAGCCGAGATCGCACCACTGCACTCCAGCCTGGGCAACAGAGTGTGAGACTCCATCTCAAAAAAAAAAAAAAAAAAAAAAGAAAAGAAAAAAAGAAAAGAAAAAAATTTGGATAATATATTGTATATTTCAAAATAGCTAGACAATAATATTTGAAATGTTCTCAACACAAATAATAAAATGTTTGAAGTAATGGATATCTTAAATACGCTGATTTGATCATTACCCATTGTATGACTACAGAGAGATATCACATGTACCCCATAAATATGTACAAATATTAGTTATTAATAAAAATAACTAAAATTTTAAAAATTGGATAATACACCATTTAAAAGATAAATTTTAGTCAGATTTAGTAGCAAGAAGCACATGTTACAGCTGTCCATATAGAAAATATATGGCCTATTGGAATTCAAAAAAATTTAAAATGGATAACAAAATTAGATTTATGATGAGCACATATAGTATATTCTTGATTTTGAAATATTTTATCTGGATATGTGCATCTTCTGTGTTTCAGTGCGCTTGGCTATGCTTTCCTAAGTATATTTTCCTAAATGTTGGGCATGTAGTGTAGTAGAGCAAAGAAACAACAACAAATAAATGGCTGAGACCTCAGCATTAACAACTTCATCTGCTCCTCTTTCTCTGTCTTCTTCAAAATGTAACTTAGGATGCAGCTGCTTGTCAGAAGTCCCAACGCGAGTTGCCGACAAGCTGCGGAATAGCCTGCACCAATGCACGTACACTTGACCTTCTCTACACAAGGTTATTTTTGTGAGGGCAAAGCCATTATTCATGGGGCTTTGCTGTTACTCCATTAACTTATTTGCTCATCCAAGAATCACTGGTTCTCTCCATGGAGGACTGGATCAGTATTCTCTTTATGTGACAATTTTATGATGGAAAAACAGAGTCCATAAAATAAACCTTCTTCTCTAATATCTCCACACTTGTGTTTCTATTCCAACTCAACAGAAGGGCACCATGCGACCGTAGCTTAGGCTCTTCTCATGTCATGCTCTGCCCATTTCAGTAGTTGCCCACCTATCACCTCTGTCTGCGTTCTACTTTCCAGCCAATCCTGCACACTCCCATACTTTCTCTGGAAACATCATTTAAAAAATGTCATTGCTCTGTGCAGAAAGAATTTCTAGCTTTCTATGGTCTACTCATCAATGAAAAAAATCTTTAACCTAGTATTCAAAGCCCTTCACACATGCCTTGGAAGTAGCTTCCTAGTGCTCTTCTTTACTCTCCTACTCATAAACATTTTCTTCCATCCTGAACAATTTTCCATTTCTTGAATACAAGTGGTTTTGTCCTGTTTTTATGTGTTTGTTTACAACAAATTCCAAAATGAGCATGGTACCTATCTGGAGTTTGGTAAATCACATCCATATTTCTAAGGCAAATGCCAATTCCAACCCTTTGGCTTTGTACAGGCAGAAGTAATCTTTTCTTCATCCATATTCCAATAGATGTTCTGCATTCTTCATAAAGCACTTAATGCATGCTACATTGAATTACATACTTATGAACATCCCATTTGTACGAATCTGATTATGTGATTCAATAATAAAATAATAATAATGCAACTGAATCTTCCATGCCAGTGGTCTTTAAAATTTTTATGTATTTGCACATCCATAAGCAAAATTTTGAGTTTGCACCCCCTACATATAGATATTTGTGTTTAAATTATTTGCATAATCCACTATATGAACACATTGTAGTCATTATAACACACATACAAATATGGACATTATAAAAAGAGAGATTAATAGGTGTTCTAACAATTTGTTTTCCTTGAAATACATGCACCCAACTTTTGAGACCATTCTGGACACTAGCAGTATACAAATTAAACAAATGTTTTTCAAGGACTTAGTCACCTTATAAACCAGGTCCAAAGATAATGTAAAAAACTAAATAAATCACAACTCACTATGTTCATAGTAGATTCATGATTCTGTTTCTTTGGAGTCCACTATAGACTCTAAAAGAGCATGACTTGTACAGAATCAATAGCTACTAAAAATGTTTTCAGATCAAAGAAGATTGTTAGCTTTTTGCCTAAATGTTTTGCCTAAAGTCAATTTAGTTTATTACTTGAGTAGAATTACAATTTGTATTTTTATAGTTTTTAATAAGTAGAAACATGTTTGCCTATCTTTCCTTGAAATTCACAAGAGTTGTATGAGATAAACTCTAAAGGAGCGCATAGTTTTTCCGTCAATCACTCTAGACCTATCATGTGTCAGGAACTATTCTACGTACTAATGAAACACCAGTGAGCAAGTAACTCAAATCACTACCCTCACAGGGTTCACACCTCCATGGGAAGAGATACACAATAAACAAGAAGAAACTAAACTAACATGACAATTCAGAGAGTATAAGTGTTAGAAAGGAAACAAAACATTATGATAAAAACAGAAAATTATTAGGTAACTGTGGGGAAGGAAGGTATAGTCAAAAATAGTGAGGGTGGTCAAAAAGTCTCTTTGGGGCTGGGCGCGGTGGCTCACGCCTGTAATCCCAGCACTTTGGGAGGCCGAGGCGGGTGGATCATGAGGTCAGGAGATCGAGACCATCCTGGCTAACAAGGTGAAACCCCGTCTCTACTAAAAATACAAAAAATTAGCCGGGCGCGGTGGCGGGCGCCCGTAGTCCCGGCTACTCGGGAGGCTGAGGCAGGAGAATGGCGTGAACCCGGGAAGCGGAGCTTGCAGTGAGCCGAGATCCCGCCACTGCAGTCCGCAGTCCGGCCTGGGCGACAGAGCGAGACTCCGTCTCAAAAAAAAAAAAAAAAAAAAAAAAAAAAGTCTCTTTGGGAACAGGGCGCTTGAGCCAACCTTGAATGAACAGTCAGAAGCAACTATGTGAACAGTAGAATGAGAGAGTACAAAATAATTAAGGAAAGAGGAATAAGCTTTACATGTCTGAGGAATTAAAAGAAGGCTAACATACCTTGGGGGCTATTGAGTAGGAGAGGATAATAAGAATTTCAATCAGGAGCTCTAGAGTCAGACAGATTGGGGTCAAATGCCATCTCCTCTATCAACTCTGTGACTTTGGAAGAGTTACTCTTAGGCAAAAGATTAATAAAACTGTTCTTACCTTCTGCATGTGAAATTAACTTGAGCTTAACTCTCTAGATAGTTTCCCTAGTAATCTGATAAAAGTTGGAATGTTAATGATATTATTAGGTAATAGTGCTTTTGGTAAAAATGACCACTGATTGGTAGATGGCAACGGAGGTGGGGGAGTATAAACACATTATTCAATATGTGATGAGGAGGCCATACTTAGGGCTTTTCAGTTTGGTGGCTCATAAAAGACATAACCCTGGGGATTTGCGGTGTGAGTTATTATGAGAGATATTAGTTTCTGTGGGTCATGAGGCTTCTGAGTCAGGGCTACTCCCACAGGTGTCCAAGGTGAGTCTCATTTCGTTGTACCTGAGCTGCCACCAAAGGAGAAGATATCTCCTGAGGAGCTACATGGCTAGAGAATGAACTGGTGTCTAGACTCCTGCAAGGACTCCTACTCAACAGGAATCCCTGGTGCGGAAGCTTGTGGTTCCTGTCCGGTGTCCTTCTCGATACACTGGCCCAGTGTAGCTTACGGTAGTTTTCTCAGTCTGAAGGTTTGGCCCCGATGGTCAATGCCAGCTAAATCTGTTTCCTCAATTGTTAAGTGAGAACGATAACAGCACTGGCTTATTCTGAGAATTAAAGAACATCATTTTAACATAGTGCTCTTGCGGAGCATCAGCATCAATCAAATGATTCTATAACTGTGAATTATTTTGTTATTAGTCTTATTATGCTTTTACATGTTCAGCTTAGAGAGATAACTGCCTTATTCAGGGTGAACCCTGGGAAACATCAAAGTGAAGACGGTAACCTCTCCCTGGCATCCTAATTGAGGTATATGTCATGTGCCATTCTTGCAACACTAGTTCAAGGCTATGCAAGTTCCTTAGGATATTCTATAGTGTGCAGGATACAGAGATGGATAAAAGTTTAGAGGTTCTTCTGCCTCCTAATCTCAAATTGACCTAATGATGTCACTGGAAGAGTAAATATAAGGAAGATCAAGAAGCTAATGGGATAAATCATCTGTTTCACTTTTTCTCTCTTTCAGTCTGTATCCTCTAGATCATGGACAGCCTATTGATCCTTCTAACTCTGCAGCAAAGCCTCCAAGTTAAAAAGGAAAATAAGTCTCTCAACACCATTATTTATTCAGCTGCACACAGTCTTGAACTGCTGAAATATAAAAATGAAACCAAAGCAGTTTCCATCTAATCACTTTTTTAAAAAATGCCATGCAGAATATGTTTATCACAATCACCATCATCATCATCATCACCACTGCTGTTGCCACTGCATCACCATCCAACATGAACACCACCAACTTAATCATGTCCCTGATTCAACAGTTTTCAACTTGTTTATACATAAAATAATGACAGAGTGTGATTGTTTGCCAAAAAAAGTTTTTCTATGAGCATCTTAATAACCAAGTTATAATAACCCAGTTATTTCCATCAACAAAAAAAATCTGAATAGCATTTGGTTTGTCTGTGTATCAGCAGAAATGCTTATGTGAATTTAGCATTTATTATAACTGATGAAGTCCTTTTAACTGGAGTGTATTGTAATAATATGTCTGCAAAACATAATATGTCTGTGAAAGATAATGAAATATTTTAGCATTTGCAATAAAAAGGTACTGAAGTCTCAGTTCCTTTTCAACTCTAACAATTATATCAACATCTATGTCTTACTCTTTTTAAAAAGTGTGATGTGTGACTTGATAGAATACATGTTAGGAAGTACAGGGCTAATTAACTTGGTTGAGGTGGTTACAGAAGGCTTCCATAAGGAATTATATTGTGATTGAGATAGGAAGGAAGAGTAGAAAATGCTTAGGTCAGGAAGGGAGTGGAGGTGGATGATGAGAGATGGAAGTACATAAGAGATGAACAGCATATGCAAAGGCTGTGGATATTACAAATTCTCACCAATATGAAGGATGGAAGAAAGGTCAGTGTAGAAGGTGAATAGTAGGTGGGGTGGAGCCACCATATAGGCAATTTATTTGAACACTAATGAGTAATTTATTCTGTATTGGTATGCTTCTCATATGCTCACATTAAAGCTGCTATATTAATACAATATTTCTGAGTAATTTATGCTTACTATGTACATAATAGACAATATTTGCTAAGTACATGATAGAGAATGAGAAGAGTGTAATGTATTCACAAAGATCTAGACTTATTGTCTGAGCCTTGAAAATAATGTCTATTCAAAAACATATGCCTTGAAAAATATTTGTGTGTATATGTATGTAAATGTATAGAAGACTATATAATATCTTCCTTCTGATGTGTTCCAAAGGATTTCCTGTGCTATCATATTTGTTTTCAACAAAAAAATCTATGAATAGTTTATAGATCAAATACATATAGAAAAGTTAAATGTCTTGCTCAACATTTTAAATTATTTTCGCCCATTAAATATTTTATTTCTTCCACCCAAAAGTTTGCCTAAATTTTACATGTTTATATATTCCATAAATGAAGCAACTAGTGTCAAATAATTTTTGTTATTTTTTATTTGAATAAAACCACCTACAATAATTTTCCTGATTTATAAAACTACTCAATATTTTAAAGCTTACATCATGTTTACATTTCCCTTTTATTTTTTACTATTTTCTTCATTATGACTTAAACATGTCATAAGCAGCTTGTAAATTTGTTAGTAAAATCCTTTGATCCCCATTGTACAGATCATCAGAACTCCTGAGCAACTTATACTTAATTGGCCCAGTGTTATTTTATTGAATTTTCCCATTAGCCATATTTATAGGCTCTTCATAACTTAATTTTCTATAATTTTCATTATTTTAGTTAAAACATTTTAAAGTTGAGTAGTTCAACCATTTAAACCTTATTGATTTCATCTGCTTTTCAGGTTATTCATGAACCCATTTTCTTTCTAGTGTTTCTTTTTCACCTGATATCATTGTAAGTGCCCCTTTGATGCCACTTACCCCTTTTAGCCAACATTAATTCACTCAACTTTATTTTCTTTTTTGCCCTTTCTAGCCCTCAGAGCTTAAAAATTTATATTCAATATACTATGTATTCTTCTTTTATTTCTTTCCCTTCTCCATTTTCATAATGTGTTCTTTTTATGTTCCTAATTCTTGATTGATCCTCCCATGCCACGTCCTTTATGCAGCTAAGTTTTCTAATTGAACATGATGCTTACAAGCATGTTCTAATTTCCTTCAAGTTCAGGATCTAATTTTTTGATGCTCCTGTTTTACTGCTTTAGATTTTGATATCCATTTTTATATTTCATCTATTTGATTTATGTATTCTAAATAATTGCCTTAAAAGTCCAAATATTATGTCAGGTTTTGTTATCAGTTACACACATAATTGTACTGTGAAAGACTAGAACTGGGTTTATATATGTGTTGTTCTGGGTTTCTTATTTATACAGTTTACATCTTCTTCACAAGTTTCTAGACAATTTTAATACAAAAAGTAATCTCTTAGCTTCTTGGCTTTTTCATTCTCTTTTAGTTCAAAGTGATTTCTTTGAATAAATATATGGCAGTGGGTTTTATTAATACATTTCCCTGAGATGACAAGATTCTCTTACAAATGTATAGTTTTGTGGTGAAACTCATTTTAAGCAGTCTAATAGTTCTCATAAGCTAACTGCTATAAAAAATGGACCCCAATATGTATAATGACTCAACAACAACAGCATATATTTCTTATGCATTGGGGAGGGGAATAGGCTGGCAGTGTGACCTTCCTCCATAAAGCCATTCAAGAACCTAGGCTGATGGAGTCTGATGCTTTCAATATGTGGCTTCCACAGTCATGTTGAGCACCATCTCCATTTTAGCCAGACAAAGGGAAAAACAGCATGGAGAAGCATGTGACCTGCAGTTAGTAACTCTCACCACCATGTGCATTTCACTGGTAAAAACATTCACACACCACATTTAACTACACAGGACACTGGGAAATTTGGTCTAGCTGTGTGCGTAGAAGGAAGAGGGGAGCCTGGGTTTTGGCAAGCAGCTAGCAGTTCTGCCACACAAAGTGAAGGAAATACTATATTTTCCAATACTGGCAGAGACTGTAAATAATAAATGTGAAATCAAAAAGAAATAATAAAAACTAAAAGGCATGTGATGTGATGAATTTTCTGTAGAAACACTTTAAAGCTAAGCCTTGTCTAGGATGACCACCTATATGATTTTTTAAAATTTTCATGTCAATACCGTGTGCTAACTATGAATGTTAAAACTTTATAAAATAATAAAGTGGGAGTAGTTATTTGTCTAAAAAGCAGTTGTGCTATAGAGTACTATACATTGTACTATATAATGCAATTTGGGAGACCTAAGCATGCAAAAAGAAAAAAATTGAGGTAAGCCAAGAAATGTTCAGAAATAATTATATTTCCTACATATGTTTCAAACATGTGTTGTCAACTCGGAAGAAATGAACACTTATTTCTTATACCCTGATGCCCTCACATGAACTTAAACTGCTGGCCAGAGAAGAGCCATTAAGGAAATTTCACAACATGGAGCCTCCAAAAAAATGCTACTAGGGTTCAACACTAAAGTTTTGGAAGATGCAGCATTAGTCTCAGAGAAAATGGAAAGGAAATTACGATATTAAAAAAAATCAAGTAAATGGTACTTTGATAAGCAAAACGACTGTTTAATTGTCTTGGTTGGCAAGCTGAACTAGGAACTGAAATGGATTTCAGTTTACTGTGTTTTCATAACAATGGAAAACGGACACATCTAATCTCTAATTACAGTTGCCCCTACCTACTGTACAAGAATGTTGTTAGGGCAAGTAAGATAAAATATGAGAAGTGCTTTGAGCTTCTTAGTACAGAAATATAGAAATTCAATAAAGTTTAAGGTGTTTATCAATATTATGATCATTAGGATAGTCTCAGTTTCTCTCAGTTGGGTTTCAGAAGAGCTTCCAATCAAAAGTGGATTTATTTTTACATTAATACTTAGAAAATTATATATCACACAAAGCTTCCCGGAAGGATTACTTTCTCTGAAAATACTAGAATTATCTGCATTATTTTAAGTACAATGAGTTCACTGAGTCTGAATTTTAGTTTGTCTATTTTTATATAGTATTGAGTCTTCATGTCCCCAAAATGAAATATCCCTTTGATTTTTAACAGACACACTTCCAAAAATAAATCAAGTTCTTGGCAATCCTGTGAGGATAAAGGTATGCTTCTACATTTTAGTTGAGTTACACTCTATATCAACTTCTCAAAAGTGAAATGCAAAAGTTGCAATCTGCTTTTTCCACTCGGATTCAAGACATATTAGAGAAGCTGCCGAAAGACTGACTAAACTGAAATAAACAAAGATACTAGGGCATTGCTGGGAAAAAAAAGTCAAATTTGTTCCTCATAAAGTGTCATAAAAAATCACTTGTGTTTAAAAAAAAAGCAATGCTTCCATATCTTTTGAGTAGAAAATATATTGACTGAAAATGCAACGTAGGTAAGCAGACTATAGATCTTCAATAAACGAGGACATTAAAAATTTTAAAAAGTTTTATGAGGCAACTCATGGTCCCCTTGCTGGTTTTATTTTCTGCATGGTATTTATCATCTGATACATTTTCCATTTACTTATTTGCTTAGTGAACTGACTGTAAAATTCTATGCAATATGTTAGCCACTAATTACATGTGGCTAATTCAATTTAAATTAGTTAAAATTGAAAATTCAGTCCTTAATCTGATTGACCACATGTCAAATGCTCTACAGCTACATGCATCTAGTGTCTACTGTATTGGACAGTAAAAAAATAGAACATTTCCCGTGTCACAGAAAGCTTTGCTGGACATTGCTTTTAGTTAATAATACTTTATATTCAATCAAATTTATACTGTTTTCATTTTCTAAAACAGAATTCAAGACAGTAGTTTAATACTGGAATTACTTTTCCTATCTAATGCATGCCTGTATATATTTTATAATCAACAGTGTGAATGATAAAGTTATTACTAAATACAGAATTCTTGTGTTGTTTTAGGAATAAAGAATCACAAACTTGTCCGCTGACCTCAGCAGGTAAATTCTTTATGTCGATATAGTTGGAAAGCATCAAAAAGGACTTCTGGGATAAGATTAAAATGTCCTACCACGTACTGGGACATGCTAAGCACTAGAGATTTTTACACGCTCCTGGTATAAAAATGCATACATACAGATGAGGAAACTGTTAGTTGAGAAGAGTTAGTAAGTACCAGGATACTAACTTTTCCCACTCCTCTAACTGTAAAAATCATACTCCTCATTTCATTATTTGCTATATTATTTTAACAATACTGAAAATTCAACTAACCGTGTTTTGTTTGGAATTAGCTTTGGTTTTAACCCATGCTAAATTTTCAGCCTAATGAAGTGCTATCTTAGAGATGACCTAACAGCTGCCTATTAATTTCAACCAAATTGCAGTATTTTCTTTTGGCTCCCTGCCACCTTTTCCCCATACCCGCTGCTTTGATTTTGCAAGACTGTTTGTGCTAATATCTACAAAAATATCCCACCCAATAGAAGCCAATATCTCAAGGTGAAAATTAAGGTAATTTTTGACACCCCAATTTTCATTCTACTTAAAAAAATATACATGGCTATACTTTCATGACAAAAGTAAATCTACAATTCATGCATTTCATGTCAAAATCTCAAGTCCTTTGTGAAAAAAGGAAGGGACGTATATAACAAATTAAGTAATAACTAACTGGAGTCATTTCTATATTAAGTATAACTCGGTTATTCTCAAATCTGATGTATAAATGTGGCCTGCCACATCCCTATTCAGGGAAGCCGTAATATACTTCCCTGAGTGTAAATAAGAGGAATAAGCGCATCAATGATTTCTCTATCTGTAAGGTTTAGATGTGTGCTGTGAACATTACTCTACATTATCATGATGTCCTCAGGGTGTTTTATGTTCTTTGTCCTATTCAACTTGGAATGATCCATCCATTCATTCATTCACTCATTCAACAACATTTAACAGACACCTGCCATGTACTGAACAACACTAAATATTGGGGATACAAAAATGAACACACAGTCTTTGACAACGGAGAGCTAAATTCTAGTGCTAAACACACGAATTGGGTAGAATTTAACAAATGTATTAATAAAGATATTCACACATTATTTTAGAAAGTCAGAGAAAGAGTTTCTAATTCAACCTGGAAAAATTTGAGTCGGCTTCTTAGAGAGGGTAATCTCAGGGCTGATTCTTAAGAGATGATGATGAAGAATAAATCAGAAGAAAGGAAAGAGGTAGTTTTGGTAATTTTGGTTAGCGTGGACATAATAAGACATGGCAAAGAAGCCAGAAATATTGCTGTGAAGGAGGAGGGAAGATTGTCTGGGTGTGTGTGGCTGGTGAATGGCTGCTTGTGCACACACACATCAAAGTATACTCAGACATTTTGTGTATAGAAAAAGACCACAGAAATAGGCTTGTAGTCATCCATTGTGTAATTTCTCTACTTTGTATCCTCCCTGTTCCCAAAAAAATTTGTCTTGATTCCACGAGGCTGTTTGAATGGTGACATTCACTTTATAAATGCAAAGCAAATTCCTGTTTGGGAGCTTATCGGCAGTTTGCATGTGCATTGGAAAACCAGAAAACCACTGCTCCTCTGTGGTCACATACCAATGGGGTCAGGCAGAGGTAGAGAATTCCACAGTCTCATTACAACACAGGTGCTTGCTATGACCTGAATGCTAAAGTCTCACTAAAATTCTTATGTTGAAATCCTAGCCCCCAAAGTAATAGTATTAGGAGGTAGGGCCTTCAGAAGGGATTAACTCATGAGGACAGAGCCCTCATGAATGAGAATTGTGCCCTTATAAAAAGGGGCCCAAGGGAACTCAATTGCCTTTCCACCATGTAAGGACACAGAACAAGAAGATGCCCTCTATAAGGAAGACAACATCTTGATCTTGGACTTCCCAGCCTCCAGAACTGTAAGAAAT
This sequence comes from Homo sapiens, assembly GCF_000001405.40. Lineage (NCBI taxonomy): Eukaryota > Metazoa > Chordata > Mammalia > Primates > Hominidae > Homo > Homo sapiens. The sequence goes on along the minus strand of NC_000008.11, from coordinate 105,682,956 downwards.
AAATTTCTGTTGTTTATAACCAACAGTCTGTGGTATTTTGTTACATCAGCCTGAACAGATTAAGATAACACTCAAAGTGATTGAACTGAACTGACTCTTGTGCCACATCCCAGAAGAAACCCTACCAATAAACTACTTATGTGAAGTGGGATTTAAAGAATCCCATGATGGAGACTGGCTAGATGCTCTCCAAAACAGCTTTACTCATCTTTTAGAGCATACAGCTGGATTACATTCCCCAGCTTCCCTTGCAAGTAGATATAGCATATGACTGAGTTCTGGCCATTCTTCTCTAGGGTTATTGTAGTAATTTTCTAACTTATTTCCGTTCTTCTGTCCTGTCTCCCTATTCTCTACAAGGCAGAAGGAACAATCTACCAAGATGTATAAATCCAATCATGTTAAACTTTGCTCCAAACTCTCCAATAGTTTTCCATTCTTACAACTGCCTACAAGGATCTATCTGATCTCTTCCATCATAGCACTGATTTCTGTGACCTTATTTTCTGTATTCTATAAAATCTCATAGTTCAAATGCTCCAGCAATACTAGCTCCTTTGCTATTCCCAAAGTGCATTTGTTCTTCCCTCCACCTGGAACTGTTTCCCCAGATGTCCATCATGGGTCACTTACTCACTGTCTTCAGATTCCTGCTCAAATGACACGAGAATGATGATGCCTTTCTGGAAGAGCAAACTGGCCCCTCCTTACGTTGTGACTTGTGCCTCCACCAATTGGTTCCCTTCCTGGCTTTGTGTTTCCTCATGATACTTATTACAGAGTGGCAATATGATGCTGATATTAATCACATTGCTTGTAATGGCTTGAACGGAAGATATGTAGCTTTAATTATTCCCTTATAATTTCAATCATTCTTGTACGTCATTTGTGAAACTTTCTGGCCCTCATTTTTCTCATGTCTGAGTTATTCACTTAGTCATTTATTTAATTTTGCCGCTTATTTGTTGAGAAGCTACACTGTATCAGGCACGTATCAGACAATGGAGATAGAGCAGTGACTGAGAAGGCCTCCTGCACAGGGTAACAGCCTTCATAGAGTTTAATCCACTGGGGAAGGCAGACACTAAACCTTAATTATAAATGTCAGTGTTGAAAAAAAAGACACAAAGCACACACAAGAGAGTAATTATAGAGTCCAGTTATGCCAACTGGTTTCCCCTAATGTCCTTTGGACCATAGTAATTTATAAGTATATTCTGACACTACTTATTTACAGGGGGAAAAAGGAAGGGACCAGAGAGGGAACTAACTGTTATTCAATGCCTGGTGTACCATGAATACATACCAGAAGGTTCTCTACAACACCACAAGGTAGTTATTACTCTTCCTACTTTCAGATATGAGGAATCCAACACTCAGATGAACATTATTATTCCCACTATAAAGATGAGTAAATTAAAGGATGAAACTCTTCTTAATACACACACACAATCATGTACCTTATCACAGTGCTACTTATAATCTACAGACAAACTATTATTGTATGGCAGAATATAAATCAATGTACAGTTTCCTTTCTCCAAAAAGTGTTGCTACAAAGAATGTCATCAGAACTAAATGGTATGCTTTGTAACTAATTTACACTCTGTGCATTCTGAAAGGGGTTGTGAGGAATGGGATTGTAGTGAGGTAAGAGACAGCATGGTAGGATGGATTCTGGGAACTGATGGCAAGAGGGCAGGGTAGAGACATGAGGACATGGGGCAGAGAAAGGTATGGCTGAAGAACTAACAAGGAGTCATATAATATAAAAAATTTATATAACCCTATCTTCATAATAATGAGAAGTCACTGATGACTCATGAGTTTTGATTATCATAAAGAATGCTCTGGTCATACCTATTTAATGATTTGAATTATTTTGCATGTGCAAATTATATTTTCACACCCACTATAAAGGTTTCCATTCCACTTTTAGTGGTTTTCTTACCCATTAAGTTCTTTTCATAGTAAATAAATACAGATACTGATGCTTTTTTGTATTTGTGGTAATTACTTTATATTGTTTGTTGTCTGCTCCTTGATATTTTTGTGTGATTTTTTTTCATGTAGTCAATAAACAACTTCAACGAATAAATGGAATAATTTTTACTTTCATGTTATAAGAATATAGTAATTATATGGTTTCATGAAGCATTTTAGAGATCCCAAAGTCTTTTAGAGCTTATAAAAATATTCCAAATCTTAAAGTATATCAAGGACCCAAGATATTCTTTTTCTTGTGAAGTGAATTAGAGGTCCAGGCATATTCACTGGTAGTTCCAGTTTCTCCAAAATATCACTGACTGACCATGAAAAAGGAACATAATTTCTCTTTTTTCTTTTATCACATACAAAATAAAGGCAATACTACATACCCAATTCCTACTTGTCTCATGGAAGATAGTAAAGAGATGAATTAGAAAGCAGATAATGACATACATAATTAGGAAGCAGAATAAAGTATTCCCTGTGCTTTGGAGGAGGAGATTATCAATTCCAAGGCATCATTATAAATCATAATTTATTTCTGATACTTAAAGCAAAGGAACGGAGAGCAGCTCAGTTCAAATAGCAAGACAGAATTTTCTGATTGCTATTTCTTTGCTTCTGTTTCACTGTTTACATTCTTTGAACTCTTAAAATAAGCAAGGCCAGTAGTAGGCATTTTCAATCCACTACAACATAGATTTTTTCATTTAAGAACATTTGTTACCCAAACATCCTAAAAAAGAAAATGGAAGACTTGAAGAAAGGTCCACAACAGACAATGTAGTATTCAAGCCTCCAATGTTTGATATTCAACCCTTCTTCAAGCTAATACAAGTAGCTTCTTGACAAATATTTTGTTTCAAAATATTTTCATCATCTCTATTTCTTGACTCAAATAATAGAGGGAAATGCAGTTTAATAGACTTCCCTGTAACAAAATGTGGAGAACAAATCAAATATTATATGTAATTTACCTTATGCAAACTTGCAGCATCAAGTTTTGAAATGTTGGTCAACTTAAGCTCTCATGAGTAAAGTTTCTTGAAGAAATATAAAGTCTATTTTCCTTTTTAAAAAGCCCAAAGTACCAAATAACTATTATGCATTTAGTAATTTGGTTATTACAAAATGTTTTTATACATATTGCTTTCTTTTTTTTTTTTTTTTTAAGACAGAGTCTTGCTCTGTTGCCCAGGCTGGAGTGCACTGGCATGCTTATAGCTCACTGTAGCCTCGACTTTCCAGGCTCAAGTGATCCCCACACCTCAGCCTCCCAAGTAGCTGGGACTACAGGCACACACCACTACCCTCGGCTAATTTTGTTTTGTTTTTTTTGAGAGATGGAGTTTTGCCATGTTGCTCAGACTTGCTTTTATTCTTATAATTCCATTATGTATGGACTTTCAATAAACCACTCTCACCCAGTACGTTTCCATGATTTACCCAAGTTTGAGAACCAGTATTTGAAAGCTCGTCTTCAAGCTCCAAATTGAGTGACTTTGTTAAGCACATTGCAGCTAAATCTAAAAGTGCTTTTATAAACAACAGAGGTGACAAACTCAAATGCTTACAGGGGCCAGATGGTCAACATACATGTGCAAATCAGGTTAGATGAGAAATGACATGAACTCCCGGCAAAGACCACAGTCTAAATGGGAAGGGGCTACTTCACAATCATTTGTTGCCATGTGGGATTAGGAAACTAATGTTGCCCAATCATCCTACTTTAAAGAGACTGCAGAAATACTAATTTTTAAGGTATAACATCTTCTGAATTTTTTTAAATGATGGCAATAATTAAAATTTGTGCATAATGCATTTGCAGGCGGCACATAGAAAGTATACTATCAACTCATCTCCTCTGTTGTACATATTCCTATCTGATAATCAAATGAGAAAAGATAACCCATTTTACAGAGAAAAACACTAAAGGTCAAGAAAGAGTTTTTTATTTGTTTAAGGTCACACAGGCTAGCAAGTGGCAGTGATGTGACTCCAAACTCAGCCATTATTCTTTACACTTCATTTCACTGCCTTGATTATTTTGTGATGTGTCCAGAAATTAGAGAGAAATCAAATTATGGCATTATATAATTGTGTGCTTCTATTCTATTATGCTGCATTATGCTGATTGAGCCAATGACATAGCATACTCTGCTGTGCAGATTATTTCACAGCCACTGTAGCTTGACTGTCACAACCTGAGGGTTGATTTAAGCACTTGTACATGGACATGGTATTAGAACTCCCAGGGTGGTTACCAATGGAATAAGAGAGAAAACCGGAGGATAAAAGTGGACAATTTCCAGTTAAAATTACCATATAGCAATTTTGTTAGTTATCAGACTTAGTACACAGCAGCTTATCTGACAAGAAATTGTCCTTTTGGGCATGATTCAACCTAGAGATGTCTGATTTCCTCATATGTGGTGTCCAGATGGTCCTTTCTGCTCTATGTTGAGACCAGGAGGCATAAAGGCCATTTCTAAAACAGAGACAATGAAAGTAAGTGCAGGGTGGAAATGCTCAAGACTGGTCAACATAACGTACTCAATCAGATTATATTTTTAAAACTAATTCTCTATTACTGACAGGGGCAATTGATGAGGCAGAGGGAGAGAAAAGAGCATCTTTTATAGATTTTGTTGCTAGAGGTGCTATTGCATGTGACTAGCAGCTGATTAGATAGATTCCATGGTCATGTAGGCTCTGAAATAAAATCTGGAAAAGCAAAGAGAGGGCTGACAAAATGCACAACAGAAGCCTAATGTTCTACTTGAGAAACACTGCTTCTTTCTTTCACTGCAGAATTAATTTTGTGCCAAACTTCTGTATCTCCTACATGCTAATGACAGGAAGTCAGTGTGTGAGGAGGAAAAAGGTGTAAAGAACTTGGCTAATAAAACAGTCAATGGTAAATAATCCAGGTAGGGCAGAACACATAAACTGCACAGTAAATACTTTAAAAAAATCCTCTGAAATGCCCAATTTATGATAACATCTTATGAGCAGCTCCAATATACAACATTGGCTATTTGCATAGGATATTACAGAGCCATCTATTACAGTCTTCAACAAAAAGAAAATACCTCAAAACACATTTTGTTCATTTGGAAGTACAATAACTTCGTCAGTTAAAATTTGGAAAGCTTCCCAGTTTTCAGCTGTAAAATGATAATGCTAGACATATCATTTAAAAGAGGAATCTCCTAGAAGTTAATTCAGTTGACAGGGTCACATTTAGACTTTATTTTTTTTTTCTTATGTTTTTGCACTGAAAAATAATTCCCAAATCCTATTATTCAAAGCACTGGAAGTTACTATAGCAATTCATGGCTCTGTTCACATTCAAGGTACCTCTGAGATAGATAGCTACTTAAAAAAAAAAACCCTCTACAATACAGATCATGGAATTCATGGTGTTTTCAGAAAGGAAAAGAAACCAGAGACACTTATTTGTTGAAGAGAATTGTTTAATTTTAGCAATATCATTGTTTTGTGATGATTCGATAAGCAGAATAGTTTTGGATTTAAGAGTGTGGACTCTGGAGGTGGCATGTGTGAGTTTAAAACCTCATTTGCCTTGTGACCTTGGGCAATTTACTAAACCTCTTTGAACCTCCATTTCCCCATCTGTACATAAAAGTATCTACCTCAACCTCATTTGTAAAGTACTTAGCATAGCATCTTGTCCATAGTAAGCAGTGTTAAGAATTAGCCATTATTATGTTTGTCTTAAAAAAAAAAAGACATGATTTCACAGTACAAGAGAAAATATATTTCAAAGAGAAATATTCTAACATATTATGTCAGGAAAGAATTGAACTTGAAATCTTGAAATATTATGGGAGCATATTTGATGTAAGCTGTGTTGTTCTGTTGGTGACAAAGGGAGAATGATAAGAGATTCAATGTGAAATATCTAATATACCTGGACTGAAAAACTAGTCCATCTTTAATATTTTTTCTGTATTTAAAGTACAGTATATTTTGGTTTCTTCTATACTTCTTTAACAAGTTTTCATATATTAGAAATGAATCTATATTAATTAAACTCAAATATGTTAAAAACATTTTATGCATTTTAGACACTTTTTGACAAGTTTAAAGTTTCATTCACAAAAGTTAGTCAATCCCAGTCTATAACTCTTAACCATTTTTTCAGAAAGTAATCATGAACTAAGACATTTACTTCATAGTGAAGCATGAAATTTCCCTTTATTTTTAATTTATTAAATTTATTCTCTTTGTCCCATCTTTCATTGGTACTTGTCCATTCAGATATTTTGGTATTTTCAAATATTGCTCTTATATATTTAAATATATTTCTTTCTAAATATCAGAATATAAAAATATAATCAATGGTCATTTTTTCCATGCGTATTTTTACAACTTCTTTTTTTCAACAAAACAGATGAAAAGAATGCTGACGCTGAAACAGTCAAATACTATATATTGTTTGTTCCAGGTCAGAAACATTCAGAACTCGAATTTCTCTTCTATGTGTTTAAATAAAACTGAAGTTTTAGGAGAAGAAAAAAGTTTCATTGACAAATGTGAAGATAATACAAATTTCAGTACTACAATTGGGGTTGTTCATAGTGAAGCAGGGAATTTTACTATCTTGAGTTATCTTCCACAACTCAATTTTTTACAAACAATATGCCAAAGTCACTAGGTGGTACAAAGCACTTCTTAAAGCTTGGTGGTGCTAAAATATAAATGTGTTGGTGAGTAGATGAACTATGATTCCAATGTTATGGTCAAAATAGTTAGGAATGCTTGTTGAACAAAGGACCATAAGTCACTGCTGTTTATTAAAAAGCAAGAGACATTCCCTTTACCTTCTCCCAGATTCTGAGGAAAAATACTACCTAGTAAGAGTCCTAAAAAGATGCAATGGCATCTGGCCTATAATTTAGACATCTGTAAGATTTGCTAACCTGAAGGTGACACTGTTTAATGGTGAAAAGCTGGGATCTCAAGCCACGGAAACCTGTATTTGAATTCCGGCTCCACATTTTGCTAACTGTGTGACTTTGAAAAGCCTCAGTTTTCACATCTATAAAATACAATTAGGAATAATGCAGTTCGTCAAAGATTGCTATGAATAAAAAGAAAGATTATAAAGTACAGATAAAGTGCCTAAGAGGGTATGCAGTTCATAAGCTTAATAAATGGAAATTAGAAGTTTTCTATTACTACTTATTTCTGGTATTGTAAATCTAGTGGCCTGATATTTAGAGCTTCCTCCTTCTGACAATCTCCGCCTCTGAAATTGGGCTTTTTATTTATTTACACCTTGCCTTTATCCTCCCAGGACTGAAGATTCCCAAGGGTTGAGGCAGCCCCTTCTTTCTTTGCAGACAGTCAGAGATCACTGCTCAACTCCACGTTCTGGCCCACAAAGAACCAGCTTGCTGAGTTCTATGCCTCCATTTGTTCAGGCCATCTCAAGGAGATCTCCAGAATATTAAAGCTAGATTTATCCACAGTGCCTAACTCTTCTTTGCTCAGGAGTGAATTCCTGGCCTTCAGCCTCATTCCCCTTTCATTGCAGCATTTTGACTCAGGTCTTCTGAATAACTTTCCCTTTCCCCACATTTACTGATATCACTCCTAAACACTATTGACTTGGTCAAATTCTCAGAAGAAATTTTCCTAATGGCTTGGGTGCACAAGTTTCCAAATTACCCATGGAATGAACATATCTTTCTAGCAGAGGTCAAACTCTGATGGTTGAGGGGACACACTAGTACCAAAGATATATTAGAGCAGTGAGTAAACATTTTTTGAGCACCAATGCCTTCATGCCAGTCATGAATTTTCCAATCTATATTTTGACATATTCTCTACCAGTTCTATTACTTTACTCCCAGTCCGCTTTACCCCATGAGTTACCTGCCTGACCTCACTTGAGTTCATGACCTTGTACACCTTGGCTTCATCATCTGAGGGTTTTGTCAAGTGGAAAATATCAGGAACATACAAACGTCTAATCCATCACCATTAAATTTGCTCAACCACAGGTTCCAGAATTAGCACTCCACCCCTTTCTGGTGCCTAGATCTATGGGTTTATGTTGAACCATGGTCTCTGGCTCCACAAGTTTTGGGGTCTAGGTCTTTGATTTCCCCTCAACCATAGTAAAGGCACCCATGAAATGATTTCTTCTGACTTTAATCTCTCTCATTCTCTTGCTTTCTTCTCATTTTATATCCTCTTCTTGACAAACTACAATTTCACAAAAGACCTAATATAAGAGTGTGTAAAATCAGCCTCTATCCTATCCACCAATGCTGAACACTTAATGTATTTCTATTAGTTTGTTGTTCGGTGGTTTCCCCTTCATCATTACAAGATGATTACATAGGGAATGCCTTTTAAAAATATGATGCCAAGGTACGGAACAAAAAGGCAATGAGGAGAAATGAACAATGCAAACCAACCCATTGTGATTTCCTCTTTACCACTAAAAACAAGACTTGGTCTCCTCTGAAAGATTTATGAGGTTTCCTACCATAAAGGAGGCTGGATTACGGCTATGCTTACTTTATAAAATGAAATTCTGCCATCATAGGCAAGGGTTCATGGCTGTAATTATTTCAATGCTCTTCCCAGTCAATGTGTCTTGCACAGCTGAGTCAAACCCTCTCTCTCACAGGCAGGCAGGCCATTTCATAAGAAGTCTGAAAGCTTCCACAACTTTGTGTGACCTTGCATTGAATAACACTGGAAAATTGATTTGGCTCTAGTAATAAAAGAGCGTCTGCATTATCTGCATTCTAATTATAATTAATATAACCAGGAAAACTGCTGTATTATTTACGATTAGAGCTATGGTGAGCACAGTGTAATAATAATCTGCTACATAATTTTTTATTGATCTGATGGCTTTATTGCAGAAAAAACAAAATGCTACACCACTGCATAACTAAAATTGCCTTTCTTGACATGAGTGTTCAGACAGAGGATTTCATTTAACACTTCTTTTATCTGATCAAATTCTCATAGTTTTAATATCATAACAAGCGTGATGCTATGGGATCTTCCAATTTTCCTCTTTGGAAAGAACTGAAGAACAGGCATAATTCATCCAGCCAGTTTCCCATTCTTTACTCATTCAATATCATTAATTCCCTGACACAACAGTTGTCATACATTTCATTAAGAGCAATAGAATAAGGCTCAGAAAGAAGTGGCTTTCAGTTAAGGGAATTCTATCTCTCATCCTAAATAAACTCTTGTTTTGAGCATAATGCCTAATGCAGTATAAATGTAGTAATGAGCGTATTTTTCTTGAATAGAAAAAAAGTTAAGTTTTAAAAATATTAGTGGAGGAACTCTTGGGGAGGGCAGAGATCTTTATGAACCTAGCTGGCAGTGTTCACCAAAGGAAGGAAATGTAATTTTCCTTCCTTTTTGTGGCTAAAAAGGCAGTAACAGAAGCATATAATGTGTTCTCCCAGAAAGAGTCATGCTCAGTTCTCATAGACATGTATATTATTTGAACATTTCAGAATTTTATGTGATAGGCATGCCAACATGAATGATTTAAAACTTATTACAGTGAGTGGTTGCTGACTATCATTTTGAAGATTATACCTCTGTGTAGACTTCATTTTTAATTTAATTGTTTACTAAGAAATTTATCTTTCCTGGGTGCTGTTACAAAATGTGCAGCTTTTTGACAAAAAAAAAATGAGACTTGATTGTTACTAAATTTTAGACAAGGTATATAAGTAAGTACGATCGGTAAAAAAAAAAAAAAAAAAAAGCATGCTATTTGAAAAAATAGAAGTAGAAATATGAAAAAAAATATATTTAAGTTCTTCCCTGGCACAAATTTTCCTCTTCCAATCTCTCGTTCACTTCTCTCCCTTAGTTGTTCTGTGAAATCGTAGCTAGAATAAAATAAATAATAAATCTAGGACTAACAGGCAAGGTTTCATTCCAAGTAAAGCGTTTCAGCAATTTCCCCCTGTGTTAATTTCCTTATCTGGATGACAGCAATCCGAATTAGAATAACTCTCTTTGCTGCAATAGAGCAGATTAACTCCACAGCAGGTTTTCCTGAAAGATGTAGCTTAGCCAGACCAGTCTGGTAACAGGAAAACTAACGTCCATGATTCACTGTGCTAATCTGCTTCTCGAAGGACATGGCTTAGGTTGAACAAATATAGTCAAAAACAATTCCATGGTACATGTCCCTAATTTTTATACTTTATTTGAAATGTGATTTTAAAAGTTTAGTCATCTGCTATCAGCAATATTAGTGAAATTTTTCTAGAAATTCTAGCCATTGTAATAAGGCAGGAAACAACAACAATAATTGTAAAGTCATGAGAAAGATGATCAAAAAGTCATTATTTAACGATTACCAATAATTAAATATTCATATCAGATTTTTAAAAATCAATGGCACTCTTATATAGCATTACCAGAAAAAAAATAATTGCTACAAAATTTCACTCACAATTATAGTAAAGCTGCTGACTAAATGGGAATACTTTACAAGGAATATAGGAGACAAGTATGAAAAATGTATTGATCTGAATTTCATAATATAAAGAAAGACTGAAAACAGAGAAAAATGTTGAATACCAATTTATAATTGCCAATATAATTTATAAATGCCAATATATTATTTATAAATGTAATACAGTGTTAATCAAAATCCTATCAAGTATTTTTTTCTTGAACCAAAGAATATTATTTCTCTTACCTAATAGAATAAACAGATAAAAATAAAATAATTTGAAAAGGAGTAATACAAGATAACATGTTAAAACATGCTACTAAAGTATAAAATCAAAGCAAAATGCTATATGAGTAAGAAATAACAAATGTATAGATAGAACCAACTATTGTTACAAAGTCTAGAATGTATAAGACTTTATTTATTTGATGAAACAAATCAGTTTGGGAAACATTTCATTCTACTGAAAAGTAAAAATTAGTTAATGTTTCACTTAAAGCCATTTACTAACATAAATATAAGATGTAATGCAGTTCAAAATCAGTTAGAGGGGCATCATAACATAGTAATTAAGAGTTGATTGCTTTGCTTTCAATTCTGTACTCTCTTTGTGCTAGCTACTTAGTCTCTCTGGGCTTCAGTTTTGCCAACTATTAAAAAGAGATGATAGTGACCACTGCTATAGCACTGTAAAATGCTTAGAAAATTGTCACACAGTCAAGTTCCCAAAAGTCTTGGCAACTAAACTATTGTACTTACTTGTTATATTTATTGCTATTACTTATTAAAGATATACAGTGATTAAAAATAAAAATGTTAAAAGTAAAAAAAAACCACCTATTTATTTAATGTCCAAATGAATGATCTTTCCAAGATTTACAGGAAGCAACTACATCATAAAATGGAAAGATGCATGAATTTGACAACCTTCAAAAGTAAAAATTCAGTAATCAAAAATTAAAATTTCAGTAAAGAAAATTAAAAATTCTTTTTTTTCCTCTGATAATGTACAGATGAAAAATTATGAGAAATGAGATTAAAACAACACGAGATGTTGTAGAATAATTATTAGTTTAAATTGATATATTTATAGCTAAAAGATTATATACAAAAAAGAGGAAATACAAAATAAAAATTAATTTTTTTATTTAAATATAAAATGGAAGACAATTCGAAGAGCTCAACATTTTAACCTACTTAAATATTGAAGGTTCAAAAAAATTGGTAATATTTTAATCTCACAAGAGACAGAGAATCAAGGAAATTACTCATGGTTCCTATGAATAAATTCTGATATACTACAATATTGTATGGCAAAATATATGTATCAAGATTTTTAAAAATATTTATCTTTAAGCCACTATTTTTATTTCTAGTTCCCTGTTTTAAAGAGATGAATACATATGTGAAACAAAAATCTTTCATAAAAACACTTAGCATAGCATTATTTATATTACAGTAATGGTAAACTAACAATACATCCAATATTGAAGTATGGCCAAGCAAATTTTGGCCTTTCCATATATAGTATATTATTCAGAAATTAAAAAAATGACTTTTACTAAAGTAGCCAGTTGCAATTAATCTAATCTACTGCCAATACTGAGTTTATCAACTGAAATTCTGTAATAAATACAATCTCTAGCTAATATATTTGAAAATGCTATAATACAAAGGGTTTTAAAGGTAGTCTCTATGGGTCCGGTTTTTCTTAATTCTACTAGCAAGGCAGTGAACTGCCCAAGAAGTAAAAGATAAGTCATTTAGTGAAAGCAAGCAATATGTATTTTAGAAATATATACATATGCAATGAAGCTATTTTTAAAAGATGGGGTCAGGGTAATGTATAAAATGTACAGGGTAGAGGCTTATTGCTGGGGAAGGGAAAGTTTACTGGGAGGTGGATTGACAAGGATGAAGGCGCGCATACACAGACATACACAGAATGTTGTTGTATAGTTTCAGCTTTTTTTTTTTTTTTTTTTTTTTTGAGATGGACTCTCGCTCTGTCGCCCAGGCTGGAGTGCAGTGGCACGATCTCGGCTCACTGCAAGCTCCGCCTCCCGGGTTCATGCCATTCTCCTGCCTCAACCTCCCGAGTAGCTGGGACTACAGGCGCCCGCCACCGCGCCCAGCTAATTTTTTGCATTTTTAGTAGAGATGGGGTTTCACCGTGTTAGCCAGGATGGTCTCAATCTCGTGACCTTGTGACCCGCCCGCCTTGGCCTCCCAAAGTGCTGGGATTACAGGCTTCAGCCACTGTGCCTGGCCAGTTTCAGCTCTTAATCTGAGTGGTGGGTCCATGGATGTTCTTTGTGGTTTTGCTTCACAATCTATATATGTTGCAGTTATTCTTGTGCTTATCTCACATATGAAATAATATTTTTAAAGGCATAAGAGAACATATATCTCTCAGAAAGATATAAAAAAGAATAAAGTTTGACTCTTGCCTTTGTTAGAGACATGCTGTCATTCTTCGCTAATGTCACCACTGACTTCTCTGCACTTTCTCTATTTATCTGTTACACAGGCTTGCATGCTCTCAAAGTTTATGGTGAAAAAGAACTCAGGCAATTGGAAAGTGACTTTATGTAAAGTCATTTTTCACTATTCCTTCTCAGTAATTTAAGAAGTAGCCAGCTAGTTGGATGGGAATGGCAAGAAGAAGAGGCAGATAAAGTTATCCTACATGACATAGCTGTAGTCGGAGTTGCTTGCAAGACCTTTGCTTCTAGAGCTGGAGTCCCATATCCTTCAATAGAGAGAAGAATAATATTTGTAAATATTGCCTGAAGGATCATAAGAGGATTATCGTTACTGACCCTGTCACATTTATCAAAAAAGTCTATCCTAAGCTGATGGATCTAAATATAAATACAATGATGGATTCAACCAGATTTTTACAAAGTAATCTTTATTTACACACACACACACACACACACACACACATGCACACTTTCAGCTTAAAATAGAGACAAAGGAAAACAATACTTATTGTAATGTAGCAACATTATCATTATATATACATTATCATTATATGCGTGTGTATATATATAAATATATATATATATATTTGCCCCAAATTAGACATTAAACCATGTTATTTTAAAAGTAAATGCGAAAGTAGGTGAGCGCAGGACATGAGGCAAAATTAAAATGTACTGAGTATTTAGTAATAAGACCTAGAGCTATGAGAATTTTAGAGGAAATATAACCAGAATAAATCACAAGACATTACGTATATATGTATTGAAGACTGTCTATATCCATGGGGAGTCCAATATTGTTTTCATGAACCTATATTCACCAAATCTCTCCAAAGTTTTCCCAGTAATTAGTTATAACATTTGCTTGCAATATAGTCATTGTAAGAATAAGATATATACTAACATAGCTAGTTTATTACTCTTTTTACTCTATCCTATAGCAGTGAAACATTCCAAATGTAGTCCTCAGGTTGAATAATGCATATAAAAAACAATGAAATATTTAAACAACTTGATATTTCACACTGTAAGGGGATCAGTTATGTTTCCATCAACTAGTTTACCAATTTACTCATTTATTCAAAATTTAAAAAATTTTAAAAACCTTCTAAACTCTGCTAGGTGTTTGAAATCTAAAAATAAAGTTAAAATATGATTATTATCCTGCTAGATCCAAATTTAATTGAGAAACTAAAGTAATCTCACCTCAATGTTGTAATGCCAAAGCAATATTCTGTAATAAGAAAATGAAACAACACATTCTTGCTGAGTATTAAGCATCTATAATTAAATACGTATAATGATTCATTCTTTAGTAAAGTTAACAGGTTTGGTGAACTGTTCAGAAAACTTCTGCACATTTTAAAACCTAATATTAATATAAATCCAGCTATTTTATAACTATGGCTTCCATCCTGAACAATTCTTATAATTCTAAAAAAGGAGGTACAGTTGAAAAAGAAGATGCGGACAAAAATGTACCCCCACTTTTTTTTTTCTCAAGAAAGGGATACTTCTACTGCCTGAAGTACTTTTTTCTGTTTTAAGAAAATGCAGGTCAGCAAAACTGGCATGCTGAAATGTCAGCTCAGTCATCTTTTCCATGTCTGTTCCACACTGCTACTTTGCAAGGTAGAAAAAGCTAATTTAGTAGCTAGAGCTAAATTAGACTTCTTAATTGACATTTCACTTTCATCCAAAATTAGGCCAGCACATGTTTAAAAATCCTTTTTATTTTGAATGAATTAAAGAACAGCATGTAAAGGTTTGTAAAGATCAGAATGGGTAGTGAAGGACAAGCACACCTGAGCCATTTCCCAATTTGGCAACTGCTTCCTAAGGTACGTGGAGCTGAGAAGAGCCAATGGCCTATCTGTCTAGGGCTTGAAGCCCAAGCTACACAGCCTGTAAATTAAACTTTCTTGAGTCCCTCCTATGGGATTTGTCTCAGTGATTCTCAGACTTTTTGGTCCCGGGGCCTCATTACGTGCTTAAAAATTTAGGACTCCAAAGAGCTTTGTTTTATGTGGCTTAAGTCTACCGAAGAGCTTTGGTTTAAGCTTTGGTTTTATCTAGCAATATCATTCTACTGAGGTGTATCACAATAGAAATCAAAGCTAAGAAATATGTATGTATTTATCCATTTAAAAATAACAATAGTAAACACATGGCATTTTAATACAAATAAAATGTTTTTATAAAAATAACTATCTTTTAAAACAAAAAAAGTGAGAATTGGCACTGTATTATATTTGGGCAAATCTCCTTAATATCTGGCTTTAATAGAGGAAAGATATTCTCATATCTGTTTCTGCATTTAGTTTGCTGTCCTATGTTGTTTTGATTGAACTCTATGTAGAAAACCTGGCCTTGCACAGATGTGTAGTTAGAAAGAAGAGAGTACTTTAATAGCCCTTCAGATAATTTGGGAATTCTTTGATACTACACTAAAACTCAAAAAGTATTACCTTCCTAAAGGTGAATTGCAGTGTGCAATCTGACACCACATCAAGAACTTTTCCTACTTTGTTATTTTTAAATCTATTCACATAGGTTGCATTTTGAATGAATCATTTTACCTACGCACAATTTTGAAGTGTCATTCATTGATCATTTGATTGATATTGGTTCACTGAGTTATGCAGATCTTCCCATTGTTGGTACATTTCATCATATACTACCAAAAGATCACATTCACTACTATCACCACTAATCTCTTCAGATAAACTTTCAAGTATTGGAAAGCTGTTAATAAGCCCATAGTGGCAGACACCGTGAATTTCAAAAATTCTAATTTTTGCTTGAAAGCTTTACTTTATCATTGGCTTTAAGTAATGACAATTGTTTTCCTTGAAGCGATAGGCTTCTTTTCATTTATTTCTGAGAAAATATCTGCCAAATACTCAGATCTGAAAAACACAATTTGTATGTCAGACATTCTTTCAAATAAAAACTGTGTTCTATGAAAAAGTGGCTAATTCCACTTTTAACTCAGGCAGATATACAAGTGTTTTTTCTGGAGATGACCATAGTGCTTTAATATGAAACAAAAGTACTTTGTAGTTATTTCTAATTTTGTCACATGGAATATTAAAGAGGCATGCACTCAAGGGTTTAGATTTAGTGGGAGCGTTAAATTTTATTGCTCCATCAAGAACATTCTTAAGTAACACTGTGATTTTCTTTGCTTGAGTGTCTGGTGGTAAAAAAATGCAGACTTTTAGAACAATTTTGTACCACTGCCTTGATTCATGTTAACGTTTCAGCAGTTTCACCCATCATTGCTCTTGCACCATCAGTGCAAATGCCAATACAATGGAAAAGGCAAAAAACCTCTTAGTAATATTATGATAATATTTTCACCCTATGGTTTTCTAGAAAGTTTCTTAGGACCCTCTAGTGGTCTATGGACCACACTTTAAGAACTGCAGGTCTATCTGAAGGACCATAGACAGAGCCAGTTCTGCATAGGCTACACAGTCTCCAAAGTGATTTTCAAAGTATGAGCTTGGGAATTTGAGGTGTAAAGCAACAGATGGAAAGGAAGAATTGAACATCTATCAAAATCTTGCAGGTGGTGCTTTTGGGGAGCATTCACACAAAATCACTGTGATAGAAAGGTATTCTTTGGAGCAGGTGTGTTATCGATAATTTTCACTCTCCTTTTAATTCAGACACTGAATTGCTATTTGGCCCTCCAAGTACTTTCTTGATTATATCAGAAGAAGAATTGTTTTATTAATTTCTTTCTTTGCTAAAGAGGGCCTGAAACAATAGAGTAAATGGGAAGTTATGTGAGATGGCAGTGGTCTCAACCATGGCTTGTCACAAAGTCACCTGCCCCCATCCCTGAAATGCAAATATATTTCAGAGATATGTAGTTGAAACTAAAATCACCCTATAGATGCAAAGATTGATGATTCAAATAATATCAATGATTCAAATAATATCAATGATTCAAATAATATCAACTCAAATAACAATTAATACAATTCACTTAAGCATCTCCTTAATTTTGAATAATTATGATTCTTTATGATTTAGGTTCATATTGTTCTGTTGTGTATATGTACAAATTTGTTTAAGGCAGCATTAGTTCACAATTGTATACCATTTATCATGTGCCAACCATATACATACAAGCCCTTCCTTTACTTATATTTAGTTATTTAATCCCCAAATAATCTTATAAGGTAGACATTTTTGTTTTCTCTGTTTTATAATGAGGAAATGAAGTAACAGAAGTTTGATAATTTACATTAGGCCTCATCGCTAATAAATGGGGAGCCAGGAATAGAACCCGAGCTGTTCTGGTACCAAGTGGTTTATAAACTTAAACACTACGTCAGAAGTGAAACAAAACCTAAAATGAGTTTCCTGCAGATCTTTCTTTTAGTGTATTGTAGCATTTATAGGTTGTCTTGATTCTTTACAAAAATAAGTAAATCTTCAAACCATTCCTGAACAGAGAATGCAATCATTTCATAGATTCCTCCCTGAAATTATGATTTTATCAAAACTCAGGCTATCTCAGAGAGAGGCTCTGAAATCCATGGCAGGGTTGCTTTAAGGTAAACACAAAATCCAACAATTATCATTTTTGTACCAATATAATAAATAAGCTTATCTAAATAAATTTTGCATTAACTAGATGCTACAGTTTGAGTATGTCCCCCAAAAGTTCATTTGTTGGAACCTTAATTTCTCAATACAACAGTGTGTTCAAGTGGGCCCTAGTGAAAGGTGTTTGGGTCATGAGGCACCACCCTCATGAAGGAATTAATGCCTTTCTTGGGGGAACAGTTTAGTTATCATGAGAGTGGATTGTTATAAAAAGCTAATTGGCATTCCTTGGCTTCCTCTCTCACCATATGGTACCTTCCACCACGTTATAAGGCAGCACAAGGCCCTCACCAGATGTTTGCATCATGCTCTTGGACTTCCCAGCCTCCAGAACCATGAGCCAAAATAAACTTCTTACCATTATAAATTTATCTGTCTGTAGTTCTGCTATAGAAAGAGAAAATGAACTAAAACAGTGAATTTTTGCCCTTAATTATCCTAATAATTCCTAGTACTTTTTCTTTTTTTGCTTTGTGCTCTGCAAACTCAAGCCACTGAGAACTGCCATCAGATTAGTATTAAATGGTTTCTATAATAAAACCACAGTACTTCAGCCTTTATACTCTTCCAAAACATAACTGATAAGGTCTCTGCCTATTACTAATCAGGTCCCTCTGAACTGATTTTTTTAAAGAACAAAAACAATTTAAAGTATTTTATGCCAAAAATAAAATTCCATCTTTCAAGTAAAAATGAGAATTTCAGAAAACTTGACAGTATACCAATACTTAAAGAATTTTATGGCCAGGTGCGGTGGCTCTTGCCTATAATCCCAAGCACTTTGGGAGGCCAAGGCAGGCGGATCACCTGAGGATGGGAGTTGGAGACCAGCCTGATCAACATGAAGAAACCCCATCTTTAATAAAAATACAAAATTAGCCAGGAATGGTGGCGCATGCCTGTAATCCCAGCTACTCGGGAGACTGAGGCAGGAGAATCGCTTGAACCCGGAGGCAGAGGTTGCAGTGAGCTGAGATTGTGCACTCCAGCCTGGGCAACAAGAACGAAACTCTGTCACACACACACACACACACACACACACACACACACACACAAGAATTTTATGATTAAATCAGTATAAGTGTAATGAAAGTGATTATTTGATATGGTATAATGAATGTGTTAGCATTTGCAAGATCTGCATAACTTAGTGAATCACTATTTTCAAAACAACCAATGCATAAGAGAGACCAATGAATTGTAATGCAATGGAGTACAAAAGTCATCGATACAGTTTCAAAATCTACCAACCTTTAAGAAATTACTTGTTGATTTTCTCAATCATAAAGGAATATCCACAATTATCTTAAAAGGCTATTAAAATACTCCTCTTTTCCATTTATATGTTTGTGTGAGGCTAAATCTTCTTCATCTCCTTTAACCATAACGAGCTGATTTTTACTGAGAATCCCAAGGGGACACGTATCGGAAATTTCAAGTGGGGGTGTTTACTTAGACAAACTGACTCCCAATTTCTCATAATTACCTTTGCCTTTCAAAAAATTGAAACGCTGTTCCAGACTACTGAAAAACAAATCACAATGACAGAGACCATCTTAGAGTGAACATTATACTTGATTAAATTGGAAATTTAATTTTAATTTTAACACATTTAATTTTCACTTCTTGTGAAACTTTGGCAAAGTTACTTTATCTCTCTGTGCCTCAGATTTCTTTTGTGTAAAATGGGTCAACACCTACCCCATATGACTGACGCATACATTCAATGAGATGGTAAAAGCAAATGTCCTTTGAGAAGTGCAATATGCTTCATCAGTGTTAAGTAATATCATCATAATAGTAGCCATTTTATAAGGTTGCAAAAAGAAGTGAGTGAGAAAATCCTGAACTGTAAGCCCCATAAGAGCAGAAATGTTCATGTTTCTGTCACTACTTTACATGCAGGATGTGGAACAATGTCTGACACATAGTAGGTGCATGATAAACATTTGTTGAATGAACATGTGTAACAAGCAAAGTGATCTTTATAAATGATCCAAGTGGTGTGTTGGGTCAATTCTGTGAATAAAACAAAAATTATTTTTGTGTACTTACTATCCACATCCCAATCACAAGTTAATTTTTCATTTAAAAGTGTCATAATTATCTGCGTGACTGTTAGCTTATTCCTCCCTTGCCCCCCACGACTAAACTGTAAACTCCATGAAGCCAGGAACAGAATCTGAATGATTATCCATTTCATTCCCAGTGCCTAGTGCTGGAGATATTTATTGAATAAAGCCAATTAATTTTAAAGGATAAGAAAGCAGTACTTCTCATGGTAATAATATACTGAAGAGCAGGCTATCAGGCACCATGTCAGCAGCCTTAAATTAGCAACAACCTTGACAGGCAACAATGCATTAGTTATCTGCATGCCACAAACACTGATGAAAGATAATAGAACATTCTTCGAGTGTTGTCTCTCATTGCAGGTGGAGTGCCGGAATTCAGGGGAATCTGTGTTATCATGCACACTCTTCTCTGAGGATAGAATCACAGGCACACCAAAAACTAGCCATCGCCGTTAGGGACGGCATCAGAAGGGACAGCCCCAAAAGATTACACAGGACAAAAGAAGTGGTCAAATACAAGGATTCCTTTGTAAGTGGATGCTTTAAATATATTAGTATATTGAGTAATCCTTTATCTAGTTGCTCTCCTCTGCTGGGGACCAGAAAGTTGATAAGAAATATTAAAAAAAAATTTTTTTGAAAGGGTTGTGGTTGTGCTTGAACCAACTTCAGAGTTACATATTAGGCCTAGTGTCATGGAGACAAAACAGAAATGCAATCTTTGGATACTGCAGCTGCTTCGTGCTTTTGCCAGCTTATGCTGCTAAAGAAGGAGAAAAAAAAAGGACTGCCAGAGCTAAGAAAATTTAATACCTTGGAGCTGATATATACGGTATTATTTTGTCTTTTTGACAGGGTCCGGTGCTATTTTTACCCAAGTTGATACAGGGGTTAGGTTAGGACTTTAGAAAGAAATGGTGATTTATTTTAAGTACTGTTTGTGTAATAGCAGCTCCCTCCCCACCCACTCCTGCCACATTATTCATTGTTCTTAATGTAAAAATGCCCCCTTCTCGTCTCCTTTTCCTTAAAAATACACACCTGTCAGTATGTCCGTGCTAATCCCCCTAACAAGCCCCTGACTGTGTGCTGGGATTCCTTCCTCCTGCATCAGTGGGTGTATGTGTCAGTCTCAGTTCCTCCGCATTCCTGAGCCCAGCCTCCCTGCCTCCTCCATCACGCGTGTTGTTTCTCATTTAAATGAACAGTTGGATTCTTTTATTTCTTACAAGTGCTGGATTCGCCTTATCGCCCCCATTCCTTTGGGGGTTGCCAATTGGTTTTATCCACGGATGTATCATTTCTCATGCTTCCTTTTTTTTTTCTTACAAAGAGAAAGAACCTCTCTGTCAACAAGCCTCTCCGGAGTGGAAGATTAAAAACCTAGACATCACCTACCTTGCAGCGCTACTCCCAACTGGGTTGTGTAAAACTCAATTAAACGTGTCCCCATTGAATACTGCATTACAGTACATTAAACAGAAAATTCTTCAAGCGTGATGACAAAGCTTGAAACCTTGCCTCAAAGCTGTTCCTTGCAGCTTTCTTTAACATTTCAGTCTTTATGGTGCAAGTCTCCCGTTGACACAACTTTAGTCCAGCCATGGAAAAAAAAAAATCACAGAGCCCCACAGGGATTAAAAGAGAAAAAGGGGAAAAGTGAAGCTGGTCTTGGCACTTCCCTGAAGCCTTTATTGAAACTATACTGCCAACAGACAACTCGGAGCTGAAAAGTATTCTAAAGGTCTGCGGTCTAACAATTGAAAATATAATTCCCTTATTTTCGGCAGGTAAATTTTACAGATTTCCTCCTTATCAAGAACATTATATTACCCAGAATACATATTAGAAAAACATACAAGTCCTTAGGGTGAGGGATTTATGCAGACCTATATTCGCAGAAATTTTAAAAGCCCAATGAATATATTAGTCCTTTCAGAGTTACTTTCTTCATTGAATAAAACTGAAAAATGACTCCACATCCATGAAAAACCTCCAAATTCTTATTAAATAGAAACAAAGTCTTTCTATTTTGCTTCCTCATTTTCTTTTACAATTTTTATTTATAATCTGGGTTGCCAAGAGACAATCCTCCTCTTAACTCATGTAATTGGGATTTCGAAGCTTATTAAGCAATTCACACAGGTTTACAAAATTTTGACTAAAACTCTTTTTGTCAAAATTATAGATATTTATTGTATCACCAACCACACTGTTTTTGATATTTGAGGCATTTTTCTGCGTTTGAATTTCGGCAATTCAAAGCATCACATGTCCCCATGCACCTTTTACCTGGTCCCCAGCCCACCTGCTGGTGTTGTGAATTAGATGGATAGACGGCTTCTTTAGACCACTAGGGTATATATAGTTAAGGCACTGTTTTCTGTTTTTTATTGATTGTCATTTATTTTGTGTCTGCAATATGATGCTTTCTATGATATTATATGTAATCTGAAATGTGATATATTTGTTCTGAAACACTATGTAGTATTAGTAGGAGTTTATTAAGAGATACCTACGTTTTAAGGAGAAACACAATAACCATCTGGTTATTCAAAGTTCCTACAATACTTTAATGTGGAGCTAGGGGGCATGGTGATACCAGAAGTTACATTTTCAGAATTAGCAAATTTAGCATAGTTATTAAAGAAGAGCATGTTTGTCTGTACATATATGTATGTGTGTATATAGAGATAGATATAGATATTCATATACGCACATTTATACATGTGTATATGTGCAAATATGTGCTTTGACCCACTATGCTTGTTGTCAAAGGCATTTTTTTACACATGTATGATACTTCCTTTTACCATTATTGTCTTGCTTTAATCCATTGGTGGGGCAGGGATTCATTCTTCACCATCACTATTATATACTATGGTCTGCAGCCTTTTTAGTACAGAAAGAGAAAGTGCTGTCTATTCTGGGCTTGCATGACAAGACTGTAAGCTCTAATGCTTAGAAAGGAAATGCAGCTGAGATGGAGTTTGGCTGGGGTTCCAGGAAGGTTTTCCCCTCTGGAAAGCATACTCGAAGCACTGTCAGATGTTGTTAGGAACCAAACAATGAAAAAAACAAGTGAAAAATATACCCTAAACAGTACAGCCTCGGTCCTTTAAGCCCAAGGATGACTTCTAAGTTTAATAAAAAAAAAAATGTACTTGACTAACAGTTTCCAGTTTATTTATTCAAGGCAGTTTTAAAAGATTGGCTGATTATTCACAAAACAAGTTATTATAAAGAGCAACCTAAATAGTTCTGGAAAGTGTTTATCTTTCTTTTTCAAACTCTTTGTTAGTATCAGGATAAAACAAAAGACATTTTTTCCATTCCAAGGCAGTTAGGTTTCCTAATGAATGCTAGTGGTTACTTAACCTTTATGAAGAGTTTCAAGAAAGAAATGTTAATGTTTGAAAAAAACTATTATTTATCCGTAATCTCTTTTTATATAGAACAGGATGCTTTGGTAAGTAAATACCTATACTTTAATTGCAAACTCATGTAAAACTATTACAGAAATTATTATCCTTGTCTAAAAAGATTGAATTTGTTCAAATAAAAAACATAATTCTATAAAATTATATTCCGGCAAGGGTTTGAATCTGAATTTTGGGTCTGAGTTCTTCTATTCTTTAGTGAGAGCTTTAAATGTATTTTGTGATTTAACTCCATACAAATATCTGTATAGCCCTTTCCAAGAAAAAAAGAAACCTTTTGTAAAACCTAGTAATTCTGTAATTATGTTTGTTTTATGCCACCCCTCTCACTTTTATGGTAAAAACAATTTATTTGATTTTGTATTTTTAAATGAATTGCTCATCCTCTAATATCAGTGGACGCTTTGGCTGGCCAGAAAACCAGCACACTCCCTCATGTCTCCTGTGCTTCCGTTCCAACATTTCTGAACATTTGTTTCAACTAAGAGATCAACCACATTAGTTCATCATACTTTCAGAGTTGAAGGTTAGGGCATAACAGCCAATTGCTGTTCACTGTATGATTTCTTGTTTCTCAGGATTTTATTATTTATTTGCTTTTTTTTTTCTTTTTAACATATCAGCCATTTAGGTTTTGAGAAGTTTCTTAAAAATGTATTTCTCTGGCAATGCTTCTATAAAATACAGATCAAAACATATTCTAAGACTGTTCTTTCTGCTTTAACTAATTCACATAAAGAGTTACCAAAGCTATCTGATATTGTCTGGAAGTGTCCATTTTCACAGTTCTCTAATTAAGTCTAAGTGTACCACATTCCTTTAAGATCCATCTCCTCCTGATACATTTTATTCCTGTTCTCAGAACCCTGGTTACTGTTACCCATTATTTCTCCTTTAAATAATTGTTTTACCTCTTGGCCATTCATTTGTCTTTCTGGTTATTCCTTTCATAGCTTCAATTGCCTATTAACTGATATAATAATGCTGATATTTTTCAGGGCTTTGGCTGTTTTCATCCAGGGATTTCAAAGTACTTTTAAGATAGCTCTATTGCTTTGTGGAAGGCAATTAATAAGACAAAGAGAAATAAAGACCTGAAAAGTGAAGAAGTCCATGTATATTCACACACCAAGACCAGTAGAAAATCTTTAAATTCATTCATCTTTGGATCACTTTGGTTAGACAGTCAAGAAGATAACAGATAGACTGAAGGTACAGGAAAATCTAGTGATGCAGTCTGCTTTGATTTCTTTTTTTTTTTTTTTTTTTTTTTTTGAGACGGAGTCTCGCTGTCGCCCAGGCTGGAGTGCAGTGGCGCAATCTCGGCTCACTGCAGGCTCCGCCCCCTGGGGTTCACGCCATTCTCCTGCCTCAGCCTCCCGAGTAGCTGGGACTACAGGCGCCCGCCACCTCGCCCGGCTAATTTTTTGTATTTTTAGTAGAGACGGGGTTTCACCGTGTTAGCCAGGATGGTCTCGATCTCCTGACCTCGTGATCCACCCGCCTCGGCCTCCCAAAGTGCTGGGATTACAGGCGTGAGCCACCGCGCCCGGCCGTCTGCTTTGATTTCTAAAGACTGACTGGGGTCAATAAGATTCAAAGGTCACTGAAATACAAAAGCAAAGGATTTTGACTTGTGTCCTTCCTTTTCTGGCAGAACTCGTTCAGTCAAAATGTCCCCTGATTTGATGCCATAACTCACCAGAGGCTTCCAGACTCTTTCAATAAAAACTGCTTTCCTCTTTTGAAGAATCCATTGCTGTTGATGTGAAGAAAATATCCCAAATATTCGCCAATAGGAAAAGGGATAAAAAAATGGCATAGTCATACAATGGAAGCACTGGTCAACAATGAAAAGAATAATGGCTGATACACAAAAAAACATGAATGAGTCTCCTACCTCTTAGTGATTTTCAAAATAAATTATTTTTTGTTTAGATTTGAACCACTGTGGGCTGAATTGTTTCTATTAATTTGGTAGGCATGTAAAATTTTAACATGATTAAAAAATAAATGCATGGGTGGAAATGAACATCATTTTATTTGTAGGCAAGGTTGTGTCTTGGACAAACCTAGATCCAAATTATGACTCTATCCTTCTCCAGCTTTATAACATTGGCCAAAATATACTCTTAGTTTCCTCACCTGTAATAATCACAGCAACTTTTGTGAAGTAGCTACAAGGAGATACTGCATACAAGGTTTGCTTATAAAGTACGTGCCCAAAAAATGTGTTTCCCTTTTTTTTGCCCTTTAGTTCAGCCTGTATAGAAGTCTAGATGTTGATCTGTATAGAAGGCTAGATGTTGAGCTCATGCATTTTTCCAATGCAGTTCTGTTTGGCATGACTGAAACATCAGGAGGATGCAAAACAAGGCTAGTCCTGTATAATGCAAAATCTCTTAAGAATAGAAGAGCATTACGGCCAGGTGCGATGGCTCACTCCCGTAATCCCAGCACTTTGGGAGGCCGAGGCGGATGGATCACCTGAGGTCAGGAGTTCAAGATCAGCCTGATCAATATGGTGAAACCCCGTTTCTACTAAGAATACAAAAATTAGCCAGGTGTGGTGGCAGGCGCCTCTAGTCCCAGCTACTTGGGAGGCTGAGACATAAGAATTGCTTGAACCCAGGAGACAGAGGTTGCAGTGAGCTGAGATTGTGTCATTGCACTCCAGCCTGGGTGACAGAGTGAGACTCCATCTCAAAAAAAAGAAAAAGAATAGAAAAGCATTAATAGCAAGAAAGCTATCAATTTATCTCGCTCCTTAACCATAAATATATTAAATATAAATTGTTATCTATTTCATTGCTTCCTAAACCAATCTATTTTCTCTACTTTAGACTTAAGAAACTAGGGCAACAAAAAAGGGAAAGAGAGAAGAGAGAAACCAAAGCATGCATTTATTCATCCACCAAATATTTCTCGAGTGCTTCCTATTATTAGCCAGGCATTGATTCCCAAACTCTCTTTGTTCCTGGGACTATATTCTAGAATCAAGTATTCTATATACTGGAATCAGAATCAGGAATCAGAATACAAGTAAATGCTGTTTGTGGGATGTTCACTAGATAAAAGTCTTTTAAAACTTTTCAGTATTCTTTTCTAAAGTTCTGTTAGCATCTCAACAGAAGCAAACATGATAATAGGCTCCTTCCTGCTTTTGAGAGCAGCTGAGATTCTTCTATTGACACAGCCTGTAAGATTGAACTCGAAAAACCAGAAGCAAGGAGTTCCCATTAAGAGTCACGGCCTTGCAGATTTACCCCTCCTCTCTGTCCCATAAAGCCAGAATTTTCTGACCTGTAGGGCACAGTTTGGGACTCATCTGTTTTCTTAAACATTTCCTGCCTAGGGACGTAATACTGATGTGGTTGGTGGGGGGAGACAGTGACACAGAGGAGATTTATTTATAACTGAACTGTATGAGGTAATTATAAAAATATCCATTTAAACTCTGACAATAATGGATAGTGTATTGGTGTTATAGGACAGGATTCAATGATCAGAAATGTACTGGTAAGTTACAGAAGAAAAACCTAAATAATTTTTCACTAAAAAATTCAATAGTTTCCAGGGGTCAATAAGAAAACACAGCAGATAGTTTTAGGAACCAGGAGGGTTTCATCACTTGCTTGTTTTCTCTTCTTAGTTGGTTCTATGTAAAGGAGGCAAAGAGGGATATGTGTATGTGTGTGTGTGTGTTTCTGTCTGTCTATGAAAAAATTTGACTTTTGAATCGGTTTACTATTTATTTTTGGTCCCTTAACCAAAAATGTTAGCTCATGAGTATAGGAATTATTGTTTGTTTTGGTCACTCCAGTGTCTAGAAATTGCCAGGCATGTATCAGTAGGCCCACAATAAATGGCTGTTGAGTAAGTGAAGGAATAAATTAATGCAAGAAAGAAAAAAAAATGAATGAATGAAAAAAGCCAATGTGGGTTAAATTTGAGCTGTGCCATTTGTTAGCTTTATGCCTTGAACAAGACATTTAAGCTCCAGGAACCTCAATGGCCCTATCATAAAAGTAACGATAATCACAATGCTTTTAGAGGATATTTGTCAGTATTTAAAGATTCAGTGTCCAGAACAGTGCTTTGTTTGTACTGTGTACTGATTGTAGGTGGACTTCCTCTTCCATAGACACTCTTCTGAACCCTACAGTGATTTAACATGTTGTTATGGTAGAGGGTTGTGTGAATTTTATGATTCTATGATAAAGCGTTTTAATGATGACTTTTAAATAAGTTGAAATGGGTGTGGATCATTGGTTATAACAAAGCATTGTCCGCCATTCAACAGTTTTCTAATGTTAAGACTCCATGCAACAGGCTGGGGGTGGTGGCTGATGCCTGTAATCCCAGCACTTTGGGAGGCTGAAGTGGGCGAATTATCTGAGGTTGGGAGTTCAAGACCAGTCTGACCAATGTGGAGAAACCCCGTCTCTACTAAAAATACAAAATTAGCTGGGCGTGGTGGCGCATGCCTGTAATCCCAGCTACTCAGATGGCTGAGGCAGGAGAATCGCTTGAACCCAGGAGGCAGAGGTTGCAGTGAGCCAAGACCACCCCATTGCACTCTAGCCTGGGTACCATGAGCGAAACTCTGTCTCAAAAAAAAAAAAAAAAAAAAAAAAAGACTCAATGCAAGAAAATAATGCTTAACTTTATAATTGTGAGTCGATGAAATAAACATGCAATTAACAATTTCCTCATGGTCTGAATATTATAACCAGTGTAATAAACTAACTCAACAAGGAGAATTTTATGGTTCTGGACAAATTCAAATTTTATTCCTCGGATTTTATTTATCATTACTATGTAAATAAGTTGCAATCTAAAATTAATAGTTTATTTGGGAATCTGTCTGAGTACTAAAACAAAATTATTTGGCTTCATGTAGTTGAAAGCCAAAAATTCAAATAAACTTTATATCATAGAAAAGGCTGTATCAGAGGACTTTATTTAATGGGGTGAAGAAAATATTTTCTGATTTTCTTTTTATGACTATAAGGCAGATCTGACACCATTAGTTTTCTTTCTGTCATAAATATAGATGAATGTAATTTGACAGGCGTCACTACAAAATAGGTTATAGATAAGTTCAGGCATCTCTCCTTCCACACAGACCTTTTATACTCAGTTCTGATGGAGCTGCTTGAATAGAATGACCAAGGTTTGATTTTAGGCTTCTAGGTCACAGTTTCACCTTGACAACAGTTCTTTCATTTCCAGCAGTAACAGTTGCTAGGATCCCTAAGGTGCTTTCATTTTTAAAAAAAAAAAGGATAGAAAAAAAGATAAATCTTAATTCACATGCTGCAGGACTATCTCTGTGTCTCCGGCACAAAACTTCAAATCCAATCCAAGAACTGGATGTGTATTAGAAGTCTGCAGATTTAAACCTTGTCCACCATGATCAAACTGGATTTATGGAGCATCATAACTCTCCAGACACCATCCAGCAGCTTATTAATTTAATAGACTCCTGTCCGTTCACTGATGTTCCTGCCCTGACAGTCTCTCAAGATAAGGCGAAAGCCTTTTGACAGGACAGAGAGCATATATATTTTCTTCTGTTTTCTCGTGGATGGGGTTGTCGACAACTTGAAATGTGTGGCTCAGCAAATTTGTTTTTTTTTTTCCTTCTCTTTTTTTCCTCTTTTACTTCGCAGGAAGGATGACAGAGGCAAGCCTCCTGAGAGTTCCAGGGGTCAAGGGGCCTGTGTTTCCCCTAAGTACTTATTTAGCATTTTGTTTTGCAAAATAACAATGAATTGATTTGAAGGCATACAGGTGGGGACATTTTTACAATGAAAAGAAGCAGCATTGCAATTTAATGCCTAATATAAAATAAGAGGTGTTGGAGAGAAGAAGACAAATAGCAATAAGTGTTCCCATTAAGTAGAGTAGAGCAGCATTTTCTTTTCTTTTCTTTTCTATAATCCCATTTGTGGGAATGAGAGGGAGTGCCAAAAAAAAAAAAAAAAAAAAAAAAAAAAAAAAAGATAGCACACAAGCTGTTGTATAAAGACAAAACAGGAAGAACTTTTCAACATTCTTATTTTTCCTTTATGATACGCTCATGCTCTGTGTTTTCTATTTGCCTCTAACATGCAAATAAATTCACAAGTCTCTGCCAGAGAGTCATTACACCATTATGTAGCAAGGTTAACTGTTTCTATCCCACAGTGTACCTTTTCTGTTAAAATCACATCAGTAATCACTAGACCCTGGCTTCTCAGACTTGAATGTGCACACAGATCACCTAGGATCTTGTTAAAATGCACATATGGATTTAGCAGGTCTGAGTGAGGCCTGAGCTTTTACATTTCTAACAAGCCAATGTTATATTGCTGCTTGGCACATTATGTGTTAAGTAGTAAGACATTAGTCAAATTTTTAAAAGGCGGAATAATTTAGATATGGACAAGCTATATCATAGTATCAATGAAGGTAAAACATAACTTGAACATATTACAAAAAGTTAACAGATTCTCTACCTGGCATATAGTGGCAATTCAACTACCATTTCAATGACTTAAAGAACACCCCACCTCCAAATTTCATACAATGGTCTTTTTTTTTGTATCAGTTTGCTTCATTACTGGATGTGTGCAAAATCATTATCTTAATTTGTCCTGAGATAGGTAACTTAAACAGTGATGTTTAAAGCCATGGATAAAATAAATGTAATGTGTTCACTTTCTTAAACTACATTTTCTACTTACTTCGTTTTTGTTTCTTATTTGTATCTCTAGTCAAAATGCAAGACTATCTAAACTAAGCTATTGTTTGTCCTAAATGTCTTTCACAGTCCACATTATTTGCTTCCACAGGGTTAAGGTCAAGGCATTCTGGATTTGATAGGTGAGAACATTTGATTGAAAAACTTCATAATTTAATCTAGAAATCTACACTCAAAACATAGCAACATTGAAGACTTATTGCTATTTTACTTAAGGCCTTATTTGCATAATATGATTAGTTCTGGAATTGAGACCACAGAGTATTTACTATTTTATAGACATGTATCTTTTTCGGGGAGAGGTGAACAGAAATGTAATATATTACTGATTTGAGAAAATGAATTATGGAATCTTAAATTCCTCATTATAAATATTTGATAAATATTCAGAAAATCTTAAATTTTTATAATGTACCTCTGAAACGTCCATTTCTTGAAAGACTGCACAAGCTAAACGTAGCTGACCTAAAGAATAATCATTCTTGAAAATCTTTACTAACAATGTATACCAGACAATGATGGTGAGTACTAGATTTCTAAAGGAAAAACTGGCTTAATTTACTGTCATTGAATTTCAATAGGAGGTAGCTAGAAATACATGCATAAATAGATGGGAATAGCTTATCTATATGTATTTCTGATCCATTTCCTTGATTGGAATACTCTTGCTTGCAACACCATGGTATACTATTTGGTTGACCCTACTGTTGTTTGACAGTCTTCACAGGCCTCAGACAGCCTCATGAGAATACAACTTCTCTGAAGTACTACTGTATGTCAGGCATATAAGGTGACGTTTTAATTTTAAAAATAGGCTTCAAAAATGGGCTTGACTTCTACATCAGTGGTAAAATGAAAAGCCTCCAATTTCAGGTATTAGAGCAAAGAGTAGAGGTTTCTGACTGACCTTCCCCTAGTGAAGAGCTGAAACAGACACTGTTACTATTTACCAGTAAAGTGGGTCCAAAAAGAACCACCCAGTAATAGCAAGCCAATGACTTGGCATGGCTGCTATGCAAAGATGTCGAACCAAACCCTGTGGTTTGACAACATCTTTTGCATCTATGTAGGTTTTGTTTCAAATTCTTGTATACACTGCCATGCTGACTGATGCAGCATAATATATGCTATGTATATATGCAACATTTCAAAGGAATCCTCTTCATCTAGATTCTCTGGTATTTTAAAAATCTCACTAAGGAATGTTACATTTTTTGAGACATGGGGAGAATCCATTGTGGGTACTGGATTTTCAAATGATTTCCACATGAGTAATTTCTGAAACTCAATCAGGTAACACTAGAGTTTATTCTGTTGAATGATGCATAATAAATCTCATTACATAATAATTCAAAATTCAGTGGGTGTATACTGTGCGCTGGCTGTGGAGTTACAGAGGTGAAAAATTGAATTGTTGCCTTTGAGGTGTTCACATCCAGCTTGGTAGAATACCCACCCTGGGCTGGATCTTTCTTCTTATGGGGACAGGGTAAAGAAGGCCTTTTAGAGGTGTTGATACACACTAAATATTTAATGGTACCTGTTAAAAATGATACAGATGGTGAGAAGGTTATCAGGCAAAGGAAATATGATGTCCAAGGGTAGATATAAGCAAGCAAGGGACAGGTGGGATTTTTTTTTTTTTTTTGAGATGGAGTCTCACTGTCACCCAGGCTAGAGTGCAGTGGTGCAATTTCAGCTCACTGCAACCTCCAACTTCCAGGTTCAAGCAATTCTCCTGCCTCAGCCTCCTAAGTAGCTGGGATTACAGGTGCCCGCCACCACACCCGGCTAATTTTTGTGGAGAAACTTTAAACAATTGAGTATGATTGAAACATAGAGTTTCTGGGGAAGAGCAGTAACAGATGAGGCTCTCAGGCACTGAGTAGTTACAAAATATAAATGAGGTAGTCAAAGGAAAATACATAAATGAGGAGAAAAAAACTAAAGAATGACAACATGCAGTGGATGTACAGTTATATATATGGAGAGACTTGTCACTGGGCATGGAAGGGGATGACTAGATCAAGCCCCACATAATGAAAACTTGGCAACAAGTAGACTGCAGGAGACCTGTAAGAGTCACTTCAATGGAGTTTTAAAGACAAAAACTGAACAAGAAAGAAGACGCTAGAATTGAAGAAGTCCAAGGAATGAGGTCAGAAAACTTTGCAGAAGCTTGCATAAGAAAAGGATATCCAGGAATTGAACTCAGCTCTGCACCAAGCGGACCTAATAGACATCTACAGAACTCTCCACCGCAAATCAACATTCTTCTCAGCACCACATCGCACTTATTCCAAAATTGACCACATAGTTGGAAGTAAAGCACTCCTCAGCAAATGTAAAAGAACAGAAATTAAAACAAACTGTCTCTCAGACCACAGTGCAATCAAACTAGAACTCAGGATTAAGAAACTCACTAAAAACCGCTCCACTACACGGAAACTGAACAACCTGCTCCTGAATGACTACTGGGTACATAACAAAATGAAGGCAGAAATAAAGATGTTCTTTGAAACCAATGAGAACAAAGACACAACATACCAGAATCTCTGGGACACGTTTAAAGCAGTGTGTAGAGGAAAATTTATAGCACTAAATGCCCATCAGAGAAAGCAGGAAAGAACTAAAATTGACACCCTAATATCACAATTGAAAGAACTAGAGAAGTAAGAGCAAACACATTCAAAAGCTAGCAGAAGGCAAGAAATAACTAAGATCAGAGCAGAACTGAAGGAGATAGAGACACGAAAAACCCTTCAAAAAATCAATGAATCCAGGAGCTGGTTTTTTGAGAAGATCAACAAAATTGACAGACCACTAGCAAGACTAATAAAGAAGGAAAGAGAGAAGAATCAAATAGACACAATAAAAAGTGATAAAAGGGATATCACCACCGATCCCATAGAAATACAAACTACCATCAGAGAATACTATAAACACCTCTATGCAAACAAACTAGAAAATCTAGAAGAAATGGATAAATTCCTCGACACATAGACCCTCCCAAGACTTTAGTCTTCGGAGAAGTTGAATCCCTGAATAGACAGGCTCTGAAATTGAGGCAATAATTAATAGCCTACCAACCAAAAAAAGTCCAGGACCAGATGGATTCACAGCCAAATTCTACCAGAGGTAAAAGGAGGAGCTGGTACCATTCTTTCTGAAACTATTCCAATCAATAGAAAAAGAGGGAATCCTCCCTAACTCAGTCTATGAGGCCAGCATCATCCTGATACCAAAGGCTGGCAGAGACACAACCAAAAAAGAGAATTTTAGACCAATATCCTTGATGAACATTGATGCAAAAATCCTCAATAAAATACTGGCAAACTGAATCCAGCAGCACATCAAAAAGCTTATCCACCATGATCAAGTGGGCTTCATCCCTGGGATGCAAGGCTGGTTCAACATACGCAAATCAATAAATGTAATCCAGCATATAAACAGAAGCAAAGACAAAAACCACGTGACTATCTCAATAGATGCAGAAAAGGCCTTTGATAAAATTCAACAGCACTTCATGCTAAAAACTCTCAATAAATTAGGTATTGATGGGACGTATCTCAAAATAATAAGAGCTATTTATGACAAACCCACAGCCCATATCATACAGAATGGGCCAAAACTAGAAGCATTTCCTTTGAAAACTGGCATTAAGACAGGGATGCCCTCTCTCACCACTGCTATTCAACATAGTGTTGGAAGTTCTGGCCAGGGCAATCAGGCAGGAGAAAGAAATAAAGGGTATTCAATTAGGAAAAGAGGAAGTCAAATTGTCCCTGTTTGCAGATGACATGATTGTATATTTAGAAAACCCCATAGTCTCAGCCCAAAATCTCCTTAAGCTGATAAGCAACTTCAGCAAAGTCTCAGGATACAAAAATCATTGTGCAAAAATCACAAGCATTCCTATACACCAATAGCAGACAAAGAGGGGGCCGAATCATGAGTGAACTCCCATTCACAATTGCTTCAAAGAGAACAAAATACCTAGGAATCAAACTTACAAGGGATGTGAAGGACCTCTTCAAGGAGAACTACAAACCACTGCTCAATGAAATAAAAGAGGACACAAACAAATGGAAGAACATTCCATGCTCATGGATTGGAAGAATCAATATGGTGAAAATAGCCATACTACCCAAGGTAATTTATAGACTGAATGCCATCCCCATCAAGCTACCAATGACTGTCTTCACAGAATTGGGAAAAACTACTTTAAAGTTCATATGGAACCAAAAAAGAGCCCGCATTGCCAAGTCAATCCTAAGCCAAAAGAACAAAGCTGGAGGCATCATGCTACCTGATTTCAAACTATACTACAAGGCTACAGAAACCAAAACAGCATGGTACTGGTACCAAAACAGAGATACAGACCAATGGAACAGAACAGAGCCCTCAGAAATAATACCACACATCTACAACCATCTGATCTTTGACAAACCTGACAAAAACAAGAAATGGGGAAAGGATTCCCTATTTAATAAATAGTGCTGGGAAAACTGGCTAGCCATATGTGGAAAGCTGAAACTGGATCCTTTCCTTACACCTTACATAAAAATTAATTCAAGATGGATTAAAGACTTAAATGTTAGACCTAAAACCATAAAAAACCTAGAAGAAAACCTAGGCAATACCATTCAGGACATAGGCATGGGCAAGGACTTCATGTCTAAAACACCAAAAGCATGGCAACAAAAGCCAAAATTGACAAATGGAATCTAATTAAACTAAAGAGCTTCTGCACAACAAAAGAAACTACTATCGGAGTGAACAGGCAACCTACAGAATGGGAGAACATTTTTGCAATCTACTCATCTGACAAAGGGCTAATATCCAGAATCTACAAAGAACTCAAACAAATTTACAAGAAAAAAGCAAACAACCCCATCAAAAAGTGGGCAAAGGACATGAACAGACACTTCTCAAAAGAAGACATTTATGCAGCCAACAGACACAGGAAAAAAGGCTCATCATCACTAGCCATCAGAGGAATGCAAATCAAAACCACAATGAGATACCATCTCACACCAGTTAGAATGGTGATCATTAAAAAGTCAGGAAACCACAGGTGCTGGAGAGGATGTGGAGAAATAGGAACACTTTTACACTGTTGGTGGGACTCTAAACTGGTTCAACCATTGTGAAAGACAGTGTGGTGATTCCTCAAGGATCTAGAACTAGAAATACCATTTGACCCAGCCATCCCATTACTGGGTATATACCCAAAGGATTATAAATCATGCTGCTATAAAGACACATGCACACGTATATTTATTGTGGTGCTATTCACAACAGCAAAGAGTTGGAACCAAGCCAAATGTCCATCAATGATAGACTGGATTAAGAAAATGTGGCACATATACACCATGGAATACTATGCAGCCATAAAAAAGGATGAGTTCATGTCCTTTGTGGGGACGTGGATGAAGTTGGAAATCATCATTCTCAGCAAACTATCGCAAAGACAAAAAACTGAACACCACATGTTCTCACTCACAGGTGGGAATTGAACAATGAGAACACTTGGACACAGGGTGGGGAACATCACACACTGGGGCCTGTTGTGGGGTGGGGGGGGGCGGGAGGGATAGCATTAGGAGATATACCTAATGTAAATGATGAGTTAATGGGTGCAGCACACCAGCATGGC
Organism: Homo sapiens; assembly: GCF_000001405.40. Lineage (NCBI taxonomy): Eukaryota > Metazoa > Chordata > Mammalia > Primates > Hominidae > Homo > Homo sapiens. Next base: position 105,647,454 of record NC_000008.11, on the reverse strand, counting down.
ACATGTATACATAGGTAACAAACCTGCACATTGGGCATATGTACCCTCGAACTTAAAGTATAATAAAAAAGAAAAAAAAAGAGCAAAGGGGGCTTCCTACTAAGGAAGTGAATGATTGCACTTTAGTGGTGAATTGATTGCATGCATTTATTTCTACTTCCTTTTACTAAAACGACAGTAAAGAAGAAAACAAGGTGATAAGGGCAAAGAGACAGGGCAGATTATACAATAGAAGTCAACAAAATATTGGAATCTAGAAAATTGATGAAATGACACAGCACAGCCAGAAAGCTGAAATCTAAGTACTTGAAGAGCTGCAGGCCAACAAGAAGCAGGCAGATTTCGTCTGCAGAATCCCAAAACAGATCAGGAAGTAAAGGCACCTGGTACCTTGAGAGGGAGGATGAGCAGTGGAGCTAAAACTTGGACAGGCATTCTGAGGACGAAGCTGTTTCCCTCCAGGCCCAGCCATTTCCTATAGAGCTAGGTTACATCCCTTTCCCACTGTTAGGAGATGGAGGTTTAATCTTTGGAAAACTGGCGTATAGAGCCTTTAGATCCAGGGGCACAGGCTCAGCAAAGACAGGTGCTAATATGACATCTGAATTAGAAGAATAAGGGATCATCTACAATCTCAACAATGAGACAGGACTTCCCCAACGCACCACCAGGTCCCACTCTCCTTCAGAATGCTGGCTGCAAGGTTCATAAATCTCGGGGGACTGTTGTTCTTGGGAGAAGTTAAGCATGCTGAGATCAAAGTATTAAATACACAGTTATTTGGGGACCTCATTACCATGAATGGATTGTCATCAGCCTATGATTCTATGCAAAATCCTCCAGTTGATAAGTCCTGCCTACTCACGCTGCCTTTCCATGCAGCCTTTAGTATTGAGAAATAAAAAATGAAATCCTAAGTCTGCTAGCAGATTGAACAGACCTCCTCCTGGCCAAGGGGACCCCGCAGAAGCCTTCATAACTGAGTTCCTGAGTATGACAGGATAGGAGGTCAGATATGCCTCATCATACCCCTCATCGCTAATTGTCATTAGGCTTTCTTCCCTAAAGGTTAAACAGAATGACTCACTTCATCCCTGATATCAACGAACCACCCGACACTACCCCTCCCTTTTGCAGTTTTGACAAAACAACTGAACAGCATTCCTTCCTGATGGGAGACTGCTAACCACAGAGTGGTTCTGGCCGGTCTGTGGAGGATGTGCAGTGAGAGTTTTCATGTTCTCTCTTTCACCTTTTAACACCAAAGAACCGAAAACCCCACCCTTGGATCATGCTAATGCCACCATTATTATTTTTTTTTTGAACACGTGTCCCATAGAGAAGCATGAAGCTCATTTATGCATATGCATGTTTCTCCTTTCTTTCTTTTTTTTTTTTTTTTTCCAGATGGAGTCTCACTCTGTTGCCAGGTGGAGTGCAGTGGTGTGATCTCGGCTCACTGCAACCTCTGCCTCCCGGGTTCAAGCGATTCTCCCATCTCAGCCTCCAGAGTAGCTGGGACTACAGGTGTGTGCCACCATGCCCAGTTAATTTTTTTTATTTTTACTAGAGATAGGGTTTTACCATGTTGGCCAGGATGGTCTCCATCTCTTGACCTTATGATCCGTCTGCCTTGGCCTCCCAAAGTGCTGGGATTACAGGCATAAGCCACCATGCCCGGCCATTTCTCCTTTTATAAATATTCCTCCTATAGCTTCTGTATATTTCACCACCTCGATCAGCATAAATCCCTGTCTTATTCTTCCCACCCTCAAAGTATCTGTTTTTGGCTTCTGGGTGTAGGCTATGCTTCCCAGCCTGTTAGAATGGTCACCATACAAGCTGCAACACTTTATTAGAAATAAACTTCTCCTTTCCAAATTTATGAGCCTTGTCATTCTTTAGTTGACAGTGGCCTGCTCTTAAAATAAAAAGCAGACATCCATGTATCTCAAGCCATTGGAGAAAAGTGTCAACATTAAATACGGGAACAGAATAGGCAAGAGAAAAGAAACAATGCACAGGACATATCCCTTCCCAAATGTCCTCCAGTTTCTATCTTCAGAGATAAAAGAATGACTATTCGCATAAAAAGAGCAAGATGATAAACAAAAGAATAGTCAGAGAACAATAGTCAGAGAACAACAGAGAAAATAAATCTTGTAAATTATAAATGTGAAAGGAGCAAAGTTAAATAATAAAGTTTTAGGATACTGTAGAAAGTCAAAGAAAGTCAAGAAGAATATTGTAAGACTATTATTAAATAGACATCATAGCTTTCTATGTTAAAGAAAAAACTGCATCATACTGGTTTATCCACTTGTTTATTCAAAAATATTCATTGAGCAGCTATTATGTGCCATGCACTGTTTAAAAAACAGAAAAAAAAATCCCTGTCCTTATAGAACTCCCATTCTAAGGATAAAAAACTGACATTAAAATTCTTTGGTCAATAATCAAATATCAAATATAAAGATAACTGATACAGAGGAGGTTATCAACTGAATGTTTATGTCTCCCCAAAATGTATATGTTGGAACTCTAACCCCAAATGTGATGGCATTAGGAGGTAAGGCTTTTGTGAGGCAATTAGGTCATGAGGGTGGAGCTCTCATAATGGGATGAGTGTACACATAAGAAGAAAAGCAAGAGAGATCTCCTTAGCTCCCACTGTACTTTGTGACTATGCAGCAAGAAGGTGCCCATCCACAAACCCAGAAGAGAGCTCTCACCAAGTGTGAAACTGCCAGCATCCTAATCATGGACTTCCCAGTCTCCGGAATCATGAGAAATAAATATTTATTGTTTAAGTCACCAAGTCTATGGTATTTTGTTATAGTTTCCTGAACTGATGGATATAGAGGAGAAAGAGAGAAACAGGGAGAGAAAGAGAGAAATGGTGGTGATGGGGGTATGGGGAGCGAGGGAGAGAGAGAGAGAAAAACAGAAAGAGAGAGAGACAGAGCATTTTAGACAGGGTAGTTAGGCAGACTGTTCAGACAGACAATTTGGGAGGCAACATGTTGGAGGAGTTCAGAAAGAAGTCATAGAGAGCCGAGTGTGGTAGCTCATGCCTGTAATCCCAGCACTTTGAGAAGCTGAGGCCAGGAGTTTGAGACCCAGCCTGGCCAACATGGCAAAACCCTGTTTTTTTTTTAAAAAAAAAAAAAAGAAAAGAAAGAAAAATAAAAGCAATGCAGAGCCAGCGCACAGTGCAAAGGCCCTGAGGTAGTGTCACTGTTTGTATTTTTAAGCAAAAGCAAGGAGCCCATGCAACTGGAACAAAGTAGCTAAAGAGCAATGGAAAGAGAAGCCACAGAAGCATCCAAGAGCAGATCATATAAGGCCAAGTAATAAGTTTGTAGGTTTAGTTCAGGAGTTGGCAAGTTTTTCCATGAAGAACCACATAATATTTTAGGTTTTACAAACTAGATTGTCTCTGTTCCAGCCACTCAACTCTGACGTTATAACGTGAAAGTGGCCATAGACAATGTATAAACAAATTGCTGTGGCTGTGTTCCAGTAAAACTTTATTTACAAAAACAGGTCATGGGTCAGATTTGGCTCTGCATTATTTATCAATCCTTGTAATCAGTCCAATTGTGATCCTTGGAGCATTACGTGTGCTACCACTTTCTCATTTTCTTTGTGAAACAAGAAGTAAAGACATTATTTAACAGAGGATGTTAAATATTTGGGGTGTCAGAAGTCTGAAATAGTACCTTGAAGACTGATTAGGAGAACAAATTTTGATTGTCAGACCACGTATACTGAGGGCTCACATCTCCTTGTGGTCAAAAGTAACATAACACTGATCAGCATTGATTTTTTGTTGTTGTTGGTATTGGTGGTAATTCCTTTGTTTTATTTTTACCATACATTTATATAGTACTCATTGTGGACCAGACACTATTCTAGGTACTTCACAAATACTAATTTACCTAATATCTGCTGCTTGGATGTGGCCAGGAGAAAGTGGAGAGCTGGATTAACTAGAATGAGGAATTACCAGGCCAGTAAAGACCAAAAAGAGAGAGAGAAGGGTAATGGAGTCTAAGAAAGTGATTAGAATGACAGACCCATGGAATCCACATTGGGTAACCTGGAAGTAAGCATGGGAGGGGCTGATAGGAAAACGATGGTGATGCAGTGAGTAGATTGCAGGTTCATTTGGTGTTGAAAAATTGTCGAAGTCTGGTAATGAGTGAAGTAAGGCAGATGGTTTACTACTAATGTTTTCTAGAGGTGTGTAACACCATTATTTTCATGACACGTAAGTCCTGGTTTTGTTAATGGATGGACCTATGCTTAACTTTTGACACAATAATCTTACTAGAATCTCGATTTCATCACGTGTACCCTCAAAATGTCAGCAGCTCTCCCCGCTGCTTCCATGCTAAGGTTTTCAGAACGAGCATTCAAGTGTGTCCATAACATGGCTCTCAGGAACTTTTGGAGGCCTGCTCCTCAACAGTCACATTTGTAAATTCTCAACTTTAACTAAACTGAACAGATACACTCATGAACACATTGTATGCATTGTAGCCTAGGAGCTTTTAGGCACACATTTTAACCTCCTTAAAAGCCTTCACCCCATTACTCAAACTGATACTCAACATTCAATATCCAACCAAAATTCCACATCTTTGTGAACATTTGTTGACTGTATGAGACTGAATTCATTACTATACATCTTTCATCAAGTAAGCTCTTTCAATAAGCTTCTTAAGCTGGGGGGTGTCTCATATTCATTTGTACTCCTCATGACACCTGGGCCATATCGTGGGCAGAGCATGTGCTCAGTTATGTGTATTTTATTTGGAAAATTATCTTATGAAAAACAAAGTGGCAGGACTTTCACAGAGTTACTAAAGAAAAGTAATTATATCACTAGGAAACAATTTAAATTCTGTGGAGGAAGGACACTTTGTGGATAAGGCAAAGATTTCTTTGTTTTAGTTGGGTTGTGTAAAAAGAAGAGTAAGAATGTAGTTAAGACAAAGAATGATTTTCAAATGCAAATATTTATCTTAAATTATATAAGTAAAATAATCAAAGTGAAGAAAATTATGAAAAAGGATACCAAAAATCTCCCTAAGTCTTGCCACTTTAACAGAAATATCTTTATAATTTCACACTGTTTCTTTCCAGTATGTCTTCCTGTGCATACAGTTTTTAAGCATAATCATGTTAGGCACAAAGCCGCATATTCTGCCTTTTTTCACCTAGATTTATCTTATAATAATTTTTTCTACATAATACAGTGTTTTAAAAACTATTCTCAGTATCTTACCCTGAAAAAAAATCTACCCTAAAGAGTTGTCCCTCATTTCAACTGACAAAGATACTTTTGGGGGTAGCTTTCAAGATTAGCATCTCTTTGAATGACAAGCTAACATCCTTGAATGACAGTGAGTCACCTCTCAAAGACCCCACTCTTCATTTCTCATTTTTATACTTATAAAACTGATATATTCTTAGTTCTTATCATTTGCCAGGATTCTAACTGGGTTTCTACCGTTAAGAGACAGAAGCTTCATTCATGCATGGATCCAGGGTGGTTTAGGATATTTTTTTTCTCCAAAATAGGACAGCACATCTAATCAACTAAGGTAATTAGTGGGATTATTGTGCAGGGCTATTTACCAACATTTCATTAAGGAAACTCACAGTGATGCTGATATAAAAACAAATGTATTTTTCACATCATATAGCATATAGTAGTAATAACTAAAGACAATAAACTATTCAGTACACCCAGACTCAGATTGAAATAACATCAATAAATCACTAACATAACAGTAAAAACAGTAAATGCATAGTAAGAAATGGAAATGACACAAGGCTCACTATTTGCAGAAGTTGCTGCCATTCTGCAATTTGCAACAGACAGCTCTATTTTAAATAACACAGTCACTAGTGGGGTCACTTGTCTTGACCTTAAGAACCCCTTAGAAATGACAATTTGAATCAAAACTGTGGTTTTTAAAAAGCAGCCATTTTTACAATCATAGATTCCTAGGAAAGGAATAATAAATTGCTCACTCCTCAAAATATTAATAGAACGTAACCAGAAAAAGCCTCAGATGTTCATGAAACATGGGTTTTCGGCATCGCGTTATCCTGTGGTGCTCTGCAATCAATTACTGTTATACCACCATCATTAATAATTTTCTTAATGAAAATGATTCTGTTGATCTCCGTAGTATTTTAATTATCAGAGTTAAGCATAATTACACTGCAGCTCTGAGCTGGCATGTGGACTCCTTTAGGGCGCAATTTTGTTTTAACACACTGATAATGTAATTTTACATTGTGTCAGTTTGTTTGGTTATTATCCAGTTGTACAATTCCACTGTATTCCTGATAACAGATAATAACCTTAGTACCTCCTATATCCTGAAGTCATTTAAAAAGCAATATTGGAATTCTGCGACTAGCTAACTTAATCGCCTTATGATTTTATAATTCCCACTGCTAAATATTTAGTTCGGGCACTCACCCTCTTTCAAGAATACTGTAAAATTAGACAATGGTTATACATTTTCTATGAATTACTGAATAGTTAAATAAATGCGTAAAATATGAACGCAAATTTTTCCTTTTAAATTAGTTTATTATTTATACAACATTATACCCTCTAGGTAAAGTTAAACATTAACTTTTGGGCTACTCTGAAAATTGGCTGCCACATTAGACAAAGCTATTGTTTGAAAATTCTAGTAACATGCAACAGATTATCTATTTTAAGGTGGAACATGGTTCGGACTTTTACAAGAATCTTTGTAATGAAAGACATTTGTTTTGAAAATTTAATTTAGAGAGTGTGCAGAAAGTTACTTACTCAAGCTAAATCATACTAGAATTTCTGTCATTATTTCAATGGTGCCTAGAATAGGCCCTTGGACATAAAGGACATTCAAAAATGGTTAAATTAACTAATTGCATGCTTAAATTCATAAGAACCTTGCAAAATCAGAACTTTGAAGGCTGTCATAGTATGATTTTGAGATTGCTGTGCAGCCGTCTACATGATTTGAAATTGCTGTGGTCTCAGAAACAACAAAGAAATTAGCATAAACTATTGCTGCCACTGCTGTTTTAGTGTTTGAATAATCTCTTTAAAGTCAAGCCAAAGAATGGGAAAAAAAATTGCTGATAAATATGTATGCAAATTTGCAAAGAAAGGCAATAACCTGTAACCTTGGCTTAGTAAATGGCATCTTCCAAAATTTTGTTGATTGTACAATTGGGAATTGAAGTCAACAAGCTTAAGATTGAATCCCAACTTCTTCATTTTAACTTACTTAACCCATCGAAACCTAAATTTATTCATCTGTAAAATGGGAAAAGCACTGTTTCGATATCATGAATTTGTATTGTAAGCAAGAAAATGTACGTAAAGTGATTAGAACAGTGTCTAGAATAGAACAAAGATTAATAAATAGTAATTGCTATTATTAGTATTAATAATATCATCATTTTCATCTTTATACTAGCATTGTATATAAGACTTTCACTAAAATAAAAGTATCACGTGCCCAAGAAAAAAATCCAATGATATGCTCCCAGACAGGCTTCAGGTCTCTAATTCTGTGACACAGATCTCTGCAAATATTCTGTGGGTTCAAAGTGACTGAATAAGACTTGTAGAAGTCTTCGCTATAAATACGATATCACTATATGCTTGATACCAACATGGAGGCCTGGCTTCATTTTCTCTCAGTGTGTACTGACTTATGACCACAAGGACTGCTTGTATGATAATCAGCAACATAATATTGATCATAACCTCTGCAATCATGTAAATGGGTGCTTCACAAAAATCCTGCATGGTAGCCATTGCTATTCCATTTTCACAGCTGAGAAAATCAAGATTAGAGTGGGCAAGTGATTTGTCTAAGGTTACACATGAAATATAGATTTTTATAATAATATTGTGGCTTCGCATATAAAGAAATATTATGTTGTTGAGGTGAGAGTGAGGGTTAGCAGATACTTTTTCACTCTCTTGATTGACAGTGTTTATTCTCTTAATCTGGAGACCTAGAGAATGTGGCTACTTTGAAATAACAACTACAAGAAAATTGAAAAACTAAATAATGTAATTATTCCCGATTTGAAGCTGAGTGATTAAACCCACATGAAAGATGCTAAAGGTGTAATTTTAAATATCCTCAAAACGTAAAATTCTAAGTACACTATTTGTTTTTCATATGAAAAGGTCACCATACTTTGCAAACGGTAGATAGCATATAAGAAGGTAAGGTAAAGAAGTAGATCATCAGTGCTCAACAGACAGTGGATTTTAGGAGTAAGTGGGCAGGCCTTTGCTCACCCTACTCTCCAGCAGAGCTCCTTTTAACTTCAGCATTATGCTTTTTAGTATTTATCCATAGAGATAAGTAAATTAGAATTATCTGGAGTCTGTTGAGAATAATGGCAAAAAACAGACGACCCAACAGGTCTGGTCCATCAATGTCTGGATGACCTAATTACTTTCTGGAATGACAAGGGGTAGGTGAGGCAGGAACAATGTACATCAGATTCGAATGTTAATGCCAACTACTATACTTTTAAAAATTTTTATAAAACAAGATGATGGCAACCTGTCAAAAAGCACTAAGTGATATAATACAATTTTATTTTATAATAATTATTTGATGGACACGCTGACAAGGAGAGATTTATAGTCATATTTAATTTTGTTACTAGCCTACATTTAGGAACACTTTAGGAAGCAAGCATGCCTCCTAGATGGTAATAGTTAAACATTAAATGGGCCTATTTTCACACCATAAGAAAACACTATCAAAAATCTCAGTCAAGGCATTTTTGCAAAATGTCACACATCTGCAATTTATCTTCTATTTGTAAACAGATACTGATATGTTCTCAGATAGCCAGGTCCTATAATAATGATTTGGCATTGAGTTTATAAGTAGTTTAGGTTTTTAGGAAAACAAACAAATAAATACAATTGTGGCATCAGGAATTTAATTTTCATCGTCCATGAGAGCTTTTTAGACTTTAGGAAATAATATGTGATACCTGGGAGCATGGATGTTGGCCCAACAAGCAACCACTCTTTTGTGGCAGCATATCCTTGGTTTTATTTAGGGAACTACCTCTCCTCCATTTCAGTGGCTCATGCAGGGTTAATTTTACTTTTAGGCCCCAGGCTGACTATGGCCTGCCTAGGAGAGTCATAGTGATTAATTGGTTCAGGGAATGGTATGTGATGTGCTCTAATCACAAAACCCAGAAAAGCTCTCTTTTCACCGAAGTTGCTATGCTGGTGGAATAAGTCTGGAGCTTGCCACTACTTATCTGAGAATGATGCCCACACAAGAAAGAAGAGCCAGACGATAGAGAGAGAGAGTTTGGGGACAAAGTTTGAGCAACTGAATCAAGCAGTTCCTGACATCCAGAATATCCCTGGACTCTCAGTTATATGAGCAGATGAACCCATCTACCCCAAAACACACACACACACACAATTTTTTGGCAGAAGCTAATTTCAGTTAGAATTCCACCACTTGAAAACAAAAGAGGCCCAATTAATAAATAATATAGGCATTACGAAAATGCCACAAACATTGTGGAGTTTCAAGTTAACACTTGTTAACCCTTCCATCTTCAAAACGCTTTTGCTTTGAGGAGTCTTATCATACATACAGATTGTGGAGACAGACGACTCCTGAGTCCAGTGTGTTTGGATACGAGTAGGAGTGCCTCCCGGGATCATATTTTCCATGATCCAAACAATCCCTAGTAAAATCCCAGAATATTAAGGTATTGACACAACTTTGGGACATGCTCTGGGTGAGCTGTCTCCTCCCTCTAAAGGCACTCTAAATACTAGAAATTAGTTCCAGGCCTCTGAACCCCAGGTAGAAGATCAAAGAAGAGTCTGGAGCAAAGTAGAGAAATAAAAATATATGTTGAAATGCAAATGATCAGGGTTTTTTGCTTTTGTTTTTTACTGCATAATTCTAGATCATTAATAGCAGCATCCATTGTGAGTTTTCAAGAGGGCTACGATAAATGATATTTGGTCATGGGGCTTTTTCTTTAATCTTAGGGTTCCATGAAATACATTTTGGGAAATGCCACACTTTAATATATATATTTTGTGATTTCTAGGGATAAAAGCCCGAGTGGTTTTGATTGTTACTCATCATTTAACAGTGGCAAAGGGAAAGGCAGAGTCATGTAGTTCAAGGAGCACAAAATTTGGAGCTGTCAAGACGTAGATTGAATTTAGCTCTATTGTTAGCTCTCTATGATCACAGGCAATCATGCCACCTCTCTAAGTCATAGGTGTAAAATGAGAAAATACTATCTATTTCATTGAGTTGTTTTGAAGCTTAATGCAGACAGAACATATTCTAGTATGTATCACTCCAACCCTAAGTTGGACAAATGTATGCTTGATCCCACTCAATCACTTATTAGCCATGTGACCATGGCAAATTATTTACCCTACTTAAGTCTTTTATCTACCTTTGTAAAATGGGGTAGTATGTTGATTATCTCATAGGAGCTATTAAATAAGTATTAAGCTTTAAAAAGCATACGCAGTAGTTATTACAGTTCTGGCATTTGAACTGCAAAACCAATTGTTCTTGTAAGTTGAACGATGCCAAATTACCCTTTACAGGTTAAAACATTATTGAATAGCAGCAATTCATACAGTTCATCATCACAGTATGTGAAATGTCTATTTCAGTGTCTGGCAACCATTCATCATTTGTTCATCTGGTCAACCAATCTATATTTACTTAGTGCTTTTCTTGTACAGGTAGCATGCCAGACCAGGAATAGAAAGGTGACTAAGACACAATCTGTGCCCTCAGTAAATATAGAGTAGATTAAAGAGGCAAGCCATCACAGCTAAACTTTTTTACTTACTCCTTTTTGGACACATAAACTGTATATTCATGATCATGAAACAAGGTAATAGAGAATAATGAGAGAAGCACATACAATTTGGCATGGGAGCATCAAGAAGAGAATTCAAGGTGTGCCCAATAAATGGTGGCTATTATCATCAATGTACAAGGTTAGCACATAGTTGGACTCAATGCATGCTTTACCAGTTAATTAATGAATTAATAAGCTTCTATTAATTACTCTAAGTTGTTTATTGCAAAAAGATATAAGGTATAGCCAACCATAAACACATAAGTTTGCTCAAGTTAGCATACTCCACTAAACATAGAATTCCAATTCTGTTATACAGGTTCACATCCCTAATCAGAAAATCCAAAATCTTTCAGATGGTTCCAAAATCCAAAACCTTTTGATCAACAACATGATGCCGCAAGTGAAATATTCCACAACTGACCTCATGCAATGGGTGGCAGTCAAAACTTAGTTTCATGCACAAAATTATAAAAATATTGTATAGAATTACCATTAGGTTATGTATAATTTGTGTTTATGAAACATAAATGACTTTCACATTTAGACTTGGGTCTCATTTCCAAGATATCTCATTATGTACATGCAAATATTCCAATCTGAAAAAAAATCTGAAATCTGAAACACTCTGGTCCCAAGCAATTTGGATAAGGGATACTCAAAATATATAACAATTATCTCTACTAAAAGAATAGCTGATTTAAAAATGCAATGAATTTGAATCATAAATGGGGACCAGGTATTGCCATGTTTCCCCCATACTATATTGATACAATGAAGATAAAATATTGTACAACAGAAATTTGTCCCCAACAAGTGGTCCTACATTCCAAGGTATCTTTTGTATTCTGAATGTCGGCATTGGTAAACTGATTCCCTATACCATTTCTTTTCACTTTGATAGATTATATTGGCATATCCTGAGAAAATCTCACATCCCTTTTAGCTGAAAGCTCCCACCAGCATACCACAGGTATTCCGGGTTAGAAAATTAGTGGGTATGGGACCAGTAATTATAGAAGGAAAAAAGTATAATCAGATCCTGGTGTGCAGATTGTTTTTTTTTTTTTAGCTTGCAAATTCCCTCTTTCTGGTGTTTCAACTTTCAAAGGCTTATGGTAGTTAAGAGACAATCCTCTTATAAGTGTACAAATTGTAATGATTATAGAACAAGTTGTAATTGTTTCTAGCAAGTTTTTAAGAGTCTTTGATGTTATGATTAGTGTTTTATATGTTAATATATTGATGGGGTGCTTATTTGCTTGTTCCCTTGTATGCTTTTATGGTTTCTAGGTTCAATGTGCAAATACATCTTTGATCTCAGTAGGTCTATTTGGTTTAAAAAGAAAGCCAAGAGAAATTAAACATGAGAAGCACAAGGTTTTGTAATATTTATGAAAAAGTGAGATTAGGGATTATACTGTAAGAGTACAGAGCTAGGACCAAGACTTGAATGTGGAGAAAAGTGCCCCAAAACTACACCACACGTGAGGAAGGTCCTGTGCTATGGACAGTCAGCCCCAGCCCCACAATGTGCCATCATGGAGCTGCTGCTCCTTTGTAGCCAGGGTGCAGCTACATGACACAGTCTGGGTTGATGTCACACTGAGCAAATCAAAGGCAATGCCCTGCAAGTCATCAGCTTCCTCTTTAGAGTTTGCCTCCTGCCCTTCAGAAATCACCATGGGGAAGAATTCTGTCTTTGCAAAGGTTTCATTTCCAGCTATCCTCTCATCATGCATGACTTCAGGAAACTGGCTAGAATGTAGAGCCTCTTGGACCATGCACCTTGACACAAATTGTTAAATTTAGAAGGATTTTACTTTTTGATAGATAATGTCTAAAAGGAGAAATTGGAGTTTCGTCAAACCTGGCTATCAATGATACTAACAGCAAGAGAAAGATATTAGTCAAGCCACTCAAATACAGGGTTAGGTAAATGTATAAGGCACTAAGTAAATTAATGGTATGTCACTTTTTGTTTCATGTTGTACAGAAAAAAAAGAAAAACAGGTGGCTTTACTGAAAATACACATTAGAGGAACTCAAATGGGAAAAAAGGAAGAGGATCAATTTATACTTTGTACTTCCATTCCAGCTCTTCTGGTGCTGTTTTGCAATGCTCAGGTTTTAATACTTCCAAAGAGAGAGGGAAACAATCTTGCATTTACCTTTGCTGTACACAATGCAGTTGTTTTTGTTGTCTTCCACTCCTTGCCAAGTCACATCCAGCAACCACTTGGGACCAGCAGTCAGCACCATTGGGACCTGAGCCTTTGTCTTCTGTAGAAAGAATGATAACAAACAGATGCCATTTGCTTCCGTTGATTAAAAACTTGAATAATAACTGTACTAATCATTTTATTTTTACAAACAACTAAATCTCCCAAACCATAATCCAAGTCCTTATTCCCCTGTCTCATGATATCTTTTTAAGACGACAGAAGCTGTAAAGCTTTACTGCTTTCACTAATCTGAATGGTAGAAATATTATCAAGGATTTTTTTTTTTTCCTAAATGATACTGAATCAGATCTCCAAGATTAGACAGATCTCTTGTGGCTCTGAATTATAAAGAGAATGCAGATGACTTTCATTGCAAAGAGCAGAGTGTTTAGAAGTGAACTTTAGACACATTGTACTTTACTATCAACAGGATCTCACTATTTCCTGAAACAGACAGGAAAGAATTTAAAGAATCAGGATCCATTTCAAAGCTCTGTCCTGAGCAACATTTATATTAGAGTAAGAACTTATTCTGAATGAATAATGAAATCTACCCAACCCCCTAAGTGTGGATATGTAGTCTCACTGTAACTGAAATAATAATAATGCTAATGATGCACCATACATTGTCTCCAGAAAGACTGTAAAAGAGGAATCGTGAATAAATTCAAATGCAGAGCAACTAAAGCATGACATCCCTTGCTCTGAGAACCACAGAAGCACGGAGACAAGTGCTATAATTCTAACAAAGTATTTTTAGTGTACATGTTAAATAGAAGGCTCAAAATAGTCACAGTTTTTGGCTGTTTGGCATCCAAATTATTTATCTGTAAAACTCCGTGGATAAATTTACATGGCTGGAAATAAACTGGGGAGGAAATAAGTATGTCTCAGCAAGACTGTGTTTCCCGATGAGTCACCGTGAACCGGCATTCACTTTTATCGTTCTCCAGTCCATGTTCTGTATATCAAACATCATGAAACCACAACACAGAGCACAATACAAGGGTCTCAAGGTAATTTTTGAACTGAATTTTCACCTAGATATGATCCTGCCAAAGAGATCTCAGCCCATTCTGGGACTTTTCCACATGATGCATGCTATCACAAATTTCCCAAATTGGCCTTAACAAGTATTCACTTGAGGAGTTCCACATAATCTGGTGATTTCAAAACTTTCAGGAATCTGGAAAACCCATTTCACCTGCCTCATGACAACAATGATAGCACATAAAACACTGATCCATTGTTAACTGCAAAGCCGTACTGAAAACTATGCATAAAATGAATGCTGACCCATTTATTAAAATATCAATTATATTACAACTGTTAAAACTACTATAAAATATACTGTTTAATGGAAAAATCAACCATGATGGATTTAAAAAGAAGTCTGAAAAAAAACTACTTCAAATATTAAAACAGAGTATAAACTATAACTAAATCAAGTATAACAAATTCTAATACATTAATCTTTAATATTTATATTTTGATTCATCGTGGAGTCTTAATTTTTCAACTATGTATCTTAATAGTTGGCAAAGATAACCATGAAGCAGTTCTCTAAAAGCCTTGCGAAAAAGATGTAATTTTATATTCTACGTATATTTTAACAATATAGACAAAAATGTTATCAAGTTATCCCTATTGTTATCAGTCTGACGAAGCATTATTTTGTATTTCAATTTTCAAAATAGAATTAGAGGAGAAACAAACTTGTTCTATATGAAATGATAGTGATCCAAATCCAATTAAGTATTAGGTCCTAATGATGCATATTTTGCTCTCCTTTTACTATCAGACTGACAGATAAATCCATAGATCAGGATCTGGTGGTCGGGCGTGGTGGCTCACTCCTACAATCCCAGCACTTTGGGAGGCCGAAGTGGATGACTCACTTGAGGCCAGGAGTTTGAGAGCAGACTGGCCAACATAGTGAAATCCCGTCTCTACTAAAAATACACAAATTAGCCAGGTGTGATGGTGCATGCCCATAATCCCAGCTACTTGGGAGGCTGAGGCAGGAGAATTGCTTCAACCCAGGAGGTGGAGGTTGCAGTGAGCCAAGATCGTGCTACTGTACCCCAGCCAGGGTGACAGGGCTAGACTCTGTCTCAAACAAAACAATACAAAACAAAACAAAACAAAACAAAACAAAACCCCAAAGGATCTGCAGCTCTCCAGGCACAGGCAGAACAAGTCGGAGGAAGGAGTCCACCATTTCAGGAAGCCTATGCAGGGGGCACTCAGTGACTTATTTGTAACATCCACTCTTTTCTGATTTTACATAATCGATTTCAAAACAGGCACCTGGCCTATTTTTCCCAGATTATCTTATTTCACGAAAAATAATTATTTTAAATTATTTAATCAACCTGTTTCATAGTTCTTAAAAATCCTATGAATTTCGACACAGTAAATTAACTTTTATAATAATTTCATAGATAATATAAAAAATAGATAGTGATCACTTACATTCTTTAGAGAATCTTTTAGTATAAAGTAAATCAATTGATTTTCCAAAACCATAATCTTCCATTCATTTCACAAATAAGCAAACTCAATCCTGTGCCTTGTGCTAGGAATATAAGTATGTCTTTTTTGGTGAAGGATACAGATACAATAAAAATGTTTAATATAATGTGAAAAGTACCATGGTAGGAAGTGCTAAGACATGTATCAATTGTTTCGGGGTCAATGAGGAAAAGAGAAAAACTCCCATCCTTTGCAGTCTGGGGACACATCATAGAAGAGGCAACATTCGGGCAGGATTTTAAAGGATAAACAGGAAGAATGTGCAGTTGCTGGAAACAGTGTGGGCAAAGGCTGAACAGTCTATAACAAAGTCAAGTGTGCAGGAAATGGGAGTTCTGGGACTGTGTTTAAAGTTCTTATGAAGCCTTTAGCACTCTTTTTGCTATGTAGAAAGCACTAGAAAAGTATTATCTATCATAATCATCATTAATATTATTGTTATTGATAAATGGAAAGAACGTAATAGCATATGTATCTGGCAGGGCAGGTTATAAACAGATTTTAAAAGACCTTGATGTATTAGGTAAAACTTCTTGTGCTTAATTCTGTAAGCAGAGGGAAGCCAATAAACATTTTTTAGGGAGATGGAATAAGGGTACTACTATTTAGGCTACTTGTGCAAGGATTTTGTTAGGTACTTCCCTTACTTACCTAGTCCTCATGTATATTTTCAGATAAGAAAATTGCAACTGAAAAATTAAATAATATCCCTTAGGTCAAATGCTGGTAGGTGGCAGAGGGCACAGCCAATATTTATATTAGCTTTGTTTCCAAATATTACCACCCCTAGGGTGAACAACCATCCTGGTTTTTCTGGAACTGAAAGGTTTCCCAGGAGGCTGTACTTTCAATGCTAAAATTGAAAAGTCTTGGGCAATTTAGGATGAGTTTTTCCACTCCCCCCTCCCTCCAACCACCACTACTACTACTAAAACAATATTAATGGTTTACTTGTTGGCTATTGAGGTAAGCATTTCACTTGAATGGTCTTTTTTGATTTTTACAACTCCAGAAGTTAGGTACTAACATTTTCTCCATTTTCTACATAAGCAAATTAAGGATTAGATGAACTGATAATATGAGTAAAATATAAAAGTAATCAATTCATGTATTTCCTAATGGTAAGTTAGGCATTATATATTTTAAAACTCTGGCAAACATTTATTTTGCCTGGGTACAAGTAGAATTGGATTTATTAAAAAATTGAGAAAACAATTTATTGTAGTCCAAATCAATAAGGCAGAAGAAAAAAAATGGAGCAAAGACTTGCTGAAAGCTATACCCAAGCTGTAAAGTAAATAATAAGTAGATAAAAAATCTCAAGGGACCAGTTATTACAGCTTTGAGGAGGTAAGTCAATTTCTTTCTGAAGAAGTCAACTTTTGTAGAGATTGACTGACTTCAAAGAAGATTACCAAGTGTGAGAAGGAAGGAGTTAGCCAGGATTATATGAAATCTACACTCCAGAAAAATCCATGAATAGAAAATAACAATAATATCCACATTGATCATTAGGTTCACTTCCCATGTCTCCAACATAAGAATTCATAAAATTCTAGAATGCTAAGAGCTAGAAGCTACTTTAAAGTTCATTAATTCTCAGATATCACAAACAAGGAAAGTCAGGCCAAAATTTTTATCTCATACTCTACAATGGGTACAATTGGCACAACATTTTGGGAAAAGAGAACAGATATAAAAGGTGTGGTAGGCAGGAAAATGGTCTCCCAAAGATGCCTATTTCCTAAACCCCTGGAACCTGTGCATATGCTACCTTACTTGACAAAAGGTATTTCAGAGAGGTGATTAACTTTTTGTACCATGAGATGGTGAGATTATCCTAGACTATCCAGATGGGCCCAGTCTAATCACATAAATCCTTAGAATTAGAAGTGAAAGGCAAGAGTAAATCCAAGAGATTCAACATGAAAAAAATGCCATCTGCTTTTGCTACCTTTAAAGATGGGGGACTGAGAGCAGAAACTAAAGAATGTAGTGGTGTCTAAAAACTGAGAATGGCCTCCAGTTTACAGGAAGCAAGAAACAGGAACTTCAGCTCTACAACATCAAGGTACCAAATGTTGCCAACAATCTGCATGAATGAGCACGAAATGGATTCTCTCCTAGAACCTCCAGAAAGGAATGCATCAGGAAGACTGACACCTTGATTTTAGTCTGGCAAAATCTGTACTCATATTTCTGATCTACAGGATATGAGATAATAAATTTCTGTTGTTTTAAGCCCTCAAGTCTATGGTAGTGTGTTTCAGCAGCAATAGAAAGCTAACACAAAAGATATCCACATTTATTGATTACAGTTAAAACAAAAATAACTAAATTTCTTATCAAATGTGCTCAAAAGTGTGAAATAGCTTCCCGTTAGTTGAAATAACATCAAATATACCTTGTTATTCCACAGTCATTGATCATTTATTTATAAGTCATTATGAAGCAGGATATTTCCCTGACCCCTTCACAGGACTCGCAACAGGGGTGCCCCATTTATTCAGCCTGCTGCTCTCATCTCCTCGCGGGAGGGAGCACATGAGCGAACAAGTATGGGAACTGGAGTGAACAAGCACTGGAACCAGTCAGCCGCTTCAGTGCCAGTGGGACCAAACTCCATTCACTTGGACCTGCTGTTTTCCACCTCTTGCAGGAGTGCACAGGTGAGCAGGTGCAGGAAGCAGCCAGATGCTTTAGTGCCGGCAGGAATGAACTCCATGCAGGCCCCACAGCAGCATACAGGCAGGGGTGACTGTGACTCCCAAAGCCCAAGAGGGCTTGTTACAGTGCTATTTTAGCTCTGCTGTCCGCAGTCAGCTTAACTGTTAACAGTTCAGTGGGTCCTTTGCTTTTTCATGCTACTCATCACCAGCGAGGGCAAAGGGCCAGTGTGACATCCTTTTGTATCCTCACTCGTGGCTCCCAAGCTCTTGTCTGGTGGTCTGGGAAAAATGGGGTTGCATGAACAAATTGAAGGATGGTAAATGCAGGGGATTTTATTGTCTACGAAAGTGGCTCTCAGTGGGAAGGGGAGCTGAAAAGGGGACGGGGTGGGTAGGTAATCTTCCCCTGAAGTCCGACCGTCTCTGGCCAGATTCTTCTCCAAAGTTGCACCATCAAACCATCCCTTTGAAGTCAAGCTGCTTCTCTCCAACATCCAGCCGTAGTCCTGTCTACCAGCTGAGGCTGGGGTTTTTATAGGCATATGATGGGACAGTGTAGGTGGTTGAGGAAAAGGCAACATTTGAGTGGGAAAACAGGGATAGAAGTTCTCACTTTGGGCCACAGTTTCAGGCTTTTTGGCTTGAGGGTGGGGTTTTTGCCAGCGACCCACCCTTTTCTGCCTAGAATTTCTCTGCCTCCTGTTCCCGTCAATTAGAGATACTGTGTTCTTGCTTTAAAATACAAGCAAATACACAATGGTGACTGTAATAATTCCTGCTTATAAAATCAGATACATCATATCCTGAATCATCATTGACTTTACAGTTGAAGTATAACAAAAGGACATTATTGTTTTTGGAGTCACATTTTCTAGGTTTGAATCCTGACACATGCCACTGGTAGCATCTATGACTAGAAAACCACTTAAGTGTTCTGAACTTCAGAATGGACATCAGCACGGTGGGGCTAATTTTTATTTCAGAGGCTTTTGAATGAAGTAACTAGCAAAGTACCTAGTACTCTACAGATGCAGATCAAACTTTTGCTGAATAGCTACATAAATAAATGAAATAAAACACACAAAAAAGCATTTACTGAATCCCACTATTTCTCAGGCTCTGGTCATATTTGTGGTGATTAGCATAGATGTCCAGACAAAAACTTTTTATTATCTAACTGAAAGGTTGTGATAGTCATTATGGCTACTGATCAGTTAGTTCCAACTCTTCAATTTCCAGATCTCTTTTAAAGTTGGATCTGGCCACATGGCTTTGCTTGACCAGTGAAATTGAAGAAGTGGCTTGTGTCACTCCTACACAGAACCCGTAAGATCCAATGGCCAATTCACCATTATGCCTTGCTTTTGCTGAAGCAATCATGGAAACAAAGAGGTGGACTGGCAAACACAGTGGTCAGGGAGTATGAGAAAGAAATGAACTTTTTCAGGTACAAAGCTGTTGTAGTATTAGGGTTGCATACAGCCTCAGCAAAACCTAGCTTATTCTCACTTATACAAAGTTTTTCTCCATTTTTTCCATTTTGAAATATTGAATTTTTACAGGTTCAAGTTTGTATTTTGTCTGTATCTAGGCAGTCTTTTCCAGTAATAAATCAATTCAAGGTACATAACAATAGCCTTGAATTTCACTTAAACTGGAATGTCTTCTTTTTTAAAAAAAAGAAATCTTGTGCACTTTTGAAGCTCCACATTGTACATTTTAAAATTCTACACTCCTGGACACGGTTTGAACCCAGAGTTTCACGTTTAGACAGCCCACAACTAGACAAACTTGACAAGGACAAAATGGGTCAAAAGTGTCATTTCTTAGGAATAATTAAAATCATCTAATGTGGATGAGAGAGGTCAGACTAGCATCCACTTCTCACTAACCTTTAGAGTTACTGGACCGACAAAGGAGGAAGCCTTCAATAAATGTTTATAGTCAAGCCAAAAGGTTAATGGAGATAAAAGTCGACAGCCCAAAGGTAAATAATAGAGGACTAACCCAAGAAACTGGTGACATAATGTTGTCCCAGGGATTCCAAATTTTGCTGGAAAAAAAAGATATTGAGGATTTCCAAAAGGAGGGTTAGAAAGAGCCAAAAGTCATAGGAAAATCTTCCCATGAGATGAGCTTATTTTTACATTACATCCATTTAACAGAAGTGTTATTTGATTAAAAAATTGGCCTCCATTGACTTTAGTTTAGGAAATACAACAAAAATACCATTAGAGAATCTCATGCCAATGCCGTGAGATATAGTTTCATGTTGTTGAAAATGCTTTTGGTGTGTGGCTTCCTTAACTGGGTAACAGATCAAAAGCACTGAGGCCTGTTTGGCTAAATACTGCTCTTTTAAAAATTCATAGCTGTTTATATTCTCTCAGCTATAAAGCATATTTGACAACAGGCCTAGAGGATTTTTAAAATTACTATAGACATTACATTTATATTGTGAGAACCAGAAACACACATACACATACACACACACGCACACACATTTCCTTGCCCTTAGGAATTGTACACCACCACCACTGCCAACCCCCCAACTCCATTATTCCCCACATTTAAATGAAAAAATGGTGCTGTACGCGATTTGACCTTGTACAACCACACAAAATTTTACACAGCAAAAGTTTCAGTTAATGTATCCAAGCAGTTCTCCACCCTGGAATTCAATTCAAATTCAATCTGACAGTCAGGAAAATATTGTATCACTCTCCTTTTAACTATGTGAAATCTCTAGGGACAGTGAATTGAATTTGAAAATTTCCCTTACCAACAGCTATGGGGGCATAACAATTTAAAATCTTGGACTACTTAAGACTGGGGAAAATATGCCCAGGAATAATTCAAGACCTTATACGATTGAATTTTCAGTAATCCTGGCATGGTCTAGAGTCTCAACATTATTAATGTGACTGGAACTATACAACTTTTAGTATGATAAGTTCCACCCAACAAAATAGTGCTTTTTAGTAAATGTCATTTAGTAAGTTAAGCTTTTGAAAGTTAAACCGAGTGAAAGTTTGCACTTGATGCTATTGAGGCAAAAGAGCTTTCTTTCTTTCTTTCCTTCCTTCCTTCCCTCCCTCCCTCTTTCTTTCTTTCTCTTTTTTTTTTTTCCAGAAAATAGAGTGTCATTTTAAACTACATAAACAAAATCATTCCATTCCATGTGATCCTGTAGGGTCAACATTATTGATGTGATATAAAAACAGGTTCTCAGGCTGGGCGTGTAATCCCAGTACTTTGGGAGACTGAGGTTGGTGGATCGCCTGAGGTCAGGAGTTCGAGACCAGCCTGGCCAACATGGTGAAACCCCGTCTCTACTAAAATTACAAAAAACATTAGCCAGGTTTGGTGGTGGGCACCTGTAATCCCAGCTACTTGGGAGGCTGAGGCAGGAGAATGCTTGAACCTGGGAGGCGGAGGTTGCAGTGAGCCGAGATCGCACCACTGCACTCCAGCCTGGGGTATAAGAGTGAAAGTCCAACTGAAAAAAAAAAAAATAGGTTTTCACAGATAACACCTGAATATTCCCCATGACCAGTTAATGTTAAGTACCAAACACAGCGAGCCATGTCACTTGCTTCAATTAAAATCTTGTGATTCTATTGAAAAATGGAGTAAAATGGCCACTGAATTAAATTGGGATGTCCTTTAAGTGAGAGTTGCAAAGTGTGCATGTGTGTATATGTGATTCTATATATAAGGAGATTTCAGCAAGTAACTTAGAAAACTTCCAAACTCCTATTAAAAGAACCTATCTTATTTGTGTTTATTGTTTGGGAAATAACAAAACTCAACTTCTTAAAACATTATCAAAGTTGCATTGCTTGAAAAAAATTATATGCTATACCTACTTTTGAAACTGAAGCTCAATGATATTAAGAATACTCCTAAATTAGAAAATATGTGAAAAGGACAAGTGGGAAAGACATTAGCAACATCCTATAACGAGAACCACTACACTATATAATTAGGCACAGAATAGATTTATGAATGGAGATTCCAGGAAGATTTCATTAAATTAGAGTTTTCTTGGAGCACAGTTCTACAAAATATCCTGTAAGAACAGCATGAGAGTGAAATTCCAGAGAACTTCTGCTAACAAATGTCTTCGAGTAGAATGTGGTATGTGGGATCTCAAATATGATAAGAGACTTTTCAAAAACAAAATGAGTGTGAAATAAAATGATAGAATTCTTGGCTATTATGTCCATACTCCTTATGTCAGACAGTTTTATCTCTATGAACCAAAAATTTAAATAATCATTATCTCTGAGGTATATTTGCTTTTAGTTCTCAAATTGTTGGAACATATTATCTTAACATGAGTCACTGCTTGAATATAGGAATTTCAGCATAAGAAGTAATGATCCTGTTAGAAGAGAAAATACAAATAGTTCTACAGATATGGGCTATTAAAAACAATGTTTGCTTCCAAATATCATTTCATGATATTTTAAAAAATAATATAAAATTATTCTTCAAGATTACTCACTCTAAAGATATAGATATTTCATTTTCAAATGGGAAGAATCTCTAGATGAAAATAAACATCTAAGCTATTCAGATATTTATTATACTTTCATTTTCCAGAAAGAATAGACTCATTTCTCTTTCCCTTTTGCCAACTTCACTCCCACAGCCTCATCTGTTCCCCACATACATTTGGCTCCGAAGAGGAACTACTCCCTCCAAACTGGCAATCATTAACTTCAACCTTTTATTTTATACAGCTCTGAAAGTCACAGGGTGTTTAAGGAGTGTTGTTTTGCTCCTGGCAGAATTTCTGGGCTTGCACCTAGTGCAATGTGCAAAAAGTGTGTCAGTGCTGAATCTCTGGGAAGAGAAAAGTAAATTGCTCTCGAGTACCCCTTCTTACGTAAGGCTGTCACATAAACCTGTGGCAGGGTTCAGGGATCCAGAGAGCTGTGGTACCAGCTGTGTGACCTGAGGCCAGTCACTTAACCTCTGAAGGTCTCAGCTTCCTTCTCTGTTAAGATGACCTCATATGTACTACAGTTTCATAACGATATTATTATAAGACTTTTTACTGTAGAATTCCCATCAAATCTCACTCAAATTCTGAGTATGGAGAAGAAAATATATAGGAAAGCTCAACACATTGAGCTTATACTTACTTAAGGAAGCTTTACTATTTGCATTGGCCAATTGCTAAATAAAGCCATTTTAACTTACTACATTTTGATATTTTAACCCTTTTAGAGAAAGTGATGTGACTAAAATAAAAACGCTAGCCTGAAGAATAAAAGGAGTATCTAACAGAGGTACATACTAACTCAACTGTGAATGCCCTGTTTAAACCACTATAAAAAAAAATACAGTGGTCAATTCTGTTCAACAGTCTGTATTTCAGAATTACCCAAAGGTATTCTGTGGAAGAGAGAAAACACTACCCTGCACAAAGTCATCTTCAGACGCTAAGATGTGTCCATCTTTCATGAATGAATCCACTGAAATATGTAATGAATCTCTCAGTCACCATTCAGGCTGACTTCTTTTTATTACTGTTTCAGCCAATCCTCTGCCAAAAAAGAGGGCAATTCTGAATCCCGATATTAATATAGTAAATTTTAAAAGCAAATATACAATTTTCTTTTAATTATATGTTGTTTTCATGATGTGTATTCTTATATCCATCTACAGACATAAACTATTAACTTGCTTATATCTCGAACTTAAAATATACCTGTTATTACAATATTTGAAGTTAATGGAAGAAGTCTATGGCAAAACTAGAAGAATGGAAATAAGAAGGGGATCCCCCTCCAAAGGGAAAAAGTGTGTGAAATTATTAAACTATATCATAGGTGCTGTGATAACTATAGTATCTTTTGGGAAGGCAGATTTTCTGAGACAAATTAT
Organism: Homo sapiens; assembly: GCF_000001405.40. NCBI lineage: Eukaryota > Metazoa > Chordata > Mammalia > Primates > Hominidae > Homo > Homo sapiens. The sequence continues at coordinate 105,623,201 of NC_000008.11, read as the reverse complement.
TAAAAGTCAAGTTATTGAAAGTCAGGTGCAAAAAAAATAAAATCTTGGCAAAGTAGTTGGCAAAAGTGTGGAAGTGTTAGAGTAGCTGAACAAAGCTTATCTAATCTGTGAGACATTTTAGTAACAGAAATATTATAAATGTTTAAGTATCTAAAGTAAAACTTCTTCCATCAATTCAAATATTGTAATATCAGGTATATTTTCAGTTCAAAATATAAGCAAGTTAATAGTTTATGTTTATAGATGGGTATAAGAACACACATTATGAAAAGAACATGTAGTTAAAAGAAAAACTGTATATTTGGTTTTAAAATTTACTATATTAATATCAGGATTCAGAACCATAAGAGTGGTTTTCAGTTTTGTTTGTTTTATTTTGTTTTTGTTTTTTCACCAAATCAACAGATGCAGAAGGACTATACTAATTCTGCACTTTTACAGAGTAAAAGCCAAGTGCCCAAGTCACTTGTCTTCATTCTGGAGCCAGGCTGCTTCCTTGCTTTCCTTGGGAGTGACAATGAGAAAAGGACTTCAACCAAACAGATCCACTCAACATGCTCCCAACCCAAAGGACCTTTGTTCAGCATCTCTGTCAGCCTGGGGCAACTAATGGAGCATGCTAAGAAGTCAGAATCAAATGAGATAAACCTTTATTAATAGTGCCCCTGGAAAATGTCTTAAATCTTGTTGTTGCTAGTTTTCTATGGGATGCTCTTTATGAAAGGCAAGATCTCTGTGCTCATTGTAAACCTGAAATTTTATATTAAAATATTTAATTTCTTAATCAGGTAGATTTTGGAGAATATTCTCAGTCATAAGAGAAAATTACATTTTAGTAACTCCTTTCTCAATTCTCTATCCTATCACATTCTTTATAAAAATAATAGAAATACGAATAAAAGCATCAATGCGTATGTTGGAAAGGATTTGTAAATAATGCTAACATGACAAACTGATCAATTAAAAATTGCTGATTGGAAATACCAGTGAGTTAAATTCTACAATTATTTGCATGTGTGTTACACTGAAGTTTGGGCCAAGTTGTTTTATTTATTTATTTATTTTTGCCAGATAAATAATTCTTTTTGTTTTTTTTCTAGATAAATAATATAACCTTATATATAAAATAATTCCAATTAGTAATAACTAATCAGCATTACTTTTGGATTTCTCTATATTGTTTCTATTTTGAAAGTGTTATTTAGGTTATTCTGCTTTTAAAATAATCATTTTACAGGGATGCCCTCTTTCATGTGGTGCAGCACACCGACATGGCACATGTATACCTATGTAACAAACCTGCACATTGTGCACATGCACCCTAGAACTTAAAGTATAATAATAAAAACTAATAATAAAATAATCGTTTTACAATTTTAAAGAAATTAAGGATATTCATTATTCATTCAATAATATTTATAGGTTATCTACTATGTAGAATACTCAAGGATAGAGAGATGAAATATGAGTTACATTTCTTCAAGATGTTCACAACATATTAATAATAAAAATATCTAAATGGCATATACATAGATTGTCAATATTAATAATCAAGCTCATTATATTTTAAGTTTATGATTGGTACATTTGGAAAGTGCAACACATATTTGAGGTCCATGACCAAACACACATATTCAACATAGTGTTGGAAGTTCTGGCCAGGGCAATCAGGCAGGAGAAAGAAATAAAGGGTATTCAATTAGGACAAGAGGAAGTCAAATTGACCCTGTTTGCAGATGACATGATTGTATATTTAGAAAACCCCATAGTCTCAGCCCCAAACCTCCTTAAGCTGATAGGCAACTTCAGCAAAGTCTCACGATACAAAATCAGTGTGCAAAAATCACAAGCATTCCTATACACTAATAACAGACAAACAGAGAGCCAATCATGAGTGAACTCCCATTCACAATTGCTTCAAAGAGAATAAAATACCTAGGAATCCAACTTACAAGGGATGTGAAGGACTCTTCAAGGAGAACTACAAACCACTGCTCAATGAAATAAGAGGACACAAACAAATGGAAGAACATTCCATGCTCATGGATTGGAAGAATCAATATGGTGAAAATAGCCATACTGCCCAAGGTAATTTATAGATTGAATGCCATCCCCATCAAGCTACCAATGACTGTCTTCACAGAATTGGAAGAAAACTACTTTAAATTTCATATGGAACCAAAAAAGAGCCCGCATTTCCAAGATAATCTGCCAAAAGAACAAAGCTGGAGGCATCACGCTACCTGACTTCAAACTATACTACGAGGCTACAGCGACCAAAACAGCATGGTACTGGTACCAAAACAGAGATATAGACCAATGGAACACAACAGAGCCCTCAGAAATAATACCACACATCTACAACCATCTGATCTTTGACAAACCTGACAAAAACAAGAAATGGGGAAAGGATTCCCTATTTAATAAATGGTGCTGGGAAAACTGGCTACCCATATGTAGAAAGCTGAAACTGGATCCCTTCCTTACAATTTATATAAAAATCAATTCAAGATGGATTAAAGACTTAAATGTTAGACCTAAAACCATAAAAAACCTAGAAGAAAACCTAGGCAATACCATTCAGGACATAGACATGGGCAAGGACTTCATGACTAAAACACAAAAGCAATGGCAATAAAAGCCAAAATAGACAAATGGGATCTAATTAAACTAAAGAGCTTCTGCACAACAAAAGAAACTACCATCAGAGTGAACAGACAACCTACAGAATGGGAGAACATTTTTACAATCTGCCCAACTGACAAAGGGCTAATATCCAGAATCTACAAAGAACTTAAACAAATTTACAAGAAAAAATCAAACAACCCCATCAAAAAGTGGGCAAAGGATATGAACAGACACTCCTCAAAAGAAGGCATTTATGCAGCCAACAGACACATGAAAAAATGCTCATCATCACTGGCCATCAGAGAAACGCAAATCAAAACCACAATGAGATACCATCTCACAGCAGTTAGAATGGTGATCATTAAAAAGTCAGGAAACCACAGGTGCTGGAGAGGATGTGGAGAAATAGGAACACTTTTACACTGTTGGTGGGACTGTAAACTAGTTCAACCATTGTGGAAGACAGTGTGGCGATTCCTCAAGGATCTAGAACTAGAAATATCATTTGACCCAGCCATCCCATTACTGGATATATACCCAAAGGATTATAAATCATGCTGTTATAAAGACACATGCACACGTATATTTATTGCAGCACTATTCACAAGACCAAAGACTTGGAGCCAACCCAAATGTCCATCAATGATAGACTGAATTAAGAAAATGTGGCACATATACACCATGGAATACTATGCAGCCATAAAAAAGGATGAGTTCTTGTCCTTTGTAGGGACATGGATGAAGCTGGAAACCACCACTCTCAGGAAACTATTGCAAGGACAGAAAACCAAACACCGCATGTTCTCACTCATAGGTGGGAACTGAACAACAAGAACACTTGGACACTGGGTGGGAAACATCACACTGGGGCCTGTCGCGGGGTGGGGGGAGGCGGGAGGGATAGCATTAGGAGATATACCTAATGTAAATGATGAATTAATAAGTGCAGCACACCAACATGGTACATATATACCTATGTAACAAACCTGCACATTGTGCACATGTACCCTAGAACTTAAAGTATGATTTAAAAAAATTAAAAAATCATAAAATAATCATTTTATAATTTTAAATAAATTAAGTATATTCATTATTTATTCAGTAACATTTATAGGTTATCTACTATGTAGAATATTCAAGAATAGAGAGATGAAATATGAGTTACATTTCTTCAAGATGTTCACAATATATTAATAATAAAAATATCTAAATGACATATACGTAGATTGTCAATATTAATAATCAAGCTCATTATATTTTAAGCTTATGAATGGTACATTTGGAAGGTGCAACACATATTTGATGGTCCATGACCAAACACACATATTTGATGGTCCATGACCAAACAACAACATAGTAATAGATAAGAAGCGGTTAACAGAAAGGATTTTCATGACAAATTGAACCACACTTTAATTTTATAGTTAATAACACTGAGGCCGTCTCCAATTTAAAATAAAAGTCTCTAAAAATATGGCTTATAGCTTTTATAACTATGTTTAAAACCTAATCATAATGATCTTTTATGTGAATATTTTGGTTTAATCCATGCACCTCTGCATCTATTAAACATCATTTTAATATATATTCATTTAATTTCTGACTGCTAAATGAAGTATATCTTAAAAATAAATTGAAAATATATTTTGGGAAATATAACCAAGATGAATATGTATATATCAGTTTTAGCATATATTCATTATCTCAGCATGCCTTATTCATTAATAGTAAAAAGATAGTTTAAAATTTTGTATTTTGGGGGCCAGACTGATTGAATTTATACTGCATCACCATCACTACATAGCTGTATAGCCTTGGGCAAGTTACTTAAGTACTCTGCATCTTACTTGCATCATCTCCAAAATAAAATATAATAAACGCATTTATGTCATAGGGTCATTTTGGTGATTAAATGAGTTAATATATGCAATGTGCTTAAGCAGCACTGGATATGTTATTCCATGTAAGCAAATGCTTGTTTCTAGTATTTCTAAAGAAATGTGTTTCCATAAAAGTACAGAATTCTCAGTAAAACAAGAACTTTGGCTGGCTAGAAAACACATTGCTCTAATATATGATCTATAAGATTTTATTAAGCCATAATGAAGTACTAAAATTCTAGGTGCCACATTACTTTTTTTAATCAATTTTTACAACAATTCTATGAAAGAGATCATTATGCCCATTTTGGAAAGATAAAAACTGAGAGTCTAAAAAGTCAAACAATTTGTCCATATTCACATTGCCAGAAATTGCCTTAGCCATGAACTGCCTTCTATTTTTCTCTTAGCAAATCTATAAGAAACATAATTCTTTCTATGGTGTTAAAGCAATGAGACTCTCCTTAGGAATTGTGTTAAATATCAATTTTTCATGTCCATGAAAACTAGCTTAAATGATCTTCCATGAGTCAGTGGTTAGCAGTTTCTGTTTTACATTATGCATGATTCCTAGCTGCACTTTGTATAGGCTAATTACATGGTGCCTCATTAATAATCTTCAGGGTTTTTCGAGCTGTGAAATTTATAGCTTTTGTGGTGAATTATTTCTCACATTTGCACAGTTTGGGGTCTTGTAAGTCTAGTTGAGATACTAAATATCAATATCAGACATCAAGTAGGAATAAGGGGAAAAGACCGAACATAGTCTAGTTAGTGATTTTAAAATATTGAAAAACAGCGAATACTTTTTAATATTTTATTTTTATGACTGCAGGCATTTTTATACCTGTAGAGATGATTATAACATAGAATAGATTTTAAAAAGCCTATAAAAATGTTTCCAATCATAAGTAGAATTCATGATGAGATTCAAGATGACTTTCGGTTAAAATTCACTCAATTCAGCACTGATTGCACAAGAACAAATGAAGAATGGTATTATCTTGGTGCTCAACACCATGGTCAACAGACATAGTACAGCCTCACCATAACACAGCCTCACCACAATACAGCCTCATCACATTATACTTTGTGGTGAGGCATCAGTATGCAATCTGAGCAGGCGGTCTGGCCGGTCTTCATTCCTGCAGGTCTATCCCACTCCTCAGAACCTCTGGATGCAACCACTTAGGGAACCTAATCTGCACTCAAATCTAGGCGCACTGATGGAGGATTCTACACTTAAAACACATACTTCAAGCTGGGTTTAATTAGTATGTTCCTCAGATTAGATTGGTGTTGCTCACAGGTAGACTGGATCAAAATCTGACAGAGCAGTTTCACCTGCCAGCAGAAGTTCAAGTTTAAACTGGGAAGACAAAAAGAAGCCTCAGTAAAGAGCACAGGGTGGAAATAGTGCAGAGGTGAAAAAAAGGTAGTTATTTTGATTCAGTGGGTCTGCAACCAAATACTTCAAATATAATTTAAGTATTGTTTATGGCATACTCACAAAATGCTTCCAGAATGTGATGAACATGATGAGGAAACGACGCAGAAAACACAGTGGCTAAGTTCTAGAGCCACATTGCTTGAGTTTAAATCCAACATTTGCTACCCATTTATGGTGTGGATCTTTTTTTTTTTTTTTTTTTTTTTTTTTTTTTTTTTTTTTTCGAGACAGAGTCTTGCTCAGTAGTCCCCCAGGCTGGAGTGCAGGGGCATGATCTTGCTCACTACCACCTCCACCTCCCAGGTTCAAGTGATTCTCATGTCTCAGTCTCATGAGTAGCAGGGATTACAGATGTGCACCACCACACCCGGCTAATTTTTGTATTTTTAGTAGAGATGGGATTTCACCATGTTGGCCAGGCCAGTCTCAAACTCCTGGTCCTAGGTGATCCACCCGCCTGGGCCTCCCAAAGTGCTGGGATTACAGGCATGAGTCACCGCACCCAAACTATGGTGTGGATCTTGATCAAGTAGGACAACTTCTCTGTCCGTTGGTTACCTTATTATTATTATTATTATTGTTATACCATATGAACCTGTTGCAAATATTAAATAACGCTTATAAATCACTTAGACTTATACCTGAAACACAGTAAGTGCACATTTATAATTATTGTGTGTACTGATTTGGGTAAATGAGACAAAAGTTAAGAAATGATTAAATTTCTGTGAAAAGACCTATGCCTATTTATTACATCCAACTTTAACAGAATGATCAATGTGTCATAAATATAAATGTGTAAAAAAATTACTACTTTGACTAATCTTTTTACTTTGTATCTAGTAAATAGATTGTTCCTGGGGAGAAAACTTTACCACTGCTAGCAAAATGAAAAGATTTTAATGGCAACTAAATGGAAATTGAGTAAAATCTTCCCTTACATGATGAAAAGCTGTATCTATTGGTTATAAAATAATACACTACTATGTTTAAGTTACTTCAGATTTTTTATGTATTGTTTTCACTAGTACTTATCAAATGTAAAAACTTGCTTGTAGGGCATTTGGGAATTCGTTTGAAAAGGCTTTGGTCATTGAGTTTCTAATTATGCTACTTCCCTTCCTTGGACTCTAAATTGGGAATGCCTTATCTAGTATAAACATTTCAGAATATGCAAATTCTTCTTACACCATATGCTATAAAAAGCCTTAAATTTAAATACCATAATCTTAAGTACTTATTTAATTTTTTGTATGTTGCCTCATTTGTCAACTAAAATCAAACCAAGCCAAAAACAAAGCAAAATCCCCCATGACTAAGAACACCATGCCGTTTTCCTTAAGTAGTTCCTATTTCACGCTAGTTATACATATTTTCTAAAATGATCTGGAAATTCACTAAACTTAGGTTTGGTTCTAACTTTGTCAGTAAGTGGTTAGATTACCTTTGTCAAAAATGCATGAATTCCCTGAGCCAGTTTCCTCATTTTTAGAGGAAAAGACCAAGACTCCACAATGTCTAGGGTACCTTCTGACTCTAAGTTTTCATGTACTCTAAATAGATGAAACTCATGAAACAGACTTCTCCAGTGTTTCTCAGCCTTTTAAAATCTTTGCTTGCTTTCTTGATGTTAAAAATAAATTCATGGGCTTTAACATTTAGCAATTTGAATAAGCACAGTGACTATAAATATAAATGGCAAAAAGGTGCCCCACTCCCTAGAAGCAAAGAGTCCCTTCAATAAATACACATACACCTATGCACACTCTTCGACTGGGATTCTCCCTCATTATATTTCAGAATCAAAACACTGTCGCTAATTCACATCAAAATGAATTTTCCCTAATTCAACTTTGCAGAAAAGTAAAACTACAAACTCAGAGTTTGCTCTGTCCTTGACATTCTTAGAGCAAAATGCTTTTATTTACTACTCTGTCTTCCATATCTTCTGAGACTGTGCACCCCAGATAAGGCAATAAACTTGAGAGTATATTTCCATTATTGTGCTATTACTGACTAACCCAAGTTCTAGTTTCTAATAACCAAGACCATAAGAGTGTTTTTTTTTTCATGTTATTAAATGAGACTTGTTACTACCCTTCACAGTGCTGTAGATAGTACCCTTCCCTCCATAAGCACTCAGTGAACACTTTGCAAATATTGATAAGGGCATACCATACAAGACACATGGAACAATTTCCTTTTTGGGCCAAATCACACTATTCTACAACACATGGAAGAAAGTTTAATAGTTTTGCACTAGACTAGTTTAAGTAACCCTAAAGTAAATTCAATGATAAGGCCAGTTGATAGTAAAATCTCAAGCATGAAAAATGACACTGTCTTCATTTTTTATGCATAATGTCAAGTATGGATTATAAATAAACTGGAGAATTTTCAAAACCCCTCTCATTTAATTGCTGTGAATAGACTAAACATATACAATAAAACCAAATTATCTTGTAGGTTTTCCTGTCTTAAAAGCAAAGATTTGGGGGGAAGGAGAAAGGGCAAATAGTGAAACTAGTGATAAAAATGAAGTGTCCAGCCTTGGGACTGGTGCATAGGGTCCCGCGTTCCAATAAGACTCGACAAACAGCTCTGATCAGAATCTAAGTGATGGGAAACAGCCTGTAGCTTCAAGATTAGCTGCTTCAGACTATTTCTGAGTTAAGCCTGCACAAGTAACATCATGAATGCATAATTATAATTATGCATTAGAGTATGCATAATGATCTTAAAATTAGTAAACAAAGAAAAAGCATCAGAATTTCTCAGCTATTTTTAGGATCCTGTTACAGAAGACAAAATATGACTAAGATTTTAGGGAGGGGTGTCTACTGAAACTTTTTTTGCATGAAATTTGCAAACTTGAAGACATAACTGATGAATCAGTATTGATTTAAAAGTCTCTTTTAGGAAACTCCACATAAATGAGTCAAAGAAATGCAATAGGGTAGCTGAAAACATATGAAGCAAACATGCAACATGCTCATACTTAAAATATATAAAGTTAGAAACAGAAATAATAATTAACATCTTGCACTTCTGTTATTGTCTAATAAAATAATGTGTATGCCTGGAATTGTTTGGAAAAAAATAATGATCTGTGATTGGCTAAAATAAAATGGGTAAGAGAACTAAGAGATGTGTTGAAGGTAATTAATGGCAAGTGGCAAATTTTTGTTGTTTTTGTTGTTGTTGGAAACTACTAGATTCCAAAAATCTAACCATAAAGAGACCTCATATTAATGTCTCCAGTTGTTATGTAAATTCATTTCCTTTCAGCTTTCAGAGGTGAAGATGGAATTCTAGTTGAACAATAATATCTCTTCATATCTTGAAAGACAGTTACATCATGTAACTTCTCATGTACCTTCCATTCTTTTTATAAATGTAACTTTGCCTTTTTTGGGGGGCAAAATGATTTGATATTCTGGAACCCTAATCTTTTCTCACGGTACTATTTTTACTACTTTGCTCTGAAACGTGGCCAAGTTCTCCTCATTCTTCATAACAGAGTCTTAAACTGAACACCCTTATCTTAGTGAGTGTTGGTAAACCTGAAAGTGAATGGGTCCTACTAGGACCTAGTCTATATACAAGGTAAGATGCTAAGGTGATTTTCAGAGCAATTATTCTTCAATGACGCTAAAAAGATACCAAAAACTACCAGAACTACTTTTGTATTTCATTTTTCTTGCTCTTCCTTCCTATCAAAGTTCAGAGGAACCTTTCAACATTCTTCCTTTGCAAAATTGTTCCTGTATTTTTTTTACCACATTTGTTATTTTCTTCACCTAAAATTTTTGTATCCTTTACTAAAATTCATCAGCTTCTGATCCATAATATTTTGACATTTACTCTAATAGTAATTACTCATATTTTCTATAATGATCTTCTCCAGTGTTCTTTTATGGGTTCTCACTCCTCCCAGCCCCGTCTTCTTCCCTGTCTATTCTCAACCACCCACCTCCCCACTCTCCTCTCCCTTTTCACCATGGTGTGCTCTGCAGTATCATTACAAGCCTCAGTCATCATTTGGCTATGCTGACGTATTGAACAACTGGCTTAAAATCTCCAATTAAATCACACAATCACCTATTTTGCCTGCTGTTAATTATTATTACATATATCATTGTGACTACTGAAATCATTTAAATCTGTTTTAATCAAATAAACCAATCAACAAGACACTTACTGATCACCTACTATGGACAAAGGCAATCCTGAGTGTTGTAAAGATCACAAAAGGGCAGTTATTTTGAGATAGTGATTGAAGTCAACTTTGTCAAGTAAATGATAATCCAAGTTTCCCCCACGAATTAGAAGCCAGGAAAATGATCATTTTTTCTTTCCACTATTTCCCTAGTAAAACCAAAATTATCTTCTTTATTTCAGCTTTGGGAACATCTGCATTTTTTATTATATGTTGGTTCACATGCTGAAATGTTACAGGCACACAGACAATTAAAATATGTAGTGACCCTGTAGAAAGAGAGAGCAAGGGAGACAGAAAAGTTCACAGACTTTCTAATGCAGAGCCAAGTCTAGATATATTATTAGACATTTGAAAAATTCTTTCATACTCCAACCAAATATTTATAGCTTGTTTTTGGTCAACAATCTTGTTATTATGTTGTTAATGTTAGATGACTGTGCTAAAGACATTCTTTAACCAAACCAGGAAAAAATTTGTGTGAAATGATTAAATACAGGGAATCCTAGTTATAAATAGACTCTAAAAGTTCATTTGAAAATGTACCATTTGGAACTGAAATTACATTTTTCACCTTTACCAGGGTTTCTCAAACCAGAGACTGCAGACCTCTCAGGGGCTTCAATATTTATGGGCATTTTTTTTTTCAATTGGACGTTTTCATTTTAATCCTAATATCCTAATATAACAAACATGAAAACCAATGCACTTTTATAATGCGTAATAGCAAATCAGCTATTTTATAGTAAAAATGCCCTTTTGAAATGCAGTAAATAGAATATTCTAGTTTATTTAAGATGGCATTTCTCAAATGGTAGTTTATAAATCCCTGGGAAATTTTGAACCTATTGGATTTTGTTTTCTTTAAAAACAGTCTATATCTTACCCAGTTCTTAATGAGTAAAGAACTGCATAGACTCAATATTACAAATGGTCAAGTCTCAAGGTTGGATTATAAGTAGGTTACTTAGCTCTTAATTTAGCCATGCATTAAATATGAATTCTTGTGTCTAAGAATAAGGGTCAGACTGGGCGTGGTGGCTCATGCCTGTAATCTCAGCACTTTGGGAGGCCAAGGTTGGGTGGATCGCCTGAGGTCAGGAGTTCGAGACCAGCCTGGCCAACATGGTAAAACCCCATCTCTAAAAAATACAAAAAATTAGCTAGGCGTGGTGGTGGGTGCCTGTAATCCCAGCTACTCGGGAAGCTGAGGCAGGAGAATCGCTTGAACCCGGGAGGTGGAAGTTGCAGTGAGCCAAGATCGCACCATTGCACTCCAGACTGGGCAACAAGAGCAAAACTCCATCTCAAAAAAAAAAAAAAATTTTTTTTTGTTAATTTGTTAAAGGAGGGAAAAGGAGATTGAATGTTTCTTTTTCTGGTCACAGGTAAATTTTTAATGTGTTTTGTACTCTTCAGCCTTCTCCCATCTCTGTTCCTGTCTCCCTGATTTCAAAACTGTTGTCCCTGATCCTTGGAGTTTTTGAGCCTCTTCAACTCCCCTAAACCAGGCTCCTTATTTGAAGTATGTGTCCTGTCTTACAAATTACTCCATGTGCCAAAATGACCATTTTTCTCTTTTTCACCATAAAGCCAACAAACACTTCTATTCATTTAGTGGATCAGTTCTGAGTAGGAAGGCAATCTGACTGAATTGATATGAAGGAATGAATGATTGCTATGCCACTGATTTATCTATAATTATTAAGCTGTTCCTCGTTTTCAAAATTTGTTTTTCTTTCTCCAAATCTAAAGAGATATGGTCTTTAACTCCTCCAAGTTTTTGTTTGTTCATTTTATTTTTAAGTCTCTCCAGTGGCTCTCTTGGCTAAATATTTGATCACTGCAGAATGGCCAGGGTGCAACTTGGGCATTTTTCAGTTAATATAATAAGCAAAAGTAAGTCAGGAGCTGTCTGTAAATAATGTATAAACTCAATGGCCACAGAAGCCTGACATCCTGACTTCTGAGATGTCTGGAGTAGGCTCACTGGTTACCAAGTTACTACCATGGAAGTGCAATGAACTATGCTCCTAAGAATTGTGTTCTTCTTTCTTCAGAGAGTAATTTCTGAAACTGCTGAACTCTGGTAGCTCTACATGTATCATGGCCTCCCTACATATCACTTGTCACTAATTGGCAGCAGCTGCTCCAGACAGTCTTGGTCCTGGAAAACAGACTGAATGCTTTTCTCTGCCCTTAGGAAATCTGTCTCTCCAGGTGAGGTTTGAGGCCATGTGCAGAGCAGATTGTTGAGTTTGTTTTCCTGCTATTTGGACAATGGATGAATTTCGGACTTCAACGTTTTAGTGTCACTGGTCCACTCTTTTGGACACTTCTGAAAATAAATGCTTTTCAAACCTATTTTTTTTTCAATTCCTCATTAAAAGGCCACAGAGCCCCCAATATACAATATAAAACAAAAACATCTTTGAGAGTTTAATGCAATTTGGCATAGAAACGAAGTTGATATCCAATTTCTCCTCTAGCATTGTTAGCTAGTTATTATATGCTAGTTTCCAATTCACTCCTAAAAATGGTAAATACAGACTCATTTTCAGTAAAAGTTAAAGGTAAAGATGTTGACCTTCTTCTATTTTAACTTTTCAAAGAGCCCTGTCAGCACCACAGTTCCAATATCAGTAATTTCCCAGAACCCTAGACCATCAGTGACATCATTTTTAATGTTTTGCTCTTCTTTACAATATTATAAAAATGAATCTTATTCTGTTTTTAATCACAAGCCTTATCCAGCAATCAAGGTAGGTATATGATAAGCTAAGCTACTCTGTAAATCTAAACATTCCCCACAAACGGAAAAGATACAGCCTGGGCTCTCTGATTGTTACTAAGGCGACTATCTAAAATGAAAATCTGATTAACCCTTTTGCTGCCCAGAACTACCCATATACCATGTTAGCTGACTTCCCTGAACTTATCTCTCCTTTTTCCCCCTCAAGAAATTCATAATTGCATTGCTCCAAAGTAGTTATGCTCTGGTTATCCTATCTGAGGACAAGAGGGCTGCGATGGGTGGTAGTTCCATCTGGACTGCTGAGTGGGGTGGCTGCCTCATCATGAAGAAACAGACATTAAAACAGAGGGCACATGATTTCCCACTTATTTACAGCATTAGTTTGGTGAAATCCTTGACAACATTAAAGGATTTCCATTCAATAAATAGCCAAGTACCACTGTATTTTCTTTTCACTCAGGAAATGATGTGACAGTAAGAGCTGTATGTTTCACAAACATATTTTCCTCAACTATTTTTGAATGACATTAGCAACTGTTAACATTTGCTAGGAAGAATAATATTTCAAAGTACTATGCAGAGTTTTAGCCAAGAACAAATATCCATCAGGCACTGTCTACTCTCTTTTTACAGTTAAACCAAAAAGGGAATTCAACGCAAGGCGGGGCAGTGATATAAGAACGCACATTTCCATGTAACTTTGGCAATGGGAGGCTGTGCACTAGGAATTCATTAATAGATTTAGAAAACTAACTTGTATAATACAATTAAAATGCTTGTAGCTTTTAGAGTACATCATTACATTCAAGGTTCTTTAAAACTCTCACTTCCCACTGCCTCCACACCACTCCCCTTCCAAACCTTTCTAGAATGATGACTTGATAAGTTTCCACTTGTCCTCTCCACTGGAGGCAAAAGATCCCATTTGTTATTCCCTATGCAGTGCTTGATTTCTCCCTTCCTCTTCTGTTTAAGACCATTCCCTCCATCCTGGCTTCCCTCCATGCTCCTGGCTTGCCTCCATGCTCCTCTCTACCAGTTTGAACCCATCCCTTCCTTCAGATCTTGTTCAGCTCTCATTGCCCTGAGGAAGCATTTCCCAATTAACCTCGCTCCCCTCCTTCAGTTCACCCTTTTATGTCCCCTGGGAATATAATTGTGCTGTGCCATTTTGTACTTGTTGATATATTGCTTGTAATTGCTTTTTTTTAATTGTGTGTGTGTCATTGCATTTGCTTCTATTTCATTTGTCTACATTTTATTCCATGTGTCTCTTCTTTCCTTGTTCAGTCTTCTAGTTTTTATCATTTCAGAAGCAATGTTGATATACGCCCCCCACTAAATAGTTCATCAATAAATACTTTATGACTAATTAAAAAAATAGTTAATGTTCATGAATCACTTAACTTTCTATATTTTTATGATTCTTCATGCTGAATTTTGCAAAGAAACAGCACCACTAGCAAATGACTCTCAAATCTATATTGTCAGCTTTTAGCTAATCTCCCATATCCTTGCGTTCCTTTAAGGATATTTCTTCCTGGATATTTGTATTTCTTTTTCTTACTATAATTTCAAATTCAACATGTCTAAAATGAATTTCATCTTCTCTAAAAACCCAAATTTCCCTACACATTTACCCATTTCTATTAGTTACTCACTGATTAAAAAAAAAAAAAAAAAAAAAAACTCTTGGTGTTCTCTAGCCTTTCTAAACTCTAAATAATATATTCAACTTTTACATATGGCATTACATAGCAATAATGTGAAAAATGTTTGATACATTAATGAATTACATTTTTGGTTGAATGTTCACACAAAGTATGCAGTGTGCCTTCCTTACAGGGAGTAATAATTGCAGTTAATGATCAGAAGTGTAAAAGAAGGTGTAACATGCAAGAATAACCAGTAAAATTTGTTTTTAAGGATTTTTTCTTTTTTTAGAAAGTTTTTATTTTAGATTCGAGGGTACGTTGTGCAGGTTTGTTACACAGGTAAACTTGTTGTACAGCTTATTTCATCACCCAGTTACTAAGCCCCGTACCCAACAGTTATCTTTTCTGCTTCTCTCTCTCCTTCCACCCTCCAAACTCAAGTAGTCCCCAGTGTCCGTCCTTCTTTGTGTTCACAAGTCCTCATTATTTAGCTCCCATTTACAAGTGAAAACGTGTGGTATTTGGTTTTCTTTTCCTGCATTAGTTTGCTAGGGATAATACCCTCCAGCTCCATCCATGTTCCCACAAGACATGATCTCGTTCTTTTTTACGGCTGCACAGTATTCCATATGTACCAAATTTTCTTTATCCGATCTGTCACTGATGGGCATTTACACTGATTCCGTATATTTGGTATTGTGAATAGTGCTGCAATGAACACTTGTGTGCATGTGTCTTTATGGCAGAATAACTGATATTCCTCCAGGTAAGGATATTTAATTCACTACATATTAGGATATATTAAATCATTAAAAAGATGTTAAAAAATTAATTTAGAGTTTGGGATCTAAAGTAGCGGAACTGGTTACAAATTCAGGAACACACAGGAGAGTGAACATGGAGGCTGGCTTAACTGGGAAAGAGTGGAGTGGACTTTGAGGTACTGATTACCTGGTAGAAGGTATTCAGCTTAGGGAGATGGTAAGGGGAGGCCATCTGTTGCCACAAATAGGTGACTTTAGACAAACGCATTTAACTCTTTGGAGTTATACTTCTTGCCACTGTGAAAAGAATGAACTCAAGGTTCTCAAAGGTCACTTCCTCCTATAGATTTTTATGAATCTAAACATAACTCATTAATTGGGAGATGAAAGATACTAGTGTGTGAGAGTGAAAGTGAGAGGGGGTGTTCATCGGAGATAGCAAGGTCCTCCTCTGTTCCCTTCTTCTTTTCTCAGATCTCTCATTAATATGAGATAAAATTTATTACATTTTAATGTACTTTCTAGGCATTTATATTCCATCAGTAAACCAAGTTTCAAGTTAAAAAAGATAAGGTTTTCTTGGCAGAATCTGAGGTATCAACTAATGGAAGGAAGGAGGAATTTTAGAGAAGATAATTAAGACATGTAAAACTACATTATTAAGGTGTTACCTATTTGTAAGCCAATTCTGTAAATCTATAGAAAACATTCTAAGGAATGGCCGAAGAGGAGAGAGGATCAAATAATTTGAGAAGATCTGAGGGGACCTATGTAGAAATCTTAAAATCAAAGGCACGAAATCTGTGTGAGCTTTATTAGAAAATTGGTATGGTCTTATGAAGAGAGTGGCTTATTGAATCCAAGGACAGCATAGCTGAGGATAATTTGGAGGGGGATAAAAGCCAGTTGAAGACAAACTTATTATTTTCTCCTCTCCACCAAAAGCAAGCAAACAAACAAACAAATTGTGGAAAGAACCATGGGCAGAATATCCTAAACAGTTCTTCCTTTAATTATATATGTGATCAGCTATGTTGTTTCTCAAAGCTTCAGTTTTTTTATTTGGAAAGTAATGGTTGGACAAACTTTCTTTAAGCTCCCACATTGTGTTATTTGGCAATATCACGGTCCCATGGGACTGTTACCAGGAGATGACATATAATTTTCCAAAAGAATATAGAAAATACAGGCAGTAATGGTTTATTAACATAATGACAATAATGGTTAGTATTTATGGAGTGCTTGCTCTGTGCCAGCCTTTGTGTTTTGTAATTTCCATACATAACCTATTTTAAAATTCAAAACATGCATTTATATGTTCTATTAATATCTCCACTCCCACAGACCAGCCAATTGGAGCACAGAGAAAGGTAAAGTGGCCCAGAGCCACAAGCTCAGCAGTGACAGAATTCAGATCTAAGACCAAGCATTTCAACTCCAGTGCCCGAGCTCTCCATCACCATACTACAACAACTCAAATGAAAAAAAGATATGGAAATACATATATTTCTGAACGTATATAGAAGAAGAAGAAATGCAGCATATAATCAACACTAGAAAAAAAGTGTTACCTGAAAATCAATATAAAAAAGTGTCCTCTTAGGGTGAGGAGAGATAATATTTAGAGGCAAACATAGAAAACACCAATAAATATTTGTTTCATCTCTGTTTTTGCACACATACACACAAACACAATAAACATTTCTGCTATTTTGTTGTTAATTTGGTTTATTTATTTGAAATATAAATAAAAATATGTGAGAATTTTAAAAAGAAGCTATCCTCAATGAGAGAATGGAAAATGAAATAATACTTAGAAAAACTGTCAGTGTTTAAAACCAAATGACCAGTCACTTCCATACCAGGTATTAAGAGAAAATGACAAACTTTGCTGCAGACCTCAGCACTCATGATTCAGAGCAACATCAGATGGAAGAGGATAAACGAAGAGCTCATGGGAAGAACATAGCCTCCAATCTAAAACTTGCTGGGCAGCCAAGAAAAATGCCCAGAAAGTACTGAAGTGAGTTACATAGCAAAGTCATTAGTATAGGTTTGAAAATGGAGAGCATTGCATACAGCTAGATATAGTGTTGCACTGAGCAATTCTCAACATATCAATACAACTTTCTTACCCCATTTTCTCATAGAAGAATGAGAAACCAATCAGGCTGATATGACAAATATTACTCTCATTAGATAAAAAATGTCATACTCAGGAAGCCTTAAAATATACTAAAATATACTTTTTCCATATCAACACAGAAGTTAATTGCAAGAAATTTACAAATAATGGTTGTTCATGGCACAACCTCAATATTTTGAAATCCACAACTGTCAGTCCTCTGTATGGAATTATCTATCAACAGTTTTAATGATGTAGATAAAATAATAAATCAGTTGCTAATTTAATTTGCTGACAGCAATAACTTGGAATCATTATATTCAGATATAAGTCATATTAATTAAATTCCATTCTATTTCAAATATTGCATAATGTAAATGTGTATTACTTTGTTTTCAAAAAAAATCTCTTGAAGTAATTATTAACTGCCTTTCTTTGGTAATGAAAGAAAGATTCAGAATTGTATTGACTAATCTTGGGTTAACAATTGAGAGAGTGATGAAGTCAGGATTTGAACCTGGGTCACAGTTTTCTACTATCTCCGCTGTCTTTTGGTGGCATTAATACTGTAAAAGCCAAACAGATTTTGAACATTTTTAATGTTTTTAAACAAAGTGACTATCCAAACTACAGCTTTACAGAGGAGTTATTTCAAATTAATTTACTTGAGAATGAGAATGGCAATGAAAATTAAGATTTATTGAACTCTGCTTTAAGCACTATGTTAAGATCTTTTTAAAATGTCATTTTATTCAATTTATACATTCAGCAAATATTTATTTGATGTGTTTTAGGTGTTGGTGAAATAGCAAAACATACAAGATAATCTGTCCTTGTGGAACTCACCCACTTATTAGGGAGAAAAAGATATATATGAACACTAACTATAAGGTGATTTTAGGTAAAATAAAGATATAAAGAGACAATAACAGAGTCTTGTTTGCTTGATCTGTTTAAGTTCGTCCAGAGAATGCTCTGTATCAGAGAGAACATCTGAGCATGTTCCTGAATGAAGCCAAGGAGTGAGCCATATGAAGGTCTGTAGGTGAAATGTTCGAGGCAGAGGGCACAGCAAAAGCAGAGGCATCAAGATGAAAATCCAGCAAATTCTATAGCAGAAAAGAGACTAATGTGGTCGTGATGAAGTCAGCAAGGCAGAGATTGGCTAGGGGCTAGAAAAAGTCCAGATCATGTAGAGCCATGGAGACCACGGAAAAGGTTTCGGATTTTACTCCAAGTGTGATGGGAAGCCATTGCATGGTCTTGGGAATACCATGCTGTAATTTACATGTTAAAATACCACTTGGGTTGTGATGTGATGACCAGTCTTTGTGGGACAAGGATAAATAGAAACAAGTGAGAAGGCTGCTGCTGAGGCCTGGTAAGAGATGATGGTGTCCTCAACCAGGATAGCTCTGGAAGTGGTGGGAAGTGGTCGGATTTTGAAAGCGAAATTCATTGACTTGCTGGGGATAGAGTCAGTGAAGAAAAGAGAGGAATTAAGGCTAACTCCCAGATTTGAGGGTCTGAAAAACTGGATGAATGATGATGACATTTATGAAGATGAGGAAGATTCAGATAGGAGTCATCTTAGGGTGTATGTTTTGGAGTTCTGATTTCCAAATCTCTATTGTGATACAGTGATGTCAAGTAGGCAATTACAAATATGAGTCTGGATCTCAGATGAGAGATTCGGGCGGGGATTTAAATTTGGCTTTAACATGGAAGTTAAAGCCATGTGGTATGAGACCATCTAAAGAAAAGAATAGACCGGAGTCCTGGACTCAATATTTAGCAGCTAGTTTCTTGGCCAAGAAAACAGAAGGTGCATTCAGTAAGGTGGAGAAAGCAACAGAGGCCATGTCATGGGAGCCAAGTGCTGACAGTGCTTCAGGAAGGAGGGACTGATGGAGTAGATAAAATCAAGCGTTATCACTATGCAGGATAAGAACCCCCACCTGCTTTCATTTTCTTAAAAAACTGATGAAGAACCTGAAATTGAGAGAGGTCAACTAACTTGCCTAAATTACACAGCTAATGAGTACTACAGCTAGGACTCACACTGGTGGGTGATGTCTGATTCAAAAGATCATAATTTCCACGTTTTCAAAGTGTATGAATATTCTCTAAACATAGATAATATTACAGAAACATTCTGAATACTGATAAGGCTAATCATTTACAACTGGGACCATTCTTATCTATTAAACAAATAAAACATTTAACAATTAACAGTCAGATTTTTGGGGAAAAAATATAAATTCACAAAGATGCTTGTCCATACTACAATTCATTTGCATTGCCAATTAGGCAGAACCATTTTTCATTGTACATTAATATCCTTGATATAAGTTTTTATTCTGTCCTCAGGCTAAATAGATTAGTATATTATGTATATTTGCACTGTCATATGTCTTCCTAACCCAGCGACGAAACATTTGAGTATCCCTATATACCATGCTGTAAGCAAGAATCTGTATAATTCTAAATTTGTACACCACTGCTGTAAAATGCTCTATGCCAACTCTTTTTATGTGAGGTAACCAAAGCTGAGGCACCTTTTGGTATGGAATCCCTTTGCTATTGCCTAACACCATACAATTTTTGGCAGCAAAGAGCTGCCATATGGAGAGACAATGCCTACTATTCCACTATGCAAAAATCATGAAATGAATCACTATTCTCCATGTATCATAGTACATTTATAAGTATATGAAAGAAAATTTAGTTTGTTACATAGGTTAAAATAAAGCTTTCAAAAATAATTTATCAATAAGCTTTTCAGAATAAATCTGGGGAGAATATGTGACTTGATTTAAAAAGTATCCAGTCTGTGAGCTTTGGGCAAGCAACAATAAGAACAAGAAAGACATGAATGCCTCTGAACTTCTCTGGTTGGAATGTGGCCTCTACCAGTCAAATAATTTTTTATGATAATTTAGCCTAAATTATATTACATAAAATACTCAGTGCTGATGCACACAAATGCCAAGTTCATGGCCAGAATAACAGAAGCAAGTCAAATCTGTCACAGGCAAATATATAGTATGTACACACATATTCATGTATGTACAAATGCACACATATGTATCACAGGCATGAGCCATTTAATATAGGAATTCACTTTTTAAAAACATACAATATTTATAAAACCATTATTGGAACATAAACCCAATGAATCTTAATTTTGAAATCTTGAAATTCACTTAGGCCAGGTTGAAGATAATGCAATCCTTTCTTCTAGAGAAGGTCAGGTAGGGAACATAAGTGGGAACAGTTATAATTCGGCTTCATTTAACCAAATTTAAATATTTCTATTAACTGGACAAAGAGATAAACTCAGTATTTTACCATGCTCCATATTTATATTGACTAAAATCTATCTTCCTGTAATTTGCATCCACAGAACAAAAACCAATCCTTTTTTTTCATGAGGCTTTCATATTCTAAAGGCAGTTTATATTGTCACCAATTGTAGTGAGCACTTATGAAGTGTCTTCCGATATCTTTACTTTTCTGAAAATCACTTCTCTACCTCCTAGCCTTAGGTGTGTTCCTCTGCTATGCTGGGACAGTAAGTCTTTTCCTTAGGGTTTTCAATGACAGAATCAAGAAAGTCAAGGGCATAACTCACTGGTAGATGCAAGTATGAGCTATCAAGTTCAAAGCTTCTGTCTACTGAAGGAGCAGTTGGACGTGAGAGGAAGGAGAATGAAGCCAACTTGGAGAAATCAGAGGCCATAACAAATGTTGAAGGCGTCCTGAGGGTTTCTGAATCTTCAGTACTAATAAATCTTGAGGCCCAGTGAATTCCTGCCCTTGGTATCCATAAAATACTCTGCAATTCTAATAAATAAATTTATCCTTTTCTTTAAGCTGATTCAACTGTGTTTCCACAGCTTGCAGCAAAGAGTTCTTAATACATTCTCATTTACTTCAACTAATGCCCGTGCCCCCATGAAATAGAGTGGCCCAGGTCTCTAATGCAGGCACCATCATCAACTGTGTGACTTTCTGCAAATCCTCAGAATTCTCTGTGTCATTTGGTCCTATTAGTCCCAACATCTTATTTCCTATATAGAAGAAAAATAGGGGGAACAAAAGACAGAGAGGGGTATAAGGTTACATCCAAACCTGGGTTATACTGTTATCTCTACTTTTAGAAGAATTTGGCTATAATTTAGAATTGAAGAGTAAGGAAGGGCAGGGGTATAAGAGCACAGAAAAGAGCAGAATAAGAACAGAGCAGAGGGAGTAAAATAAACTAAGCAATTTTGTCACCATTTTAGCTAAGTTTGACCATGAATAGACATGTCCAAATCCAGTTAATTAGGGAACAAGACCAGGGAACAGGTGATGAATTCTCTGGAGTCCCCTTACAGACTTTCCCAGGCAATAATGGCACTAGTCACTGCCATCTGCAGGCCCTACCATGTGCCAGCTACTGGGCTTGGTGTTTTCATATGTTACCTTGTTAATTCCTTGGCTTAGACATCTTTTGGTTATGCTTAGAGGAATAAAAAAGACTGCTGGCTATTATCCTAAGCCTTGCAGTATGGTGCAGGGCTTCAGGTGGTGATGGAGAAAAACGATTCTTTGTCAGCTGCCAAGTATAAGTTCAGGAGCATAACCCAGGGTGAGAGGGAGGAGCAGGATGGCTCAGCCATGGAACCCAGGGCAGTCTGTCACTGAACTCTGTTAGACTGTTAGGAGAAGATTAAAGCTGAACACTAAATGATGATCTAGCACTTAGTGCACAACAAAATATAAGACTATATCTACATGTATTCTCATTTTAAAAATATTCATAGTGAATATGTAAAGGCATTATTCTCTCAGAAAATATGAAGGAAAACACTGCAATAGTCATGCTAAAGTCTTAAGAATCAAGTCACTAATAAGCATTCCTGAGTCTATCCTTGAGTTCTTACTTGCAAACAAGTTTCTCTGCTTGAATTAAGATTATTGCTATAAACACTTTAGAGATATAGAATAAGTAAACAATAATATAATCATCATATGATTATCCAAAACAATCATAAATAAGGCAAAAAGGGTTTAAACAATTTTAAAAAAATAAAAAATGAGCAGCTATTCCCTAATGCTTTTTAACTTGCATTAACTATAGCATTTATTAAATTTTAAGAGAAAGAATGAAATAAAAATAAGTTAGCAAATTCATGAAACAAAAACCTTAAAAATACAACAGAAGGGAAACTTTTGATTAATATTTGTCAGATACAAAGACAATAATTAATTGAAAAAAAGAAATCCCTCTTTTCTTAGTAGGACTTCAATGTTTCAATGATGTATTTTTTTATACATATGCAGTTTTCCTTACTCAAAAATAATCTTTCTCTTGGTTTATAAACTTGACAGAAGCAAAAAAGAAATCTTACAAACATTTCAGAGTATATTTTATTCCCAAATCCATCATTAATAGTCAAAATATAGTCTCAAAATACTGATCTCATTATTGTAAATAGGGAGCTTTCGGGTGTATTTTTTCCCAAGTACAACTTTGTGTTTTAGGAACATCTGTCTTCACACTGTAGACTAAAATCAACAGGAATACTATCTTAAATACTTGAGCAAAACTCAGTAAAAGATACAGTAGGCAAACATTGTGGTCGGCTCAGCAGTGATTACCAACTCATGCTCCAAATTCACTATAAAATGAAAATCAATATTTCCACAAGTTCCTGCAACATAAAAGATAACCTTCATTGATTTTTCTAGACTTAGGCCTCTCTGATAAAATCTAATATAAATTTTCAACCATGAGGATTTGGATCAGAGCAGGGGTGATAAGTCCTGCACATCTCTTAAGAGGTGGAGAATTTTTTTTTTAAAGTGCACATTCATACTATTTATAATTTGCCCTGTGCAAGTGAAAGCCTTTTCCACCAGTGCTATCAGGAATCTCTTCTAATTTTTATTACTGTGAGGCTAAAGCCTGTTCCAGATAATTTGGAAATTTCAGGGGAGTTGTGATAGGGCTGATGGTGCAGCCCTGGCTGACTTGAGAAAGGAGCTAACCGGTAATAGCCTCCATGGCTGTGCTGATTAAATGTTGCCATAGATGAAAGGCCTGCCATTGCCGCAATAAATTAACCAATCACACAAATCCCAAGTCAGTGCTAATCCTTCCTTGATACTCTGATCCTCTGATCAGCTCAAGGAGGTAAAGAAACTGGCTTGTGACGCTTGGTGCTCTAACCCCTGGATTTCATGTACACAACGAGCTAATGATATCTTGCTGACCAGTTCAATGGGATGAACTTCTCTCACAACCCTTAGGGAACACCACAGCCTTCATTTTTTTTTTTTTTTTAAAGACGAAAAGAAAAAGAAAAAAGAAAAACTGACAAGCAGATGGGAGGTTTTGTGTTATACTAGGAAACTGCAGGCAAACTATCCAGCACTTGTTAACTAAAATAATCATAAAGACAGGGCCACAGTATGACATGCTTTATATCGTTTAGGTGTGGATGATGAATCACAAAAGGACACGGATCAAACAGAAGTGGGAATACTAAAGAAAGACACCCAGGGAGAGTGGCATTTCAAGAGAGCAAGGTGGCCTTTTAATTTTTTTCTTAGGTTCAGTTCTGAAGCAGCTCCCCCAATGAGTAATTTAAATTTTTTGCGGGTCCACAGTTTGGATTTCTGGAAATTCTGTTATACACGCTGTGTTCCATAGCCATGCTAGCTAGTGTGATTAGAATCTGATTTAGGAATAGACTCATTTAATCAATTAGCAGAAGGTCTGACCACATGCAGTGTCTTGCTGTTAATTATGTGAGGGGTGCCTCCGCAACAGAGTTCGTGAAATTGAGTCTGTGCAGAATGCATTAGTGGACTTCATAATTGGGGAAAGTTTTTTTTGTATGTAGTAATTGGTTGCTAGAAGTAAGAAGGCTCTAGGGTTTTCCTCCAGGGTTTCACACATAAAGAGTTTTTGAAAGGACTTCATTATCTTTCTTGGTCAGTCCCAATAAATTAAAACTGATTTTTTTATGAGGGAAATGTAGGAACAAGGAGGCAAATGTAGAAAGTCAGCATTTTGGAAATAAAACTAGTTTATTTAACGTGAGAAAGCGTGAAGTGAGGTAGCAGAGTTTTGTGAACATCTATGGCATTATTCCACTTTTTAAAGAGAGAGAAAAAGAAGAACTGATCATTTTTCCAGAAGTTAATTTTAAAACTCTTCTACCTGGTTGGTAAAATTTAATCACATTGAAACAATTTGATGAAGCAAAGCTAAGAGATGGTGATTATCATTTGGCAAGCATATATTCTAAGTTTAAAATGCATTCATGGTGATAGAGAAAAAAGCCCTTTATCAAAATAAAAGTAATCAGTCCTATCAGTTCTCTCTCTCATAAAACTTCCCTGGATTCAACCCTCTTATCCTTCACCTTCTTCTTTATTTACATGATGAACACACATGTGTAGGACAGCTTTCTCAAGTGACCTTCCCAAAGGCGGTCCTTCCCACTGCTGGACTCCGCGCAAGCAAGCCCTGTTGCAAGGAGCAGGTCTCATGGGAATTAATTAGTCAGAACACCAGAAGAACACAGCTCACTCCCTGCAAGGCATTCTGGGCCAATGCTGCAGAATAACACAGCTATTTCTGACCAAAAAAAAAAAAAAAAAGGTTTTTTTTTTTCCAAGAACAACAGATGTTATAACAGTCTAGAGAGGTACTAAAGTAAGTTTTATGCAGCAGAACAACAGGATTGGAAAGAACTGAAATAACAATCCCCAGCAGAATTTAATCCTTTTGAGTTCTCATCTGATGTCTCACACCTGCAATATCTATTCAAATTTCATATTTATCCTAATTAATAGTCCTATATAATGTAGTTATAGTGCAGCGGTACTATTAGGAATTTGATTCACTATCATTCCCAAATGAAAGACATTATTCATGGGAAAAATTAAATAGGAGACCATTTAAAACATGCTGCACCATATACTTTCTTAGTAACTTAGGAGAAGGGAGACTCAAATATATTGTTATGCTATCCTTTTTATTACTAAATTAAGATGGGTTGATAGCAGCCTATCATTATTATAATATTTATCTGCATTAAATATGATGAAAAACAATGCAAAGAAAAAGTTGAAAATGGCTTCAACATAAAAAGAGAAAACAAAATTGTTCTCTATACTCTTTAATGACTACTTTTATTTAACAAGAAACTACTGTGCTTTTATCTAGTGTTAATGAAAGGTACATGGCATGTTCATGAGAAAATCACACAGGGGAGAGGTTTAGGTCTGCTCTCTTTTTCTCATTAACATGCACACACGCAACTTCATAAATGTCAAATATTTGAAACATATTATCTCCATATACTTAGTTTTAAATAAGTAGAAATAGTCCAGCATTGGACATTACTTTCACCCAAATTTTGTGTAACTCCAGAATGATTAGAAATACACATAGAAAATGAAATAGCATTTTAAAAACTGACCATGTCGACTCCTGCCAATTCAAAGATTTATTACTGATATTCTGTGATTTTAAACAGAACCCAGGCATAACAGGGCCCTAACATTCATTTGCAACCCAAAATTCAACATCTATTAATAATGCATTTTTTTTTCACAGATACCAAGGTACAGCTTTCAAATATACTGGTTAACAGTAAGAATGCAGCTGTTACATTTAGGAGGTGTGTCAGGAAATTGAAACACAAATGTATAAGCCTGAAAAATAAAAATATTCCAATGTAGAATTTCAATTCTACTTTACAAAAAACAACAGCATTAACTAAATTTATAGAGTAGAGAAACAAGACGAAAGGAAGGAGTATGTCTGTTTCTTTCCTGGGTGCCACATACTGAAAATCACCACAGATACTACCTTGCTTAATTGAAGTTTTAGAGATAGAGTTCCAGGCCATCTTTCCCTATCTGCTCTATCTGCTCAGGAATCTCATAATCACTCATTAAAAAAAAAAAAAAAAAAAAAAAAGCAGACAAAGGCAGCCTTACCCAGAGACCTCCTTCTCTATCATGAGTTGCTTTATACGATGACTAGAAATTGGTTAAATTCTTATAGGAACAAAATATTTAACTATTATGATCTCTGTTCTCACCACTGATACACAAAAGAAGCTTTAGATCCCAAATTTGACTAAGAAACTTGGAAGAGTATTAGGATTGGTGCTAAACTTGCAAAGGTTTTCACAGGAAAAGTAGAATACCTTCTTTCCCTAGGTATGGCATACCAGAACAACCAGGGAGAGTGCCAATCTATTTGCAACCAGGGTAAAAACTAGGATGGTGGTGGAGAAATATGTAACTTTCATTATAAATGTGCTTCTCCTCTCTTTCTTTGTTTCCTTCTTTTTTCTTTCTTTCTGAAAATGCAGGGATGAAAGAAAAAGAAAATGAAAGAAAACTCTTTTACTCTTCCTCTGATTGTTTACTCTTTTGTTTTCTCCCTTTTCTTGCTGACTTCCTCTTCATTGATTTTTATTCCTTTTAACCTGACTGGACCAGACATGAAGAGATCAGAGAGCCAAACATATTTTCATTCACACAACTTACAACCTGCTCTTCCATTTTGATATGGATACTACCATTTGCCATAAATCTTAACAGGGTGCACAGAAGTAGTGTCTACTAAATAACAAAACACTTTATTTTGGTAACTTTATTAACATAACTGGTTACTTCTTTTTTTGTTGTTGGTTTTTTTTTTTTTTCAGATAAAAGGAGAATTTCAGATAATTTTGCTATACTCTCAGTTTATATGGTTTTGAAATACACATAGATTTTAGATGATATTGGAAGTCAATTATAAGATGTTAGCAGTATATTATTCTATTTTGAAATTTAATCATGAGGAATAGATAGATTAAAAAGCTCTAAGAAGTTATGTGCCTATTCATATGGCTAAAACCAATAAAAGAGATTATTTTAGCCATGAAGGAGATAAAAAATGTTGGCAAAAAAATTCACGATATTTAATGTTCTCTATTCTAGTACCATTGAATAAAGAATAAAATCCAGATTTCTTGGGAAAGCATGGAAAGTTTCCTGTTACCTTCTTTAATCCTTACTACTAGCCGTGTTTCACCCGATATTGTGTGTTTCCTCCAAACACTTCTTTGTTTCATGCTTTCATGACTTTGTATATATTATTACTTCTGCCTGGAATTGGCAGTCCCAATTTATTTTCTGAGTTAATTCATCCTTCAAAACTCTTCTTAAAATCACCTTCTGGAAGCCTTCTGTGGGCATCTGAGACAGTAAAATGTTTAATCTTCACACTTACCCCTGTTGGATAATTGCTGTTTATGGATGGCCAGCATCTGGTCCAGCTCTTTTGGATAATAGCTCTTTCTATGTTTTTTTGGGTGTAATTCCTCCACTGAACACACACACTGGCTTATTAAAATAGGGGCCCTTTTCTCTCTTGTCTAGAGACACAGATGTGACCAAAGATAGACTAATAAGGCACACCCTCCCTGGACCTAGGTCCTGAACCAATAAATAAAAAGACCAAAATGTGTTGAAGCTTATTCTTGCCAATGCAAGTGCCTGCTAAGACTGTACAATGGTTTCTACTATTAGACTTTCTTTACTCTCAAATTGCTTTGATTTTTGTCCTTTTCTAAACCTGGTTCTCTAACATCCCACAGAGTCTGTAAACTCCCCCATATTCTTTCCATAATTCTGTTTTTGCCTAAGTTAGCTAGAAGTTGTTTCTACTGCTTATTTATAAAAAGAAACAACTTTTATAGAATCCTCCATCAGAAATCATCTTATGATACTATAGTTATATGTTTATGTATCTGATTCTCTCATTGGACTGAGCTCCTTGAGGGCAGAGACTAAATATAGTTGGTATAACCTGAGACCTTTGCATAGTGCCTGGCTCATGGCAAGAATTAAGAAGTGTTTGCTGAATCCATGAGTGAGTCATGATTAACATGAGTGCTGAAAAGGGCCATTATTAAAATGGAACTGTAGGGAGGTAGTATAAAATTAAAGCAGAAAGAGTTTTGAAGTCATATCTGAGTTCAAATCCATAATTTGTACATTAATTAGCTTTGCGCTTTTTGAGGAGTGTCTGAAACCTCAGTTTTCTCATGTGTTAAATGGAAGAACTATATCAGCTTCAGAGAGTTATGGAAATATGAAGCAACAAAACACTAAGCTCAGTCCCTTGAACCAAAATATTTACTATTAATATTTAGGCTTTTAATAAAACCACTTACTATACATAAAATCTATGACTCTTTACAATGTAGAGCTGAGTTAAAGTAGTAAATACTTAATGTATCCTTAAAATTTAAAAAATCATTTCAACAGTGCTACCATATTAAAAGTAAAAGGTCCATTCTGTGTTTTAAAAGGCATAATCAAATTAAAATTTACTGCCAGACCCTCTTGGCATAAGGAATCTTCTAGAAATTAATGTTTGAGCTACTGGGACAACACGGTTCTCAAACACAAGAGACAACAACCACATGAAGAGTTACTGTCTTGAAATTAGGCAAGTTAGCTGGAAGTCAAGAGGAGAGGAGACAGGCTGATTTAAAAGGAATAACTCAGGCATTTAGGTTTAAAGATGTCTTTAAAGATCTTACTGCATTCTTTGTCAACGAACAAGGTAATCAAAATTTAAAGTTTTTACTACAATAACCCTGGAACCCCTGGAGAATACTCAGTGAAATATGAGAGCGGTTTTAATACCTAGAAGCCCTGCTGCATTATGGTAAGGTCAGCAGAGGAGCACTGTTAAGACTCCAGGCCATAATGACTCCATATGGAGCCAGAGAGCAGCTAAAGTAATAAACTCTCCCACGATGATTTCTTTGCTCTTTGCAGTACTAATGTAGACTGACAGCCGCTCATCTTTCTTTCAGGGATTTTTTTTTACTTGAAAAATCACAATTTTTTTTGCAACTGTGATTAAAATCTACAAACTCAAGAAAAGCACTAACACAACCAACAAAGTTGTGTGTGTGTTCAATATTTTAATGTAACTGATAGAAAGTCTTCGGCCCTTGACTTATGCACAAAGATAATTTCCTTTTTTTTTTTTTTTCTTGGAATGGAATACTCACTGAAGAGAAACTGGCATTAGCTTACATGGTAATAAGATGACTCCAAATGAGGCATCTGAGGACAGAAACATTAGAAATTGGGGACAGCTGCGGACAGCAGATTTGGGACACTGGTATCATGTATGTAACAAATCTTTATTAATAAGTACATTAAATCCCATATTTTTCATTTATAACTGCTGCATAATTTCCTGTTAACACTTCATGTAAATTCCAGATAAGGTAATAATTTTTTTTTCAGAATTCTATTTCTGTTTCATTATATGTTCTATACTCTGCCCCACAGGTCAGTTGCATGATTGAAGTATTATGCCTCATTAAAATTCCAGTAGTTAAAACATGAAGACAGAATTTTGGTAATTCTTTTCTCCATTACTAGAATTAACCATTCCAATACATTCCTGGGCTCCCTGAACCTCATAATTTATGTGTACATATACACTCATGTCGATACCATTAACAAGTTCTTAGACATACACACATATAAGAAGCATATGTAACACAGATACATGCTGGTCAAGGGGTCTCGATATCCTAAACAGAAAGCTCTTATCTTTCTTTTGCTCCAGTGGCTGAAAATCCTTGCCCCACCTCCTCCCAGTTCAGTATTTCTAGCTAGCAGCTGCTATCAGAAACCTAAATAACAAAAATATGCAAACTTGCACACTAATTCCCTTTGGAGATAGATCTTGGCTGCAGCCCTGTCATAAATCAGAGAATTTCGATATGAAATGAGGCAAGCAGCTCTAATCATTTCTGCATTTCAAATTGGATCACTGGCTCAATCACTGGGCTTTTTTAAACTGCTTGCCTAAGAGCAAATGTGAGGCGGGAGATAATTCTGAAGACATCTCTCCTTTTGTGGCCTTAGAACTCTTTTAACTGTTTCAAGACTGAAGGCCACATTTCAGTGATAATAGCACAAATCTGGTGGGAGAGATATGGATCCTTCAAGACATCTTCCTCCTCTTTCAACTCACAGAATTCCATCAATATCTGCATATATTATATATATTAATATATGTGTGTGCATATGGGTTTTGTGTGTCTAAAAAAGAAAATGAGAAAAAAATAAGAGAAACATCTGACATATATCCACAGTCTATTTATCCTTAGAATTTCCTGTTTTTGACACAAGACAGGTTTCAATTGCACTGGGAGATAGTTAACATTTTTATACTGGAAAAATGTATTTCAAATCAAATGTAACTGCACCAAAATGTGAAAGACTTTGGGGTTTCAAGGATGGCCTGCCAATTTGGCCACCCTTCAATGGCCAAATGAGAAATAAGAAAGTCCTTTAACCCTTCCAGATGATTTTTCAATTCTTAATATGATTGCATTTTTATATTTTTACATTTCAGACAACCCTTTGAAAACAATGCATCAGGGGGGAAAAAAGAAGGAAAAAAAAGATTCCCAGGCAATTACCGAGAGTAAAGCAGCCTCCTGACCTTTTGATAGTTTTGCTTTGAGTCTCCCTCCTTTCTTATCCAAATGACAGTAAAGTCTTGCTGCATGTTTCCTGTGCTCACTACAGTGCTTTGAAATGGAATTTAACCATTTTTCAGAGGGTTTTCATAATGCCTTGTAAGCCTAATAGTGATCTGATGAAATATTAACCCTAAGCTGCTTGTGTTTTGAGAACAGAATGAAAATGTTTACCAAATTTTTCTTTTACACAATTAACAAACAAAACAACTCTGCTTTATCTGGTGTTAATTTTTCTTTCTATTTTCACCTTTTCCTCACTGGTATTATATTTTACTTCTGTGGACTCAGGATACCAAATTTGCCATCTCCTTGTTATTAATTTTGTGGATTGGGAGAGTATCAATATTGTGCTGATACAGGTGTTGGAGGACTTTAATAACTGCTTGTGTTATTTTAGCAAGCTAACAAATGATGATATTACTGGGTATTTTATATACAGCTTTATAAATTGCATTTCTACTCAGCAATATGAATATGACTATATTTTTGCTGCATACTTTTCATCAAGATAACCCAATTTCTGAAGCTTATCAAGTATTATTAAAAAAACAAGTCTTTAAATAAAATTTTTCTAATGTGATATTTTAGCATCGATTTGATTTTTCTGGTGTACAAGTTTAAAACTGTATTAAAGACTCAAAGGCATTAACATTTTTCCAATGTCTTGATTAAAAGCTGTATTTACAGTACTGTCTATATAAGTTCCACTGTTATAAGAATGAAGAAGTGTTTTATATTTATGAACAATTAGACCCTATATCCAATGAACAAACTGTGACAGAAAACTATCATAAATGAAAAATCTTAGGTAATCCAATTTATAAAGCAATATTATTTATTAACATTTAGATGCCACTTGGTTTTTTGTTGTTGTTGTTGCTTTTTTTTTTCAAATAATTCTAAGAAGTTCTGAAAATTTAATCTCATGATTATATAAAGTTTATTGTTCATAACCCAGTTTGTGGTCTCCATGGGAGAAAAAGTCAAAATCAGCAAACTGATTCATAGTCTATATTTACTTTTTTTCTTTATCTGTGAATATTAAGCTAAGGCTCCGAGCTTTAGTGTGGAGTTAAGTCTGAAAACTGAAGCTATTTTAAGAGAACAAGGGTAGTTGTTACCCCACTAACTTATCTGCCCACAACTGATAAATACTTATAATAACCTTACATTAGCCCTTTAATCCCTCCTATTTTTATTTTCCTGGATAGGTCCCAAACTACTAATACTATGGCAGAACTATACCCTTTCAAGTCTGATATATGGGTTTTGCTTATTCCTAAAGTGGACCATGTGTCTTGTGTAAAGTGATTGAGTGGGTGCTGGTAAAGTCAGCTACACTTCCACTGACTCTGTGTGTGTGTGTGTGTGTGTGTGCGTGCGCACGTATGCACATGCACTTGCACACTCATGCATGTGTGTCTATACGTATACACATACTTTTTTCTTGTTACATGAAATTCTTCAGTGTAATATTCCAACCTATCACATCAGCCCTCCACATCCATAATAGGGCACTCTTAAAGTTTTGGACAAAACATTTCTCTTCTTCGAATTAAATAACTAACTCAAAAACACCTTTATCTATGCCTATGGCCCCCAAAACCATTAATCATGGCCTGAAGTAAACCAAAGCAGCATCATAAGAATGAAATAAACACAGCATTTTTAATATGTGTGTGGCTTAACACAGAAGCATTGAAAAATGGGTAATAAAGTTGTAATATGACCACAGGCTGTACACTATATGACACTGAAGTATTTTGGCCCTGAATATTGTGGTTATTATCCTCCACAGGTCTCTTATCTGCAACAGAAGTAACGACAATAGTTTTATATGGTTGTAACACATTAGAGGGCGTTTCTTAGTCTCAGCATCTCACAGTGACATTACTGGAAGCTGAATTAAAATGTGGCACTTTAGAAATAAAAATAGCCCCTTTACTAATACTGCAAGGGATAAAGCACACAAGCAAAATTACCTGTTGGAGTTTCAGCCTAGAAAACCCAGGCAGAATAATAAAGGTGAAGGAGAGAGCCATTCAGAGGCTAATTCAAAAAGAAAGGGGAAGATAGCATATGCAGCTGTAAACAAAATGGATCAGAAAATGAATTAAAGAAGCCGGGAGCAGTGGCTCACACCTGTAATCCCAGCACTCTGGGGGCTGAGGCAGGCAGATCACGAGGTCAGGAGTTCAAGACCAGCCTGGCCAACATGGCAAAACCCTGTCTCTACTAAAAAATACAAAAATTAGCCAGACTTGGTGGCACGTGCCTGTAATCCCAGCTACTTGGGAGACTGAGGCAGGAGAATCGCTTGAACCCGGGGGGAGTTGGAACTTGCAGTGAGCTGAGATTGAGCCACTGCACTCCAGCCTGGGCAACAGAGCAAGACTCCGTTTCAAAAAAAGAACATGAGTTAAAGAGAAAGTGCCAAAAATGAAGAGAATATGACTGGCACAGTGGAAAGTGTAGGAGAAAAAAGAAGAAAGCAAGTAATGTGTTTTGTGGGGGAAACCTCAAAACTAGGCTAGTAATAGAGATGGTCAAATGTAATTAATTCAAATAACAAAAAAGTACTCTTTTATGTTAACGTAAATAATGCCACAAACATCTCTTGAACATTCCGTTTGTACTAAATTCAATTTCTATATTATGAATCCTTAATTTCTCTTAAGTTCGTTTTTTGAGCTTTGTTGGCAAAGTAGCTTTAATTACAAAAAGTCACTTTTGCCAAATATATATAAAGTATAGCCATATGGCTGGTAGGATTTGTCAAGGTAGCTTCCTTGTTGACGCTTGAGAAATGTATTGTTATGTGCATTTAACAAAGTCTGGATGATCTATGATAAAATTGGGGATTGTCATTTTTAATACACTATTTCTGACAGTCATCCAAACCATGATGAAATGACAGTCTGTCATAACTTTAATGGCACAAAAAATTCTGACACCGATATTGCCTGTAAATTATCAAGTGGAACTGAATAATAGCAGGATTAGAGGGGGCTCCATGGAGTTTGGTTTCTAAGAACTACTAGGGTTTCTCTCACCCTTCATTGAGCTTTCACCTTTTCAGTTGACTCTCCAGGCTAACCGCTTTGTAACATGTTTTGAGTTACTAAAGGTTTTAAAACATAACGGGATTAAGGATTCTTAAATCTCATTCAACTGTGTACACTATAGATCACGCATTTCCTCTGACTTCGGTTTGTGACCATCTTCTCAACAGCTCAATGAGGAGAGAGTACCAAGCCTACTCATCATCAGCTGTCACCTAAACTTGCCCCCTAACTGGCCTGACATACATCCTTACTCTAAGAATTTAGTAAAAGACTATCTTAAATGGCATCCTGCCTGTGAGGAGGCAGTGTGGTTAATCTTTGACAAAAGAGCATTCACATGTCAACAAAACAAATACCTAATGGAAGGCCCTACTGCAAAAGAATAAAGTAGGCCATTCAAGCTGCCAATAAAAAAGAAATTTAGAGAAGATTGAAAGTTTGATTCCAGCATCATCATTTCCACTGAGATTGAAGTCCTACCCCACAGAGCAGTGGCTCCTCTAACAGACCTAAACTGAGGCTGCACAAGGACCCAAAGGGTCAATGGGAAGAATCTTATGTAACGAAGTGTTTTCAAACTGGAGGGAGAAGAGAAATAAAAATGCTTTTTTATTTTGATACTAGTTTTTATATAAAATGTGGTTTCGATTTTTTTTTTGGAAAAAAAATATTAAAAGAAGAAAAATATTCTCTGTGTCATCCAAGCATTCCATTTGCTCTACATTTCCCATAGAAATTCTTTCTTTTCCATAAACCGTGAGTATTTTGGGGGTAATTGTGGATTTCACCGCATCAGAGACTGAGTTGCCTATCTCAAGAGAATCCATGTCTCTGCCCGATATATGTAGCCAGACTATTCCTTAGATCAAATATCACCTAATGCATTTTAATTCAATTCTTATCTTGCTTATATATTTTGCAAGATAGGTTTATTTTTCAAATTCAAACAATATTTTATTATAAATGCATCCATTGTCACCAAATATGACAGCCTAATTAGCCAGGAAAAAAAATTTTTAAAGGCTAAATATAGCTTAAAAAACAAGTGTAGTACATAGACTTTAACTTTCCCTGTGGTGGGCTCGTGTTTTCATAATCCATACTACTGGTCTTTTAAATTATTCTATTTTAACGGTTCTCAGCTAGGGGCAATTTTGCTCCCCAAGGGACACCTGGAAATGTCTGGAAACATTTTTGATTGTCAGAACCAGGGGGATGCTACTGGCATCTAGTAGGTAGAGGCCAGAAATGACACTAGACATCCTACAATGCAAAGGACAGCCCCCACACCAAAGAATTATCTGGTCCAAAATGCCAGCAGCACCAAGGTTGAGAAACACTCTTTATTCCATATAACTAACCTATAATTTCTGGTTCCTAATTTATAATACTGTGGAATTCTGCCATTATTATTTGTGCTTTATAGAAATGCAAAAAAAATGTGCTCTTCAGAAACCTGAAAAGAGACCTACCAGCAATTTCTTTTTGGATTATGTTGTGCCTGCTAGTACTTTTACAATGTAAGGAGCATTCAGCATTTGAACTACATATTTTTTCCTTTGGTTTTGGTATTTGGCATACATTCTTATGCAGAAAGCATTTTGACTATACTGATGTTAATTAACATAGTAAAATGTCTACACTTTAAATTAGAAATAAAGGGTAGTTCGTTGCTTATACCAGAAGCAGTCGTTTATTTTAGTGCTATGAGACACATCATCTTCACTTTTATTCCGTATAGGTATCATTCATCTCTAAGACTGTTAAGTCCAAAGCTTTTTTTTTTTTTTTTTTTTCTGAGACAGAGTCTTGCTCTGTCACCCAGGCTGGAGTGCAGTGGCACGATCTCTGCTCACTGCAAGCTCCGCCTCCCGGGTTCATGCCATTCTCCTGCCTCAGCCTCCCGAGTAGCTGGGACTACAGGTGCCCGCCACCACGCCCGGTTAATTTTTTGTATTTTTTAGTAGAGACGGGGTTTCACCGTGTTAGCCAGGATGGTCTCGATCTCCTGACCTTGTGATCCACCAGCCTCGGCCTCCCAAAGTGCTGGGATTACAGGCATGAGCCACCGTGCCTGGCCAAGTCCAAAGCTTTTAATGCTGCATACAATGCTTAAAATAATTTTATCTGTTCTGGATGAGTGTTTAATTAGATGGCAAACTTCATGAAAGCAGAAATATTTTCCCAAATTTTATGTCTGCTCAAAAGAATATATATATATATATAAAATATTTATATATAAATATGCACACATACATATATAGTGGCCTAAAGGATAAACACTTTAGATAATAAGGTCAAAAATTTTCAGGTATGCTTTGATATTGGATCAATCTCAGTAAAAAAGGATCCAACATCAGGCATGGTGGCTCACGCCTGTAATCCCAGCACTTTGGAAGGCCAAGATGGGCAGATCACCAGGTCAGGAGTCCAAGAGCAGCCTGGCCAATATGGTGAAACCCCATCTCTACTAAAAATACAAAAATTAGCTGGGCATGGTGGCACACGCCTGGAGTCCCAGCTACTCAGGAGGCTGAGGCAGATGAATCACTTGAATCTAGGAGGCAGAGGTTGCAGTGAGCCAAGATTGTGCCGCTGCACTCCAGCCTGGGCGACAGAATGAGACTCCATCTCAAAAAAATAATAAATAAAAAATAATAATAAAAAAATTCCAGCACAACTCGGTTGCGTGTACTTCTCTAAAAATATGAAAGCGATAAAAAAGAAAGCTGTAGGAAGACTGGTTATTTCTACTACTAAGCTCTTTTGACAACATGTAGAAGAAGTGCTGTAGGTGAAACAAAACAAAGTAAAACATTACATCGAAAAAATCTGCAGTATACCTTGAAGTAAACTAGGCTGAGGATTTAGTGCCTCATTGAAACACTTTAAAACAAACTAAATAATTATTTCATTCTTACTGGACAACTCAACAATTCTTGAAGTTTACCATGTTCTCTTTTGCCTGTAGGCCTTTGCACATTAATTACATTCCCCATTTCCTGCCTTCTACAACATAGAAGCACGTGTGCATACACACACACACACACACACACACACACACACACACACCCCTTCCCCCCACATACACACTACATCCTGACCCCTCCTAACTCATGCAAATACTCTCAATTTATTCTTACTCATTCTTCAGGCCTCTTCTTAGACATCCCTTCTATTTTTTCATCCTAAAATATATCTTAGGTTCTCTTTATATTTTTATTTTTATTTTCTTTTACAGACAGAGTCTTGCTCTAGATGTCTCCAAGACTGGAGTGCAACGGCATGATCGTAGCTCACTGCAACCTCAAACTCCTGGGGTCAAGCAATCCTCCCACATGTTAGGTACTATATTACTATACTATATTTCCTCTATTTATAACTAATAATATTATTGCTAATTGCCTACTGTATAGTAATTGCACATTTATTTGTCTGTATTTGTCACTAGAATATAATCTCCAGGATAGCAACACCAATGTCTATTTCAAGTACACGGCAACATCTTACATTGTGTCTGGCACTTCTTTAGCTAATGACAAATGTTTGTTAAATAATGAATAAAGAATGAAACAAAACACATAAAATTACTCTCTATGAATCTACTACTCAGAGCACATATACTATTTGAACAGACAGGTATGCATTTCAGACAAATAATAAGTCAAGGTTGAAGTGATTCAGGGATCTAGACCCTCAGAGAGGAAACCAGAAAGTGCTGGGTGCTGATACTTTTGGAGGAGGGGTTAGAAAAAAACTAATAAAACAAAACCACAAACTGAAAAGGTTTACATATACTATTATTCACATTCACCACAGCTGTTTTATGCCTCCTTCTTAGAGAAACCTTATATTCATAGTACCTAGTGTGGAAATCCAAAAAATAAAAGGGAACACTAAGGTCTTTTTAAAAACTGTATTTTCTATATAGGTCTGATGACATGGTGATGAATATTAAATAACTGATAATGTATGAGGATTACAGTGTGAAGCACTGCCTTGTCTGGATTAGGCCCCAATGCTTCCCTGTCCTAAATTATGAGCACTATTATTTATTCCACCATAATTTTCCTTTCCTTCCCAAAAAGGCTCATTTGCTTTAAGTTGAAATTGATAAGAATGAGAAAAAGCACTTCTCTCATTACACAGTATTTACAGACATACACCCCTTATCATAACCAACGTTCTACCTTTAAAGACAGAAACATAGAGTTACAAATAACAGTTCTATTATCTAAAGTGGTGTTTGCATTTAACTGATTGTCCCAACTCCAGTGGTGAGATACAGACCACTGTCAGATACCTCATATTTTTTAAGACATTGTCCAGACTAGTTTCCCTGGTGCTTTATCAGAGGGTTTTATCAGGCCTCCACATGATAAGGGTTGCTACTATTTGCCAAGTTGGAATTTTTGTAAAATTCCTTAATTTTCTGTTGTTAATCCACCAAACACAAACACATAAAGACTTATCTTATTCTACAAGAATAAATGACTTGTTGGACTGTGAAGTACTAGGAGATAGAGGGTTGGGAGCAGTGGGTTGTCTTTAGTTTATTTAACTCCATCAAAACCAGACTACTTTGTGTTTTTGACGCCACGGGAAAAAGAAATTGATACACAGGCCTAAACCCCCTACTCATCCTTTCTTGGCACATTCAAATTCAGAAGTACTAGGAGGAAGTAATATATTTTCTTTAAATATTTTTTTCTTGCTGTTAGAATACATAGGATATACTTTGTTGTGGATATAAAGGCCTAATGTGTAATTTTAGAAACTTTAGAAAAAAAATAAAATAAAAGTTAAAAAAGAATTAGTCATCCTGTGTTTTCAAAGTTAACCTTAAAAACATTTAATTACTACAATTATGTTATTTTTTTGCAGAGTACATTCCTGATAAGTAGTATAATTTAGAATGTCTCAATATTTAGAATTAATAATTTTGCATCTGCACAATTATTTCAGCTGCCAAAAAAAAGACTAAAATATAATTCAGGCCTTTAAAAATGTAATACCAAAAAAAACCAAAGAAAAATACGATAAACCATTTTATTTCATGAGGAATTTTTTTAATAAAGCAGAAAAATAGTGATTAACCTGCCATCTTATCACGAACATTCTAGGCATAGCAAATAACCTTTTCTTACAGGTCTTATGACTACAGTAGTCTGTGAAAAGGATACTCCATGATGTCTTTACTAAAATGAATGGAGAATGAGTGATGAATTGACAGGTTCAGTTCAGAGTACTGACCCCTTAACCTGACTGGAGTGGAATACTTCTCTCATTCCTTCAGGTCCTTTTCTCCTAGCCGGCATTCCAGCCCATATGTTTATTCTTCAACTCTCTGGGAGGCCACCTTTCATCAAAAGAAGTGTGCTAATCTTCCATGGTTTTACTGCCATTGGCACCTCTAGCCCCCTTTGTTTGCTCCCATCTGAGTACTCAGGAAAAAAAGCTTTTTGGATTCTCAATTATACAAAAAGGAAAAAAATTCCCCTTACTGTCTTTGCAGATGAAAGAGCTTAGTCTCAAAACTCAGTTGCACAGATTTAAGTAATTATAAAATGCACAAACCGAAAAAAGATAACCCCAAATTTACTGTTCAGAAATATGCTATAGATTTGTTGCTCTATTTTTTTTCTGTAAGCATTAGAAAGCTTAGAAATTTTTAAAAATTTGTGATTTCTCTTTTTTCACACCCATTATGCAAAAACAATCACCCAGATACTAGGAAAAATATAATACTCAGGGTTATTTCATCAAAATGATATATAAACAATATATAACCAAAAATATATAGAACAAAATATATAATCAAATATGCAAATATCATGAAGTTGGAGAAGGTTTGAGAAGTGAAAAATATAGATATTCCATTCCATATTTCACTCATTTCAAAAAATAATAAATTCCAAACATGGATTATATTACCCAGTAAGGAATAAAGAGACTGGCTTCATAAAGACCAAAGATGTTGCATAACTGATTTCTCACTTTTTTCTACCTGAAGCTTGATTCAGCACAAAGTTGAAGGAAACTATCCAAATTTCTATGGCTTAAAGGTATTTCTTAATAACAAATTAACCAGGTGTTGCTAACAAGAAAAACGAGCAACATAGACAGTCACAGTATTTGCTCTTCCTGGGCAGATAAATTGTCACACTAAAAACTGAAAACAGGAGGGGCACGGTGGCTCACCCCTGTAATCCCAGCACTTTGGGAGGCCGAGGCAGGTGGATCACTTGAGCCCAGGAGTTTGAAACCAATTGGGGCAACATGGGAAAACCCTGTCTCTACAAGAAATACAAAAATTAGCCAAGGATGGTGGCACATGCTTGTGGTCCCAGCTACTCAGGAGGCTGAGGTGGGGGTATTGCTTGAGCCCGAGAGGTGGAGGTGGCAGTGAGTGGAGATTGCGCTGCTGCACTCTGGCCTGGGCACAGAGTGAGACCCTGTCTAAACAAACAAACGAACAAACAAACACTGCTGCCAAACACCTCTATATTTTGTTACATTCTCAGTATATATATCACGGTTTCTCCACATTGG
The DNA here is from genome assembly GCF_000001405.40 of Homo sapiens. Classification (NCBI taxonomy): domain Eukaryota; kingdom Metazoa; phylum Chordata; class Mammalia; order Primates; family Hominidae; genus Homo; species Homo sapiens. The sequence continues at coordinate 105,582,522 of NC_000008.11, read as the reverse complement.
CACTATTAAGCTTTGGGGCCAGATTATTCTTTACTGTAGAGAGCCATCCTGTGCATTGCAGGATTTTAGTAACCACTCTGGCCTCTCTCAACTAGATGCCAGTTGCACTGCTAAGTCCCCTTCCCTCACACTCACTTTGCCAAATGTCTTCAGACAGCCCTCTGTGTCCCTTGGGGCACAAAACTGGCCCTAGTTAAGAGCCACTGAATTAATTATGTTTCTACTAACCATTCTGAAGACAGTCTTTCATTCTTTCAAACTCATTATTCTGACTTCAACCAGTTTAAAAAATATGTGTTCCCTTCAGGGTAGGTCACCTACCTAAAAGCTAATATATCCGGGTGGATTGGTCAGTAAAATTATGGTTTCCCAGAGACCTCATTCTGTGCTTTTGAGCATAAAGTAGTAGAAAGATAAAGTTGTACAATCTCATCCAACAAATGATCTCACTTCAACCCTCACACTAACTTTACTATTAAACAGAAACAGGCACATTTTCAAATATTGATTCCAACTAATGTCTGATCCTAACAGGCATGATCTTATCAAGGCCCCACTATAATAGAAGGAGTGTCAGAGTTAAACAGAATAGGTTGGGATAAGATCACAATCTTCCCCACAACGATGTGATGGTATCACAGAATGGGGATAGTATTCTGAGTAATTATCATTAATAGAGCCAGGCACAAGAAAGAGCAGGGCTGATGGGGGTCTAAATAAATTTGAGTGAGATAAAACAAGGTGGTGAGAATCATAGTTTATGGCATTAGGTATGGTTGAAGTTATTTTTTAAAGTTTTAAATTGTAGATTTTAAGTGAAGAGGGAGGTGTAGAATGATTTTAGCACAATGAACTTGGAAGGGGAAAATTGCCGTTTTATTATTAATATGGGTGCATTTCAGTTGTCTTTTTGCCCATTATATCCATTTTGGTTATTTCTATGCTCTGATCCAATTACAGTATTTATAAACAGGTTAGTTCTAGCTACAAAAGAGGTTAAATGCATTCGCTATTTGCAGTCTACCAGACATCAATCTGATAAATTAATCTCTATCATAAGAAATAGAAAAGGCTTGTTTCTATTCTTTAAGCTTTGGGCCCAACTTTAGTATATCCTCATGATACTGCGAAAGGCATCTTAATGCAGGATTGGTTCCAAAGTATCTATTGCAACTTGCAAATTTAGGACCCACGTATCACATTGATTCATTCATTCTTTGGCCCCTATGCACTAGTACACAAAAGCTCACAATTACCACTTCATTATTTATTTCTCAATGACTAGGGAAGTATCTATAAAAAAGTCAAGATGACTTTAGGATGCCTTTTTTAAACTCATTAACAATTACATAGATAAAATGGCATCTAGTAGAATATTACATCTTCTGGAAATCTAGTATATAAAATCCATTGCTACTTACTGAGATTTTTATGCTTGTTACATTGATAAAATAAGTATTTCCATGAAGAAGATATTAGTGAAAAATAGTTCAAATAATTAATAAAACACAGAAGTTTAGCTTGAGTTGGTCACTACTCACTCGTCTTTTATAAAATAGAGATAACAATGTAATTTTCATTGTAATTTTCACCATGACACAACATTTAAAGTTAAGCAAACAATATAAGGGAATTAATTAGTAAATGTGATCAAAAAGATTTTTTCTCTCAGTGATTTATATATATATATATATAGAGAGAGAGAGAGAGAGAGAGAGAGAGAATGATGATTATTACTTGCACTGTTACTATTCTTAGTCACGCTATGTCAGGACTTTTCTAGGGAGAAAAGGGCCAAACTATATCTTAGTTTGTGTTTCTTTTCTCAAATGAGTAATTAATTATAGGTGCTGCAATCTTTTGGATAATCACTGAGAATGAAAAATTAGTAGTGCAGAGAGAAACTTAAACACTACTAGTTGTTAACATCGTCAAGCGAAACAGAGTATTTTACACTTTGTATCTTGTCTAAAAATAATGTAGTCATTGACCTTAAACCTTATCAAACTGGTTCCATCATCAAGGTCAAGTATAATAATAAATAAATTCACATGGACATGAGCCTACCATAAGTATTTATGATGCAACTACATTTGTACCTTGTATTTTTCCTAGAAAAAGTACTGGCAAATAAAAATTAATATTGTCAGTAGAAAACTTTAATTTTGAAATAGGTTAATAAAATTTGGCAAAGATAGATACAAGGTATATATTCACTATTTAGAAGTCTTTTCAGAGCTTCCAATTCTGCCTTCACACAACAATATACAATATGCATGGAAAAATCCCAAATATGTACCTAAGACAACTAACAACAGTAGCTGTTATCAGCACATATCTTTATGTTTGGTGCCAGTCCTTCTTTCAATTCGACCAAAGAAGAGAAGACATAAGAAAAGCAATTCAGAAAATCCTTACACACTAATCTTTCGGGAAGGATATCCTTGATGAGTAGTAGATAGATACTGAAGCCCTTCTGGGTCTAGAGAACTATTTTACATCTGTGTGTAACACCAGATGAAGAGATAGGGAGAGCACAGGTGTGTGCTGCTGAAGACTTTACAGGGGTTAGCCAATGGCTTGGTTCACAGAATGGCAGGAATGGTAAGCAGGCACAGCTATATTTGAGTCTTTTAGAAAGCACTATGATTCATCCTGCTAATTCTCATTCCAGTTTTCATTTTGCAAAAGATTAAACAAATAAAGAGAACTACCACGCTGAAAAAAAATTATCAGTTTGTGGAAAGAAACATGGAAATACTGATTTTTGTTCCTTCACACACTAAGGGGATTTACGCAAAGAGAAAGCAAATGCCACACAGTGCAACGAGAGGCTGACTCTGCTGCCAACAGACTCATCAGTATTTTTCATCTTTGTAACACACACCCACGATATGCTCTTTTTCTTCAGCCTGTTAATCAGGACAGTGGTACCTGATAGTGGATGATTGACTAAAGAAATCAAGATTGAACTTACTCCCTGAGGCACACTGTACCTCAGATCAAAGAGCACACATGTAGTATCCTGAAAGTGCAGTCCCCTGCTTCCACCTCTCAACTCCCTGACACAAGAACCAAAGACAATAATCCTTATGAATCAGTGATACTGTCTCTAAAAAGGGAGGGAGTGAAGATGGGGGAAGAAATTTGGAGATCTGAACAGACTCAATTAAGTAAGTTCTTTTTAAAAATCTTAAGGCTAGTTTTTACTTTCTAACTTGATTTTACATATTTAATCTCAATGACAAATTACGAACAGAAATATAGGATGCTAAATGCTTAAAATCAAGATGTCCTCTTTGCAGAAAAAAAGATAAAATCAGATCCAGAAATGTTACTGTATCAGGCAATGCAGTTTACTACAAGAATTTGACAAAAATATAGTCGTTAAACATTTTTTAAAAAATTGTAGCACCTTTAATTACATTGTCATTAAAGAAACAATTTTTTCTTTAGTATTCCACGTGTCATTATATGCCACAGAGTGTATGGTTAATAGAAATATTCAACAGAAGGTTTACTTATGATTTAATAAATAAGAACGCACAGAATAATAACAAACTTCATCCTGATTTAGGATCAGATTGTTAATGCCATAATGAGCATTGTAAATATCAATGGAAACTATAAAAATGTAATTATGCCTGTGGAGTTATGAAGGTACCTCTCTTTTATCAGTTTGCTAGTATATTCAATTGCATTCAATATACAGCATTATTCTAAAAGCATTATAAAGAAACTTGAGCTCCAACTTAAGCCACTCTAGTGAAAAGTCACTTCATAGTGGAATCTGCTTTATTCCCACATATTCCAGTGATCAAAGCACTGCTCTTACCAAGATAGTATTAATATTAATATCCAGGTGAAGTGGCCATGGAATCTAACACTTTCACAATGTTAGGTTCACTAGGTAAATTATTTTAAAAATTCTATCATTTTACAATTGGTCAACATGAATTATGTAGATTTTCAGATGAATCACATCTGCAGAATGGAAGCAAATTACTGAGAAACTTTTAAATGCTGTATATATTAAGAATACTCTGAATTGTTTGATGATAAAAGATATTCAGTTCACTGGAGTAACTGGAGTAAAACTGGAGAAACTGGAGTAAAACAATATAAAATAAGGTAAGAGAATATCAGATTGTAGTAACTGATTAGCTAAAATAGTCTGTACTTTTGCTTGTTTCTACTGATTTCCTTCCTTTCAACTTTAAGATAACTGTGTGTGCACTAGCAAAAGATACTTGGAGAACTATCAAGAAGATGCAAAATGAAAATGGTAGGCTGCCCATTCCTTTAGATGCTGTCAAAGCAACTGAAAGAAGATGTCATGCTTCTCCTTTCAAAGCTCTCAGTAGCTAAGGAGAAACAAAAATAACAATCAAAAGATTGAGTATACTTTTATCCTCTATCACTTGAGTGGTATGTAGGATTTGTGACAAATAGTAGCAATACTTCGTAATGATAACATTATTACCAAAGAACTCTATTTCTTAAGTCTAGAGATAAATACTGGAATCCAAAAATAAGATTCAGTATCCCTAATTCAATTAAATTGTTTGAATCTTGTAAAATTGCAAACATTTATTATACCATCTTAGTTAAGGTTACAGACAGTTCTCAATAATTTATGCTCACAGACAATGCACAATAGTGAAATAAAAACTCACAAAAGATCAAATAATATGGAAGCACTTTTCACTGCATGCATTTTTTTCATTTCTCACTTTTTTTTTTTTTTGGTTTCCTCACCATATTTGCCACTTTAATTAAATTGGGTCTTTTTATAACGCTCTATGTGGTCAATAATTGTAAACAACTTTTTCATCCTACAGATGAAATGCTCTACACTTGTTCTATATTACCTATTAGAGTACTTAAAGTATCTTCATGATAATTTTGCAATTCAGTTTTTCCATGATGTAAAATAATGAAATTATAAGAAAAATAATGTTAGAAACAATCTTAATATTTATAATATCTAAACTATGACAAGAAAAATATTGACTAAATCTGTGTATTTCTTTCAATAATAGAGGTGTGCTTTACTTCATAAGATTATTTTATTTGTGTAAGTTAAGAGTATAAAGAATAGGAAAAACATACAAATGTATTCATTTTTATCTTATTTGTTGGCTTAAAAATCAACTGTTTACTCTATATGAGCATGCATGTGCATGTATGTGTGTGTGCCTGCACACATGTGAATACTACTTTTTGTTTGTTAGGTTTACTTAAAAATATACATAAAGGCTATGGACAGAATTCAGTTCTATTTAAATACTCTTACATGAAGCAATTCTGTGTGGGAAGCATTCAGATTTTTGTATCCCACATTTTAGAAGAGTTCCTGACTTATGGAACATGCTAAATAAATACTGAGTCAAGTTTTCCTTCAAGACTTCTATGGCTGTATGTACAAAACATTAAAGAAAGAAATACATTTTAATAGTCATTTACTTGCTACTAGATTCAGCAGAGGAAAACTGTTAGAATAGTTATGAAATAAGGGAAATGATTATTCCACTACCCTTTCATATGACTGTAAAGATGATAAAAATAACATACCACTATAAAGGAAACTAATAAAAGATAGCTGAAGCTTGAGCAAAATAAACCATTATAGGAAGGCACACAATATGGCTGGAGATTTAGTTAGGGTGACATGTCCAAAAGGGACCATCCCTACTCTTTCATGCAGACAATAGCCAACTGTTTTGCTTGGGTCCATTCTAAAAAGCCTTCTTAATGATTAACTTCAAGTGAAAATAAATGACCATATAAAAATACATAAATGGCCATATAAAAATCTGAAAGCTCTTTACAAAGTAGGAGCATTAATATACAAATACATACAAATAGATCTATCCTATCAAAGCTTTTTTAGAAACAAAAAGTTGTCTTCCAATATGACAGGATGTGTCACTTTTCTTCTATCTTTCTTTGTATTTTCACACAGACATTATTTTAACCAATAGTTAAGAGTCTGAGTTAAACTCACCAAAACAAGAACGTTAAATCTGAAGGTGGAGTTGCCCTCTACCAATCAGGTCTCAGCAGTGGGGAGCAAACATCACCTCCAAGCAGCTAAGTTTTTCTAGATAAGCACTGGACTATCCATGGTATGTGAGGTATTTCCCTATCATTCACTCATCTGACAACCACTGTTTTTAATTTTTTGTGCCTCTATGTTTATTCATAAGACACCAGGCCAATAGTAGGAGGAATAGTTAAAAAAAAAATCTCAGCATCATCTATAAGCTTAAAGATACTTAAACTTTACAGTGTATTGACTTGATGCCCACTTTTCTTGACCATGTTTACTAATTGCTCTGCGTATATATTATTACCGTGTGCTGTAAGATAGTGGTTCTATTTTGCTGGAGCTTTAGCTGTCTTTTTATTTTTTCCTTCATGGGTAGGAATGATTTTATTTTAGCTGTCCTAGGAATAGCAGATCCGTTTCTAAAGCTCACTAGAATTTTCTTAGCTGTATGAATTATGTTTGAAACATTTAATGTGTATTTTTTAAATGCAGAGTAAAAATAGCCCACTTATTCCCCTTTCAAAAATCTCAATAAATAACAAAGGTACATTAGGCTCCAAAACAGCTTAACTGAACCATATGTGGATCCAAAGGCCTGCCAAAATGGAATCAGCATTATGAAAGATAGCTTCATATTTCATCTAGCCATAAAATAGGAACCCACAGTATATAAAATGTACAGGCCACTTGTACAGAGCTCATGATGACAGTGAATTGAACACTCATTGTCAACAGAATAAAAGTGACCTAATACATACTCTGACAGGTTTCTTGAGTTTGGATATTTTTTTTCTTTTTCTGTCTTTTTGACCTGGATTGACTAATCACAGATTATGGAGCAAATGACTTAAAACAGCATCTTGAACCTATGCCCCTATGACAGTCACAGAATTTTACCATTAAAATATTTCATTAGAAAATCTTCAAGAAGCAGCAGAAGGTTTGGCACTGAAGCCTTAGGATCCCATTAAGGGCCTCTGCCATATTCCCTAGCTCATCTAGTCCAAAACAGCACACTCCACTCCCACGGAGTCTCTCCAAAGCCATTTTGAATCCTCTTTTCCCTTATCAGGCTGATACAGACCTGCATCATCCTCGGAGCCTTCTGACAGGGGCTACAACAATTGGGGAAAGGGAGGGGGGTGATACAACGGCTCATTGTTTCCTTTCACAAAACCCTGCCACAGGGCGCAGATTAACACCAAAAAATAGATGGCTGCAACCAAAGAGAAACATTTTTCAGAATGCCTCCACTTGATTAATGAAGTAATGGAGCCGACCACTGTTTGACTTTCATCACGCACTCTTCCTCCCTCACCCCTTCTCCTCCCGGAATATCAGCAGAGGCGGGGGGACACTTGTGCACATGTCTGCCTCCTTTGAAGAGTTGTCATTTTCACAAAGTTTTGAAGAAATGCACCAAGAATAACACTGCCTAGGTTTCTTGCTGAAAATATTCAGATAAAGGACAAATTTTCTTTCCACCACTTCTGTACTTCTTTAATAAAGGCAAGTGCTATTTTTTTTTTTCCTATAGGAGCTGAATTTAACATGTACTTGGGTCCTGATGCCTATCTCAGATGCACACATGGATATAATTGGGTACCTTTAAATGCACTAATATGCTGCGTGTGCCTGGGCAGCAGTGGCTTTCAGAGGAGAGGTGGTAATGCCGCATCCGAGATTAGGATCAGAACCTGAGGGACTCTTACTGCTCCTGTCTGCGGGGTAATGCTTACACTATTACACATAGGGTAATGAGGTACAAATGGTATTTGTTTGACTTCTTAATAAAAGCTAAAACTTAAGGCACGTGACGTGCCTCTGCTCTTCCAAAACTCTGTCCCCATTTCTTCATATTTCACAGTACATCACTGTCTGCATTATGACTGCCTTATTCACTCCATTCTGTATGGAGCTCTAAAATGCCATAAATAATGAAAGAATTGAGTTAACATTTTAAAATACAAACCTAACTCAAAAGTGAATCAGACAGGGTAAATTACTTTTCCAATTGTCTGAAATCCCCAATCACACACCTGAGAAATGCTTTCTGAAGAATAACTCCCTACAAAAAGAAAACTCAAAGAAGCCAAGATCATTCAAAAGGCAGTTTGACCACTTAACCTTTCTTTCTCTTCCTAAAAATATGTGTTTTTCCTCTATGGTGACTGTCTGCTTAGATGATAAATGCACTAAGTCCATACCGTTTACTTATCTAGGCTATGAGTTCTCAGAATATTCATGCCAGCTAATCAGTAAGCATGTGTGTGTATGGATACGTGTGAGTACACGTATATGAAGCTATATTCGTATGACAACAAAACCTGCTTTTTAAAGTATGTTTAGGGAGAGAACAGAAGAGAAAAGACTAGATGCACTGCTTGGGGAATTAAAGGAATGAATCATTTACTTTCTATTCACAGGCATAATAAAAGGAATCCAGGTTTGTTTAACAATCTGTATGTTTTTCAAAGTGACTAAATGCGTATAATTTTATATAACTTTACAATTCTATGTTGTAGGGCTGGTATAATAACCCCTATTTTATAAAAGAGGAAACTAAGAGCATGTATGATTACCCAAGATAGCACATCCACTTTGAGTAATAACAGGACTAGAATCAGGCTGTTCTGACCCCATCACGGGCTCTTTCCCATACTTTCTCTCCCACTTTTGATCTTTACAGTGTGTGGGTGTATATTTCTCAAAATTACCAAAGGAGAAGAAACACTCAGCAAACTACTTTTGATCCCCAATTCCCACCAAATTTTTGTACAAATCACGTTTTGTATATTTTAATTTGTCTTTATTGCAAAATTAATATCTAAATAAATTAATCAGGAAGCCACTGATCACAGATGTGAGAAACCATAAATATTTTAATGAATAATAATAAAATATACCTCATTTTCACAAATGTCTTTTACTTATTAATCTTTGATTTTGGTTATGATGCTGTATAGCATACAGTTTTGTTGTCTGTATTCAAGTTCACTGAATTTTCTTTTGTGATTGCTCCCATGGCTCTTGGTATTTGAAAGTCCTTCCCTATCCACAGGTCAGGTTAACTACTTATGCAAATTACCTTCTGTGGCAGACAGCCTCTGAGTTGGCCCCCAGTCATCCCAGCCTTCTGGTTTCAAGCTCTGCACAATTCCCTTCCCTAGAATTCAGCAAAAGTGATAGGATGCCACTCCCATGATTAAGTTACCAAAGCACTGTGGCTTTTGTCTTGGGCTCCCTGTCCTATGCTCTCATCTGCTTGCTCAGAGGGATGCCAGCTGCCATATTGTGAGTGGCCTTAAGTAGAGGCCCACTAGGCCAAGCACTGAATCAAGAGTCATTTGAGTGAGCATGTAAGCAGATCCTCCACTAGCTGAGCCTTCAGATGACACCAAGACCTGTCTGTCCCCTTGATTGAAGCCTTGTGGGAGACATTATGCCTGCGACAAGTTGTGCTCATTATTTTTAACCATCAGAAAAGGAACTAAAGTGTATGAGAAGAAAACCACAGACCAACCTACATAACTCTATGCTTTAGTCTGGTTTCCTGCCATTAAAAAATAGAAAGTGATACAAAATGGCACAGAAGACGCTGAAATTATTAGAATCAAGAAGCCACAGTTTTGTCAAGCTGGGACAAGGGGTTTTATGAGAAAATTGAAGTAAGAGTCAATGAATAATAAAGAACAACTTTAGGCTGGGCACGGTGGCTCATGCCTGTAATCCCAGCATTTTGGGAGGCCAAGGCACGCAGATCACCTGAGGTCGGGAGTTCTTCGAGACCAGCCTGACCAACATGGAGAAATCCTGTCTCTACTAAAAATATAAAATTAGCCAGGCATAGTGATACATGCCTGTAATCCCAGCTACTCGAGAGGCTGAGGCAGGAGAGTTGCTTGAACCTGGGAGGCGGAGGTTGTGGTGAACTGAGATCACGCCACTGCACTCCAGCCTGGGGAACAACAGCAAAACTCTGTCTCAAAAAAAAAGAACAACTTTAAATTCAATATTTAAATTAACAGGCAAAAATATGTTAATCTCCAAGAGAGTTTCTCAAATAATTTCTCAAATTTCCAAAGTATGTAATAAATATTACTTTATTATTCTCTTATTAGAAATTTATGCAAGAGGCTAGGTGTGGTGGCTCACGCCTGTAATCCCAGCACTTTGGGAGGCCAAGGCAGGCGATCACAAGGTCAGGAGATCGAGACCATCCTGGCTAACACGGTGAAACCCCATCTCTACTAAAAATACAAAAAATTAGCCAGGTGTGGTGGCGTGCACCTGTGGTCCCAGCTACTCAGGAAGCTGAGGCAGGAGAATGGCATGAACCCGGGAGGTGGAGCTTGCAGTGAGATGAGATCGCACCATTGCACTCCAGCCTGGGCGACAGAGCCAGACTCCGTCTCAAAAAAAAAAAAAAAAAAAAAAGAAATTTACCCAAGAATACTTGCCCCTGGACCACCACACAGCATCAACACAGAGCTTTATAGCAGTGGCTTGGAAAGAGTCACAAACTTGCCAATGCTAGGAAAACCTTATATGATAATAAAGGTTGTCAATGCCACCTGAGAGCTACAGTTAAATTATGAAACTTGGTGAATCCCATCCTGGGAATATTTATTGAAAATTAGATTAAAACCAGAGTCCAATATGTTATCAGAGTTTGACAAAGCATTATCCCTAAGTAATTTTGATTTTTAAGACCAAACTGAAGGAGTACAAACTGGTACCTATCTCCATTCTCTCTGTTATCATCTCCAAGTTACTGAATGTATTAATTGTCATGTCAAGCTGAGATTGATGCTAAGTCCTCATAATGCTGGCACAATATTTGTTACAACCATGTAAGCATATCCTGCCAAACTAATTGTTTTGAAATCAGTATAGAATGACAATTCCTCAAAAACATCAAATAGAAAGAATTTAAAAGGCATGCCAGACCTATCAGCACATAACAGAGGACAGTTTGGTCAACTCCATGAACAACTCTTCCTCACAGTGCTTTGTTACTTCTACCTTCCCCTCCAGGGAAAACTACATTTCAAGATTGATATTTTAGAATTTGTGTTACAAAAACAATAGTTATGCTTTACAAACCACTTCCTCACTAGTCAAGATGGTGATAGATTTCCCTAGAGAGGCAGGGATGCTATATATCCACCCACTTCCACCTTAGGCCTTCATGATTCTGTTTTTGGCAAATACGAAGAAATGACAGTAGCAATGAAATCTGCATTAAGAAAATTCATGTAAGGATCCCTATGTGTGGGAACAATCACAACTCCCACAAACAGTATCTGGAGCTATAAATCAATAGTGATTCTTCATCCTTCACACCGATCCTCTGTGGGAAAAGGTTATGTGACTCATTTGTCTCAACTTTACACACATAGAGTGGATCAGCTTTGATCATCTTATGATGACATAAACAATTCCTCCTTTCAGAAATTAATTAAATTAATAGCACTAATCGTCCTAATAACTGAAAAGATCATCTTCAACAAAAGTTCTCCTTGGAGTTCTGGGAAAAGGGAACAATGAATAATCTTGTAAAAATAATTCTTTTTAAAAGTTCAAACTTGGCCTAACTAAGGGTAAATAGGTTTAGCCATATAAACCAAAGGCCAAAATGTATTAAAATTTCAGGCAGAGGAGAGTAAGTTAGGTCCATAAATAAAATTGTCTATGTATAGCAAGGAATTGTGTTTCCACCTTTCAAATCCAAGTCCAAATGTAAAGAACCTGGAAAGACTTCACCATCAGGAGAAAAAGTAAGTCAGGATGAGATTGAGGTTAACAGGCTAGCTATACACAAAAGGTATTATTTTGGAGGCAAGTAAAAATTATCAGGAAGGGCACAAATTCAGGTTTTCATTTCAATACCATTGTGCCATATGACAATGTATTTTCATCCACTGCCAACATCATAACTATATCTGCATTATAACACAGCAAATCCCTTCAGATTAATATGCAATTGACCTCTCTGGCTTCTACATATTTCAATTGTGAAATAATTCTTCGGTGTTTAATTTCTTCCTTTCTGACTCACATTCAATAGCAGGCCTTTGATTACTGAGGCCTCCACACAAACTTCTTTCTCCTCTTTCCCTGAGTAATCCCCCTCCATCAAAAAAAAAATAAATAAAAATAAAAATCAATAAAACAACAAAAACCCTACCCTAATTCTAGAAACCAAACCAACGCATCACTTTCCAAGGCTCTGCTGCATTACATTTCTTGCCTTCAAGTCTTCTTTGAGCAGCTTTTCTGTCCACTCAGTTTCCATTAATTCTCCACATAGCAGATAGAGTATAAGAGAAGCCAGGATCTTGCCCTCCCTAAGGGACAAATCTACAACCTCCATCAATAATGAATTTCACCAATGTTTCCCAAGAGGAACAGGGTACAATTAAAAAGGTTATAAGTCCTTGCACTACTAGAACCTAAGGGCGTCTGTGAATGAAACTGGCTTAAGCCCAATTAGAGGAATCAGTACATTTGTCTTCTCTTGGAACAATCTTGCTCTTACGGTTCCCATCAATTCAGTATAAATCTGACTGATCTTATCCAAGAAGTTAATAGAAAATTGCTCACAGTGGGCGACTGCCACCTCAGTTTCCAAGCAGAGACAGATGGAATTTCCCAGATGGTTTGTCACTGGAACGTGTGAGGCTGGATGAGACTTCACAGAAAGCATGGTAGAGCAGAACACCTTCTTGGCCTTCACCCATGTCATAGTGAGGGATCTAAAACTGAGTCTGTTGTAAACAAATCATAATTGCCTCACTAGGCGCAACACCTCATCCTCCTAGCTGCATCCAAGGGTTGCAAATCTTACACCGAAATTAGTCAACTTTTCTCAAGAAACCATCATGGGCATATCTCCTTATGAGATAAAAACTGAAGAAATAGACATAGTTATCTTGTCCTACTGAAGTTTCCTCTCAAACGAGACTAAAATAAAAGTGCAAGTCTATAAACAAATAAAACAGGTACAAGATAGCATTTCCTGTGGTAATTGCTCTGCTGAGTTAGGCAGATGAAGCAAGATCACAGACGAAACAGACATGGATGTAAAGCCTCAGGAAGGATGCAGGGTCTTGAATAAGGAGGGGTGTGCAGCTGTTCCTGATATGGAGAAAAGTGAAAGGAAAAAATTAATGTGCTGATTCATTCAATGTTATTCATTGAGCTCTTAGTATAAGCTAGACATTGTTCTAAGTGGGAAGGATAGAAAGATAAAAAATAGATAATAAGCATATGGTCTGCAGGGGAGATAGACAAGCAAACAGGAGCTCACAGTTATGTGATCAGTGCTCTTATCCTAGTAAACCTAGAGCACCAGGGAAATACTCCAAGAGTGGTTATCTATTCCAGACAGGAGGCTTCAGAGAAGGTCTACCTTGGAAGTGACTTTGAGCAGAGTCTTTAAATAAGTATTGGACTTAGTGAGATGAAGAGAGATAGGTGGGGAGGGGGGAATAGGGGTTTCCAGGAGGATAAAACAGCATGACCAAATGTACGGATGTGGAAAAAAAATGGACATTCAGGGCACTGCATGTAGTTCAGAATGCCTAAAGTCTATAAGAGAGTGGAAAAGGGGTCAGAACTGGGGAGGTGAGCATCACCTGGGGAGGTGAGTAACAGGAAGGCCTTTTTTAGGCTTTACCAAAACCTTGGGGTATTCTCGTGCCCTTTAGAATGATTTTAAAGCACAGGAGTTAAGTGACTACTGTAGTTTTGCTTTCAGGACATACTGTGGTCTGAGTAAATAAAAAGATGACAAGAGAGAACAGAAGAATATTGTAATAATCAAGAGAGAAGCGGTGGGGCTTTCGACTAAAGCAGTGGTAGCAGGACAGAAAGAGGAGAACAATCATTACGAAAGCAGGAGTTATGATGCTTGGTTTCTGGACATGAAATGGAGAGTCTTGGAAGATGTTTGACTCTGAATAGAAGGAAAAAGAGATGGTAGTAGTTACAGGCAAAAGGAGAGAGGTATGGGTATGTGTAACTGTGTGTGAATAGCATTTGAGATGTGAGAAGGAGAGGTAGAAATGCAGAAAAGACACAGGATAATTGAGAGAATGGACTCCCTGCAGAGGTACGAAAGGAGAGGCAGAGGACTAGGATTAAAGGTGACTGAAAGCTGGAAGTCATGGAAAAGAGAGGCTGTCTGTGGAGACAGGAATAAACTCTCTTTGTGACTGTGTAGTTGGAGGAATTAAATGGGAAAGCTTGCAAAACAGTTGAAATGTGCTATTAGAGAAAGGGTAAAAAGCCAAGGTTAGAGATTTTTTTATTTAAATGTCATTTGTAAATTAGTAGCTGAAGCTTTGCAAGTGGATAAGCTCCCTGAGGCACTGGGAACAGAGGGAGAAGAGAAGAAAGGCCAGAAGTGTTTTGGGAAACACTCACAGTTAAATTAAAAAGAGCTAAGACCCAGAGAGATATGAGAAATAGGAAAGTATGGTAGTCCTGAGCCCAGATTAAAATGAATATTAAGAAGGAAGATATCATTCACAATGTCAACATCAATGAAATCTGAGGCTCAACAAAAAGTCATGCCTCAGCAAAATTATAAATTATGCCATTGAGATGGGAAAGATGGAGAATATGGGTGGAGTCAGTGAGAATGTTCCTGATAAGCAAATTCAATTCGATTAGATTTTTATTTTAAAGAGCAGTTATTGAATACCGATTATGTACCAGTAGTAGAGGTCCAAAATTGAATAATAAAGATTAAATAATTCTATGTCCTCTAGAATCTCAATAATAATTTGGATATTGCTTTTAAATTTATTTCATTATTACATCTTAGAGGCTGTCTTAGTATGGATTCCCCAGAGGCTTACCCTGAGACTGATTCAAATACAAGTAGTTTACTGGGAAGTTGATCCCAGAAAATTCCAGTAAGGTTGTGGCGAAGTAAGCAGGAAAGGGAAGAGGTCCACAAAATGTTCACTATCAAGGCAATCAGAGCTCAATTCCACTGCCAAACTCTAACAGACAATATAGAACACATCTTATATCCTAACCAAGAGGAAGGGAAGCGGAGGTGTTAGTCCACCAACTTTCTGTCCATCATTGGTTGAGGATAACCTTTGGGAATAGGAAATCTCCAGCACTTCCAGCTTTCCCAGCTTGCAAGGAGTTTGCTCTTAACGCTGGAAAAAAGTGCTCAGGTAGAAAAGTCACAGGTGTGCCCACTGAGCAGCCTTTGCCTATAGAGGTGAATGCTGGAGACATAGGTAGAGATATATTTGCTACAGGATATGTACAATATGAAGCTTGAAGACTAGCAATTATTAAGATAAAAGATGAATACTGGAAAAGATAAAACTGCAAAGGGATAAATGGAGGCAATTAATAATTCTAATTATAAGCAGGTAGATCAGGAACTTCTAATTTTTTCCTTAACCACATTTCTATAAAGATGACTATCTTAAAACTTTTAAGATGCAATTTGATACATGCATTATTTCATTATTAGGTCAACAAAATATCTATAGTGCCCTTTATATGTATATTTCATTTTTTTAAAAAAAATTCAGTATCACAAATACCCTGTGGGAAAATAATACATTTTATTCTGATTGAACAGAATAAAATGAGATTTCTCTGTCAAATTTCATTTGTTGAATTTAACAGGTTGCGATGAGTTTACTATTATGTTGTAAGTAATCTGGGGCTTTCTATTTAATTAACTATGTATGTTGTATGATTCCAGCAGTTGGCTGAATCCAATCAGAATAGTTAGCTATCAACAGTTGATAATATTTAAAAGCAAGAGAGGGCAAACGCCATTTAAATTTCAGACACCCAACCTTCCAAGTAATCACTGTTGCTTGATACTTGCTAAGCACTACCACGTGCTAGCACAGCTGAGATTTAGTTTATTGCAAGGATCTTTGTCCTTGGGAGAATATGGGGAAAATCTTCAAAGGTACAACATATAAACATAGATGTTCTAAAACACATCCAAACCAGATATTGATCAGAACTTAAGGTGATTTTTAAAATTTCTTCCTCATCAGTAGTCCTTTGATTTTTTTTCAGTGAATAAAACTGCAAAACTTTCAAAAACACCAAGTTTGTGCTACCATGATAGTATTTAATATAAGTTATTTCTGAGATATGAGGTGAGATGCTGGAAAGAAAGCTGGGCTCCCTCACTGGTATCAATTTTTTCAGGGGTATAAGGTCATACCTCAAAAAACTGAAACTTGCAAGGTAGTGCAGACCTTCGGAGCCTGTGATGGTTCATTTTAATTGCCAACTCACAGGGCGTTTCTGAATGAAATTAACATTTAAATCAGTGAACTCTGGGTAAAACAGACTGCCCTCCAAAATATGAATGGGCCTCACCCAATCAACTGAAAGCCCGAATAGACCAAAAAGACTGGCCTCCCTGCAGACGAGGAAATATCCCAAAGACCGCTATCGAACTTCATCTGCACCACTGGCTCTCCCGGGTATCTCATCTGACTGAGTACTGCAGATTTTGTACTTCCCAGCCGTCATAACTGGACAAGCCAATTCCTTATAACAAATCTCTGGCTATATACGTACACATCCTGTTGTTCTGTTTCTCTGGAGAATCCTAAGACAGAGCCCTTGGCAAACAGTCAAATTTAGGCATGTAAAAATCCCCTAACGCCAAGGTTTATAGTGTTACTTGTTTAATTTAAAGAGTGCTTTTTGCTTTAAAGTTGAAAGATTTCAATGGGTTCACTTCCACAGATTACTGACTAGTAAAAGTAGTTGAAATGTGTGGATAACTCACATATGCTATCTCATTTAGTCCAAAATTCCTATAAGCTAGGCAGTATTATTATTACCACATCACAGAAAACATTTCTAAGACTGGAGCATGTGTTATGGAATCAGACTGAGTTGACCTTAGGCTAGTTATTTAACTTCCCAAAGTAGCAGTTTACGCCTCTGCAACAAAGGAGATAAATATTATCTTCTCTTGCACTTGTGTAAGAAGTAAATATGATATAAAACATGTAAAGCACTTTGACCAGTATCTGGCCCAATGAAAGTATTTACTATGCTGCTGCTGCTATTATAAAACTTTTAAAGCATGAAGTATCTACCAAGATAATAAGGTGTGGACAAAAGATACTCTATTTCTATGTTCAGTGTGTTATATAATTCCAAGAACAACTTTTTGTCAAACTAATTTGTTTGGTGTTTCTGTGTTTTTTAAAATGTTCTATATACATCTAAATGCCTGGTCTGCAAAGGCTTCCTGCAGAAGGTGGCATATTGCTAATGTACTTGAAGATGGGGACTTGAAAGATATAAAAAGGATTTGACATCTGGCATGGTGACTCAATTAATTACTGTGTTGGATTAATTAGTGAGCTGAATCTCCCGAGCCAACACCATGAGTTTGAGCAGAGTAACATTACATCAGTTGGCGAATAAGCAATTTAAGAGAGTGCGCTAATCCAAATTTGATTCAAGGTTGGGTAGGGAAGGGGTAGTAGGCTATATATTTTATTATAAGGAATATTTATGATTTCAAATACATATTATAGTACTGTCCAAATTATGAGAGGTAACAAAACTCCAGAAGTCTTTGAATTAACTTTTAACTGCTCAAGTAGTCTAATTACATAATAAATATTTTGCCCATCGGGGAAAAAAAGGTATATTTCTAATTTTTGCATACTTCCTCCCAGAGATTTTTATAAATTTATGATTCATGTTAAGAAATCATCAACAATTTTATCATGCTCAAATCATGTTACAGATGTTATACTGAGAATGCAGTGTGGCAGAGTCTTTAAAAAAGCAGACTCTCGAATCAGAAGTGAGAATTTTTATTTTCTTATCTGTAAAATATGATTTATGATAGAACCAAATTCACAGGTTTTTTGGAGGACTAAATGAGCTAATCTATTTCCATTTTTCAGACATATATGTTAACCAATTTGATGTACAGTAGTAACAGTAGTAGGAATAATAATACTAGTAGTATTTAATGATATAAACTCAGAAGTAAATTTTGGAAGAGGATGTTATTTCAAAAGAAAAACATTTGAAAATATATTTTAGTGAGGCAACTAAATTTTAAAATAAGGAAAAATGCTGTATTTTAACTAAATAAAATAATCTGATATTTAAAGCCTAAGACAAAAGAAGAAAACTGAAGTATTAAAATTGTTTTCTATAAATAATAATCACCCATTACCCAATTGTTGATAAACTTAAGAGTAGTCATGTTTTAAATAGTATCAAAAATTCTGAAAATTTCATATAAGTTAACGCCTTTTAAAAATATTAAATATGGCATAAAATAGCTTTACAGTCATATAGAACTATTAAAATAGCAAAATGACATCAACTGTCTAAAATCAGAAATTATTTCAATGAAAAATAAAAAAATCAAACTTTCTCAGACAGGTTTATCTTCTATCCATCACGATTTAGCATATGGTAAAAATGTCATAAAACTACCATTCTGTATACATACAGAGAGTAATAGCAAGATTAATCAAAAATAGCATTTTAGTAAATATATCCTTTTAATATAGTAAACTGGAAAATGTTCATCTTGCATGTCAACTATAGCTGATACAGTGTCAGTACACTTTTGAAGAAATATACAAATGATTAAAGGTTGCATTGGTATCTGATACACTGTGATAAATAAGATAAATATGATATAGTTTAAAATGTTTAGTAAGCAATGCTAGAAGACAAACAGAAACTCCCAGATAAAATAAGTTCAGAATAGCATTTAATTCAATCTTTGATGTTTAGACAATCCTTCTCTTGCCTTTCTTAACATTCATTAGCTTGAGAAATGGGCACAGTTAATATTGCTCTCTGAAAGGAATCAATAAAACAATCTGTTAATACAACTCAATCAACTGAGGCCTGCATTTTGTGGCTACATCACAAATCTCTTTTGAAGTAGCTGCACTGGTCCACCTAGAACAAATTGCCCAGAATATTAAATATTTGGTCTGGACTGTAAGGTCAACTTGTTTGGTCCTTAAATGTATGTGAAAACCCCTACTTCATCCTTTTATGGATAAATACATGAATGTACAAAGTAATAAATATACCCCTGGGATCTCATGCACTCTTTAAAAGTTTGGTAACACAAATATTTCCTATTTATTCTAATCATTACTTTTAGTTGAACCAACAACCTCTGTCACATCCACATGGTACTGAATAAACGGAGATCCACATGTATCAATTTCTTTCATGTAATAACTTGAAGAAGGGATTTCCTTCATGTAATAAATCAAAAAAGGAATGTAATGTTGCTGAACCCAGTACACCTGTCGAAACCCCTCTGGGAGTTCTTATGTCCCTTTAGCATAGATAGGGTCATTTAAAAGTCACAAGACTGTTCCTACATAAATGGCATTTAGAGAGAAGGACTTTCAGGGGAATAAATACTTATAAAATTTCTGGATCCTCTAAGGAATATGAAACATTTTTCTTCCCAAATTTCATCACCTGTGTTATCACTTATTATAAGAGAGGTTTTCAGCTATTGTTTTTCTTTTATCCCATGTGGTAGGCAGAATAGCTCCTTGCAAAGATGTTTACATCCTGACCTCTAGAACTTGCGAACATTCCTTTGCATGGCAAAGAGAAATGAAGGAAGCAAATGGAATTGAGAGTGTTAATCAGCTGACCTTAAAATAGAGAAATTAGCTTAGACGACCCAGGCAGACACAGTGTAATCATAAGCATCCTTAAATGTGTAAGAGGGAAGCAGAAGAGTCAGAGATGGAATGTGGACGTGCGAAAGACACCATCAGGCCCTGGTGGCTTTGAAGATGGAAGGGGGTCTATGAGGGAAGGGCCACGGGCAGCCCTCAGAAACTGGAAAAGGAAGAAAACAGATTCTCCTATAAAGCATCCGAAAAGGAGTTCAGACCTGCAGACACCTTGATTTTAGCCCAGTGACACCCAATTTGGATTTCTGACTTCCATAACTGCAAGATAATAAGTTTATGTTGTTTTAAGGCACAAAGTTTGTGGTGAGTTGCTGAGGCAGGAATAGCAAACTTATATATCCAATTAAGAAATAAAGTTTAAATGTAACCAAACTACCTACCTTTCCATTTATTTATTTATTTATTTATTTATTTATTTATTTATTTATTATTTTGAGATGGAGTCTTGCTCTGTCACCCAGGCTGGAATGCAATGGCACGATCTTGGATCACTGCAGACTCTGCCTTCTGGGTTCAAGCAATTCTCCTGCCTCAGCCTCCCGAGTAGCTGGGACTACAGGCACCCGCCACCATGTCTGGCTAATTTTTTTTTGTATTTTTAGTAAAGATGGGTTTCGCCATGTTTGGCCAAGCTGGTCTCGAACTCCTGACCTCAAGTGATCCACCTGCCTCAGCCTCCCAAAGTGCTGGGATTACAAGAGTGAGCCACTGTGCCCAGCCTCCATTACTTTTAAAACATCTAATTAATCAATAATCCACATAATCATGGCAAGAGATAGACTTTCTGTTCTCAGAACTTTTACAAAAAAGCTGAATAACAAAAATTATAATGCTGACCACTCATCCCTGCTTTTAAAGGTACAAACAGTATTACCAAGGAAAAACAAAGTTGTTTATTTCTTGTTCTTCATGAAAACCTGTAATGGATGACAATTTGTGTCATCTGAAAAATAAAGGCAATTTTATATATTACTAAATGTGAACAGTCTTGGTCTGGCTAAGCAGATAAAGCAATAACCTTACATATTACCTTACTAGCCACAATTTAGTATGAGTAACCTGTTTCTGTCTAAATTCTGCGTATATTACTGTCAGACACAAACCACTTGAAAAGTATCCAAGTTTTGCTGTCCACGAAAAAGCAAAAACAAATGGTTATTTTTAGTGATTTCATTGGAAAGCAAGCAGAGAGAATTTCTGAGCTATGGCAAAATACTAACAGTCGATGACAAAATATTAACCATCTCGGAATATCCACATACCAAAGAATTATTATTCAAGTCCATCTTCCCAGGAAACGGCCCCCAGGTTGTTCCCACTGGAAGTTGCTGTCGACTCTGAATTTTTCGTTCCCCATCTTTCTGAAACACCTCCAGCTCTCCTGCAGACAAAGGAACAGAAGTGTTTAGAATACTTACTTGTACTTTATCAGCAGCCACCTCTTTTTGTGTGTTTGCTTTACACACATGATATTCTCAGGATTCATATAAAGAGAATTAATTATGCTTGTCTGAAAAACAACTCATCTTAACCTGAGAGGAAAATAAAACTTGTCCTTATAAATTGTATTCAAATTTAGTCCAATTTCTTCCTTTCACCTTTTCACATGCATCATCTACTGAAGCCAATTCTTTTTAGTTAAGTCTTTAAGAACCAGAAACAGTAACACTCCCTTAAAAAGCACTGATCCAATGCCAAAACAGGTAGACAAGAAACAGTAGGACAATCATTTTGTGCTAAAATTCTTGTATTTATTCAAGACTGTCAAACAACAATATCTGGAGAGTTTTTGAAGTACTTGGTAATTTTCTGAAATTGACTACCAGTTTCAATAGGTAAAATGGCTACATGTACAATATATAGCAAGGCATGTTTTTCAAATAAAAAATGTTTAGACGGAGTTTTTACTTGTTTTTCTGTATTTGGTATACTGAATAGAACTCTATTGTACCAAAAAAATACTTTAGAAATAACCAGCTTTGGAAGGTCTTCTTCCTTTCATTTACTCCAGAGTAATATTTTGGAACCTATAAAGGGAAATAGGAAGTAAAGACAGTATACACACTTGCATAAAGTAAGAATTCATTAAATGCTTGCTTAAGAAATAAATGAATGGAATAATATACAAATAAATAAAAGAGGGCCTCAAAATTTCAAAAAAAAAAAAAACGGCCAATAGCTTAAATGTTGTTTGGGATAGGTAGAAAAAAAATCACAATCAGGACTTGCAGCCTGTCTTTAAAATAATTATATCTAGGATATTTATTCCCCAAAGAGTATTACCATGCCATATCACCATACTAAAATGTTTATATTTTAAAAATTTTATCTCAGTAACCTAACTTCATTGTGTTTTAATGTTATTTATTTTCAGCCTGATCAACAGCAGACATGAGAATATGAAGGAATGAAACAGAAAGAAATATTAGGTTGGTGCAAAACTATGGCAAAAACCACAATTACTTTTGCGTCAATTTTAATGTCACTGAAAATCCATATAGAATAGAAAGCTGAGGAAAATAGAATAGAATATATTCAGTACTTATATTTTCTTTCTTTTTTTTTTTTTTTTTTGAGACAGAGTTTCGCTCTTGTTGCCCAGGCTGCCTCTCGCGTTCAAGAGTTTCTCCTGCCCCAGCCTCCCAGATAGCTGAGATTACAGGCAAAGCGCCATCAGGTCCGGCTAATTTTGTATTTTTAGTAGAGCAGGGTTTCTTCATGTTGGTCAGGTTGGTCTCAAACTCTTGACCTCAGGTGATCCACCCTCCTCGGCTTCCCAAAGTGCTGGAATTACAGGCGTGAGCCACCGCGCCTGGCCTAGTAATAACATTTTCTAAATGCTATATGTCATGACAGGTAACATATGAAATTGTTGCCTTAATCTCGCTTTAGCTTCTTTTCAAGTTAGTAGCTATCTTTAAATACATAGATTCAATCTTGAGTTTTTTTTCAAAAAGAAACACTGCCAACCTGAGTTCAATTCTATCTCTTCTTTATTTCTCTATTTAGTGTCACCTCCTTTTAATAGTTTAAATACCAGACATTATTGTTCATGTTTTCATTATTGCTTATCCTGAAAACCAAAACTGAAGTATATAAACTACAATCAGCTAAAATATTTCGGTAGTGGTTAAATTGTGTCCATGGTAAAATTTAAATTTATCTATATCTGAGCAATAAAGATGCAATGTTCATAACAATTTCATGTTCCCAATCAAAAATTTAAATTCAGTGACAACACTTTCATTCACCCTTCTTCTCATACTCTTTCTTTACCACTTGAAAAATACACTGAAAATTGAAGAACACATTAAATTAAGACAAATACACATTCTCCAACTTTTTAAATTCTGGTATATCAACAGCTAATGATGATCAGCAGTGAGGAAAATGAGCCCAGAAAGATTCAATAAGTCCGAATGTCTGAAAGATATAAATAGAATACGTATAGTAAATAACATATTAATGCCTAAGTACTAGATCCTGATGCTTATCCAGTGTCCAGAAACTATGGAAAGACAATAATTTGTTTTCTGTATACAGAATAACAAATCCATTTATGAGATTTTCCTCTGAAAATGTTTTTCATCTTTGTGCAATCTTTTTGATTAATGCATTGGAATGACAGACCCTTTATAGAAACACCCTCAGAGACAGAGCACAAAGATAACAATCTACTCTGATGTCAGAGAGGAATCAGTGGGACAACACGACTCAATATATGCATATTCACTTTCTTTATTGAAATATTTAGGATAATTTTCTTATTTGAAAATAAACTGTTTAATTTCTATTGGCTAGGAGTTCTCAGTATTTTTTTCAACCATACTTACTTACATTTAAAACAGTTTATTTACAATTTACCATTTAAAATAAAATACATTTCAATCTCTCAGCTAAATACAAGTTAAAAAATCTTCTTTTCTACATAAAAATATACCCAAATAATTTGCTTTTTTACACACTAAAAAACCAGTCATGTCACACTTAAGTGATACCAGAGGAATCATGAGAATCTTTGAAAACCCTTTAAAAAAGTAATTCATCCTCTCTTTCTGCCACTGACATATTTCATTTGAAAAGGGTTTGGACTCAGTAAACAGTGACTCCTTATCTATACCTGTGGATTTACAAGCAGCTCTGTCTTTTAATGGATTAAGAACTACAAACTTGGGGCAGATTGTAAAGTGATATCCAAATGTCTCCAAAGTTTCTGAAGTGTCTTTGATTATCCATTAAAATTTTAAGCAGACCAAAAATACTTTTACAAGCTCTTAAATATGGCCACAACAGAAAGTCCAGTAACTGTTCAAAATATCAAGTCAATCTTTTCAACTTTACTAGACAAGCAAGAATACCCCAGTCTCCTTTCTTGCTTGCCAACAAGTTATTTCAGGGTTTAGGAAAATCCTTTCTTATGCTGAAACAGTTAAATAAAAATATTCATTTATTCACAATAGCATTTCTAAAAACTGCAAGCATAGCGCAAATAATTAGCATGTATATTCTACCAAGGTTACATAGGTTAAGGATAGCAAAAGAAACAAAACATTGTATAAAGGGAAGTTACATTTAACTTACATATTGCTTAAGAGTATGATATTTTATTTTTTTTCCAAAAATTAATAGGTGTTATGAAATAGAGGAAAGATTACTGCACTAAAAGTAAGATTTTTACACCAATTCTGTTCAATAACCAGCTGAACGGCCTCAAATAAGTTATATCTTTCCTGAGTGTTTGGTTTGTCACTGTTAAAAGAGTGGTTTGCACTCACTCACAACTTGCTAAGCTGTTTTTCAACACTGACAGTCCATGATAGCATGATTTTCCTTCCCTACATACAACATATTATGAGAAGTAGAAGGGCACTGGGCTGGTGGGTCACAGACTTAAGTCCCCGAACCACTTTATCAGAGGATGGATGTTTGACTTGAAAAGATTAGATATTCTGAAATAAGATGGAAAAGCTCCAATTCTTATTTGATTTATTTATTCCTTTATGCCTCATTCATTCGTTTATTCATTCATTTATTTTATAAATATTTATTGGTACTTATAAATAAGTACCAGACAGTGTGTTAGGCCAAAGAATAAAGCAAAAAACAAAACAAGCCTGAACCTGGATGAATCCATGAAATAAAATCCATATGGCTTGGGAAGTAAAAGTCATAGAACTTAGTGATTGTTCAGATTTTAGAACTTAGGGCAGAGAGAATCCTAGAATGTTACACAGGTATCTCACTTAGGCACATGAGCCAATGGCCATGTTCCTGTTGAGACAGAAGAACACAGAAAAGCAAGAATTAAGAGTAAAATAAGGAGTTATAGTTTGGTAATGTTGATATTAAAGTAGCTATAAAGAAGGCAATAGGTGATTTTAGGTAGGCAAGTATAGGCCTGGGGCCCAGAAGCAAGGTCTTAACTAGAAGCAAGGTCTTGGCATTTATTCAGTAATTAAAACCACCTTGTATATGGTAATACAAGCCATAGGATTAAAGAGTATATCATGATAAATAAGAAGACCTAGGACAGAATTCTAAAGACCTTCAAAGGCATAGTGATGCAGGAATAGGCATAGAAACTTTAGGAGAATTGGCAAGAGACATAGAAAAGAAATTGGATATAGTACCATAGACACCAAGGGGTTGATTGAGAATTTGAAGGAGAGGGGAATCAATCAAGGAATCTGAAAATTTATGAAAGTAAGAAAAGAACTAGAGGCCAGACATGGTGGCTCAGGCCTGTAATACTAGCACTTTGGGAGGCCGAGGTGATTGGATCACCTGAGGGTCAGGAGTTTGAGACCAGCCTGGTGAACATGGTGAAACCCCATCTGTGTTAAAACTGCAAATATTAGCTGGTTGTGGTGGTGCATGTCTGTAATCCCAACTACTCGGGAGGCTGAGGCAGGATAACTGCTTGAATATGGGAGACAGAGGTTGCAGTGAGCCAAGATCGCACCACTGCACTCCAGCCTGGGTGACAGAGCAAGACTCTGTCAAAGGGGAGGGGAGGGGAGGGGAGGGAAGGGAAGGGAAGGGAAGGGGGAAGGGGGAAAAGGGAAGGGGGAAGGGAAGAACTGGAAAGATTCCTTTGGATGAGATGGCAATCACAGGTATTTGGAGTGAAAGGAGTTTTGTAAAGTGGTAGACCGGGATACACGCTGGAATGGGTTCACAATTGAATGAGAGAAGAGTAACTGTAATAAGCCATGTGATCCTTAGCAAGTTACCTAACCCTTTGAACTTCAGTTTCTGCATGCAAAGTGGGAACTGCAATAGCTTTCTAAAAAGGTTGCTGTGAGGATTAACAATATGCAAAGGCAAAGTACCTGATAAATATTTGCTACTTCACCAAAAAGAAATTGAAGAATTCTAAGAGCATGTCCATATACTTCCATTATCACATCCAACCATTCATTGATGTCTGCTTGTGGTCACGTGCCCTCTTTGTCACCTTTATCCAAATCACTCCTCATATCCTGACTAATTTTCTTTTCCATTGGCTGTTGGATTCACCCTTCTTATCAGCATTTTTAAGGTTTTCATCAACTCAGATGTAGACAACCCACCAGCCTCAATTCATTCTACAGCTCCAATTCAGGTTTCAAATCTCTGCCAGGATAAACTGATTAAAACTCCACTTTCATCATGTTACCCATTTATGCAAGTTCCTTCACTAGCTACTTCTTGGCCATCCCAAATTGAACATATCTGCCTGAATTTTAATACCACTGATACTGCTCCACAGTATTTGCCTGACTCTTGCGTTCTACTGCTCTCCCAAATGTGTTCTTCCCTCCAGTCAAAAAAGCCTTCTTCTCCTTCCATTCCTCCTCATCTCCAGTTTAGCTCCCCCATAACTTTCTGAGAATGGTTCCCGCTATCTGGCAGACACATCCTATTTCTGCCTGCCTTAATAGACCCTTTTAATGTTGCAAGGTCAAGCCCAAAGCTATTCTCCTTCATGCACCTTCTCTGAATTCTAGAGAAAACCGAATTTTTCTTCCCTAATACTCCCATTGCATTTATAGTCCAATATCATACAGTTTTGCATTAAATTATTCCCTAGTAGGTTTCTCCTTGATAATGTAGTTCACCTCAACAGAAACATAAACATTTTAATCTACAAATTTCTTTAATAATTCTGTTTATTCCCTGGTAATTAATAGAGTTTGTGACACATGATATTTGAAAAATACAAATGGAACACAATTGATGGGATGAAAATCTTGATGATACGACGTATCTCAATTTTAGTACAATTGAAGTTGATTTTTGGAGACAAAAGAGAGTTGTCTTAATATGTGTCTGCTCTTTGTATTACAACAAGCATCCATTTCACTTGTTCAACCTTCTATGTAATGCGTTCACATACATTACCTCATCTATAGAATACGGAGTGGGATAAAAAAATAAAAAATGTTCTTCTCTGCCCAGTTCATATTTTTGCAGTTATTCTTCAAAAAGAAGCCTGATTTTTTAACATGCTGGGTAAGTTCACAGAAAATATTTGAGGCATATAGGACGGACTAATCAATTTTGGTAAAAGATAATATTGTTAGTGCTCAGGGCTGTTTCTCTTATCTTCTTGATAATGCATACTTTTAAAAGTCTGTGATTACTCAAAGACTTATGATAGCTTAACTTAAAAAAAAAAAGGCCCTAAGTCAGAAATCACTACCAAACATCCCACAGCTTTTTAAAATATCAACCCACTTTTTGGCCTAAATAAAAGAAATTCACTGGTGGAGAGAAATACTTAAAATCACCAGAGACACCCTCAAATATTTTTTCTTTGAAAGTGCTATCAAGACATTGTATTTTTTTAATATGGTCTTTTTGATGCCTCTTTAGAAAGCAAAGGATATGAACATAGTAGCACACCAAAGGGGAACAGACAGATATGAGTCTTTTAGAATAGTTACCAGCAATCATGCTTCACCTGAATTCACCATTAAGTTGATGATATAAACATATAAGGTAATTACAGAACGACCCTTAACTCAAGGCTCAGATTTCATAGGACATAGCTGCAAGTAAATGAGATGACAGAAGATCATATTGCATTTGCTGAAAATACAATTCGGATTGGTTTGAACTTGGTTTTAAATATACAACCAAATTTTAAAGCAGACCACATGAATTAGCTCACAATATTTATCAGGCCATAGTATAGCAGAAGGCTATAGCGTCAGAACCCATATTTATATTTTCTTCATGGTTGGAAGACATTATACATCATGGTATCAAACATGGACAGCCCCGAAGTCATGCTGAGTTCAAAAAGCACTCAAAGATTCTAAAAATCTCAAAACATTTTCAAAGTCAGCCAAGGTGGCTGAAGTATGGCAGAGCTCTTGCTATTTTATGGTTTAACCATTTGACAGCTGCCTGCCAGATACCTAAGAGGGTTAGATCATTTCACTGCTGATTATCTTCACAGCCAAACTGCAGTCTTTCCATTATGTGTGTTTCCTCAGGCATTAATAACCATGTTTCATCTGCATTTTGAGACAAATAGCACCATTTATATTATGCTATATTGATCCATCTCTAAGCATGGTTTGGCTCAGGAAATGATAGTTCTTGGTTGGTGACTACAAATTGCCTTATAGAGATACTTTTTCTAATTTTCCTTCTCAATGTTTGAGTCATACAGTCACAACAAATACTAAACTACAGTTTTGAACATAAACTTGAAATACGACGTTCCCTATTCAAGTACTCTAGTCAAACCCTGATAAATCAGGCTGGCCATGCAGTGATCTTATCCCTTCTGACTCTTTAATAAATCGAACCTTGTAAGTTCCTACTGTTGGAAGTTGTCACTAAATGAAATTGTGACCTTATCCGGCGCATGAACTTATCCTGCTGACAACTACATTTATTGTGTGGATAAGAAAGGAAAAAAAGAAAAAGGGAATAAAGAAAAAATGAGATACTTGATAATTCTGATCTTAGCCATATGTAACTCTAACAGATGGGATCTTTTTGATGTTCCATTAATGATTTGCCAAAGATGAGTCTCTACTTAGAGAAAAATGCTCACCCTAGGTAAGTGCTGGGGGCACTGCAGATGGTATTAAAAGAGCATGAGGAGGTACTGGGTGACAGCAGCAAATCAGAAGCTATTAGTCCAACACAAAGAGCACTGAATTAGCTTGTAATTGCACTGGAAAAGATAACATAATGGTGGTGGCAAAATAGAAACATTCCCTTTTCATGCGATGAATTCAGTACCTAAAAACTCTAACACAACACACTGGAATGGTCTAAAACCTAGAGTAAAATTACTGTATTTCTCAAGAATGCAAAATGCTCTCTTTGGCTATAGTTTCTAAAAAGTCATAGAAATCAATGTGTACAGCATCATATAAGAAGCAAATTTACATTTATATGCTACCAAATATTGACATATATTACAAACTCAGGAACCTTTTACCTTATTATTCTGGCTGGTCTTAAGGATTTATTCTGAGACAGGTTATTCTTTCTATCTTAAGGACCATTGAAACTTTCCAATTGTCATTTTTATTATAGAGAAATAGAGAAGACGAAATATGTGGGTAGGCAGTAATATTATTGGTAATGAAACAGAAAATTCTAAGTGTTTTTAAAAACAACACCATGGGCTGGGTACAATGGTTCACGTCTGTAATCCCAGCAATTTGTGAGGCCAAGGAGGGTGGATTGCTTGAGCTCAGGAGTTCAAGACCAGCCTGGGCAACATGGCAAAACCCTGTCTTTACAAAAAAATATAAAAATTAGCCAGGTGTGGTGGCATGAGCTTGTAGTCCCAGCTACTCAGGAGGCTAAGGTGGGAGGATTGCTTGAGCCCGGGGGGGATCAAGGACTACAGGTGTGCCACTGCACTCCAGCCTGGGTGACAGAGCCAGATCCTGTCTTTAAAAAAAAAAAAAAAAAAAAAGAACATCTGAAAAACCCACCATGAAATAACTAGAAGACCTTCACTTACATCACTGCATACAAAATAAGTTTTATATTCAGAGGCCATGTTCAAGGTTGGGAGAAAGAAATTGCCATATTCTGCCCTTTGCTCTAAAGTCTTTTTATATGAACAAAGAAACAGGAAGAAACAGCCCATCCCAGGTGTCTGAAAATATTCACCTGGAGTGTGACTAGCTCTTGCAAATGTTCGGAAAAGTCATTAGAAGGTGGAGCTGTGGTCGTTGGAGACTTTTCAGCTGCTGGAAGTTGAGTGGGAGGGAGCAGGTCACCACTCTTTTGCTCAAGAAGCCTGGCACAGTGTGCTTCTTTGCTGCCAGAAACCTTCCCTGACCTTCTAGACAACATCCCGTGTCACAGCTGACCTGATACTACTTCCTGATCCAAATGTGAAGAAACAGAGGAAGGTTATGTTTTGGGAGCTCCAGTTAGTGGGGGTATCATCTTGGAAGTAAGAGGACTTGGCTAGCAAGCACAGGAAACAGCAGTGGAATGTGCAGCAGCTAAAAGTCAGTCTACCAGCTGGAGGGCCACAGAAAGGTCCGTCCATGAAGAGTACAGGTCAGAGAAGGTGTGTTTTTCTCCAGGAGGAAAAACTCCAAAGAAGAAACAAGATAAAAATCAACTATTGATCCTGTCCGATGACAAGATAGGAAGAAATAATTTTTAAAGAACATCAATAGAACTCATTGATATTTATGGCACTAAATTTAGTCAATCAACATCATTTATTTATTTATTTAGTCAACACGTAGTCTGTTAAAACTGCCTGCTTTTCATAGGCTGCTGTCGTTAATTTAGAAGAAGATAATTCACTTAGAACTTATCACAAGTCATTGCTGATATTTAACAATCACATATACTTGTTTGTTTGTAGACGTGCTAGATCCTGTGTTAGCTTGATATCTATAACAAACCAAGATATGGTCATGTATTGTAACATGATGAGATTGTATAGTTGGAGATGAAAGGAAATATACTGATAAGCTTTGACAGGTAAATATTGTTAGACTTCAGTTGTGATTAGAATGAGTTTTGCCTGGAAGTAAAGATCTTCAGGAGGTTCCAGCTGGGAGTGGAGAGGTGATTTTTAGGTCACAAAATTATAAAACCAAAGGATGGCAGAATGATTTGACAGATGAATAAATGACAAGGGAAAAATAAAAGCATTACTTTGAAACCTTTCAGTCTAACCCAGGGAGCTCATACTACACTGTGAGGTACTCTCATTCCCTAATAGAAATGTTCAGAAGACTGGTCTGAAGTAGAATTCCATTACAGATTTTTAAATTTTTATTCAGAGAACAAGTATAACAAGTACCATGTGTCTTTAAAAAGAGTTTGTTCAAAAATAGAGTGGAAAACAGAACCATAAAGAAATAAAAATGTAACATATAACCAATGAATATAGACCCTAGGATACTTGAGTTCATTCCTTGAGTTCAATACTACTGCCAGCACACTTCAAATAATATCTAAATATGTTATGAAACTGTGATGCAGATCCCAAAATTTAGGAGAATAAGTCCTATGCAGTACTAAACATTAAAGTGTTAACTGTGCCACGCACTAAATTCTCTTACAGTGTGGCATCTTCAATAAACATACTATATATTTATTTACTTTAAAAATGCCTTAGTCGATAGAAAGATCTCACTTATAGGCTATAATTTGGCACAAAGTTGCTTATTTCTACAGTTTGAATTTATATTGTTGAAAATATTATTCATTTCAGAAAATACCTCCAAAAGTATCCTTTTTAAAGCTGAAGAATGCTGCAGCCATTTCCTAGTCATTCTGGAGTCTCTGATTAACAATCGCATATCTTCACGGTTGCATATATTCTTAAGTTACACATAACTGATGAGAAGCATTTACCCAAAAGCAGACTCCTTGACACTCTGTGTTTTCAGTGCAGTACATACTCAGTCTTGCTATGTTCTGGAGGCTTCAGCTGTGTGGTGTATTTATTGAAGTACCCATCATTAGTGTTTTGTTTCAACCCTAGCTATCCTTTGAAGTCTATCTGCCATTCTCTGGTGAACACTTCCCTGATTCACACAGCCTCTCCTTGTCAGAAGTTCAGAGGTGATTGCTCCTGTTGAATTCCCAAAGTATGTGATTTTTTACTCTAATACATTTCATCACTTTCTTCCTTATAAGAGTGATTTGTACGTATTTTCTCTCCCTACATGCAACTTTCTAGATATCTCCACAATGCTTTCTACCTGGTAGGGCTATAGGAAGTAAAAAGAGTAGGTATAATTTTTATCATCATATTGATTGGGCTAGGGCTCAAAGCTAAAATGACTGATTTAAGTTACAAAATTAGTAGTGATACCAGGACTCCAATTCTGGTTTTCTGACCCTTTCATATTTTATCACACTGCTTGTTTCAAAAAAATGTAACAACTTAACTAGGTGGAAGGATTGACCTCAAACCCACTATCATATCAGCAGCCATTAGAGTGGATTCATTTATAAGATTAGCTGCCAGTCAATTTGGAAAGCAGAATGTGAGTGCCTGAAGGACGGGGCCACAGGGTGAGTTTTGAAGGAGGTAAGGTGGTAGGAAAGATTAAACAAACAAAACACTGTGAAAGCATCACAGGGCTAAGGGTGGCAAGCTTATGATGTGAGTGTCAGAGTTCACAAAACATTTTACATTTCTGTCCCAAAAATTTCAGAAAGAAGAAAGCTAGTAAGATTCATTGGTTTAAGACAATGAAGTCCCCTCTCTCCACCTGATAATCAGACTTTCAATGTTGTATTTTAGTATATTTAATAACTAAATATTTTCTCTGAAGAATAAGCACTAAATGACATATTATGCATTACTAGCCTAAGAAATGATACATTTAGGCTGGGTGCAATGGCTCATGTCTGTAATCCCAGTGCTTTGGGAGGCCAAGGCAGGAGAATTGTGTGAGCCCAGGAGTTTGAGAACAGCATGGTCACATAGTGAGACCATATCTCTACAAAAAAAATACAAAAAATTAGCCAGACATCGTGGCTTGTGCCTGTGGTCCCTGCTACTTGGGAAGTTGAGACTGGGGGATCGCTTAAGCCCAGGAGTTGGAGGCTACAGTGAACGGTTATTGTGCCACTGCCCTTCACTCTGGAAAACAGAGTGAGCCCCTGTCTCAATTAAAAAAAAAAGAGAGAGAGAGAGAGATAGAGGAAGGAAAGAAGGAACGAAGGATGGAAGGAAGAAAGGAAGGAAGGAAGGAAGGAAGGAAGGAAGGAAGGAAGGAAGATGGGAGGGAGGGAGGGAGGGAGAGAAGATTTGTGAGCTTTTCTTCCCAAGAATAACAAGTGTAAAGGACACCAAAACGACTCCCCATCTTTTCATTTGCATTGATAGCATTTTCTCCAGAAATGACCTGATGCAAAATTGTACATAGCTACTGCAAACTAGAAAATCTCATGCCCTCGCTTTAACCAACTTGTAAAATACATCTATATCACACATTCAGCATGCCCAGTAAGCTAACTATAAATATGTTCCATATATATGTTATTCTTCTTCTCTGTCTTCTCCTCTCCTTTCTCTCACTTTCCCTGGATCTTTCCCTTTCCAACATGAATATAGAGTATAGAGATGGCAGATTTTGAAGAAGAAGAGGAGGAGGAAATGAAGGAAGGAAAGCTGATATTATCACTCATGAGCATAGTTTCTTGCTGTGGAGTGGTCCTAACAGAGAATCCTTACATATGCTTATTTGAGGTGTGATCAATAGACCTACAATAGCCCACCATGTATCAGACTTCTGAAGACAGTACTATTCCCAGGACTATTTTGTTCATAAAATCATATCCAGCTGAACTTTACTTAAATACATATTTACTCATTCAAAATTATTTGTTAAACACTTACAATGCCAGTCACAATGCTGAATACTGAAGATGTAAAATGAATCTAATGTGGACTTTTTCCTTATGTGACTTACTCTAATGGTGAGATAATTACGACCTAATATAACAAGTGTTTGCTGAAGGTATAAGATAAAATTTTACCAGTAAGGAAAAAAATCTCCTAAGGCAACCTGGAGAAATCAGGAATGGCATCTCAGAGGGAGGATTGGCAAAGGACTAAAGCAATATACACCATCTTTTTCCTTTAAGAAATCAGAAAGAATGTCTTCAAAAAATGAACAAATAGAATGTCAAGCATTTTAACACATTTGTTATGTTACAATAAAATTGTAAGGCAGAGGTTTAATGAATGAGAGAACGTTGCCTTGAGATAAAAATCACTGCCAGATTGGATGGAACAAATTGCTGGAATTTGTTGTAAAAAAAAACAGTTTTAAGACCATGAAATCATAACTGATGGTAAGAGTTTCTGTCGTTCAATATTGTAAACATGTTAATTTTGGACAAAATAGTCTAAAAATTATTGGAAAATGACTTTTAAATTGCTTTTAACTTAAATTATATTACTCTTATAAAATATTTTTCTTATTAGAAAAACTTACTTTGCTCTTTTTTGATAATTTCACATGAACTCCTGAAATTAATATAAGGATCCTGAAAGTTATCGCCTCCAGCACTAAAGGTCAGAGAGGTGAGTATATTTATCATGTCCTCTCAGTGTATAGTTCCTAACAATCAAAGAGTTTCTTTTCACCATTTATTCCTATGATCTACTTGGTGAAGTTCTGAATGAGCACATTCAGAACTAATGGTGTGATGTCTGAAAGCAGAATCAGACACTCAGAAACGACCACAATTATATAAATTACCTATGTGATGCAAGAAGTCAACTGCTTTTCTTTAAAAAAAAAACCAAAACTTCACATGGTTAAAATCATTTTTATTGTTTCATGACTATATATCAGAATACTTACATAGCCAAAAAGTTATTACATTTAAAGGATATTTGTAAAACTGCATCATGCAAATGGGTAGATGTTGCTTACGAACACCAAAAACTTTAATAAATAATATCAGAAGATAGAAATTATGTTTGAAA
The DNA here is from genome assembly GCF_000001405.40 of Homo sapiens. NCBI lineage: Eukaryota > Metazoa > Chordata > Mammalia > Primates > Hominidae > Homo > Homo sapiens. The sequence goes on along the minus strand of NC_000008.11, from coordinate 105,547,799 downwards.
TTATGTATATCTGTCAAAACATCTTTGTATCAGAAGATAGAAATTATGTTTGAAATTATGTATATCTGTCAAAACATCTTTTTGTTTCTAAAGAAGATAGGTATAAATGTAAAGATGACTTACCAAAATATGTTAATATATCACTTACATCTGATTTCCTCTGTACAGTCACTGACTTAAGTAAAACCACGAATTTAAAGTATAGCTTTCTTTAAACACACTCTGATTTCTTTTTTTTTTTTTTTTTTTTTTTTTTTGAGATGGAGTTTCACTCTCGTCACCCAGGCTGGAGTGCAATGGTGTGATCTTGGCTCACTGCAACCTCCGCCTCCCGGGTTCAAGCAATTCTCTTGTCTCAGTCTCCTGAGTACCTGGGATTACAGGTGCCCACCACCACGCTCGGCTATTTTCATATTTTTTGTAGAGACAGGGTTTCACCATGTGGGCCAGGCTGGTCTCAAACTCCTGACCTCAGGTGATCCACCCGCCTCGGCCTCCCAAAGTGCTGGGATTACAGGTGTGAGCCACCAGGCCTGGCCTCTAATTTATTTATATTATTCATCTTAAATATCAGTTATCCAGAATAAAGTAGAAAATGTATAGCAAGAGTAGAGTTGAAGTGGAATAGGCACAGCAATATGGAAATCATTATGCACAATTCTTAGCTAGAGTAAAAATAATGATTTGCCATTGCAAAGAACACAGGCTTGAGCACCTTACTTTCAATTTATAATAACCATCTATAATATTTTGTCCTCCACCAGATACATGAATGTCCTAATTTTATATTTTCTGATATGATGAATCTGACCTCCTCCCCAAAAAAAGGGAAACTGTGATACTTTTATTCTGGAAAAGAACTGTATATGTAGATAATAAGGAGAAAATATATGAGACATTATTAAAGTAAATTTTATAGATTCTTATATTGATTTCATAAATCATTAAAAGTGGGAATTATATACTCCTAGGATTCAATAATTCAGACCATATTAGAAAAACTTTGCTAACCATCTTGAGCACTACTAGCTTATATTTACTCTGGATCCTTCGACTGGTTGCTACTTGCCGTGGAATCAATTTAATTTCCTAACTGATCCTCCTAAGTTTGTCATGAACATGAGACCACATAGATAAAGGACTCAGTATAATGTCGAGCACATAGTAAGAACTCAATACATGTTATAAGTTTTATCTTAGTGGTTTTTGGGTTTGTTTTTTTTTTTTTTTTGAGACTGAGCTTTGCTCTTGTTTCCAGGCTGGAGTGCAATGGTGCTGTCTTGGCTCACAGCAACCTCTGGCTCCCAGGTTCAAGTGATTCTCCTGCCTCAGCCTCCTGAGTAGCTGGGATTACAGGCATGCACCACCACGCCCGTCTAATTTTGTATTTTTACGGTGTTTCTCCATGTTGATCAGGCTGGTCTTGAACTCCCGGCCTCAGATGATCCACCCGCCTCAGCCTCCCAAAGTGCTGGGATTACAGGTGTGAGCCACCACACCCAGCCTATCTTAGTGTTTTGTAATTGGGAATAAATAAAGACGAAAATAAAACATATGGATAAAAACTAGTCTCGTTCAACATGCAGATTTGCTTGATAATCGCAATTAGCCAATCTAGTACTAGCCTTCACCTAGAACCACTTTCATTCCAGGTGAAGAAAAAGGGAGGCAGAAAAGATCATACTGAATCCAAAAGGAAACAGGAACAGAGCTCCCAGAGCTGATTCTACCCCCAAAGGTAATGGAGACATTCAGCCCACAGTAACCCCACACTGGTACTTCCTACTTTATAGCTAAGCCAGGCAGAGGTATGTGGCTGTAAAGGGCAACATCAAAGGTGGGTCACCCATTCCATTTCTAGATAACCAGGATTAACTGCTCCACTGACATTATCCTGATATTATAGAGTTCCAGAAAGGAGAAAATAAGGAATGCACTTATGCATTAGTAAAAAAAAATACTTGCACAACCATATTTAAAACAATGGAAAATGTTTATTCATCTTACTGGCTGCCATTAGATTTTTTTCCATTTCCTTCCTCAATTCTTCTCAATTTTAAAATAATGAAGATAAAACTTACAGCATTTACTAAGTACTTATAATATAGCAGACATTATATTGAGTTCTTTATCTATGTGGTCTCACTTTCACAACAAACTTAGGAGGAGCAATTAAGAAATAAAATAATGCCCATGGTAAGCCACCAAAATGGAAGCAAAAGCATCTTTATTAATTAGCACAATCTTAATTTTTTGAGAATATAGTCCTTATATTTTCTAAGTTATTTAGTGTAGATTTATATATTACCTCCTTTTTCTTTCTAACTCAATAGAACACTTTGAATAAAATTACTGCAGTTAGATAGGTGGCAATGTGGGAGAGAAGAGTTGATAAAGATTAAGGAAGAGCAACAGTCACCAACTTACATGAGAGATGGCTACTACAAAAAAACAGAAGTTCTGAACAAACACTGATCTACCAAATAACAATGATTAAATGTATAATGGACAATTACATTAAAAAGTCAGGGACAATCCTAATTTCTTGATGGGAAAATTGGCAGTGTTTCAAATATAAACAGGCATTTCCTCCACTATTTTTTCAAAAATATTAATTACTATAGCTCCTCACACTTACAAATATCTCTATCAAAATCAAAGGTTATTCCTTAGGATCCTGTGAAAATGCAGATATTATTGACATCATCATCATCATGATTTTTGTCATTCTAATAATTTCAGCTTCTAAACCAAGGATGTTAAACCTAAATAAAGCATATCCTCAGGAAAAAATAACATTTTTAATGTAAATTATTAATCCACCCTTTTGACTTCTCAAAGCCAACAAAGTAAAAGCAAATCAAGGCTACTACACAATGAATGTATTTACCATTGCTTATTACCAATCCATGATATATAAAAAAGATGGTTCCATGAACAAGCTGTGTACGAACATGTGGAATTTAGTTCTCACCACTCCATGTATTTATTCATTTGCTGAACAAACATGTAATGAGCATCACCTTTGCTTCTGGCCCTGTAATCATCTTGCATTTGGGGGGTCACTTTTCTTAAGTAATTTTGCTCAGCTGAAGATTATTAAATCAATACTGCAAACCCAACTTGTGTCCATGAAGAAGCAAACACTTCCACCTTTATATTTAATCACAACTACATGAACCATTAGACCTCCTTTTCTTCAGAACATCAAATTACAGTAAAACCTTTTCAGTTTCAGCTTTGTTGCATGAAATTATTATCAAGGTGGCAGGGCCAGAGCTGAAGTTTAAAACAGGAGGTAGAAGCAAGAGAATAATATAAACAAGATTTGAAATGAGACTACTTAATAGAATAAATTCTAAAGCACTTAAGAGAAATTAATTTACAAACACATAATCAATTACAAGGGAAGAAAAAGCCAACATCATTAGGGGAGGGTAAGGAAGACTCCAATTACAAATCATGGCAATGCGCACCTGACCTCATGTAGAATACTGTTAGTCGTAAATATATTCTACTGTATGAAATAAAGGTGACAAATCTTCATTTATTTTATAAATATTCTAACACCCATACTAGAACTGACCATTCTCTAAATTGTTCATTCTACTAAGGCTTTTGTGATCCTATTATTAAGAAATTTATTTTGTAATATTTTATTTTATTTCAGCATTTTACTAATTTGAGAAAACTAAAGGCTCCTAGTTTTATAACTCAATATGGAAATAGTGTGTATAGTATCAACAAACTGATATCAAAAGGCAGGCCTCCAAAACACCTTTTGATAACCAGCCATCTTCAGTTAGAATTGTTCATGTCTTCCATTTACCTTCCCACTAACGTCCATCAGAATATCTACAGCACTGTAGCATGCGTGTGCATGTATGTGTGTGTGCATGCCTGACTAATGTCAACGTTAAGGTCTGGCCAACTATACCCAAGTTATGTGGTTCATGACGGAAAGTATCATGTCTAATAATAAGTTGTTCCTAAGATGTAGTATTACGCCTGGAATAAAATGAAGGATTTAATAAATACTACTTGAATACACAAAAGAAGGAAGGAATGGAGGGACAGAAGGAGGAAAGATAGTATTTGCAAAAATATATAGGATGACTTAAATTATACAGGATAAGATGACATGAAAGTAATAAATGAAAGAAAAGATACATCACTTAAAAATCAGAAGACTAAAGATCCTTTTTAATACTCTTCCAATTGGTTTAATTCCTTACAAATATAGAAATAAGGAAATGATTTTTAAAAAGAGAGAGATTTGATTTTATGTAATCCATGTTGAGTCAGGAAGAGCCCATATGATTAAATTCCCCTGGGATACTAAATTTATGATTCTATGTTATGATGGGCTCACAGCCACCTCTGCCTTCTGGGTTCAAGTGATCCTCCCGCCTCAGCCTCCTGAGTAGCTGGGACCACAGGTGTGGGCCATCAAGCTAGGCTAATTTTTGTATCTTCTGTAGAGATGGAGTTTCACCGTGTTGCCCAGGCTGGCCTCAAACTCCTGGACTCAAGCCATCCACCCACCTTGGTCTCCCAAAATGCTGGGATTACAGGAGTGAGCTACCACGCCCGGCCTTGTATTTCGCTTCTCTTAAAAGGAGATAGAGGTAAATTCTTCAGACGACTTTAATCCAGGAGATTTTAATTTAACTTCTCATCATGGAAATGCAAATCAAACTAAACAGTCTATTAATATCACTAAGATCTTGTATTGCCTTTAATTATGCATTTCAATGTTCACTTTAAACAGCAAGTAAACATCTTTTTGGATACTAGTAACAACCTAATGACCCACCTTGACTTCCTGAGAACAAGAAGTTATTTTTAAAATTACAGATTCAACATGCACATACATTCACACACACTCATAGACAAACAAGTATAAGCAAAACTGAAAAAAATTAGAATAAGATAGGTATATGGCATAAATGTCACTATCTTGGTTGTGATATTATACCACAGTTTTAAAAATTGGTAACCATTGTGGGGAACTTGGCAAAGTATATAAGGAATCTCCTTGGACTATTTCTTACAACTGCATGTGAATTCATAATTATCTCAATAATTATCCCTTTGTGTCCATGGGGGATACGTTCCAGGACCTCCTGCAGGATACCAAAATCTACGCACATTCAAGTCCCACAGTAGACCCTGAAGAACCTGTGGATACAAAAAGTCAGCTAGCCCATGAACGCTGTATTTTCAGTCCACATTTGGTTGTGGATAGGGAACTCACTGATAGGGAGGGGCCAACTGTATTCATTGAAAAAAATTCTGGAACTCATGCAGTTCAAACTTTCATTATTCAAGAGACAACTGTAAATATTTAAGAATATGGATTCAGACACTTGAGAGCTCTTAAACTATTAATTTATAATTATCAAAACAAAGCCAACCAAAACGATTTAACACATCTCGCTATAGATAAAAACAATCAACAACTGAAGCAAATATAAAATCTATCACCTCAGGTTTCATACAATTCAAAGGGGAGAAATAATCCTGAATATCTAATTATCTAATCCACCAAAGAACTAAAAATTAACAAGACTGCATTTCTCTTTTAAATATGTATTGCGTATTTGTAGAACATTACGATATTTTTACTCACTATCAATCAATAAATTAATTACAAAGCTAGCAAAATAACCATTTTTCATATAAAAATTATTAATTGCATAAATAATAAAGTATTCCCTCTTTGGATTCTGGTTTTATTTCTGCTGAGCCTGAAAAAGTAATTTGTGACAGTATGTTTATTTTACTTATTTTCCCATATATACAAAGACTTATCAGTAATACTTGTTATTCATCTTCAAATATTGCTTTATTTCTGGAAAAATAATTTTTTACATTAAAAAAATTAGCAATTTCTTCAAAATGAAGGTGATTTAAATGGCATTTGGTGTCCATTTTCTCATCTGTTCCTTTTTATAAGATTCAGATGTTATACTGAAGCAGATAAAGTCATTACAATACTGCAATAAAATAGTAAAATGTGAGATATACAGTGCTGAAATGAATTTAATCTGCTATACTGTTTTAAATGGAAATATATTGTAAGATTATACATTTCCTAAAATGGCAACACAGATATTACTGCTCCCTGGTGAAAGATACTAAAATCTCCATTTATTTAGCTGGTGTAGGTATGGCCTTAGGTGTACACCTACAAGTGAATTAAATCTAATTGCTTATTTTCAGTTCCCTCAGAAAGTACTGCCTTTAAGCAAGATGTAAATGCATTTAAATGGGTATATTCCTCTGAAACTCTGTTCAATAAGTCAAGTGTTTCTTCCAATATAGAGATTCTTCTTTGATCCAGGATATTCATGATATTTCACTTAAAAGTACAGGCACAGCATGGTGGAACTGAAAGAGAATATGTTTTGAAGTCAGATGGAGATGGGTCTGAATTCCAGCTTTGCTATTTAACAACTGTGTGATAGTAGGATAGTTACTTAAACTGAAACTCAGGGTCCTCATCTATAAAATTGAGAGAAATAATACCTCTCACACAGGATTCTTGTAATAATTAAATAGTATAATATGCATGACAAGGCCTAACCTAAAGCATGCACTTAAAAAATATTTCATCAGGGATGACATTAAAACTTTGCATAGGTTTGGTAGATCAAAAATAAGAAAGGAGGCCCTCCCTTCCTTGGTTTACAAACAAGCACCAGCTGCCTAATTTTGAGACATGGGATCATGCTTTAACTACGGAAAAGAAAAATTCGAATCTTACAGGTCAGTCTGCAACAATACAACTACCAAAACTGCCAGCTACATAAAACTGTTTCAAAGTCATGTAGTGGCATGAGATGAAAATTATGCATAATTTAAAAAATAAATTCACATTCATAAACATTTTCTCAAGTTAAATAACTTGATGAAATGGAAGCAAAGGAAAAAATACTTCCAGCTGCAATCTTCTGAATGTGGGACCTTGTTGCCGATTTCTTACTTTCAGCCATATGTTCATATTTCATCTTTGTGATATTAGGAAGTTTCACAGGAAAGAACTACAGAAGAGAGACAATGCAGTCTGCTGAAAATAATTCCTTGATGCAGAGTCGCCACTTTAACACTTAAACACGAAAATACGTGCAACATAGTTTGTTTTAAGTGGACTGAGCATTTTTAAAACAGGGTCTCCAAACTAAGTTTTATGGAGAGGATTAAATCCAATAAACTTACATTTATTAAGAGAAAGTATGTTTCATTTCAATAGTTTTTAGAATTTTAACGTCATTTATTGATGATAAAACATGTTGTTATCCACTTATCACATATCATAGCTAACATTTTGTAGTGCCTACTATGAGCCATCTACTAAGCTAGATGCCTTTCTTGCATTATCTCATTTGACTGTTATAAAAACCATATGAAGCAGGTTATTTTCACTTAGCAGATGGGAAGGCTAAGGCTTGATGACATTCAGTCATTAGTTCACAAAACCTTGCTCAAGTAGCAGAGTCGGCATTGAGATACCTATAAACATGAAGACTACTTGCTTAACATCCTCCAACAAAATCCCTCTGAATATCTTTCAGCTCTCCCAAAAGCTCTCATTAAAATGTATTACTGAATTGTTATCATGTAAGAATATTCTAAAAAATAGGCTTTCACCTTAAAATAAAATAGGTGGGGTATGAAAACACAGAGAGAGACAGAGATGGGGAGAGAGATAAAGATTGAGAAAGCAAGAGTAAGAAAGAAAAAAACAAAGGATCTGGATATAATAATCCAAAGTAAAATTTAAAAGAAAATGCTTAAGGAAAGCTGACTTTAATAAATAACACTTCTGAAAATATTACCATAATAACCTCTGCATATATTCTGCTCTTTAAAGTTACATGAAGCCCAAATTCTTTGGACAGATGAAGGAAACATGAATGAATAATAAAACAAACAATTGAATAGGTAAGAAAGGCTAAAGATTTAAATTTTCTTCCAGGTATACTTACAGGATTTAACATTTGTGAAACGACAGAAGTCTTCCATGATCTGACTGTACTGATATTGAACAACTTTCTGTTTAGGGCCCAGTGACTATCTCTTATACCAATATAATTATAACTTTGCAATAAAAAGAGGTATATAATAAATCCAAGGTTCTTTCCTCCAGCCTCACAAAGGTGCATGTAAATTGCTGGAGGTCAGTTTTATTGGTTTCTTTACTATCTATCATAGTCACGACGCTACATAAAAATTGTCCTGTAGACAATAAATACGTCTCAGGCAAAGCATTACTTTTTTCCAAGATGTGTAGGCACTGCAATGAAACTGTGGCTCCAAGTGTGTAGTGTATTAAAATGCCTGTAGTAGAAAACGTTCAGAAAGACACCCCTATGATGTTTACTATAAACAAATTACCATAGATTAGATGGACCCGATATGTCTATACTCAGCAATTTCATGCATCATCTTCCCATTTTCAGGATCAAATTAAAGCTTTTCATAAAGTCAACTGAAATATGTAAAACATATGTATTACCATTTATGGTGTCTCAACAAAATGTAATTCATCTACCACCATAGTACAGAATACAGACATTTTGTAAGCCATACATGTTGATGGTGAGCTCATAATATTATTGAGCTGTTCAGCAATCCCAAACTATCTCTTTGAGGTAGGAGAACATTCCTAGAAAGGGCTTCTGAAACAAAAGGGGCAAGAGGCAGAAGAAAATATGAACCATCTCATTGTTTTGTTTTGTTGTTGTCTGGTGTTTTGTTTTGTTTTGTTTTGTTTGTGAGACTGGGTCTTGCTCTATTGCCTAGGCTGGAGTGCAGTGGCACAATCTCAGCTCACTGCAGCCTCAACCTCCCAGGCTCAAGTGATTGATTCTCTGGTCTCAGCCTCCCGAGTAGCTGGGACTACAGGTGCTCACTAGCATACCTGGCTAATTTATTTTTAATGTTTTGTAGAGACAGGGTTTCCCAATGCTGCCCAGGCTCGTCTCAAATTCCTGGGCTCAAGCGATCTTCCCACTGCAGCCACCTGAAGTGTGGAGATTACAGGCATGATCCACCACACCCAGCCTCCATCTCATTGTTTTAATTCAAAATGAAGCTATGAGATCCTTTTAAACAGATCAAGAAAATAACAATGATCTTGGAAGACTAAAAAAAAAAGCCCATAATAATATGGAATAAAGTCACGGATAATGTTTTGAACTTTCTATCAGTGACAGTCTCAAGTATCTCCTGGCCTTTATGGGACAGACAACACAACAATTTAAATATAATATTAAACTGTTGAAAACTAAAAAGATGTTTATCCTAAACGACAGGAGATACTTTCAAAGAGATAGTAACGACATTTCAACAGTGTTCTAAACATAACGTCTACCAGCCAAGATAAATAAAATCTACCACTTTGGAATAGGAATATTTCTCCTTCCATTGAATTGAAGACGTCAAGAAGAAGTAAAGCCTGGGTATGATTTATCAAGGGCTTATTAGGTACCTTAGGGGTATAGTTTCTTTCTTCCTCAAAGTAATTATATAAAGTAAATATCATCTTACCCATTTTATATATTAAGAAGCAAAGGCTTAAGGAAAATAAATAACTTGCCCTGGGTATGGTTGGGACTTACAATCAATATGTGCAGACTGTACCAAACGACACTCTTTCTTACTGAGGGATATGAATTCAATATCATTACCAAAACTATTAAGAATATAATGTACCTCTACTGTTTAAATTGGCAAGGGGTGATACATCTATTAGCAAAGATTTGTTGTCAATATGGAGCCTGTAAAAAAGATATTATACACTTTGGGAGGCTGAGGTAGGCGGATCATGAGGTCAGGAGATCGAGACCATCCTGGCCAACATGGTGAAACCCCGTATCTACTAAAATACAAAAAATTAGCCAGGCGTGGTGGCACACACCTGTAAGTCCCAGCTACTAGGGAGGCTGAGGCAGGGGAATCACTTGAATCCAGGAGGTGGAGGTTGCAGTGAGCCGAAATTGTGCCACTGCACTCCAGCCTGGTGACAGAGCAAGATTCCATCTCAAAAAAAAATAAAGAAGAAGAAAAAAGAAAAAATATATTATAATATTTCTTTCTTTTTCTTTTATTTAGAGTCAGGGTCTCACACTGTTGCCCAGGCTGAAATGCAGTGATGTGATCATAGCTCAGTGCAGCCTCAAACCCCTGGGTTCAGGAAATTTCCTGCCTCAGCCACCTGAGAAGCTGAGACTACAGGCACATGCCATCATGCCTAAGTTATTTATTATGATTATTATTATTTTAGAGATAGGGTTTTGCTATGTTGTCCAGGATAGCCTTGAACTCATGGCCTCAAGCCGTCCTTTCACCTCAGCCTCTCAAGTCCCTGGGATTACAGACATAAGCCACCATGCCTGGACAAAAGATATAAGATTTCAATGAAGCTGTCTTAACTTTTATTTTCTACCAGAAAAAATCAATAATCCATTCCTCATTTGGGAGTTGAAGTTACTAAATGGTTACATGTCTTGGTAGTCTGGTTTAGTATTAATAATCTAGGCCTAAAGAAAGGAAGAATTGGTAACTAATACTTCAACAGAAAACAGAAAAAAAAAATCTGAATTAATCACTGGCACGACTGGGTCAACTGGATTAAGACTCTAATTACAATGCTTTATAGTCTTAAAAAATGAGACTCTGGTAGACTTTCATCTTTAAAACTTTATGAATGCAATAAAACAATTGTTGGGCCATGATTATGGGATCCAATTTAGCAAGGAGACTAGCAACTAAAAGAACTTTGAAGATCATTACTACTCCTGTGATTTTAGGAATTTATGGCAGTGATGACCTACTGTTTTATCCTAGGAAATATAATCACAAGGTAGCAAGAAAAATATCCATAGCTGATACATTATAGCTCAGGGGAAGATGCTTTCACTGGAGGAGACTTTTGATTTGACCACTGTGAAATGCCCATTTTATTGGATGCATTCCAGAACTCTCCTACAGGTTCCAAAAGGGAGCCTTGGTCATATCATTCCTCTTTTCTGACACTCATTCTTCCCTGACTGCCCCCATGCTTTCATACAAGTCTCCCTAGCACTCATCATGCTAATGGTATGTGATCTTCTGGCTATCTTATTCAACATTCACAACTTGAAAACAACACTTAAAGCCAACAATGTGTCCTGTGTTCATAAATGTGTCTTTTAAACATCTCAAGGAATTCTCATTGTTTGTAACATGGACAGAGATCCCATTATCTCGGTGCAAATAAAAGTAGTTCTTAACAGAAATCTGTTTTCTTTTTGAGCATTATGAAACGGCCTCTGACCTTCAACTTGAGGAGTACAGCATAAAAAAAAGATAAGATTCCACAGTAAACCATAAAAAATAGAAAGGGGACAAGAGGGGAAAAGAAACTTAGCAAAGAACATTAAAAATTTACTTAAATACGAGTCTCTTTTCCTTAATATATTAGCAATCACCTACCAATAATAATACCTTGAGATGAAAGAAAATTGATGATATGGACAAAAAAACATAAATATTAAAATAGACCACATTCATTATTAAGCAGTAAAATTAAAATAGCAATATTCCCAATATGACCCGGTGTCTTTAGAAGTCAGGCTACATTTTATTCTTTCAGAACTTAGGGCTAAATAATACATAATTTATTCAAGGTCTATTATTACATAGAATTTTTGTTTAAACTATAATGTGATTTCAAACTGCATCTTTGTTTAAACCAGGGCTCATTAAAACTTTGAAATATTCTATAACCCTCTGGAACTCAAAGATCTCTGTCAAGGCCTATTGCCTATGCAGACAAGTTCCCATCTCTAATTAAAGTATTCATAAAACTGTGTACACAGCCTGGCAATATAAAAATAATGATTGTATGAAAAGTAAGATCAAATTCCTAATTTTAAAAACAGTCACAAAGGGTTAAAAGTAATGTCATAGAGTGGTCATTTGGGAATACTGAAGTCCATGAACATAAATCTCTAGCATCCCATGTAACATGCTTATGAATGACTCTAATCAGAAAGAAGACAGAGTTAAACTCTCCCTCCAGGGCTGAGCATCTGAAGCAAGCTGGGAGGCTATAATAATCAGATGAATTTAGACACTATAATTTTCCAAGAACCTCACAGTCCTTCTAGGCCTGAGACTGACTTTACAATTTCTTTGAAATGCTCAAAAGAAGCCCAGAAAAATCAAAGCAAAGGATTATTTTCCAGAGAATCGAAACTGTAGACCATAACACAGAGGTCAGTTGGTTTCCAAAGCAAACAAAATACTCAATTTATATGATGGACTACATGTTGAAATCCTGTTTATTATATGCAACATACGAGTGAGTTTTTGAAACATTTCCCCAACAGTTTTCTCTGCTGATATTTGGGTTTAACTGTGGCTTTCACTCTACTCATTTAGGTTTAGAACTAATTTGGAAACACTGGCTTCTAAGAGATGGGCATCAAATAAGACTGCTTCTAGTAGCATGCTTTAATAACAATAAAAACCCCAACTGTGGTTCTGTATGTATGCTACACAGAAACACAAAGGTTACTTGGGAAACAGACAGTCTTTCCTTTATGAATTATGAAGCTTCTATGGAAATCTGGATCGTAACATAAAGTAGTTATTTATTTAATGGGAAGGAGGCCAATGGCAAAGACATTTGGAATTTCCAGTCTATTTATTCCCCAATGATATGCCTTCATATGTTTGATTCAGGACCTTATTTGAACATTGCAGGGGAAATTAAAAGAGCCAAATGCTGTGTCTTAGGAGATACACCATGTATTCGGAGAATGCCATCTTATGGTCTCAATGTAAGTAGTGTCTGAAAACTTGCTGTTACTATAGACAGATTTTTCTTTGGTCATTTGGATGAAAGCATACCCCTGACTCCCCCCAATATGTTCTCCGCACCACAGCCAAAGCAATCATTTTCAAACTGTAAATATCATCATCTCCTCCAGTACTCACAGCTCAAAATAATTTAATGTCTTCTCAGGCCTCTTAAGTCAAAGGCAAAATTCTTTAATAATTCTTAAATGTCTGGTTGTTTCCTTGTTCTCTTGTTCTCCTGGTTTCAGCCACATGTATTTTCACTGAGCTGCTGTATGTACCAGGGACAATGCTCAGCTGTTCCTTTGTCTAGATATTCTTCTCCTTCTCTTTAATTAACTCCTATTAATCTTTATAAGCTTAAGCTTTTTAAGCTTTCCCTCAGAAAAATTCTCCTTTTATAGAACTTACCTTTTAATTGGGAAGACAGACAAAAACAGAGGAAGAGGAAGAGAAAGGAGGAAAGAAGGAAGAAAGGAAGGGAGGAAGGAAGGAAGGAAGAGAGGAAGGAAGAAAAGGAGGAAGAGAGGAAGGAAGGAAGGAAAGGTAGGAAGGGAGGAAGGAAGGAAAGAAAGGAAGAAAGGGAGGAAGGAAGGGATGAGAGAGTGAGGGAGTGAGGGAGAAAGAAGGAAAGATGGGAGGAAGGAAGGAAGAAAGGAGGGAGGGAGGGAAAGAAGGAAGGAAAGGAGGAAGGGAGGGAGGGAGGAGGGAGGGAGGAAGGGAGGAAGAAAAGAAGGAAGAAGGGAGGGAGGGAGGAAGGGAGGAGGGAAGGAGGGAGGAAGAGAGAAAGGAGGGAGGAAGGAAGAAAGGAAGGAAGGGAGGAAGGAAGGGAGGAAGGAAGGGAGGAAGGGAGGGAGGGAGGAAGATGGGAGGGAGGAAGGAAGGGAGGGAGGAAGGGAGGAAGGGAGGGAGGGAGGGAGGAAGGGAAGAAGGGAGGAAGGAAGGAAGGAGAGAGGGAGGGAAGGAGGGAGGGAGGAGAGGGAGGGAGGGAGGAAGGAAAGAAGGAAGGGAGGGAGGGAGAAAGGAAGAAGGGAGGGAAGGAGGTAGGAAGAAAGGAAGGAAGGAAAGAAGGGAGGGAGGGAGAAAGGGAGGAAGGAAGGAAGGAAGAGGGAGGGAGGGAGGAAGAGGGAGGGAGGGAGGAAGGAAAGAAGGAAGGGAGGGAGGGAGGAAGGAAGAAGGGAGGGAAGGAGGTAGGAAGAAAGGAAGGAAGGAAAGAAGGGAGGGAGGGAGAAAGTAAGGAGGGAGGGAGGGAGGGAAGGACGGAGGGAAGGAACGAACGAAGGAAAGGAGAGAGGGAGGGAGGGAGGGAAAGGGCCTAAGGAGTAATACTTGGAAATGTTCTACAGAGTTAGTATATAGGGTTCTCTTTTGTGTTAATCTTATAAGACAAACTGGGATGGTAACCTGGTGTTAAGTTTCAAAATTCTTCAGGAATACCTTATATGTTTTCTTTATATAGTACTCTTCCAGATACATAAGAAGCATTTTAATTGTTTTCTGAAGATTGCCCAAGAAGTCACACATTTCTCATCAATCAACAACTGTGTAAGAAATGTAGTGTCTTATCTCCTTGATTACTCCTTACACATTTTGAAATGGAGCTTGACCACCCAGAGTGACTCCTATCTAAACTGTCACAGCTTTCATCAAAATCTATAAACATTTTCTCTTCTAAAACTGTCCTTTTATGGCCAGTCCATTTGAAATATGTTTATGAGAATTATATGATAGGCAAGAGAAATATTATGTTTGCAGTCTACTTTGCTCCAGTGGGACTTAAGAAAAGCAGTTTCAGGTTACCTGTATTTTCATGTAAGGATCTTTTTCATGGTTTTGTTTGTGTTATGTAAATATTGAGAGACATGTTCAAAGTTCATTTATTACCCTTACACTTGAATCAGATTTGTTAATTCTACGCATTCAAATTTTCTAGAGTATTATGAGAATTTATGATATAAAAAGCATCATTCTGAATACTAATGTAGTGATACAGACATTCCCTGCCACCCCAGGTGCACTCACAAATCTTCCAATGTTGGGATTTTCAGCTACAGCCTTTGCTTCTTTCTGTCACAAAAAAAAAACTTAATGCCACTGCTGATCTCTCTTACTTTCTAGTTTCTTCCATAGTTCTTGTAAACCAGCCATAACGAGTAAAAATTATGCCCAGCAGAGCAGGTACCTTGTACCCCCAATTACATCATTCACTGGGCACAATCAAGTAACAAGATCTACATGTAACAATCACTACATGTAAAACAAAAGGAATTTGTCAACGTTGTTGCATCTTTTTTATTCCAAAAGAAAGTTGACCCAAATAATTATGTATGAGGCAAGCACTCTATTCATTAACATGGGGGAAAATAGTATCACTTTGAAAGTAAAATCTTAACATTTGATTAGCTTTTTAAAACATGTAACTGTGATTTACTTTACAAAAATTAAGAATCATGTCTTATGGCTGTAGAGCAATACCACTCAAAAATTAATAGCAATTGAATTATTCACTTTGTTCACATCTGACCTTCTATATTACTACTTGATGGCAGAAACAAATAATTTTCAAAAGTTATTCAATCCCAAACTTGCAAAGTTTATCTAGAGATATTTGAAAATCTGGCTCTTAAAAATTCATATAAGTTCTGGACTTACATGCATATATAAATAAGGCACTCCTTTTGTAAATAATTTTTCTTCATAATTACATTGTATAAAACATAAATTTAATGTTGAAATTATCAACAGGGGCCGGGCTTGGTAGCTCACACCTGTAATTCCAACAATTTGGGAGCCCGAGACAGGTGGATTGCTTGAGCCCAGGAATTTAAGACAAGCCTGGGCAACATGGCTAAACCCTGTCTCTACAAAAAAATAGAAAAATTAGCCAGGTGTGGTGGTGTGCACCTGTAGTCCCAGCTACTCTGGAGGCTGAAGTGAGAAGATAGCTTGAACCCAGGAGACAAAGGTTGCAGTAAGCTGAGATCACACCACTGCACTCCAGCCTGGGCAACAGAGCAAGACCCTGTCTCAGAAAAAGAAAAGAAAAGAAATATCAACAGGAACTGTAATTGATTCGGATTTTTAAATGACCCATTACAGTAGCAGAAAAGTTCTTTGTTTCATTTTTAGTTTAACTATTAATACTTCTAGTACTTAAGTATTTTAAATATTTTTCTCTAGGCATCTTTAGTAAGAATTTGGAAAATAGGTAGTTATATCCTGCATATTTTTGTCAAAACAAAAAATTTTCCCATTTTCAAAAATGATTCTGAAAGTATTTTCTCTTTCAGAGGTACTATAGGTTGAATTGTACCACCACTGCCAAAAGATATGTTGAAATCCTAACTCTCAATACCTCAGGATGTCACACTATTTGGAAACAGGGTCACTGCAGACGTAATTAGTTAAGCTAAGAAGAGGTCATGCTGGAGTAGGGAGGGACCTTAATCCAATATGACTAGTGTCGTTATAAGAAGATGGTCATGAGATGACAAAGACACACAGAGAATGCTATGTGATAATGAGCGCAAAAATTGGAATGACACATCTACAGGCCAAGGAACCCCAAGGCCCCTGTAAATGACGAGAATCTAGGAAGAGGCAAGGAAGGATTCCCCTAAAGAGTTCAGAGGGAACATCACCCTGCCAAAACCTTGATTTTACACTTCTAGCTTGCAGTACTGAAAGAGAATCGATTTCTTTTGTATTTTAGCCATCCATTTTGTTACAGCAGCCCTTGGAAACTAATACAAGAGGACAATTAAGCACATATAAAGTGTGATGTAGCTCAATTAACATCCTTCACCAACCTTCTTGCTGCCATCTTGGTAACCCATATCATTGGAACACAGAAGTAACTTTTGTAAACATGTTCTCCACAATCTAGGCCTCTACCACTGTGAGAGCTGGATTCTTTAAGACAATTATTTCTTAGAAAAAGGAGTTTGAGTCAAACATCAACACTTCATTAAATATATATTGAGCAATAACCATAGGATATTTACATAAAATTACATATAAAACTATGGACATCATTATATTTAAACATCAGTCTAACATATTAGGCTGGCCCGCTTCCTGGATACCTTACATTGTAGAGCTCACTACCTAGTCCAGCATCTTGCATTTACTAGTGTCTTAATAAGTGGTTACTGATTGCTATGGACCGAATTGTGTCTCCTCCAAAATTCATATGTTGAAGCACTAACCCCTGATGTGACTTTATCTGGAGTAAGGGTCTTTAATAGATAAATAAGGTTAAATGAGGTCATAAGGGTAGACCCTAATCCAATAAGATTTGTGTCCTAATAAGAAGAGGAGGAGACTTCAGAAAGCACATGCTCGCTGTTTCATGCACTCTCGCTCTCTCATGTTTACACAGAGGAAAGGCCATGTGTGGACACAGCAAGAAGGCGGCCATTTGCAAGTCAGGAAGAAACCCCTCACCAGAACTTGACCATGACGTCACCCTGATCTTGGACTTCTAGCCTCCCGATCTGTGAAAAAATAAATTTCTGTTGTTTAAGCCACCTAGTCTTTAGTTACGGCCGCCAGAACAGACTGATACTCCAGTGAACTAACCACAATCTATGTTAAGGCTGGAGATCCAGAACAAAAGTATGTGACAGAACATCAGACTGTTGCCAGACTAATCCACCAAGGATGCTGAGATTTTCATAAAGATTATGAAAGTTTGGTCTTGCTGGTTCTATGGGATAACAATGGCTTTTACAAGGCTACAGAAAGTCTCCCACTGGGGGCAGCTATCAGCACACCTCCTTTATAGCAGGGGCCAAAGACTGCAATACCTTGTGAATTATAGTACATTTGTTAGCAAGCCAGCCCGATTTTTAATCAGATTTAAGAATGTAAAAGGCAGACTTTGGTCAGGAATTTCATCTTTTTTGACTTTTCAAATCAAGTATATTCATAGGTATATGAATTAAAAGTTCAAAGTGGGAGGCCGAGGCAGGTGGATCACTTGAGGTCAGGAGTTCTAGACCAGCCTGACCAACATGGTGAAACCCCGTCTCTACTAAAAATAGAAAAATTAGCCAGGTGTGGTGGCACACACCTGTAATCCCAGCTACTCGGGAAGTTGAGGCAGGAGAATTGCTTGATCCTGGGAGGCAGAGGTTGCAGTGAGCTGAGATCACATTACTGCACTCCAGCCCAGGAGACAGTGCAAGACTCCATCTCAAAAAGAAGAAAGAAAAAAAAATCAAAGTGGCATGTTTTCTGCATAAACTTAGCTCTTCTTCTTGCAATTCCCATTTTATTTGGTGGATGATTTCTTCCTAAGCAATGTGGGCTCACTTGGTCCTGACTGAGAGGTGACTTTAAGAAATTCCAAAAAAAAAAAAAAAAATGCTGAGAGTTGTGTTGTTAGAAGAGCACATGAAAGCCAACCATGAATTTATGTCTGGGTTGCATTCATTTAGAAGCAACATATTCCGTGTTACTCAGTGTATTGTGACAGTCACTAGACTTCAGCTCAGGAATATATAGTACTTATAATAATGTACATATAGTATATTACAGTAATATTTGATGGCAAATTTATGTTCAAAATTCCCCTGGTGTTATGAACTAAACTGTGCCCCCCATAAAAATGCATATGAAATCCTAACCCCCAGTACCTCAGAATGTGACTGCATGTAGAAGTAGGGCATTTAAGGTAATCAAGGTAAAATCAAGTAATATCTGTGAGCAATAATCTAATAAGGCTGGTGTCTTTGTAAGAAAAGGAGTTGAGGACAGAGACACACAGAAGAAAGGCCATATGAAGACATCAGAAGAACATGGCCATCTACAAGCTAGGGAGAGAGACTTCAGGATAAATCAACCCTGCCTACACCTTGATCTCAGACTTCTAGCCTCCAGAATTGTGAGAAAATAAATTTCTGTTGTTTAAGCCAGCCAGTCTGTAGGCTTGTTATGGAAGCTCTAGAATAAACTAATACATCTTGGCTTTTTACCTTGTTTTCAGAAGCCCTACAGTAGAATGAAAAAACAGGTTCAAAACTTTCTTTACTTCAGACTCTGAAGGGTCTTCTAAGAATCTGGGGCTGGCTTAGAGTTCTGGAATGAAAAGAGATGTGGCTGAATATCATGGTATGTATTGTGCCCATACATAAAACATGGTGACATGTGAGAGTTTGAATCTCCACTTCTTCCTATATTTCCACAATGCCATGATGAAAATTTTTGGCGCCATAAAATATAGTATAATAGTCTCAAATTCATTTTCCTTTCATGCTTTTAGAATTCCATTTACCCAAACTATGTTGCATGAATACTTGCTTTTGTGACCTAATCATAATTTGTACACGATCTCTCCAAATAATCCACCCCATACTTATCAATCTCCTGTCACCTGGTGTCAGGAAAATTAAAACTTTCAACTATTCATTCTTTTATTCTATCATAATGGAAACAAAACAGGCCAGAATGGTAAATATGTATGGCAACATTCATCCCTGTGTATAAAATGCTGAAATGCTTTCTCCCTTTCTCCCTTTTTCCCCTGACCTAGTCAACTCCTAATGACCCTTCAGAGTTTAGTTCAAATTCAACTTCCTTACGGCAGTCTCCCACGACTTCCCAACTTCCCAAAGAGGTCAAGCCCTCTTACTGGACTCTGGTAACATTATGATATCCTGTAAGTTTTCTTCATAGCCTTTTGAGTTTTTTAGAAATGCAGAATCTTAGAGCCCACCCCAGATCAACTGAAACACCCACTCATCCTTCAAGATCCAAGCTCAAAATACACCCCTCCCCATCAAGCCTTCCTTGATTCTCCCACCTGGGCTCAGGGCTTCTCCTGCAGCCCTCTGCATCCATTTCTAGAAGTGCAGTCTGCAAACTATGTTTTATTTACCTACTAGTTTACATTCTATCTCCCCTTCTGCAGAAACCTCTGGAGCAAGTACCATATCCTATCTATCTTTGTCAACACAACATAGAATTTAAAAACCTGGCATACCACAAGTACTGAAGAACTATCTTCTAAAGCCATGAAACTGGAAATAAAGAAGTTGGATTAGCTGATTTTTAAGATCCTTTACAGTTCTAACATCGTATAAAGACATAATTCTAATGCTTCCATAAGATGCCACACTTTCTTCATGATTAAATCCAGGTTATATCTTTTTAAAACACAGAATGTGTCCCAGTCAGTCTAGGGGTCCTGAGACACTGCATTTCCAATTAGCTCCCCTGCAGTGCTAACACTGGAACACTTTGAATCACAAGCTCTTAAAGTCCAGCATATGTCTCAGAACCCGCTCTGCCTCCCTAAAATCCCAGTTTTACAAGCCTGTAACACCTTAAGTGTAGTAAAGCCTACAAAAAGGGCATTCTGCCAGCGCCTGGCCAAGGCTGGAGCCCCTTTAATAAGACTCAGTCATTGGTTCAGCTCTGCTTCATGAGTTTCAACGCACAACTTAAAACAAAACTCTGCCCTTTTCAAATCTGCTCTTTTCTCTATATCCATACAGACATGTTTCTAAATCCATATAGTTATCCACTCTTTGAGTGAAAAAACAAGAGAACTTTGCTCTTTCGCTCTGTGTGTTTTTCAAATTTATACTTTTGTGCTAGACTAAAGGGTAACATCCCCTTTTCTCCAACCAATTTCCAGGTCGTCCTTGCCAAAGCAGAGGCTCTTTTAGAGTTTTAAGGAAAACACTTGAGAGTTCACAGATTGAACGTGGAGAATATACTTTCAAAACGATGGTGTGGCTGCTCATGCTGCATCATACCTCGTCCCTAAGAACACCCATAGTAAGATTTCTGAGGTCTGAACCAGACTCAGGGAGAGTAATGCTATTTTTGTTTATTTAACAAAAACTTTCACCCTACTTTCTATGTCCTAGGGCACTGTTCTATGCAATTTGCAAGTAGTCTTTCCTCGTTTCCTCATAACAACCCTAGGAAATACATGCTGCTATTACTACTGGGAAGGTGAAGAAACTGAGGCACAGAGAGATTAAATAACTTGTGCAAGGTCTCACAGATGGTAAATGGAGGCAACCTAAGATGTGAAGGACAGGATGAGACCCATGTTACAAGAAGAGAGAAAAAGGGAGAGAAAACACATGCCCAGCTATGAATTTACAAACATTTTATTTCCCTGTACCCCAACTTGGACTGTATATAAGTGACACAATTTGGTCTTAATCATACTTTTATGGAATTAGGAATGTATGAATTAGTATATTTGCTCTTATAAATATTTGATACCCCCAAATACAGATTTCGTTTTCCATCAGCGTTTTACCCAACCGTGTGGCTTGTTGGATACTGATTTTCTCCATTTTAATTTATCTCACTTGAGATCACCATTTCCATTGTCTTTAAGAAGACTCAATATTGTAACCTCAAATGCAAATATAAAATTTAAAAAATCAAAGAGGCTAGTCAGGTAGTTTCTGTATTTAGGAGGAAAAAAATGATTTCAAACATATAAAAACAACCAAATACAGCAGTTGAGTATCTTCTCTTCATATCAGATTTGAGCACTTACCTGTGTCTAACATTCTTCTTGCATTTTCTTCAAAGTAGACAATAACATGCAGTAGTGTGAATAAACCCAAGTTTTCATTTTACCTCCTCATACTTTCTTGGATTTTATGGTTTTAACATATGCAGGAAGTTCAACTAGCATTAGATATAAGGCTCTGGAGGGAATGATTTTGTATATTAATTTGGAATATTTGAAGAGCAGAGGCCGGGAGGACATGAGTGAGAATATTTTCAAGAGAAAGGGGGAAAAAAATTATCCCTAAAAAGCTACAATGTCAATTCAGTTAACTGTGATAAGAAAGTCTAAAGTTGAAAACAACAGCGTTGCCACCTCAATTTTCTATAAAAATATAATACATTAATTTATCAGGAAATATTTGAGAGCTATAAAGAACAGAGTTTACATATGGGTGTACTTTACACCTGTGTGGGGATCATTCATTTCACAAACACTTATTTGAGCACTTAGGCCAGGCAAGCTGATAAAAATATGTCCATGTATTATTTAAATACCATTGTAAACTGACCATCATTCAAAATGTAGGCCTTGATAATTTTAAGTGCTTTATTTTAATTGCTGTGGATGCAGACTCCAATTATTATTAGGGTAGCTATCTTAAAAGTTCTTTATCTGGGGACATCACCACACTGGTTTGTCCTTTAGATAACTGGGACATATATTTTATATAACACATCTAAAGCAACTGAGAGGGATGTTAAATTCTACATGCTATGCCTATTTTCATTAAAATTACAAAATCAATTTAATCTTACGGAGGACATGGAAATCATATCACCTAACTGCCTAGTACTCTATATTTGAAAATTTAGTTGCACAATCCTTATTCCTATCGATTTGACATTGACCAAGTCACCAGTCTGGTTTTTACACATGGAACATGCAGCTTGGAGAGCAAAAATCTCTTCTGTCAAATCACTGTTTAATCCTAAATGAGCCTACTATTTTCATAAAACAAAATAATCATGACATATTCATCAGGTGACTGGCACGGAATAGCCCCCTCACCTTTATCATCTTTTAAAATATCTTTCAAAATACATTTGTTTTCGAAGAAACTTGGTAAGGCTTATTTTCTCCAAAGCTTACAGACTGAATAAAGCTGATAGGTCAGAAGTAACTGTGCCGATGGCAACAGTATACACTATTGACGGAACAAGAGCCAAAGACTATTTGCAGCCTAAGTAGTAGATGTGCTCCCAAAGAAATGCAATACAAAACTAAAACCAAATATTAGTGACGGTCTGTGTGTACGTTTCAGTTTGAGTGAGGTGCTTAAAAGAATAGGGGTCACAAACAGGTTTTAATTACACTGTAGGATTTTACAATTGGATACATTTGGTGTCAATTGCTGCAGAAGATTGTGATTGAAAATTTTCCCGTGGAAGAAGAAATGTCACAGTATTTTGATAAGCGAGAGATGAACTTTTTTTTTCCCTTGTGCCATCAGCGAGACGAAAAGAACAAAATGCATCATTTATAACCCACAGCTCGACCATTATCTCCTGGTGAGACACTTGTTTTAAACACACAAGAATCTTTTTTTCTCCCTCTACAAAGTCTAGAGCTCTCTGTGAGGCTCCTTCTCCCTTAGAGCCGTAAAAGAAAGTTGACACTTGTGCAGCCAAAGTTTCTAGGCAACCACATAAGGGCACTCGTACACCCTCCAGGTCACAGCCAGTTCTGAAGTACAGAGGAAGCATACGAACAGCATATGTCTCTTTGATCACAGATACCATCTAAAACTGATGTGGAGAGAAAATCCTGTTCCGCACCAAAGGCTTTACAGACTCTTTTTCTGACTTTGCCCACAGAGTAAAGAAAGGGTACCTTGCTCAAAGTATTGGCCTGAACATTTTTCAATGCTAAAATTGAATAGTTTCAGTGTGTGTGTGTGTGTGAGAGAGAGAGAGAGAAACACACACACACACATACACACACACACACACCCAAGAATGTTTCTATGATTGCCAGGGCCATGACAAATTAGATAAGGCAAAACGGAAAGGAGTGATAAGTATAGTTTAGGCATCTTTCACTTATTTACTCATTCACTCTGCAAATGATGGAGAAAAAATGTTGGTACTAAGGATACCATTGAGAATCAAAGACCTTCTCCTCTTACAGAATTTATGGTCATAAAAACCAACAATTATGACAACCTTAACCTGTCCAGAAAAGATTATACTTTTGTATAGCATTTAATCTACTTTAGTAGACTTTCCAGCATTAACATAGTTATATCTCCCCAAAGTGCCTCAATTATGCAGTATAAGCACTTTCCTATAAATATATATATTAATAGTTGATACTTAACAAATGTGTTTAGAGGCTATGAGTATTTTCATATATTACTTGATACAGTAACTCTAGGTAGATACAGCTCTAAATTGATGTAGTGAACAAAACAGATTTTAGAGACTTGCTCAGGGAGCAGTCTGGGGAGAAGTCAGGACTTGCACATGGGCAGCTACATATAATCTATACACCTTCACTGTGATGCTGCCACTATGTTCTCCCAGTTGCTTTTGACCACAGGGGGGCCTGAACATCATTACTCTCAGTTGATGCTGAGGCTATACACACCCAACATACCACAAAAATAAATTCCTAACATGTCAAACAATTTGTTGATCATCTCTTCTAAATAACAAAGCAACTAAATGCCTGTGGTATTTTAGTGTCACAGCTCCTTGAAGGTCAGTCTGCAGAGAATTTCACCAACATAGTAACAACCACCACTGGCACGGAGGTAGGGGGGTGCAGTAATTGACAGATGCAATAGAGCAGAGAAGAAATTACTCTTTCAGAGGATTTACTTCAAAGCTCAGGATGCTGTGATTCTTGATGTCTAAAAAGGCATAACCTTAGTATATTCCTGGTTGGGCCACTGCATACTGACGATCCCACCACTCACTGGTTGGGGAGGTGTTGGTGGGGAGGGGCAACACAAGAGCAGGGCGAGCAGTGTGGCTGCAGAATTGCTAACACAGTATGGAAGACCAGCTAGTGGTTTGGAAATCGCTCGTCATTTTGTACTCTGGATCTGCCTTTCTGCATTTCCTAATAGACATCAAGTGATATCAAGCTTACATTCTCTGGGGTACTGGTATAAGTCTCACACAATATGGATGTAAAAGTTTTATTAGCTTTTTTGGTCAATGTTTGAAAAACTTTAACTGAATACCCCTCTTCCAGAAATAGTACCTAACATTTGTTGACCATTTATTATGTACAAAGTACTGTACTAAATATTTTCATTTTATCATCTCAAAAAAAATATGTAAGACAGGTAATTTTAAGCCCATTTCAGATGAAAAAAATGAATTAATTAAAACTAATTTGCTCAAAGTCAGAGCTAGGGCTAGAATAAGAACTAGACCTAGCATTTAATTCTATCAGACCATTAGGCTATATTTCCACTCATCAAATTTACTGAGTGCCTAATGTATGATAGCCACTGAGCTACAAGGAAAGGCAGTATACCTTCAGGGTTAAGAAGACAGGCTTTGCAATGGAACCTAGTCAGTTTCACACAAAAGCTTTCAACTTCCAAAGGTACACAGCTAAATAGAGCCTAAGAAAGTTATAATTTCAAACTGAAATAACAATATCGGAACTCTATACAAAAATATATATTCTTTTTTTTTTTGAAAGATGGAGTCTTGCTCTGTTGCTGGAGTGCAGTGGCACAACCTCCACCTCCCGGGTTCAAGCGATTCTCCTGCCTCAGCCTCCCGAGTAAGCTGGGATTACAGGTGTGTACCACCATGCCCAGCTAATTTTTGTATTTTTAGTAGAGACAGGGTTTCACTAGGTTGGCCAGGCTGGTCTCGAACTCCTGACCTCATGATCTGCCCACCTCGTCCTCCCAAAGTGCTGGGATTACAGGCGTGAGCCACCGCGCCCAGCCATAAATATATTTTCAATGCTCATCTTAACAGAAGAATATACAGACAAACTCTGCTGATTTATAAATCACAATGTTGTACTTCTCATTTTCAAAGATGTATTATGTTCTAAGTAGAAAATAGCATTTAATTACATGGTGAAAAGTTAAAAGATGTTGTTCTCCCAAACATCGTTCCTAACTTTTCCTTTTACATTTTTATATAAGTAATGCCTGTATATAGTCTTAATAAAATCATCCAAAACATATATTTTTGAAAAGGATAACTTTCCTTTTAGGCTTCCCTTATTCCACTTCTTTCACCAGAAGCCAGAGCTATTAACAATTTGAGGTCTCATCTCATTTTATTTATTTCCAAATAGCAAGACAATTGACTAAATGACATTTCTTAAATAGTTCATTCTAATTTATGACTTTCATATGCATTTATTACACACCAAATACTTACACATGCATGAAACAATATCTGGATGAATTCTGTACTACTCTTTCATTTGTCTTTTTTTACACTATTATATAACCTAGTGACCTAATTATTGCACTTACATAATAGGTGTTTATATCCATAGAAGGCAAGTTCTTCCTTATTTTTTTCCTGTAGTTATTTGAAAGATTTGGCTGGGCACTATGGCTTATGCCTGTAATCCCAGCACTTTGGGAGGCCGAGGTGGGCGGATCACCTGAGGTCAGGAGTTTGAGACCAGCCTGACCAACGTGGCAAAACCCAGTCTCTACTAAAAATACAAAATTAGCTGAGCATGGTGGCACATGCCTATAATCCCAGCTAGTCGGGAGGCTGAGGCAGGAGAATCGCTTGAACCCAGGAGGCAGAGGTTGCAGTGACCCCAGATTGTACCACTGCAGTCCAGTCTAGGCAACAAGAGTGAAACTCCATCTCAAAAAAAAAAAGAAAGTTTCACATTGTATTATTATTCTTCAAATTCTTGCCCTTAAACTTTTGAGTTCCATATTTTTTCTACAATTTTCTATCAATTCTATGATTTAAATGCAATTCCCTTTATATTTACATAATTTATTAAAGCCATTAATTAATACTGTGATGATTGACTCATCCCTCCCCCCCTCCCCCCTTAATATATTTCTCTGAGCTAAGAGTTTCACTGAAATATTCTCATCCTTCAAAGCAGTTTTTTTTCTTGAAACTATCTGGAGCTATATTATTGGTTTTCTGCTTTTAGGAGTACAGTTCTATTTACTTTCCATCTTCTAGAAATTGCTCACAGTTTCTAGATTTACTGATGGCCCTCTTTCCTGTTTTCTGGATCACCGTGTGTGTATGGGGGGGAGGTGTGCATGTGTGTGCATGCGTGTGTGTGTTTGTGTGTGTGTGTGTGTGTGTATATATATATACACACATACACAAATTTTACAGGATTTCAGACAGCAAGAACTGTGGGCACATATGTTCAGTCTACTATCTTGAATCCTAATCCTTTTAGCTACATCAAATTTTTAACATATATGTAAATTTCTGGTCATCATTGTGACCACAGTCATTTTTCACACTACTGAGGATGGTCTTCAAAGTCTTCAGCAGTGTCTTGTAGACAGATGTCTATTATCAGCTAATCTCAACACTTTAAGGCCCCAGCCCTCCCCATATGTCTCTCACTCTCTAAAATTGTCCATATATCTTTTCTAACGTTGTTATCTAAACTTGGACACTTCTTCATATAACAAAATATCTCTCTATCAATTACTCATACTTCAAAGTCCACCTCAAAAACCACCTATTCCAAAAAAAGCTTCCCCATATCCTTCCCACCCAGAAATAATCTCCACCCCAGTACATCACTGGAACGCTTTGTTCCTCTACGACAATGCTTATCACAATCAACCATCTGCTCCTATGCACGTGCCTATCTACCCAACTAGATTAATGCTGCCAGAGGAAAAGGATTATGTCATCTATACATATATAAATATGTGTGTGAGCGTGTACCCACAATGTGTAACTTAATTAGGCTGAATTAAATTATATTTTTTCTCTTAGTGTTACGAAGCTTATCACTGGATTCTGCAATAAAGTGGAGATTTTGTCCTATTTTTTCCATGCTCTGCCTTCACATCCCGTTGATATTAGTAAGTAATTGACATGCATGTTGAGCTTCTGCATAGTACTTAAGAGGCTGCTGCCCAAATATATATATTAAGTGTTGTCATGATTCCTTTACACATTGCATTTTTACATCAACTTAAAAGTCTTTTAAGACAAATTTTTCTATCTCACTTTTTTTGGTATTAAGATAGGAACTGGCCTTTCTGTACTTGAAAATGTTTGCCTTAAACAATGTTCTGTTGCCCTGTATGCATTTAACACTTAAATTTATCTGTCTTTGTGATCCTTTCATCAATTGAATAGTTATTTTCTTTATTTTTGTTCCCTTTGGTATAGTCTTCTACAATAACAGGATATTTCTGTTCCTAACAAAATAGTTTATCAAAAAATTCAGGTTATCAAAACAATTTTTTTTAGTTAGAAAAGGAGAATTAGAAACTGGAGAATTTTAGGCCAGCACAAACGTATTTTTCCTACAGGCATTCTCATAATGAAGGTGGAATAAAGGTTACTACATAACTATAGTAATTGCAAGACAATAGGTTAATCAAAATATACAAAATCACATCTAAACATTCCTGAGTGAATTCTGGAGAACACATTAAAAAAAAAAAATCCAGGCCATCAAAAGTAATGTCAACACACTTGAGACCTCAGGAGCCCAAACCATGAAGTCAAGTGTTCCTATATTGCATGTGTGAGAACTGTTTCCCTTATTATAATACGTATGTGAGTTCTGAATTCCATTTTCATTTTAACTCAAAAACATCTGCATAATATCAATGTGTTCCCCAAACGATTAACTGCATTATCTCCAGTCTGTGACATGTAACACACACTAGAGGCAAACAAGTATATGAAAATCCAGGATCAGAGCAGTGTATATTCAAAAGTATATTAAACTCCTTAAAATAATCATCTTTGGGAGGACACTGTAGGATTATCTCAATTTTTTTTTCTTTTTCCCAGGTACGAGATCATTTCTCATCCTTATTCAAATAATTTAAAATTATATCTTTAACTCAAAACTGTAAATAATAATTCTTATTTTTCAACTATCACTAGTTTTCAGGCATTGAGCTAAGCATTTTTACAGTACCATATTTGATTATCAAAACCATATAAAATTTCAGGTATGAACTTTCTTCTCACCCACCAATTATACACCATAGCATAATAACTTAAACACACGGGCTCTGGAAATGGGTTTAAATCTCAGATTGGCCACTTACTAGCTATATAACAGTAGACATGTTACTGAATTGTATTTAACCTCAGTATTTTTCACATATAAAATGGAGATGCTGTTTGTACACATCCCATGAAGACATTGAGAGAATTAAATGATTTATTCATATTTGCTATTTCTGTAGAATGGTGTGTGATACATAGGAAGCACCAAATATATGTTGGCTATATTTATTATTTTTGTCTCCAAATCCTAAAGCAAAGTTCCCCTTAACTAACACATATCAAAACAGTTTCTTGTCCATTTACTATTTTTTCCTTAGTGCCTTTAAATGTTTGCACAATTGTCATCAGTGATATATCACAAAGTAATCTACAACTTTCCTTAAAATTGTGGTCTATTTCAAGTTCAAAATAACCTAGCAGGTCCTTATTCCAAAATGTAGAAGTCAAAAATGGTTTAGAGAATACTACATTATCTTGCTTGTCTAGTACATATTTTTCAAAGGTATGCACTCTTCAACCAGGCTTTCATATTTTCCTTCATAACAATTACATTTCAAAGAGCTTGTTGCCACTGAAAACACCTCCTTTCAGGCCAACTCCTCCTATTTTTCTTCTCTGCTTATAGCAGTTATGTGGCTGTAATAACACAAAGGAATCTGCATGATTTCAGTGCATGACTCATTTCCAGCAAATCAACACACACATTCTCAATTTTTCATGCATGAGAGATGTGTAAAACTATAAAAATGTTTGGACATTTGAGAAGACTAAATCAACAGAGAGTAAGCATTTTATCAAATCTACAAGTGAAATTAAACTTTAATTTGAATAAATAAACTGTACCATGAAAGACGAGTTGCTATCCATCTGAGCTAAAATGATGAAGTATAATTGTATCTATGTTAATAGATCCACCAAGCACAAGGAAATTGCAGCAGACTCCTGTATGAACATGCTGATGATTCACAGGTGTGTAGGCATGGGTTGTAAACACAGATGGAAAGGGTGACAAATATATGAATATATGAGTTACTATTGTGGTCTGCCTCTCTTCAAAGATGGCATTTATTTTTCCTAATCCTTAGGTAGTTTCAAAAAAGGTGTCTATGAGATAGCAATGATGATATCCATTTTCAAAGTGCCTCTGACTGAATTAACAGATAAAATCAACTTAGTCACAAAATTTTCAGAGGAAAATATTATCCATGCTATGGTAATAGAGTAAACATTGGCCAGCTCTAAAAGAGAGGCACACAATGATCAAGGGTATTCGTCGTTTGCTAAGAGAATGGATCTTTTGTTTCTTTGAGACAGAGTCTCCCTCTGTCACCCAGGCTAGAATGCAGTGGCATGAACATGGTTCACTGCAATCTGGACCTCCTGGGCTCATGTGATCCTCAGCGCTCATGTGATCCTCCAGGCTCAGCCTCCTAAGTAGCTGAGATTACAGCCACATGCCCCCACACCCAACTAGGGGTGTGTGTGTGTGTGTGTGTGTGTGTGTGTGTGTGGTGTGTGTGTGTGTGGTGTGTGTGTGGATAGGGTCTCACTATGTTCCCCAGGCTGGTCTCAAACTCCTGCCCTGAAGTGATCCTCCTACCGTGGTCTCCCAAAGTGCTGGGATTACAGGCGTGAACCATTGCATCCAGCCAAGAGTAGATCTTAAGTATTCTCACCACAAACACACAAAAAGATAAATATGTGAGGTGATAGATATATTAATTAGCTTGATGTTGGTAATCATTTCACAGTATATATGTATATCAAAACATCATGCTGTCCACTGTAAATACATATAATTTTTATTTGTCAATTATATCTCGATAAAGCTAAAGGAAAATAACTTTAAAGAATTTTTATATCATCAAGTTGTCAAGGAAAATCACTTTTAAGAGTAACAGCGTGTATCCTGAGTATATTTGGACATGACATCAGAACCCCTGTTGCCAAATAATTCATTAAGCAAATGTCTCCATTAAGATATTTTGTTACTTAAGATTCGACCACTGTTATCCTTGACAATGGTAATAATAGTTATAAACCCTACTTCCGTTTACTGAAAATATCGGAACAAGCTTAAGTCCTCTATTCCATATTCTTTATTCTTTAGTAAATTACTGAAGTGTAGTGAAGGGTTCCACAAATCTTGTTTTCAGAAGCAAAAGGAAAAAAGTCAACAAGTAAGTGAAAGTTACTCAGACGATGAATAGAAGATTCTTTTCATTTTTAAGACCCTGGACAGAAAATAACACTATGGTTAGAGCAAGAGCTATAGACGCAAAAGACATGAG
This sequence comes from Homo sapiens, assembly GCF_000001405.40. Taxonomy (NCBI): domain Eukaryota; kingdom Metazoa; phylum Chordata; class Mammalia; order Primates; family Hominidae; genus Homo; species Homo sapiens. Next base: position 105,516,927 of record NC_000008.11, on the reverse strand, counting down.
TTGGCATTTTTACTTTATCACTGGCTAATTGTGGGACCTCACTTTCTTTTCCTGGAAAGTGAGGATAGTATTTAGTGCCTATTTTATAGGCTTGTGTCAGAAATTATAGACAATACTCTGGAACGGTGCTGGACACACAGTCTGCTTTTGACAAATTTTAACTATTATATCTACCCATGATAGCATTACCATATTAGACATACAGAACAGCAACCCTCGCCAAAAAAAGAAAAGGGAAGCAATTAGTCCAGTAGCACTATTCCATGTACTATAAATTATTCATTTCATCATTATAAACATCCGAATACATGGCCACCTTAAGGACAGACTGAGACATCAGAAATGTGTTTTTCCTAAATAATGTCCAATTTCAACTGTAAATAGACCAACCTTCTTGAAGACTAAAAATAGAAATATTTTAAAAACTACCACTATTCAGGGTTATCTAAAAGTATATCCAGATAAGAACATAATTTTCAAATACTAATTATCCCCAAATATATTTATCTTATAACATTGCTTGCATTCCTTTTAATAATTAGTTTCAAGAGAAAACCAACACACACACTGCCTTCCCAGAATCTATTCCTTCTCATCCCATGAGCATTCAATTTCTATGTGGCTTAAGACAAATTGACTGCCTGCTGTCTCAAGGGGGGTAACAGACAGGACATGACTAAGACTATTCAGTTTATTCTTTTTGGCTGGGCACGGTGGCTCACACCTGCAATCCCAGCACTTTAGAAGGCCGAGGCAGGCGGATCACCTGAGGTCAGAAGTTCAAGACCAGCCTGGCCAACATGGTGAAACCCCATCTCTAGTAAAAATACAAAAATTAGCCAGATTTGGTTGTGGGCGCCTGCAATCCCAGGTACTCTGGAGGCTGAGGCAAGAGAATTGCTCGGACCCGGAGACCCGGAAGGCAGAAGTTGCAGTGAGCCAAGATCACGCCACTGCACTGCAGCCTGGGCAACGAGAGCAAAACTCCATCTCAAAAAAAAAAAAAAAAAAAAAAAGAAGTTGTTTTTTCTTTCTTGCACAATGACTGGTTCAAGAAGTGGACATGCAATTCAAGCCAGAGCAATCAGAGTTAATGTTCATATTTTCTTTAAAATTGCCTAGAGAGAAGAGCTCCCCTACTCCCCAATGTCTGCACGGAGTCCATGAGAGCAACTAATCTAAGAATAAGTCTAAAGCCCAAAGTAGGGCAGAGCCTGGAGACAGCAAAGAACCACAGCCTGCAACCCTGAAGGGCATCATAATCCTTTGCCATTTTTACTTCTGTAAACCATAATTATTACTATCTGTATTTTATTCATACTAGGATTTGTTATTTCTTACAAAGGTTTCTAAATAATACAAGAATGCAGGGTAGACACTAAAGATCTTGGCCTAGGAATCTAAAACAAAGCAAAACAAAAGAGTGGCTTAAAAAAATAAGATACTGAGTGAGTAGATGGATGTTCCCTGGAGCTTTTAATCTTACTTCTTGCTATTCATAGGGTAGTGAAGATCAAGTGAGAAATTACATGCAAATAAGAAGCACAGTGCCTGGCACATAGCACACAATAAACACTCAATCCTCCTATTTATACCTATCTTCTTGTCCTCTTGAAGAGAGGATGGAAAGCGGCATTAGTATTAAGCATTTCCAGTAACCACAAGCAATATTTGCATGAGAAAAATCTGAATTTACTAAAACTTTATCTTAACATATCTTCCTATTTGAAATTAATACATGGTTAATTATATTTGGCACTTCAATAGTTCCAGTAACTTTCTAACTTTTCTTGTAACAGAAAGTTCAAGAGATTTTGTTTAGTGTACATCCTCTCCCCTCTCAACACTTACCTTCCAGGGCCTTTAAAGCTTCCCGAGTTACTAAAGATGATAATGTTATACCCTGTGTCCTTCAAACATTCATTCACACTAACAGGTCAGTAAGTTAATTCACAGCCTTAATTGCTATGTACCTCTAACAGAAAGCCAGATGAAGGATTAACTCTGATGCATTCATTCATATGGATACTGATTAAGAGCCTACTATGTGCAGGCTCGATATTAAGTTCACTGCGTGCAACCAGAAACAAACCAAAAAAAGCTTTGAGTCTAGTGAAAAAGACAAGTAAAATTCAAACATTCACACAGGGAGACATAAATTGCAATTGTGACAAGTGCTGTAAAGAAGAGCATAGGTAGGATGAAAGCTCCTAAAATGGAGACCCTCAGGGAAGTAACAGGAGACATCCCTGGGTAGCTGATAATTGGCCTGAGGCTCAGAAAAGAGGTGAGAGAAGAGTGTGCTTCAGGCAGACACAACAAGTACTGTGGCAAGGAAAAGCAATGCGCTGTTTATAGTGAGGCTTCTCACAAAAACCAACAGAGCTGGGTGTGAGACTGGAGATTGTGAAGAATCCACACTGTCCATTCAGTCGCAATATACTCTAGACATCTGTACAGCTGGGCTACAAGTGGGACTGATGCTAGATACATCAAGGTTACATGTATACATTAGACACTGTAATTTATCTGCTTAAATCTCCATCAGAGAGTGAATGATGTATTTTAAGGCCTATCTGGCTCCCTTATTTAAAAAAAAAAAAAAAAAAAAAAAAAAAAAGACACGACCAGGAACGGTGGCTCACGCCTGTAATCCCAGCACTTTGGGAGGCCAAGGCAGGTGGATAGCTTCAGGTCAGGAGCTCAAGACCAGCCTAACCAACATGGTGAAACCCCATCTCTACTAAAAATACAAAATTTAGACGCGTGTGATGGTGGGGACCTGTAATCCCAGCTACTCAGGAGGCTGAGGCAGGAGAATCACTTGAACCTGGGAGGCAAAGGTTGTAGTGAGCTGAGATCATGCCACTGCACTCCATCCTGGGCCATAAAGTGACACTTAATCTTGGGAAAAAAAAAAAAAAGACACTCCGGACCTACTAATTTCAAATCTTTGTGAGTATAATCCAAAAATCCACGTTTTCAACCAGCTCCCAAGGTGCAGCTTATGCACTCTGCAGAATGAGAGTGAGTGATTACAGCAAGATTACTCCCTGAAGTGAATCATGTATTCCACCCTTAGAAAATCCTTCAAATAAACCAATCCATACATTAATGAAATAGAATGTTAGCACCATATAAAATGTTTAAATATTCTAAACAAATTCAATACCTTTTTAAAGCATAGATCTCCTCCTTTATAATTAAAAATATAACTTTTCAAAAAGACAATTTCATAAATACTGATTCAAATACTTGAAGAATGCAGGCACAAAGAAAAATGCAAATGTACACTTCCATCTTTCACAAGAGTGCTAATAGCACAAAGTAAAGAGGGATTCTGTCTGGAGTAGATGTGCTTTTTATAAAGTAATCTGGAGACTCAAACAATAGAAGAGCTCTCCAGTTTGCCTTATTCTACATTTCTACATCTAGGATACTAACTACTGACGTGATGATGTACATGAGATCTGAAAGAAAGGGACTTTTCCCCCATGAGCTCCTTATATAGACCTTAAAAATGTGCATCGCTTTGGATCAGATACCCATTATCAATTTGAACAGAGAATGTCTAAACCACTATTATCTGCAAATGATTCATGAGTGCAGGTATTTCGCTACCTGAGGATTTTAGTGAAACCATAAATATAAGAAAAGACAGAAGCTGGAATTCATAAAGGGCCTTAAAAAATATCTAGGGTAGAAAATTCTGTCCAATCTAAAGAAAAATGTAATTTACTAAATTTGACTCATGCTATTTCTAAAAGAGGTCTTCCTTATTTATCTGCTATTTTGCACGTTGGGCCCACCATTCCACAACAACAAACACAAGAGCTAAAGAGCCCACTGAAACTCACTCATTGTGAAAGCAGCTTTTCATGTAAATGTAAACCATTGATCATGTAGAGTTAACACTTAAAACAAACTAGAATAATACCTTTAAAGACTCGCAAAGCCATGACTTAACAAGGGAAAACTGAAGCTATTTCTACATTTAAAAGGTGAAAAAAAGAAAAATTTTGAAACATGCACACACACACACACATATACATACATGTATTTCTGGCACATGATATGTAAGGTAATATAAAAATCTCCAAGTACTATCTTTCCTATTCAAATTCCAAAGGTAAAAGCAATCCACTGTCTTCTTATATCAAAGATACAGTTATTTGACCAATTAATCTACAGAAAAACAAACAATATCCTTCTCTGACATTTATAAAGTTAACCATGCATATTAAATCATTGAAATTTTTAAGGGCTTATTTCTCTCTCTGCAGTTCTTTTTGAGATACATTCACCCTTTAACATAAATAAAACTTCTGGAGTCCACCCATTAATCAAAGACCACTAAAAGCTAGCATAAAAAGGAATGTATACCACATGATTGGCTACTGAATACCTAGTGATAAAAAATGCATAAAACTAATCTTTTACATTATGACTACTATATCCACTATTCATGGACTGTTTTCATCATATCAGATATGGTGCTTAACGTTTTACAAAAGAATACAGCGTTCAATCCTAGTAAGTCTGTTGGGGGTACTCATTATCATTCCCATTTCATAGAAGAGAAAATTGAGACCCAAGGTCAACTGGTTTACAAGGGTCAAAGCTGTGATACAGCCCATGATCATCTGATTTCAAAACCTATGCTCTTCACATGTAAGCAATATAAATAATATTTTTCCAAACAGCCCAAACATTTAGTCTAAATAGGACTCCCAATGTCTTCAGCTCATTTCAAGAATATACATTTGTTGTGCCTTCTTTTCTTGAGACAGAGTCTTGCTCTGTGGCCCAGGTTGGAGTGCAGTGGGATGATCTCAGCTCACTGCAGCCTCCGCCTCCCAGGTTCAAGAAACTCTCTGCCTCAGCCTCCCGAGTAGCTGGGATTACAGGCATGTGCCACCACACCAGGCTAATTTTTGTATTTTTAGTAGAGATGGGGTTGCACCATGTTGGCCAGGCAGGTCTTGAACTCCTGGCCTCAGGTGATCCGCCTGCCTTGGCCTCCCAAAGTGCTGGGATTACAGGCACGAACCACCCCGTCTGACCTGTGGTGCCTTTTATAAGGAAAGTTCACTCTTGAGTACCATAACTATGGGCTTGCTGGTTTCGGATTACTGGTTTGGTCTGAACTGACCAAGTGATTTCTGTAATCAAGAGTTCAGGGTATAATGTTGTGACCTCAAAAGAAAGGCTTTTTTCCTCTAAAATAAATTACTAGCTTGTATTAGATCATTTCACTTTTTGGTACCAAACTTATACCAACTAAAACAATTCATCCAATATGATTCAAAAAAATGTTAATATTGGATCAGCAATGTGATGAGTTCAGAAAGTGTCTAAATTAAATAATTCTGTCCATTTAACAGAGTTCTCCATAATAAAGTCAAAATAAAGCAAAGGTTCATGACAATCACTACCATAATTTGGGTTGGTTCTGGCCATGGGCCCCCATCTAGGTGAAGAGCTGAGAAATGCACACCCACTTCCCAACTACAACAACAGGAATTGTTTTGCCTTTATGTTTTGAAACCTGCTAAAATGCAAATAGGCTGTAAAGAGAGAACAACTTATACATCATCGGTTATTTACCTCTCAGTGTGGACAGGCTGATTGGAATCTTTCCTGGGAGAAGATTTGTCTATAAGATAGAAAGTGAAAGAAAGGTGGGAACATTAGCACCTGGCAGAGCAAGGAGCTAGCAGAAGTGGAAGCTGCTGAAGGATGAGGGAGTTGGAGAGCATCAACAATAGAGACTTCCTACATGCCAGTCTGGCCATGCCCAGCCAGTGTTGAAGGCCATTCTTGCTCAGTGGGAAGATTCAGTGGCTGGTCCAGAGACAGCATTCCTGAGTGCTATGGGCAGGCCTGAATCAGGGGTCCCATACTGCCTGCAGACCTGTTGTCTTCAACACCAAGGAACTGCCTGTGAGACTGACCACAGATACCCAAGCACTCTGAAGTGAATATGTGAAACCCGAAGAAAAGGGTAAAATTTCTAAAGCAATGAACATATTTTAAGACTTTCTCAATCTTCCTCTTTGGAGACACTCTTTGTGGAATATGAAGTGATGAGCATTCCTGAGGTTTCAGGGGGCAGACCCAGTCCCTCACATCCCCACCCTAGTGCCTGAGTCCACGATCCAGTATCTCCTAACCAACAGCTTATTATTATATTGTCATTGGAAGGAGTCTTTGAAACAACTGTTGACTTGAATAATCAATCAATTCTTGTCAGAGGTGTTTTGCAACCTCTCCACAAGAATCAGAAAGTAATTCCAATCACCTTAAATCATGCCATTTCACCCAGAGACCTTTACTGTGAATTAGGGAAGGGGGGAGATCAGAAGCAGAGAGATAAAATACCTTTTGCATATTTTAACCATAATCAGTCACTTTATTTCATGACTGAATGGTGTTTGCTATCATTTCATTATAGTGAATCATCTCCAAGAGAAGATTCCAAATTGAAGCAATTCCTTGGAAACAAACAAACAAACAAAAAAAAAAAAAACATGCACAGACCCCTGCCCTGATATTTCTAAGTAGCCCGACGAACATAGTCGCAAGTAGTGTTTCCCAGAAATAAAGTTGTTCTTGCTTTTCTTGGATTTTTTAAATGTAAATTGTTCAAAAACTATTTTAATCCCAGAGTTCATATAGGGAGTGAGGTGACTTGGCTCTTTAACAGTCTCCAGAACCATCTATTTAGATATACAAGGCTGTAATCATGGTTCTGCTGTAGCAAAGGAAAAAGAAGGGTAAGACCACATAAAGGGTATGAACAGCTCAATATTAAATGTTGGGGAAAACTACAGTTGAACTAGGACTGGTTAATCTCCATTACTGCTTTGGGACTAGGTGAAGGAGGTATTTCAAATCACTATAATATATATATATCTGATGTGTAGATGACCACGACATACAAGAATATGAAATCGATGGGGAATATATCTGCTAACCGTATCAGTGTGATACAGATTTAAATTGCCTACTTTATTTTAAATATGTCCTATCTGAAAAATAAATCCTCGTGTTTTATCTTCTGCATAAAAATTTACCACAAAATAGCATTAACTTTATTTTAGCAGTAGCAATGATATTTATATGAAACAAAATCTGTGAAACAGATCATAACTACTACTTCACTTCCTTAAATGACTCCTAGGTTAAAAAAATGATAAAAAGTGAGGAGAGAACAGAGAAAAGGATAATGTAAAGTTCAGCCATCAAAAATGGCTTCATTAAGAACCTTAATGAAGCTCATGGGAGCCATTTATTGACTCCTCAACTATTAAGATGTAACATTATTACTGCTTTAATAGTATTTCCATTTTCATTTAGGAAATAACTAATCAAGGGATCAATGTACCAAAGACTTTATTCTCTTTCCCTTGGGTCACTGCAAGTACATTTTTTAAAATGCAAAAAAACATTACGAGCAATTCCCCCTGGCACCATATCGCATGAACAATTTAAAGAAATAACAAGAAGGGTGAAAGGTCAACAGCTACCGATCTGAGCACTGTCATAAAACAAATGAAACTCGGTGAGTGGAAAGTCTCCCTTTCTGGGAGAGGGAAGGGATCCCTTCCACTGCAGGGAAGCTTACCCTCCAAGGTATGCAAAGTGCCTCCACCCTGACCTGCTGTCAACCTGTAAAACATTTCTATTTCTCAGACTCACTTAGAATGCAAACTACTGTTTTCCTGGTAGTTCTCACAGCTCTGCTTCCTTTGAGGTACAGATGTGTAGCCACAGAACCCAATCAGATAACACCTATTTACATATTTATAAAGTCTCCTGTAAAATCTCCTATCAATTGTTGCTGCTATATATAGGCCTTTCAAAGTATCTTGTGGGCCCGGCGCTCTACTGCACCGCTCCCTTCAGGAACCTGATATATCGCATAATGTGATTTCAATGTAAATGGGGCCCATCACACAATCACACCACTTCACAAACTCTTTTCTGCTGGGGTAGCTTAAATCTAAACACACTCAAGCAGCTTGCTGCACTGGAGCAAGATTTCTTCCACATTAAAAAAAAAATTTTTTTTTTTCAAAAAAAATCCAAAACCCCAACACAACAATGCGAGGGGGAAAAAAAAAAATCTGAACGTTTTCTGCAGAAAGATGGGCTGTCTCCAAATCCTTGTGCCCTATCAGACAAATTAAAGTAAATCAAGCATGAAATGAAGCCGAAGAGCCCCGAGATAAGGCTCCTTTAAGTCGTTTACAGATTAGGATAGAAGAGGTGCATCTGGTCTCTGGCAGTGAAGGAGGCCAGTTTCTCAGCTCACAATAGCAGCCTGTGTATAGGATTACCTTACCTTGTCACTGACAAGGGAGGAGGCGCCTGCCTGCAAGACGTCTCTAACTAACTTCCTAATATTCCTGGTTAAGGTCTCTTATTAAAGTATTAATTGTTACGAGAGAAATACATTTTGATAAAACAAAACAACCCCCAGCCCATGCCCCTAAAAAAAAAATCCCACAGACTGATTTATGAACTGGTCAGAAGCTGATAAACTGAGGAGGTTGGGGGTAGGGGTCGGCTACCAGCAGATGAGCCTCTTCTCTTAATCAGGCGGGACTCTTCTGCTAGAGACAGAAGCTGATAAGTTTCCAGCAGGAATTAGTGACACGGCCAGGAAACTGTTACTGGTTGGACTGGTACTCTAGCAGCTGCCAGAAGGACCTCTCTTGTTATCAGATGGGATTTTGCTGCTGTAAACGGTGAGGTATTCTCCAAAAGAAACTGGACACTCTCTCAAAATGTTACGTGATTAATCGTTAAACTGTAATAGTAGGTGGGTGTAAGATTTTCTTGGAAGCATCTGGAATCCTGCAGCTTCTCAGTGAAGACCTTTTCTTTCCTTGGCACTCCTAGCAGCCTGGAAACTACCCCTTCTTTCCTTCCTTGACAAAGAACTTTTTCTTCTCCAATAAATTTTATTTATACCTTGTTTCTATTTAAGGAAATTCTTAATTTTCCACCACGGCTGAAAGACTGCCATCAGCCTAACCTACTCATCAGTTTCAATTACTCTCAACGCCATTCTACCTCAGTTTTCTGATTATATAGGGCAGTGATGATGGAGGGAGTGGTGGGGTTACTGTTTTCTCCTCTCCAGGGGTACAAGCACAACTTTTCCCCAAGACTAAATAAGACAGTCATGCTATTGGTTGGGCCGTTTTTGCACACTGTAGTGAAACCACCTGAGAATGAAACAGTATAATTCTATTAGGGCATTAAGCATTACACTCTATTCCAATAAAAGCTACTTCATTGTGCCTAAGGGCACATGACATTCATATTGCTCTTTACAGTTTATAATGTGTTGCCATTTGTATTTTCACATTTGAATTTCACATGCAACACTTTGAGATAGGTAATATTACCAAAACATTCTGATGAATAAAGTGAGGCCCAACTGGATTAAGTGACTTGCCCATAATCATTATGGTGGTTACATGCAAAGTCTAGACATAGAACCAAACACCACGTTCCTTCCCAATATGTAAGATTGCCTAACTATAATAATTTCTTCATGTTTGAATAAAAGGATTCATGAAGAAATTCTCACATTGTTAAATGATAGACACAAGTACTCACCCCTAACCTGAGATCACTCTTAGTCTCTGATTTGTGTGGTCTGCAGCATTGAGAGACACATGACACGTGTTAAGACATAGATACGAATGCAGGTAGATATTCTTTCATCTTAGATAACTGTATTCAGGATCTTTAGGTTAACATTATCAAATCATCTTATTAATAACAAAACATTTGTTTGCATGAACTTTAAACCTGGCCTTGGTCTGACACTCCTAGATCCATCTGTTCTCTCTACATTTCCAAAATTATCTCTTATTATGCTGTTTCAAAGGATCTACTTTCTTTTGTTTTTTTTTTTTTTTTGGAGACGGAGTCTGGCTCTGTGGCCCAGGCTGGAGTGCAGTGGCGCAATCTTGGCTCACTGCAAGCTCCGCCTCCTGGGTTCATGCCATTCTCCTGCCTCAGCCTCCCAACTAGCTGGGACTACAGGCACCCGCCACTACACCTGGCTAATTTTTTGTATTTTTTAGTAGAGACGGGGTTTCACCGTGTTAGCCAGGATGGTCTTGATCTCCTGATCTCGTGATCCGCCCGCCTCAGCCTCCCAAATTGCTGGGCAAGGTATCTACTTTCAACCCTGTTAATGTATATGATTTTATTTCTTTTCGAGTTTAGATACGATACTTACTGAAAAATAAGTGAATACATCTTTTGCAGATAATGTTTCTTATAAGTAAAAAAACACCATGAATGCAATTTTATTTAATGTCATTTCCCAAATTTCCATTTTGACACCAATAAGACAATAAAACAAAATATTGTGTTCCCGACGGAAGGTATCTTTGAGCAAGGTTGGTTAGCTGGGAAAGTAAAAGTTTCAAATACAAAGTAATTTTTAAAATATTATATTTCATTTTTAAGAAATAATCTGAATTAGAAGATTCTACCTGATAAATGAAACAATTTAGAGTCAAGTGTTACAAAGCACTTGGAAAATAACTCCTAATAGTAAACTCTGTGCATGTGTATGTAGATGAAAACTTGATGAAATTCATATGTTCAAAACATTTATGAATATGTCTGTAATTATTTTCAGTGGAGTAGGTTGAGTATAATCCTTCTCTCAGCACAGAATTGATATATTTACAAATCTGTGACCAAATGATGGTATCTAACAAGTGCTCACTGCTTGCTGCTCCAAAATAATAAACTATCTTAAATTATGCCAAAAAAGATAAGAGACATGCTTTATTTCCTTATTTATTAATACTGTGAGGAGGTGACATTTATTCATGATATTTACAGTGCTTCTTTACACTTGACTTTGGGGAAGGCACTGTTTTTGCTTCTTCATTGTGTATGATTTGGAAACAGATTTATTCCTGCTTTAAAAATATCATTGTTAAAAAAAGAGTTACAATATATTTTTCCTCCATAAAATATTTCCATCAAACACAGGCTAAAATATTCTTCATACATTTTATGTCATATTTTACCATTATTGGAATTTGAAACTGAAATTTCTTTATACAATAGCCATAAAATGAATTTATGGTATGGCATTTTATTGCCTTTTGTGTATAAATTGGCTATATATATCTCATTGATTACCAGTGATTAATCATTAGCTTAACTATTACGAATTTTCTTAAAGGAGTAGTAATAATATTTGAAATGTAGCAGAATACTTGAATCTTTCTTACATGGTTTTTAGCGAGGTAATATAGCATTTAACTAATTACAGAAACAGTAAAAGCCAAATACTGTATTTCTATTTTACTGACTTTATTAGAATGTCAACAGAAAAAAAAAAGTATGTTTTAATATGCTGCTTTGGGAGCTATTTTCCCATGTAAGTTAAAAATGTCCTAAGACAAACATTATTTTGAGTTTGTATCTATGTAGTGAATGAATGAAGAAATAAACTAAATGACTGACGCATTCCCCTATGTGCTGTGTGTGTTTCTCTAGACCTAAATCAATGTGACTCAAAGTTGCAGTTCTTAAACTTCCTATTGCTGGTCTTTTTACAGTAACAAAGTGCTATTAATACTATTACTACTAGTAGTACTAGTAACCATTTATAGACGATCTACTGTGTGTGCACTTTGATTATACCAAGTTTGCTCCTTAAATTACATCTTTTAATTCTCACAGCAGCTAACCTTGCAGAGTAGATACAATTTCTTTCATTTTACAGCTGAAAATCGAAGGCTCAGAGAACTGAAGTAATGGTGGTCAAGAGTCAGGATTCACACCTACATCTGTATTCCAAACCCATGTAATTTTCTGTGTGCCTTGCAATCTAATCTGGGGTCCTTTCATAATACAAATTAGACTGACATTTTTGTGAATAGTCAAATATGTTTGTTTCAGAAAAAAACTGGTAATCATTCCTTATTAATACTTTTTTCTTTTTGAAATTGTAATTGTAGATTATCTAATTCATCAACAAGAAAATACTATTCCCACAATAATTTATGGGAAATACAATTAGGTACTTTAAACTTGTTCTCTCTTAATTTTTCCCTTCCCTAGGAACCCAAGTAAACTTAATAAGCCTCAGGACTCAACAAGGCATGTTAACATAAGCACATCTATTTCTAATTAGAAATCATTATTATACGGTGTCAGAACATGGTTGCGAAATACAAGTTAACGTGCTAAATCTACACATTGATCCTCAAGAAGTAACTAACTTTGCATTTTCACAACATTCCTTATTGTCTGCATGTTATAGCCACATCTATTAAACTTACAGTGTTTTTTCACGCAGGCTAGGAACTGAAAATCTATCACAGAAGTCAAACTAAAAAAGCGCGATGGCCTGCTTTATTTAATGACATCCAATTTAAGAAGGCTGTTGAAGTTCTGATGCCATCACTTCTGCGATTTCTCTTTGAAGAGTTTCTTAAACTGAGGAAGTGTAATTTTTTGACACATCACTAGGAAGTTCCCAATCATGTGAGGGACATGGAGCCAAGGTTTGTCATACTTGTTAATGGTGATGGCAGCATTTGTCTATCTTAAAACCTCTTCCACTTCTCCTCTGCTCCTGCTGCTGCTTATCAACTCTCAGTCAACCATATTCTCTGAGCAATCTTGTGTTCCCCTAGACTAAATAAAGACAAGATGATAATATCCTCTTCTGTCTTCCTGTATGCAATTAAGAGGGATGAAATGGGCAGTGCTCTTGGCAGGAATTCTCAGGGAGTTGTGGAAGAAAAATGTTTAAGAACCACTCCCTTGGATTTAATCCTAGGGGAGTTATCTCTAAGAAAGCCCTGTTCCTTACTTCTTGACAAGCCACAGAATACAAACATTTAAAAAATAAGGGCAGCTCCAACCAACTATCTGCAGGGGAATGTTATTCATGAAATCATGGGGTTCAAATGATGCCACAAAACAGAATGGATACCAGCAGCGACTGCAGTGATTAATAAACCTTAAAATTCTTCTACTGCAAGCCAAGGAATCAAGTTCATCATTCAATCATTTCAAATTGTTTTCTAGGTCATTGTTAGGGTCAGTTATAATAAAAACACTTTTCCTCCTCTACCACATACCTTTTCTAGTCAAATAGCTTAAATAAGACTTTATCAATGTGAGTAAATAGTACCTTCCTTAAGGGTGCTTGGAACTATGTGCTAATAGTGTTTATTATTTTCTCTCTACAAATACTTTAAAGTATGTTAAGCTTTCATGGCACACTCTGGTTAGTTCATTAATAATATCACATAACCCTGCTCACAGATATCAAGTGTGGCTCACTGATATTTTGGAGTCTGTTCCCAATGCATAGAGCCAGGCCAGTCTTTTTTCCTATCTTTTATCTGTCTCATTCCCATGGTCTTTATCTTGTTTTTTTCCATAGACTATTTTCCCAAAATGTCAAAATTGTTTGGAAATTTATTCTTATCTACATAGTTAACAAATTTTATTATTGCTCACCAGCATATGATCTGTAAACTAAATGTTCTCAAATCTACAATCTAGGTCAGGATAAAGGTGCTCCATTCAGTTATTTCTGGACCATTACATATCAACATTCCTTCCTGATTAATATAAAAGCCCTCTTCTACCCTCTTCGAGTTGCTCCCTTTATGTGTGGTTTCTATAGAGTTTATGAATATAATTTATTTCCAGGGGGCCTTTCAGAATCCAATAGTTACCTGATATCACTTACACACCTTGAAACAACAGTTAAGACTGAATAATAATTAGTAAAACTGATAGCTTTATTTGCTTGTTATTCAGTCTCTGGACTGTCACCTTTTAGATGTGCCCGTAAGACACCAGATGCTGCTAAATATTTCCTGGAACTTGGACTCTCTCCTTTTGGTATAAAAGGGATTTGGCTTATCTACATGCCTCTATACCAGTCCAATTCCATCTTCATCAACAGAAACATAACTGGTCTTATTAATGATACCACCTGCTCGTAAGCCAATTGATATGGCCCCTGTGGATGATGACTAGTAGCTGATAATCAACCGTGGAGTATGAATCCACAGACAACTGTGCACTCACCTAACCCAAGTATGGTCTAGACCATATCTCCTTGCTTGTTGATGAGAATGTCATGTGGAGAGGAATCAAAAGCGTTACTGAAGTCCGGATAGATTACATCTATTACTTTGCCCTTATCTACATGGCCTGTCACTCTATCATAGAAGGAAATTAAATTGGCCTAGCACAATTTGCTCTTCACAAAACCATGTTGGTTGCTACCCACTAACTTTTGCTTTTCTAGATGATTGCAAATTGATTGTTTGACGATTTGCTCTAGTATCTACTTTGGTATCAAAGCTAAGCTGACTGGTCTATAATTACCAAGATCGTCTTTTTTTCTTCTTCTCCTTCTTTTCTTTTTTAGGGATAGCCACTACTTTCCCCATAAATGGTGACTTTTTTCCTGACCTCCTTAAGTTCTCCCATGTATTAATTAGTAACTCTTCAGTTTCAACCCTCAATATCTGTAGCATGCTTATCTTCAATTTCTACATTTTGATTGCATCTGTTTTTTAATTGATATTCTTTTCTAATCTATCCTTACTTCCCATGCTTTCAAAATGGGTATAATCAACTCTATCATATTATAAACTGAACCTTTCTTCAATAATTCATATATTTTAAAAAAAACTTATCCTCAAAATAATTTTCCAAGTCAATATGTAATTGTTTCTTAATATATCACTTGCTCTTTCTCTTTTGAGGAACCATCTTACTTTAAAGTTGAACATCTAATTTGTGTATACTTTTATTGTCATATCTACTTTTACTTGAATTTTTATTTAATGTCATCTTTTGTGTTCTTAATGTAAGTAAAAATGTATATTTATTTTATATACAGTAAACTTTGATGTATAATTCCATAAATGGTGATTAATCAGAAATCATCTAAAGAATATATATTAATGTTCTGTTGAATTAAAACATTGTGTTTATTTTACCTGTTTAACATATGTTTGAAAATTTCAAAGAGATATAGGAGATTCTTTATAATATAGTTTATTCTGAATAAAAGTCAATTAAAAATTCATTACTAACTTATCATAAAGAAAAGAAGATGGGCATGGTGGCTCACACCTGTAATCCCAGCACTTTGGGAGGCTGAGGCGGGTGGATCACGAGGTCAGGAGTTCAAGACCAGCCTGGCCAAGATGGTGAAACTGCAAAAATTAGCCAGGAGTGGTGGTGCATGCCTGTAGTCCCAGCTACTCGGGAGGCTGAGGCATGAGAATTGCTTGAACCCAGGTGGCAGAGGTTGCAACAAGCCAAGATGGTGCCACTGCACTCCAGCCTGGGTGACAGAGTGAGACTCAGTCTCAAAAAAGAAAAGAAAAAAAAAAAAGAAAAGTAAATTGAGCTGGGCGCAGTGGCTCACATCTGTAATCCTAGCAGTTTGGGAGGCCCAGGCGGGTGGATCACTTGAAGTTAGGAGTTCAAAACCAGCCTGGCCAACATGGTGAAACCCCCTCTCTACTAAAAATACAAATAAATTAGCCAAGTGTGGTGGCAGGTGCCTGTAATTCCAGCTACTTAGGAGGCTGAGGCAGGAGAATCGCTTAAACCTGGGAGGCAGAGTTTGCAGCCAGCTGAGATGGCGCCACTGCACTGCAACCTGGGCGACAGAGCAAGACTCCATCTCAAAAAAAAAAAAAAAAGAGAAAAGTAAATTCATATTGTTTGAACTTCACAATCAAAACATGTTCTTACCAGAACACCTTTCAAAAGAAATAGGAAAACTCTAAGGGTTGGGCACTACAAATTGGAACTGTTATAGTGACAATAAGTACAATTGTCTTTACACGTCTGTATTTGATAATTTGTATTTAAAAAATCACTTTATCTTGAGCTTTTATTAATTGTTTCTCCTGAAATCATTATAGAAGTAAACAGATGCTTAACTAATTTTGACTAAATCTTTCTTCTTTACGTTTTTCAATTTCAATAACCTTTATGGTCTTTTTAAGGTACTAGACATCTACATATTTGCCTTAGCTTTCGTCTGAATCAGGATTCTTTAAATTGGAATTTCAAGGACTATTTTAACTAAAGTACACACATAAAATATCTTTATTTATTGATGCAAACACTTCTATGGGTTTTTTTAAGACAAAAAAATTTAAAACAACATAGGTTTATGTTTAGACAGAATGTTTTTTGATTATAGTATTTTCTTCAATACTATACAATTAAATTTCCATTACAATATACTTAGCTAATAACCCATATATTATCACTTCTTAAAACCTAACGTTCTGTCTCTTTTTATTATTTTCAGGAATAAAAATCTCAGTGTAGTTGTTTACTTTCAATAGCTGTCAAGATTCTTCAAACATCAGAGATGTAACTGTTCTTGGAAAAAATTATAACATACACAGAAGGGATACAGGCCAGAAATGACACCTCATTTAGTTGTAAATATAAAAATGCCATTCACTTACATTATTTAGAATAATTTCTTAAGTGTTTGGTTTATACTGACATTCAACTATTCTGTTTATTCTCAAATTTAAGCAAGGTATTTCCTTATCTTACGTTTAAAAAAAAGTATTGTATCGATAATTTCTAAAGTCATATTCTATTCATGCCGATATTTAGCATGCTAGTCAGTAGGATAAATAATATGCTATGTATTGGGTTCAAAAGGGATGATAAAAGGAGAAATCATTAAATTATCACAATTATAAACACACAGTATAACAGAAGTTTTTAATATTTAGCCACTAATGTACAGAAAACAGCTTATGAAAATTATAATTTGGAATAGAAGAGTTTTAGACAAATCCAATTGATTCTTCTCTGCAATAACGGAGACAAGTAACTGTTTCACCAAAATGCGAAACAAAACGTATCCAAGATTATTTGGTGCCTTGGAATTGCAAATGATTACATTTTATTTTTAACCTAATTTATGAAAGTTCCATGTAAGAATGTGATCGCTCTGAAGAAGCCTTGACTCTAATCCTGTCATTGCAAATCCTACATTTCTAATCACCCATGCTCCAAACTTCCCCCAACCTCCACCTCTGCCCCTACAAAAAGCTCCTTTCTGCTCTTAACAACTGCTATTAGTAAAAACTCCTGGGTCTCCTCTAAAACAATCATTTTGGTCTGGAAATAATCGTTAAATTTATACAGGGTGTGAGGAGTTGAAAAAAAAATGAGTGTTTCAGATTCAATTTTAAGCTGTTTAGAGTATCTGTGGGATATGAAAGAAAAGTTGTGGAAAGTACAGAGAGCTTGGGAATCTGACCATGGAATCTTCTCTCCTTCCATTAAAACCTTAGAATTTCCTCCTTCACGTTCAGATACATTTTACTCCAATCTATTACACTCACTGCCTGAAATTCCTCTGACTATGAGGTTTCTTTTGTTTGTTTGTTTTGTTTTAGATTACAATATCCTCTTTAGAAAAGTAAGGAAATTCTTAGAATGTGACTATCAGTCATTCCACCTTTTCTAGGTTTCTTTTGTTTGTTTGTTTTGTTTTGGATTACAAGTATCCTCTTTAGAAAAGTAAGGAAATTCTTAGAATGTGACTATCAGTCATTCCACCTTTTCTCTCCCAGCTCCACCCTTTTTTTTTTTTTCTGGAATCTAGAAGAGATGCCCTTAAACTGACGTCGCATTGCCTGAATTGTGGCAGAAAAAAGAGTAAGGTGGTACCTACCTGTGCAGCAGGCAGATGTCAGGGCAGGAGGGAAGGGCTAAGGGTGGGGAACACCAGCAGAGAGAGGAAGGGAGAGCAAGAGGGGACAAGAGGCTGAGGCAAACTATGCCTATTTTAAATGTTTCCTGGAGTTGGCTATGTGCTCAGAAATGGGGAGAAGTCTCTTTTCTTACACTTTATATTCCACACTTCCAATCCTGTTACTAACTGCCTGCCCCAATGCCTGCAAGGATCCAAAAATCAGGTTTTATTCTTATTATGGTGATGCAGCTCCCATGAGACAGATATTAGTAGGCTGGCCATAATGGCTTCTTATCACGTGCAGATCAAGTCTAAATGCATTTGCACAGCATGCAAGGCACCTCTTATTCATTCCCCTGACCATCTCTCCAACTTCACTGCCCATCCTCCCAACCAAGCTCCACCAGGAATGAACTGCTTATAGGCTTCCAAACATGCTGAGCTTTCTCATAGCATCGAATCTTTGCATATGCTCTTCCCTCCACATCTCCCTCCTTTTAACTCAAGTTACGGCTATTTTGCAGGGATTTAACTGTGCTAAGAGCAGATGCTTGGGATATAAAAATGAAAAGAGAGGGGTTTAGGATTCAAAGCAAAGGGGAGACAGCTACTAAGTAAACTACAAAATAATTGCTAAACTGAAAATTGTATAAAGTGTACTGGACAGATGATGTTCCTAATTCTTATCCATGAAATATTTTCTGCCTTCTTAGAGGAAATAGCACCTGACACAACACTAGCCACATTGTAGGTGATCAATCAGCACATGTCTAAATAAATTAATTAAAAAAGAATCAATTAGAAATTCCACTGAAAATTCTTCTTAAATATAACCAACTTCATTATGACAAGCTATGAATACAGAGCTTACATACATGTTATATATCAATATGTGAGTAGATAAAGAATGAATGCCTTAAATTGTTGGATTTTTTATTGTTTTTGTTCTTGTTTTGGAGATGGGGTCTCACTGTCACCCAGGATGGAGTGCAGTGGTATGATCAAAGCTCATTGCAGCCTCAACCTCCTGGGCTCAAGTGATCCTCCCACCTCAGCCTCCCAAGTAACTGGTACCACAAGCATGTACCACCACACCTGGATTTTGTTTTTTTTTTTTTTTTTTTGGTAGAGACGGGGAGGGCCTCCCTATGTTGCCCAGGTTAGACCTGAACTCCTAGCTCAAGTGACCCTCCCACCTCACCCTCCCAAAATGCTGAGATTACAGGCATGAGCCACTGTGCCTGGCCTAAATTATTATTATTTTATTTATTGAATTTACCTTCAAACTCAAAGTGCCATTGTTACTCTCGCAGTATTCCAATATGGAATAGTGAAATGCAGACTAAAAGTTGTCACTCAATTTCCTAAACATGGCTCCATCCCACAAAGTTCTTCTCACTACCGCCTATCGACCACTAAGCTTCTGCCTTTATAATCTTATCCGTTCCTTCACTCCAGCTACCTAAAAGAGAAACAAAGTGTTCTGCAATTATGAAGTAAAAAAGCTAATTCTTAATATATGTTTTTTTCAGTGTGAACAGAGAATGAACAGATAAAGGGTCCAGCTTAAACCTTGATACACCTTGATAAATATGGGCAGAGAATTTCCATTTTTCTCAGCACCATATGTCTAAATCAATAAATTATACCAAATTCCTATTATTTAAACTTTGGCTTAATTATTTTATTTTTATTCCAAAAAATGCCTTTGCTAACTGTTGAAACCATATATCATGTTACTCAAGCTTAGGTTTTTGTTCTTGCATTTGTTTTTTGTTTGTTTGTTTGCTTTTAATGGTCTTTTTCTGTCACACTGGATTACAACTAAGGATTAGGTTTGATATCAGAATGCTTTAAGAGTCACTTAGGCCAGGCTTGGTGGCTCATGCCTGTAATCCCAGCACTTTGGGAGGCCAAGGTGGGTGGATCACAAGGTCAAGAAATGGAGACCATCCTGGCTAACACGGTGAAACCCGCTCTCTACTAAAAATACAAAAAATTAGCTGGGTATGGTGGTGGGCACCTGTAGTCCCAGCTACTAGGGAGGCTGAGGCAGGAGAATGGTGTGAACCCTGGAGGCGGAGCTCACAGTGAGCCCAGATCTCGCCACTGCACTCCAGCCTGGGCGACAGAGCGAGACTCATCTCTTTTTTTTTTTTTTTTTTTTTTGAGACGGAGTTTCACTCTTGTTGCCCAGGCTGGAGTGCAGTGGCGAGATCTGGGCTCACTGCAACCTCTGACTCCCGGATTCAAGTGATTCTCCTGCCTCAGCCTCCCAAGTAGCTGGGATTACAGTCATGCGCCACCACGCGCAGCTAATTTTGTATTTTTAGTAGAGACAGGGTTTCTCCATGTTGGTCAGGCTGATCTCAAACTCCCGGGCTCAGGTGATCCGCCCACCTTGGCCTCCCAAAGTGCTGGGATTACAGGCATGAGCCACCATGCCCGGCCTGACTCCGTCTCAAAAAAAAAAAAAAACCAAAAAAACAAAAAAAAGAGTCACTTCAACAGCAGTGAGATCACCTTAAATAAAATGCTGGGCCTGTAGATACCACCTCAGCCAGGAGATTAAGTTCAACCTCACCAGAATAAGATCTATGAACATTGTCTGCTTCCTGACATGATGCACTGGGAAAGGCATATTATTTTTGTTTTATTCTTGCCCCAAACACATAACTTCAATCTAATCATGATAAAATATTAGAAACAAACCCAAATTTAGAGACAGTCTACTAGATATTTGAGTACCACTCTCCAAAAGTGTCTTGAAAGACAGGGAAGATTGAGGAACTGTTATAGATTGGGGTAAGAAGATACAAAACCACTGAACCACCAATGCTGGCTGGGCGTGGTGGTTCAGGCCCATAATCCCAGCACTTTGGGAGGCCAAGGCACGGGAATTG
Organism: Homo sapiens; assembly: GCF_000001405.40. Classification (NCBI taxonomy): domain Eukaryota; kingdom Metazoa; phylum Chordata; class Mammalia; order Primates; family Hominidae; genus Homo; species Homo sapiens. Next base: position 105,496,248 of record NC_000008.11, on the reverse strand, counting down.
CTTGAGCTCAGGAATTCAAGACCCAGCCTGGACAACATAGTGAGAACTCCCCCTACACCTCTAAAATAAATATATAAATAAATAAATAAATGTAAAAAAGATACAAAACCTAAATGTAATGCAATACTGTGAAGATCTTAGAATAGGGAAAGACATTCATAGGAGAAAAAATTCAGAAATCTGAATAAAGTCTGGAGTTTAGTTAATAGCATTGTATCCATGTTAATTCCCGGCTTTTTTGTAATCCTAATATGGCTACGTAAAATCATAACATTAGAAGAAGCTGGGTATAAAGTATGGGAACTCTCTGTACTATTTTTGCTACTTTTCTGTAACCCTAAAATTATTTCCAAACAAAAAGTTAAACAAAAATAGTGGTGTGATAAAAACACATAGGCTGTGATTAAGAAGTTCAGTGAAACTGTAAAACTGGTGGCAGCAGGTTTTCAAGAGTAAGAATAACCTTAAGTTAAAACTCCAAGCATGGCAAACAGTCAATATCCATTTCTTCTTCTTCTTCTTCAGAAAAAAACGATGAAATGTTAACTGACAAAAAGGGCACCCACAATAAAAGCCTCCTGTTTTGCAGTTGATGTGGACTAAAGACTGAGAGGAAGTAGAGATATCCTTAAAAGGAGGAAGAGAATCAAATAAAATAAATTCCTACCTATGGATATTTATAAGGCAGGAACAAGCAAGCAAGCAAACTAACAAACTTCTACAAGCAAAAGCAAATATTTAAAGGTTAAGAAACATGTCAAATAAATTGGTGGAAGATTCACAAAAAAATGGCAATCTATACATTCCAATGTATTCATTCTTTCCTGTATCAAGGGAGCAAAATTTTTTTTAAATTATACTGTAAGTTCTAGGGTACATGTGCACAATGTGCAGGTTTGTTACCTATGTATACATGTGCCATGCTGGTGTGCTGCACCCAGGGAACAAATGTTTACTAAGCCAAGGACTATACATTTTGTCGATGACATTTAGATTAATAAAATGTAATTGCTGTCCTCAAGGAGATTAAGATGTGGTGAAGAAGAGGGACACATAAACGAATGACTAAAAAGTAAACAAGATGTTCAAGGCTTTGATAAACAGAAGACTGGTGGGACCTAGCAATGGCTAAAGGTAGGTCAAGAGTGGGCAAACTACAGCCTGTGGGCCAAATCTCAACCACTGCCTTTTTTTGTATAGCTATCAGCTAAGAGTAGTTTTTATATGTTTAAATAGTTTTTAAAACAGTAGAAGATTAATATTTCATGATATGTGAATATTATATAAAATTCAAATTTCTATGTCCACAAATAAAGTTTTGAATTTCATCAATAAAAATTTTGTGGACATTTGTCTTTCTGTTTCATTATATAAGAACCAACATGGTATCCTTTTATTTGCCTTTTGGCCTAAAAACCTAAAATATTTGCTATATGGACTCAAACAGAAAAAGGTTTCCAAATCCTGCCCTAAGCCATCAGAATTCTGTACATCAGAATTCTTGTTAAAACACAGACTGCTTGGTTCTTCATGCTGAGTTTTTGACTCGGTAAGTCTGGGATGGTACCTAAGAATTTTCTAACAAGTTCCCAGATAATGCTGTTACTGCTGGTCTGGAGACCACACTTTGAGAATCAGTAACTTAGTTATTATCTTCTTCAAAGGACAATGGAAAATGTCAAGGATATAGATGGAGTAACAAGACACTCTAGGCAGAGAGCATATGGAAAGGAAGTCATGGACATGGCATAGTCCAATATGGTAAATTCAAAGGGAAAAATGATGACAGCCCTTATGAAAGCAAAAGCACCTAGGGATAGAGACAGATACAAGAGAGGAGAGAGACAACGTCTGCAGAATTAGGTGTGGGAGGTACCCAAGAGTCGAGGATGACACCTGGGTCTTAAGCGTGCGGAATGGATAGATGGTGATGGTTTCCACGGAAAAGTGTAATGCAAAAAGAGTAGTTGATTTGGAAGGAAAGCTGCAAAATTCACTTTCAGATATGTTGAGTTTGAGATTATATATATATATATATATATATATATATATATATATATATATACTTTTGGTGGCAGCTTAAATGTGAGCTAAAGCTACATATTTGGAAGTCACTGACCTAGTGACACCTCAGATATGGGTGAGATCACCAGGAAGCATGCACAGGCTGAGTAGAAGACAAGCCTGAAGGCAGAATCTTAGGCAATACCCACATTAAGGAGGCTTCAAGGGTATGGGAAAGAGAAGGCCAACCCCAACAATATGAAGATAGTTTCAAGAAGTTGCTTTGGTTGTTTTGGAGGTCAGAGAAGTCAAGCAATAAGTAGTCCTTGAGTTTGACAGGCAAAGTAATTCCTAAAATTGAGAACTGTGTTACTGTAGCATGGGGATAATTAGGAGAAAATATAGAGGAAAAAATAGGAGGATACTTTTTATAAGGCTTGCTGTAACAGAAAAGAGAGACAAAAGACTGTGGTTAGAAGCAACATAAGATATGTCAGTGGACAGATTAACTGCTTGTCTGACTATTGATAGATCTATCTATCTATGGGAGACATATTAAGAGTTTAAAGTAAAAGGTAATGGTTTGGAATACCACAGCAGGGCCAGAGTGCTACAACTGGCAAGTGGAACTGAGACCAAGGTGGGAGAATCTGATAACCACAGTGCACAAACTTTAGTGTTTGTCACAACCGGATGATGTCATCAAGTGACATCACAGGTGGAGCAAAAGAAGTACTTCTCTTATCACTTGCAGTGTGTGTTGTATAGCATGCGGTACAAGATTGTCTAAATCTCAAGGCATAAAGTGTAAAAAATTGTGGACTTCATCATCTTTCTTCAAGGGTTTAGTCTGGAAATAACTGTCACTTTCAAATACCTGCTTTTCCAAAAAGGATTCTGATGCTTTCCATATCCCACTGCCAGAATTTCCAGCAGCACCTCCAAGAATCATTTTTCTTTGTTCACAGACAGCTGCTAAGTTACACTTGGGGGTGCTGAAAGAAACAGAAGCTCAGAAAGTCATATGAGGCCAAGCTAATAACTGGAAGTCCTAAGATCAACCCATATTCTGTATGAACAAACTTTTAATTTGCAATGAAAGTCATTAAGAGAAAATAATTAAATTTATAGCATTTCCAAAGCCAGACATATTTAATCACATTTAACTCCTACCATATTATTTCTTATAAATGCTGCTTCCACAGTGGGGAAGTAATAGAGGTCTCAAGTCAACTTAGAGTCTAACAAAACTGAGTCAATGACAAAATATACAAAAAATACTACATTAATTTAGGAAGCAAATCCATTGAGCATTCCTAACTACTGCAAATGCAGGGCATTAATTACTATGTATTTGTATATTATATTTTACTTTACAGTATCAAAAATGTAGGTTGCATTTTACAAATATAAAATCTATGAAAATTCTCATTTATAGTTATTTACATTAAAATCAGAACAGAAGTTTTGCATCTAATTATAATCATTACTAATCAGTATTGTTCGATGAGGATTTATATGGCAGGAATTTTATGTGTACTATTACATTTACTACTCAAAACCTCTATTAAATGAATATAATTACTTCCTTGAGCTGAGCAAAGCTGTAAGCAAATAGTAAAATCTCACACTATTTCTTTACACTGATGGTACTAAAATACTTCTTACCTTTGTTGTACTTGACACTTTGTTGGCCTTTATGTGTAGGGCAATTTTCCCTCATTTGTCATTTTCCCAAGAAGCAATATATGTATCTTTTCTTCTTAAGAAGTGAAACAGATGTCTAAGCATTTTGTACAAAATAGTATTTTTTCAGGTTTACATATTTTAGAAAGTTCAATACTATTTTTTCAGTACTAGAGATAATCTGGGATTTTGGCAGCAATTACCTTTAGTGGAGTTTCAATGTCAAAGTATGTAAAGTTGGAGAAATACATATGTAATTGGTATACAGATAATCAGCATGTGGAAATTCTATATCCTTAAAAAGCACAAACAATGGATGCAGTTGTGGAGACTAGTGTTTTAAGATGAATTATAATTACTGTCTAATGCAGAGCTTAAAAACGCACAGTAAAACAGAAACATATTTGAATTTCTTTGTTTTAACACAGTTTGTTAAATTGATTTATCTCTTCCATAAGGATTATTGTTGATGTTTGTAGGCTTTGAAAAACTGGAACTACTATAATAATCACGTATAAAGAAGAATTGAGAATGAGTCTAAAATTATAAGAGATGAAGGACATTTGCAATTGAGCTTGGAATTCAAAAAGTGTAATGACTTGTGTTGTATTTCCAACAAATATTTCATTTTAATTAAAATTCAGGATTTTAAGTTTCATATGTTTAAATACTACACATCATAATACATTCTTTTAAAAAATCAATTTTTGCATATTATCTATAACCACTAAGTCACTCTTTACCAAAGAACATTTTTTACAAGGTAGATATAAGGCAATAAATTCACTATTCTATCCTGTCCTTCTGGCACTTAGAGTTAAGGGAAAAAAACAGAAAATCTTCAAAAATTATTTGGATGTAAGTGGCCCAATTCCACATATGAAACATACAGCTATTCTTTCTTTTTCCACCATTAATTACAGACAAATTCATCTTGCTCTTGTGAAGTCTGAAGTTTGTTGTTATTATTGTTAGATGAGTTGCATTCAAACTCCAACAACAACAAAAAAGATGAGGCCAACATTGAAATTCATCTCACAGTCCGGAATTTACTTAACGGCCAGCCTGTGCACTGTGATAAACGGAATGATGATCCGGCAACATGTCTTTATCCATGGTTTGCTTTAATTAATGCCGGCTTGTTTGTTGAAAAGATGATTAATATGCCAATGAAAATTGCATAATTGAATACCACAACACTGGCACAATCAGAAAGACACATGCAGTTTTTTGATTAACATTTATTATTATTATTATTATTGTGCTTCTTAATGTACTCTTCTCACTATGAAAGGATGCAGTTCTTTGACCAAGAGGTGAAAGAAAACAGGGCTGAGGGCAGGATACTTCATGAGCAAGAGTAAAATACAATGTGGCTTAATCAGAGTGAAACAGTTCTTTGGTTGAAATGGTCTTCAGAATTTCAAATTGCAGGCAATTTCCAATTAAATATACATGCCATCCAAATATAAAAGAGTGTTACTGTGGGTGATGACAGAAGATTTTTAAAAAACCAAATATTTCTAAAAACAAGATGTTTGCATAATATCAAGAAGAGTGGTCTTGGGATTTATATCTTTGATATAAAGATGACCTTTTAAAATTATCATTTTATTTCAATAGTAAAATTTTGAGTACATATTTTTAAATATTGTCCTTTAAAAGCCTTATTTTTCATTAGTTATATGTTAGAAAATGTTTTCAGTGTATGATCTTAAGACATGCAAGTACTGTATTTTGTACACATCATTTTATATTAGATTGGAAGTTTTATTTTTAATTTCATTCATTCAAGCACTTATTTACTCAGCCATGTCCATGGGCCTGGCTCTATACTTCCTACTTACAATTTAAACATATATAAGAAAGTATTCCCGCCTTCAAATTGCTCATTTTAGAAATATGAAAATAAAATGCTACAACAAAAGTTGGATTTTCTATCTTCAGAATTAGCTCAATATCACTTGTTTAAATATAACATTGATAACCAAATACACATATGTGCAAAATGTATGTAAACATAGTTATACCTTTGAAGTTTTAGGCAACAATAGCTGTGGTCTGTCTATCTGCTACAGCAAGAAACAAAAAGGACTATTATTCTGGACTACAGATTTTTAGTGGTTCTCTATTGCTGTTTATGTAGAAATAACTCCATATAGCATTTAAAAAATTATAAAAATGGAAAGCTTTTACCAGAAAGTAGTTTATAAAAGATAACACCATCTCAGTTTAGAAATAAACTCAAATGAATAAAAATAAACATTTGATAAAATTTTAAACTTGCTAGGATATCATTTTTCTTTTTTTTTGAGACGGAGTCTCCCTCTGTCTCCCATGCTGGAGTGCAGTGGCAGGATCTTGGCTCACTGCAACCTCCGCCTCCCGGGTTCAAGCAATTCTCCTGCCTCAGCCTCCTGAGTAGCTGGGATTACAGGTGCCCGCCACCACGCCCAGCTAATTTTTGTATTTTTAGTAGAGACGGGGTTTCACCATGTTGGTCGGGCTGGTCTTGAACCCCTGACCTCGTGATCCACCCACCTTGGCCTCCCAAAGTGCTAGGATTACAGGTGTGAGCCACCGCACCTGGCAGGACATCATTTTTTAAAAATAATCTACTATAAAAAGCTACACAGAAATCATATGAGGTAATTAGTTGTGAGTCCCCTTTGTTAAAATCTTCAGAAGCTTGATTTGTTTTGAAAATATAAGTGTAAGAATTTGATAGAGCAATTTGAATTTCTTATGATTTTAGTTAAGAATGAGAAAACAACTCTTAAAATACAGCTTTTTTGGGTCAGGCACAGTGGCTCACACCTGTAATCCCAGCACTTTGGGAAGCCAAGGCAGGTGGTTCACCTGAGATCAGGAGTTCGAGACCAGCCTGGCCAACATGGTGAAACTCCATTTCTACTAAAAATACAAAAATTAGCCAGGCATGGTGGCATGCACCTGCAATCCCAGCTACTGGGGAGGCTGAGGCAGGACAGTTCCATGAACCCATGAGGCAGAGGCTGCAGTGAGCTGAGATCATGCCACTGCACTCTAGCCTGGGCAACAAAGTGAGATTCCATCTCAAAAAAAAAAAAAAATATATATATATATATATAAAAACATATATCTATAAATATATATAAAAGATATATCTATAAATATATATAAAATATATATCTATAAATATATAAATATATACCTATAAATATATATATAACGTTTTACATATACATGAAACGTGTTCTTGTCATAATGAATGGTAAAGTGATATCATCTTATTACCGACATTATTTGGCAAATTTCTTCTAAATAGAGAATATTTAGCACAGGATTTTTCTCTAACTGATTGCTGAAAATATGACTATGCGGTGACACAGTGGCAGTGGTGGCCTCTGTTCTCCCTACTGTGGACTCAACTACAGTGCCCTTTAGAAATGTACTGCTATATTATACCTTCATGGGAAAGTCATGAATATACTCTCAATGGCATCAGAACCAAATGCATCAATTCAGATTAACTTATGAATATTACAGGTAGTTCTTAAGGTTCTTAAGGTGTTAGTATCATTATGATATTAAAACACTTGAAATAGAAGAAAATGAGTTTTCCAATGGAAAATAATGTTTCAAACTAAATTACATAATGGACCCGGACAGATCGAGTCTTCCTTAAGAGAGAAAATGGCTTCCAACATTGGAAGACAATTAGAGATCTGAGAGGCCTGGTTTGTTCACATAGAATCTCTTTTCCTCCAATTCTTTTACTTTGGGCCAGTTACTTAACCTTTCTTTTATTTTTTTGAGATGGAGTCTCGCTCTGTCACCCAGGCTGGAGTGCAGTGGTGCGATCTCGGCTCACCACAACCTCCGCCTCTTGGGTTGGAGCAATTCTTCTGCCTCAGCCTCCTGAGTAGCTGGGACTACAGGCGCGCACCACCATGCCCGGCTAATTTTTGTATTGTTTTTTAGTAGAGACAGGGTTTCACCATATTGGCCAGGCTGGTCTTGAACTCCTGACCTTGTGATCCACCTGCCTCAGCCTCCCAAAGTGCTGGGATTACAGGTGTAAACCACCGCGCCCGGCTGTTACTTAACCTTTCTAACCCTGTGTTTCCTATTCTGCAAAATGGAAATAATGAAGATCCAAATGTTGCAGAAACTATTTACTTCCACTATTTGCCCGCACTCATCTTCCTAACAAGCAGCCACTGAATGGAAATGCACGGTTGAAGATAATGGAACAACAAAATGGAATGAAGCTAGATTCTTCCTAATTCTGGAGCTGTCAATACATCACGGATTGCTTATTCTAAACTCCATATACATTTAGAAAGATAACCTTTCGTATATAAGCCAATGTTATTTTGGGATTTTGTTCACTTGCATTTGAAACAAATATTAACTGGTGTCCCTAATGAAAACTGTGAACTTCGATTGATTATGATGTGTCAATACAGATTCATCAATTGTAACAAATGTACTGTTGTGGTGGGGGATCTCGGTAATGGGAGGGTTGTATATATGTTGGGGCAGAGGTACATGGGATGCTTCTGCACCTTCGCTCTCAATTTTGCTGTAAAACTAAAATGACTCTAAAAAAAGACATGACAGATAGCTAGCTAGCTAGCTAGCTAGATAGATAGATAGATAGATAGATAGATAGATAGATAGACAGACAGACTTTATAGGGTTAAAGTAACAAATTAAATAAGAAAATGTGTATAGGTCATTTAGCACAGTGCCAAATAATTACTTAATAAAACCTGGGCAAATGTAGTAGATGATGATAATGATGACGATGATGATGATGGTAATAATCTCCTGATTCATTTCATTTATTCTATAGAGTTTTTTTTTAATTCCTATTATGTGCCAGATACTGTTCTAGTGCAGAGCTTGGTAATATCTGGCCCTCCATCTGCTTTTGTAAATAAAGTTTCACTGGAACACATTCATGTCCATTAATTTATGAATGGTCTACTGCTGCATTTGCACAACAACGTCAAAGTATACACTCCATAAGTAGTCCTTTACAGAAATCATTTGCTGATTCTGTAAATCGTGTTCTGTAGAACCATGGAGTTTGCATTCTAATGGGGAAAACAATGAATAAATTAAAACTTAGATGTATAATATGACATATTGTGGCTGGATATGGTGGCTCACACCTGTAATCCCAATACTTTGGGAGGCCGAGGCAAGAGGATAGCTTGAGCCCAAGAATTCAGCACCAGCCTGGGCAATATGGGAAGACCTCATTTCTTCAAAAAATGTTTAAAAGCAGCCGGGCATGGTGGTGCACACCTGTAGTCCCAGCTACTCGAGTAAGGAGGCTGCGGTGGGAGGATCGCTTGAGCCCAGGAGGTCCAGGCTACAGTGAGCCATGATTGCACCACTGCACTCCAGCCTAGGTGGCAGAGAGAGACTCTATCTCAAAAATAAAAATATAATATAACACACTACATATAAGCTTTTAAAAATCCACTTAGAAGGTGAATTAAGAAGCTATGAAAGCACCAAAAACCAAGAGAAGGGGGTACCTGACAAGCCACTGTGAGTACTTCATCAGACTTGTGAGTTTATCCTAATTGTGAAGATAGGCAAATAGACTATCAAAAGCGTACACATTTAAATATTAGTGTAATGTGACTAGATCCCTAATTTTGATCACAACCTTGCTAAGCATCCAACTAATAATCAGACTTCTCATATGGCTTGCTTACAGAGGAAAAAAGTATAATCAAAAGACTAACTTGAATCTCTGGTCCATCTGACAAACATATTTTTCATTGCAAATAAATAAACTCAGATCTTATACACATCAATCTCTTTGAGCTTTGTCTTTATCTGTCAATATCCCTGAATCTGAAATTTCTCTAGATTGCTAGGTACCTACCCAATTCAGTTAAAAAAATCATTTCTTATATGATGTAAATTTCAGTGATGTTCTTTTCCCGCACAGTTTGGTGTTGATAGCAAAGGATCCCGAAGTGAGTCTAAAAAGCTAATGTCCCTTTCCCTATTTCTGAAAATACAAGCAAATACCTAGGACAGTTATCAAGACAGTTATCAGGAACAATCTTCCAAGGGCAAAAACATTTCAACCCTCCAGAGTTTTAGAAGGAAAAAAAAATGTATGGACTCCTTTGTTAGGCCAAATTGATTAAAACACACACAAACACACAGCATACACACACAAACAGACACCATACACACACAAACAAGGTAACTTCTTTTGAGAACACTGTTCAGGTTAAGTCCAAAGAGAAGTCATTCATAATACATATATTAAGAAAAGTCACGCATCATGTTTCAAGTAGTAACACTAAAATATTAGGACTAGACATCCAATAAGATGCTTACTGAGTAACAGACCCCATTCCATAAGGTTCAAGTGAATTCTTAGGAGATTATCGCCTTCTCACTTATAGAAGTAGGATTATGAGTCAAGCAGAAGGAATAATGACAACCAGAAAGATCCATTTCTGAAAAGCTTTTAAAAAGAGGCCTCCATTTTCTCATCTCCTGGCCAGCTTTTCATGTGAGTCATCCAAAGCTCAGGTGATAGATCTCCGTGTTATTGAACCTGCTCTAGTATCTAAATCGGGCCATGCTTAGCTAAATAGATGGTCAGCATAAGTCATAATTCACCGGTAATGCCTTAAATTTTTACAAAAAAGAAGCTTAAATCGCTTCTTCTAGTTTTCCTCCTGTCATTTTGACAGTCCCTTTTCAGTCTCCTTGTCTGGATTCTCTTACCCTATCCTTCCTTAACTATCAAAGTTCTACAGAGTCCCTTTCCCCCAGTAGTCCACCTTTTCTTACTTGCTACTCTTATCTGTCTTTGCTCTTGAAATCTTTAACAAAGTCCTACAGCTTCTTTTAGAGTCTATAGTTGCTCTTCCCTCTTCTCAGTCTCTGCTTCTCCTGCCTTCTTTCAAGTCCTCATCATCTTTTGCCAAAATCATTGCTTTAGTCTCCTAACATCCAGGCTTACAGGCCGTTACACAGAGGCTACAATGACAATATTTCTTTCTTTCTTTTATAGAGATAGAGTCTCGCTCTGTCACCCAGGTTGGAGAGCAGAGGCACAATCATAGCTCATTGCAGCCTTGAACTCCTAGACTCAAGAGATCTCCTCCCTCAGCCTCCAGAGAACCCAGGACTGCAGATGTACTAGCCTGGTTAATTACAATGACAGCCTTTCTAAAAAACACATCGGACTTTGTTATTCTCACTCAATCAAAAACAAACAAACAAACAAACAAAAAAAAACAAGCAGTAACCAGTAACCTCTCAGTAACCCCTGGACTGATGCTGCTGCTCCCTGCAGGCTGGCTGTTGGACTCTGTCGTTGGTTACCCTGGGCATTTGAGGCTACATGTGGTCAATGATTAAGGCTTAGGCCCACATGACTCGCTGGAACTGAGGCCACTTCATGAAGCCAGGCCCTTCTATGGGCGATACTTACCAATGTATAAAGTTACCAGGGAAGCTTGTTTGTCTTGAACTGGGCTCTGGACTTTAAGAGGTAAATTACACATGTTCTTCCTGAAAGAATGTCAGCATTGGCCCACTAGTCTGTCTTTATCAGGGTTTGGCTGTAGAGTTTATATTGTCCTATCTCTGAGAATCCAAACCTCCTTTAATAAGTTGGGACCAAAAACACCCTAGGTTGGTAATATTCCTAGGGCAAAGCTGACAAATAGAAAAGCTGCTCCAGAAAGATGTCTTCCCAAACCACCCACAATTTCCATAGATGAAGGCCCCCTAAGAAAAGCTCACAACCCCAAATTAGAAAACACACAGATAAATACACAAATTCATCAGCCTAACGATAAAACAGGGACAGGCCCTTATAATCTTCTGGGGATGATAACAATAAAAATAGTAGCCAATATTTATTGAGAAATTACTAGGTGTCAGGCAGTGTGGCACTATTCTAAGGACGTGTACTCATTAATTAAACACCCATAGTAACTCAATGAGTAAATGAAATTATTTTCCTTGGCAGTTGAGGAAACTGATTAAAATTAGTTAAAAAGATGCCAAAAATATGTATATTTAAAATTATTAATGACTTAATAGGATTAATGAAAACATCCATAAGGGTATAACAAATCACTATTAAAACTGAAGTCCAATTAGAAAATATGAAATAAAATTTCTAGAAATAAATATATTTAAATTAAAACCTCAGAGGAAAAATTGATTAGACTTAACTAATTAACTAAACCATTGATTAGACTTAACTAATTTAAGTAGTTAAAAAAAATTTATTAAGATACATGGAGAGCAGAATGAATAGTTTATATCTCAAACATGAATTCTAAAAGAAAAGAATATAGTGAAGAAATAGAAATATTTTGAAGAAATAATGTCTAAAGCTTTCTGAAATCGATGAATGAAATGAATCATTATATTTGGCAAACACAAATCACAAAAAGATAAAAAATAAAGCCACACCTAGAAAGATCATATGCAACTGCAGAACATCAAAGTAAAAAAGAAGATTTAAAAGTAATCAAAGAGGCCAGGTGCAGTGGCTCACACCTGTAATCCCAGCACCTTGGGAGGCTGAGGTGGGCGGATCATGGGGTCAGGAGATCGAGACCATCCTGGATAACACGGTGAAACCCACTCTCTACTAAAAATACAAAAAAATTAGCCGGGCGTGGTGGCAGGCACCTGTAGTCCCAGCTACTCGGGAGGCTGAGGCAGGAGAATGGCATGCACCTGGGAGGCAGAGGTTGCAGTGAGCCAAGATCGCGCCACTGGACAGAGCAAGACTCCACCTCAAAAAAAAAAAAAGAAAAGAAAAAGTAATCAAAGAGAAAAGACAGATGACTGACAAAAGAATTACAATTAATCTGACAATCTTTCCAGCAGCAAGAAAAGAAGCCAGAAAATAATAGAATTATATCTTCAAAGATCTATGAGAAATCAACTGAACGTAAACATTTTTTTTTTTTTTTGAGATGGACTCCCACTTTGTCACCCAGGCTGGAGGGCAGTGGCAGGATCTCAGCTCACTGCAACCTCTGCCTCCCGAATTCAAGTGATTCTCCTGCCTCAGCCTCCCTAGTAGCTGGGATTACAGGCGCCTGCCACCACACCCAGCTAATTTTTGTATTTTTAGTAGAGATGGGGTTTCACCATGTTGGCCAAGCTGGTCTCGAACTCCTGACCTCAAGCAATCCACTCGCCTCAGCTTCCCAAAGTGCTGGGATTACAGACATAAGCCACCACACCCAGCTCAACTGAACATAAACTTTAATATAGCCAATTTATTATTCAACAGTGAGGGCTGAATAAAGTTTTTGTTTAGACCAAAAGGGCTGAGAATTTATTATTAAGAGAACATTGCAGAGGTAACTACTAATTTATTTCAAGAAATTACAGGAGGCTGTGTGCCGTGGCTCATGCCTATAATCCTAGCACTTTTGGAGGCTGAGGTGGGATGATTGCTTGAGACCAGGAGTTTAAGACCAGCCTGGGCAACATAGCAAGATCCTGTTAAAATAAAGAAGGAAGGAAGGAAGGAAGGAAGGAAGGAAGGAAGGAAGGAAAGGATGGGGGGAGGGAGGGAGGGAAGGAGATAAGGGAGGGAGGGAAGAAAGGAAGAGAAGGGGAAAGGAAAGGGGAAGTAAAGAAGGAAGGAAAGAAGGAAGGAAGGAAGGAAGGAAAGAAAGATTAAAGAAATGAGATGCAAGTATCAACAGTGAACAAGAATGCAGGTAAATAAGCAGATAAACAAAATAATGCATCTAAATAAATATTTCACATGTAATACAATAATTGCAAATTTCTAAAATATTAGGAAACAAATTCATGTAAAATAGGAGGGTGTCCTGGGTATTAAATGATTCTAAAGTCTGCATATTTGGAAGAAGACTATAGATGTTGAATAATGATAGATTTTGCTATGATGGGAAATATCAAAATAAACATTGAAAGAAAACCACTAAAAAACAGAAATAAAATTTATGTCTGCTAAGTTGGTAGAGGGGAAAAAAGACATTTTTTAAAAGTTGACATAAAAGAAGTTTGTGAAAAGAAGGAAAAAGAATTAAAAAATGTATACCATATTATATGGTAAAAATAAATAGAACTAGATCAGTAATCACAATAAATGCAAAGAGAAGTATCCAGTTAATGGACAAAGCATCTGAATTTAATTTTTTAAAAATCTGCCTGTATGCTACATTCATGAAGTACATCTAAAAAAGAAAAGAGGAAAAGGAATAGAGAAAGTGTACAGGAAAGATACTATATCAGAGTAAACAGAATTATAGCCAAAAAAATCACTATTAAGGATAGAGTAATTAGATAATTATTGAATTAATAATTCACTAGGAAATAAAAATTGACTTCCATGCACTTGATGGCATAGCCTTAAAATACATAAAGTAAAAATACAGTGAATTACAAGAGAAAAGCTGACAAATCCATTGTCATAATGGAAGATGGAAACATACCTTTTGCCATAATTGGTAAATCAGGCAGAAAAACATTACACAATCTGATGACCAAATTGTTAATAATAAGGGATACAGATTACTTTAGTGCATATATGTAATGTTGATAACTGCCCATTCACTCAGGCCCAAATCATTTACTCAGAAGTCAAATTCAAATTGGGATTTTTCTTATTATTTGTGGCAATAAGTTGCTGTTGTTGCTGATGATGTTATTTTGAGCTTGAATTTGTGCTCCAACACACACTATCGAGTTAGTTTGTGACTGCATCCAAAACTGACAGTCTGGTCTGGCCTCAGTAGAGGTCAATCTAATAAAGGGGTTGCTGTCTGGTTCTTACCTGGATATCAACTACATGCTAACTTACCTACTTAAGATACATTCTTACTATATTAATACCATTCACTTAACAGACCCATTGGTGGTTGCTCAACTGAACATTTGGGAGGGACTTGTGTCCCTCCGAAATTCCTATGTGGAAGCCCTAATTCCCACTATGACAGTATTTGAATATAGGGCCTTTACAGAAGTAATTATGGTTAGATTATTAGCTCATAAATTTAGGAGCCTAATCCAATAGGATTAGAGTCCTTATAAGAGGAGGAAGAGAAAGCAGAGCTCCCGTCTTTCCGTGTGCACAAACAGAAAAGGCCACGTGTGCACACAGCTAGAAGGTGGCCATCTGCAAGCCAGGAAGGGAGCCCCCACCACCAACCAGACCATGCTGGCACCTGATCTTGGGCATCCAGCCTCCAGAACTGCGAGAAAATAAATTTCAGTTGTTTAAGCCACACAGTCCAAGGAATTTTGTTATAGAAGCTCAAGCAGATTAATACAGTGGAGCAAAACAAATAGAGAAAATTAAGGGAAGCAATATAGCCCCAATTTTTTTTTTAGAAATATTCTTACACTGAAAGTATGATGTGACAGGCTCTCCCACTATGATGTAACATGTTCTCCTAGTCCGCACTAAACCACTTTTACTCTGACCTTTGCAACCACTTCTGTGAACTGGATTTTTAAAAAATGTAATCCCAGCCAGGCATGGTGGCTCACGCCTGTAATCCCAGCACTTTGGGAGGCCAAGGTGGGTGGATCACGTGGTCAGGAGTTCGAGACCATCTTGGCTAACACAGTGAAACCCCGTCTCTACTAAAAATACAAAAAATTAGCTGAGCATGGTGGCGGGTGCCCATAGTCCCAGCTACTTGGGAGGCTGAGGCAGGAGAATGGTGTGAACCTGGGAGGTGGAGCTTGCAGTGAGCCGAGATCCTGCCACAGTACTCCAGACTGGGAGGCAGAGCAAAAGTCCGTCTCAAAAAAAAAAAAAAAATGTAATCCCACAGTGCCATCATTCCCTAATTCAGGAAACACATATTGCCTGCAGTTATAACTTAAAATATTTCTTCTCCCTGCAAAGGGCTCTTTTCAACTTTTGCAGAATATGCCTTTTTTTCTTGAATTAATTTTACATTCTAGTTCAGTAGTCCACCCTTGTATAAGTTCAATAAATAGTTTTTGATTAAAGAGGAAAATATAAGTCTAGTTGGTATTAAGGGTTTGCTAAAAGGAAAGAGTAGAAATTGCTTGCACATTACATAACTTATTTTCTCTGCGGTAGCACATGCACCTGGACTCTACAATGATACTGGTGACAATACCTGAGATTGTTTAGATATAGTTATATTTGTAGGCTCAGTTATGCAATATAACCTCCGTGTAAGTGGCAGATACGTGCATGAATGCAGGCATAGGAAGATGAAATGATTCTGAAAGGAAGAAAGAAGTGGCAAATTAGATAAGGTACCAATGCTCCCTGGGTAAATGCTGCTCTTTTCTTTCAAGCACCATGCAGTTCAGAAACCTGGGCATAAGATATATGGTTGCTCTCTACTCCCCTGTGAACCATGAAGCAGAATTTAAAATTTCCATTAGTCAAATGAAGCTAAGAGCAGCTACCTATGAGAAAAGCAATGGCAAGAAAACAATGTACTACCATAATCACCCACTCTCAAAAGATTATCACAGCAATAACTGAGCTTACAGCTAGTGGTTACCTACCACTATTTGATGCTCAACGGGGAGTTCAAGTGACTCACTAGCATTTCAATTCCTTGATCTATGCAGTGTAATAAAAACAGCATTGAAACAGAAAAATACTTTAAAATAAGCATGATATCTGATACATAGAAAAATTGGTCGAATTTTACATTACAGATCTGGCAAAGGACTAGCTATTATAAAAAAAAAATGCTCACCAAGCCTGAAGTCACAATTTTTGTAAACATGTTTCATAACATATCCCAGGTTATAGAAAACCAATATTGTAGATTCTCTCAGACAAATAAGCTTCTAATGGCCTTTACTTCCTGAAATAATAAACATTCTTTCACTTCCAGTAACAAGCCAATGAGCTGCAAAAATAGAAATGCAACAAGTTTTTCCAACAATTTCCTCCTTGTTTATAATGGCTGACTCCTAATCATTGTTCTTCAAAAATGGTAGTATTAAATATTTCACTGGTTAGACAGACTTTAACTAAAGTGTATTTATCTTAAAACTAATTATAGACATTACCACATTATGTAAATGTTTTGGAAGAATTTGCACATTTTGAGCCACTACCTTCTGTGTACAAGGTGCAGAATCAGAAGCCAGAAAGGAGTAACATGACTTTTTAAAAAAAGTTATCTGCCCTCAAGTATGTTACAGTCTTAAAAAGAAACAATGTTTACTAGGAAAAAAATAAAATGACAGGTTTTATAGACAATAGAAATACCTATTTCTGCCAGTTCTGAAGGATAGTAAGCGGGAAATAAAATGAAACACCTTCATGTCTTGTTAGTTTTCTCGAAATGACATGAGCTTCCACAAATCGGTCTGAATTTAAACTTCAATCAGAATATCGTAGCATTGGGTCAATGTAAAATTAACCTCAGAATAAGACAAATCAGAGACTTTACCATCGTCAGCTAAGATCATGATACAAAATTCAGGATTTTATGACCTGTGAGAACAACACTTAAAAGAGAAAGTTATACTTTCTGTAAAAAAATATTTCCATTTTTCTAGACTATACATTGCATTATTATGAAGAGCAACCAGAAAATAAATAAAAATTCATGTATTATCTTTGGTCCCTTCTTTATTCTCAGTAAAATGTTTTGGGGCTCGAAACTGAGGATAGACTTTAGTAGCATTCCACGAAATCCTCACCCAGAGGGGTATCCTTGCTAGAGTAGGATAACTGAATACTGATTAGGAGTTTGAAGAAGCCATGTCTTCCAAGGCAGTGCTTCTCACGCCCAAGCTGGTGGTCAGCAGAATGACCAGAGACAGTTTAGGAAAAAGATGCTTATGAAAAATGTCTTTATTAATATTTACAGAGAAGAGACTTGCAAATCTATAGTTCTCTGTGTCTCTAAGGTACTTCCCAGTACTAACACTCTTATTTAACTCAGATTTTATGAAACATAAATTTCTGTGCCATTAGGAAGCCTCAAACTACAAGGATGAGTGACAAAACCCTGCTCCCAGCCCACCCGGATAATTTCCAGAAGGAATCAGGACCATTAGGAGATGTATTAATTTAGCTAACCCTGGCTCTGGCATTTTAAGTATGGGTCCAGTCTCACCGGGTCTTGGAGAGAGTAGAAGACAATCACTTCTTTTGACACATTCCATTCCTATAAAGTTGGATAAGTAGAAACTTGCATTTTTAAACAACATCCAAATAGCATTTTTTCAGTACAATTTACACAGGAAGTTCAACATACATTATCATTCAATCTTCACATCAGTTTTAACCCATGTTGATGTTAGTAAATGAGAAAACACTACACAAGAGAAGCCAAAGCAATTACCCAAACCACACATTCAGAAAGTATCGGGGCTGGATGCTGCCACTTGAACTCAAGTGTGTGAGCTTCCATTCCCGTGGTCAGCCGCATTTAAGATGGAAGATGTCTAATGAGGAAAACAATGAAGTAGAGTTATGTCAAATGACTCATTGTTGCTTTGCAAATTTGGATCAGAGTTCCATGTTCCCAGACTTGAAAAATTTCATTTCCCCTGGAGCCAAAATTAAACAATCCTTATCATGGAAGTAATTGCACTGTGCAGAAAGGAAAAAAGTGATGAATACAACCCTTAATCCTGAGTGATCTGAAGCAGAAAACTCAGAGTAGTAGGATAATGGAAAGAAGACTTTAAAGTAAGTTAGAGACTCAGTTTCTAGGCCCAGTTATTCAAACTCATTATATAACCTTGAAAAAGGCATGCAAGCTATTTGGATCTAAGTTTCCACCTTGGTAGAATGGAAGATCCATTACCTAATGCAAATGCACATGAAACATTGTCAGGCTATCTTTCTCAAGATCGTTACTAACAACTATGTTTTAGGAGAAGATATGGTTAGAAAATCATTAGGTATTATTCTATAAAAGGATTTTATTTTTTTCCACTTACAAACTACTATTAATATTTAATTTGGTAAATCTTATGGTGGATAGCTTTAAAATACCTGCCCATATGATTGATATCATGTGGGGCGCGGTGGCTCACACCTGTAATCCCAGCACTTTGGGAGGCTGAGGTGGGTGGATCACGAGGTCAGGAGTTTGAGATCAGCCTGACCAACATGGTGAAACCCTGTCTTTACTAAAAATACAAAAATTAGCCAGGCATGGTGGCAGGCACCTGTAATCCCAGCTACTCAGGAGGCTGAAGCAGGAGAATCTCTTGAACCCAGGAGGTGGAGGCTGCAGTGAGCTGAGATCGCACCACTGCACTCTGGCCTAGGTGATAGAGTTAGACTTCGTCTCAAAAAAAAAAAAAAAAAAAAAAAAAGATTGCTAGCAGAAAGAAATCACTTAACTGAAATTATTTCATTGTTGTTCAGTATTAAGCACAAGTCAACCAATTTCCAAAATTCTTGAAAATTGTACCAAAAATCCACTATCAGTTGAATATACATCTTGTCAAAGAACATCTTAATACTATGTTACTAAGTTATGTTTTTATTACTATAAACATTTCCTTTTCTTCATGTGAACAGTACACCGGCATAGCTGTGACAACAAATAAAGATGAAACACCAAACATCCAGTTTGTGAGTATTTGCAATCTCTATCTCCTGACTGACTTTTGGAATACTTCAGGATTGAATACGAAAAAGCCTTGTGCTAGGATGGGGACTCAGGCTTGAAAGCTGTAGTGCTGGCATTGACTACCCCCACCCCCAACACCATCCCTAGTACCCCCAATCACCCACCCCACTCTCCATCCAAATTGCTATTTGAGATGCTAATTTTAAAAGAGGATATTTTTAAATGCAAAAAAAACAATAGGTTAAGTTCTATATTTATTCAATAAATATTAATTGGCCATTATGGGCCCTATACTATGCAAATCACTAGTAATAATACAGTAAGCAAGATAGACAAGGTTCTCATCCCACATCACTTCCATTCAATTAAGAGAAGATTGAAAATTGCGTATGACACTAACCTCAAGGATGAAAAGTGCTATGACAGAAGACAGCCTCTAGAGCAGGGGTCCCCAACCTTTTTGGCAAATTTCGTGCTGGTTTCGTGCATGTTTTTCCATGGACCTGGGGAGGGGTGGGGATGGTTCCGGGATGAAACTATTCCACCTTAGATCATCAGGCATTAGTTAGATTATCATAAGGAGCGTGCAACCTAGATTCCTTAGTTCACAATAGGATTCAGGCTCCCATGAGAATCTAATGCTGTCGCTGATCTGACAGGAGGCAGAGCTCAGACAGTAATGCTCACTCGCCCGCCACTCACCTGCTGTGCAGCCCGGCTCCTAACAGGCCATGGGCCTGTACCTGTCTGGGGCCTAGGGGTTGGGGACCCCTGTTCCAGTGGACTACGGGAGAGTAATGGGGAGGTCATCAAATGGCTCTGAGGAAAACCCTTTTAAGAGCAACTGAAAGTCATATTTGCACTACCAAATAGTAGTTCGTGGCATTATTCAGGATAAATATTATGACAAATGCTTTTAATGTGACTTTTAGATGCACATCAAAATGTCTCATAGAGGTTTCAAAAAAATATCAAGATCACCAATGCTAGTCCGTAAAATTCTGACTCTACAGCTCTGGCTATCTGTTGTTTTATAAAGTTGCATACATATTTATGATGTACATCTCATTTTGAGCACCACTTTCTTAATTTGTCTCCTCATGACTCATTTTTGGAAACTCCTGATTTTTTTGAAATGAATCCCAAAATCAGAGGTGAAAATTAGAAGTTGCCTTGCAAGATAAGAAACATTTCTCTATATCAATAAGTTAATGGGTAAAATTTCTGCTGTTAAAAATTAACAACAGCTGACGAATTTTGTTTTCACTGCTTATTCACATGAAAAAACCATTCCCTAAAGACTTCCAGAGATGATGTTAAAAACGCTTTTCTAATTCACATTGAAATTTGTAACCATGCATATCCAAATTTATCTAAAATCCAGGCCAGTTGCTTCCTCCGCTTAAATCTTTTGGCATTTGCAAATTTTCTTTGGCTGTAGCATTGTGACTGGACACTTAACATTTCCTCAGCAAATCACAAGCACTACACAGTTCAAACACTTGATCTCTGCCAACAATCAAAGGTTTTATGTTAAACTTGTACATTCAAGCTGTTTAGGATTGATGATATTTATTTATGTGCACGGGGTACCAAGAGGGAGCACCGAAGTGTTTCCTAATTTCTAGGTCAAACGTAACTTCAAATGAATCGTTGGTTGAGATGTCATAACAATGAGAAGCAGAGAGGATCTTTACAAGAGGTTAGGGATTTTCCTTGGAAAGGTTGTCTTGTGGTTATAAAATTAGAGGGAGAAGAATTAAAATGATTACGCTCTAAAAATGACTTAGTAGAAGTGACAGGGTTGTTTTTAACCTAAATATTTTTTAAGTACCAAATTTGTCACTCCTCTAAGTTATATGTTACCAACTGTAAACTCTCTTTATTGCAGCAGTAAAAGAAATGAAGTACTTTTAGCCAATGTTTTTCCATAAATCAGGAACTTTGTATTAAATCCACATTTTATTTGCTTATATGGATGTTCTTTCATTTTGACTGAACTGATACAGACTACTGAATCACAGAATAAGGTGCTTTGGAGAAGCCCTAAGGCTCAGAAAGTGGGTTTCCCAGAGGGAGATAGGCCTGGGAAGCTGTGGCAAAGAAGAAGCTAAAGATGTTTGTTATGCTTGACTTGAGAAAAGGAGAATTCATCTATGATGGATATTTTTAAAGCCACAGTCTCCACACAATCACTTCTACACTCACCTAATCATAGGATGGTTTTAACGGCTTTGATTTTAAACATTCACCTATTAGGTTTGCAAATTACTATGTAAGTGCACATTAGCTAATGAATGATAGCTAATGATTGACTATAAAATCAGATTATAAGAAGATAAATGATATAAATTTTCCATAGAATTCTCATTCTTTTTTATATTTAAAGGGTTATAGTTTTTAAGATAACTTGCTTCTTATTTTTTTTTAACTTACCAATTACCTTATGAAAAGACAGGAAAAGCAAAAAGGAGGGAAATCACAAATCTTTTGATGTTTGCTTCTCACTAGCAACTTAGTTAAAAATGTTGATAATGTTCTAAACTGTTGGTGAAATTAAGTTATTTAAATCACAGTGGATTCACTCTTCCCCATCACTGTCAACATGGGTAAATAAGAGCTAGTTGTAGCTGGATTGAAAATTGTAGATAGTTGTAGCTGGATTGAAAATTGAAGACTAACGTAATAACTTTTTATCAACCTTAAAACAAAGTGACTCATAATACATTCCCATTGTACATTTTCCCCTGGCATGGGAGTTTCAGATATAAAAACAGAGCGAAGAGAGACAGAAACAAAGACTGAAACAGAAAACTAAAAACAAAAATCTTAGATTTTATTCGGGAGCACATCCAGTAGTCAAGAACCTCGCTTAGTCACTTTGTTAATGGACTATCAAGTATATCATCATAATCTAATATAAATCAATTACAACTAAACCACCACAGTAGTAAAACTGCCATATGGCAGGGTAGCCTGTTTAAGGCAGCAGAGCCCTGTAAGTGCTTTGGAACTTTTCCAATCTAAGCTGCAAAACTAAACCATAGAGTCAATGATATTCTCTCCCCACTATTGAAAACTAGTGTGTTTGCACATGTGTATGTATGTGTGCTATATATTATTTGTATATTTGTGTATATACCTATATTTATATATACACACTCACATATTAACACACATTTGCATATGTATGCATAGATAACAGATGTATTAATACAAAGTACTTTTTTCTAAGTCTAAGTGCCTATATTTCTGAAGGCTTTGGAAGTGGGAGAGAAATGCATTTCTTTAATTCTATTACTCTGTGGGTGTTTCCTCAGGATATAAAAGATTGTTAAAATAGGAATCTTAACTCAATGGCTTTTAAACTCTGTCTTGAGCTCTCCTCAACTCTTCTGTGGCATAGCTGATTCTTTTCTTTCCTCTCTTAACCCACCAGAATTGAATAGATCTCGAATCACTAAATATTTACTGAGCAACTACTGTTTTTGAGGCACTGCAGTGGGCATTACTATGTAAATAAAGAGGTAGTCAGCTAGTCAGGGAGAGATGGTATAAACATGAAAAATGTTTAAAATAAGATTATAAACATTAATTTACAATGTGAGAGAAACAATGTCACAAAATGGCATTTGATTACACAAAGTAGCATCTTATTACTTACTAAATGAATTGTATAAACTACTGTTGGCATGAGGTCCCCACAAAAGAGAGAAAGATCATAGAAGATCCTGAGTTGGATCCTAAAAGATGCAATAGACCAGGCACAGTGGTTCAGGCCTATGATCTCAGTCTATGCCTGTAATCCCAGCACACTGGGAAGCAAGGCAGGAGGATCACTTAAGGCCAGGAGTTCAAGACCAGCCTAAGCAACATATTGATGCCCCATCTCTACAAAAAATAAAAAAATAAAAAATCATCTAGGCATGGTGGTGTGTGCCTGTAGTCCTAGCCACTCAGAAGACTGAGGAGGGAAGATCACATTAGCCCAGGGTTCCAGGCTGTAGTGAGCTATGATCTAGCCACTGTATTCCATCCTGAGGGATAGAGTAAGACCTCGTTTCTTTAAAAAAAAAAAAAAAAAAAAAGGTCCCTTTAGGAGAAGAGGGGAAAGACATATTCCAGGTGAATGAAATCAAAGGGATAATAAATACAAAACACAAGGAGTGAGGCCAGGCGCGGTGGCTCACGCCTGTAATCCCAGCATTTTGAGAGGCCGAGGCGGGTGGATCATGAGGTCAGGAGATCGAGACCATCCTGGCCAATAAGGTGAAACCCCGTCTCTAATAAAAAATACAAAAAAAAAAATTAGCCGGGTGCGATGGTGGGCGCCTGTAGTCCCAGATACTCGGGAGGCTGAGGCAGGAGAATGGTGTGAACCCGGGAGGCAGAGCTTGCAGTGAGCCGAGTTCACGCCACTGCACTCCAGCCTGGGCGACAGAGTGAGACTCCGTCTCAAAAAACACAAAACAAAACAAAACAAAACACAAGGAGTGTTCAGAAGTCAGAGGTCAGTGATCTTTTCATATTTAAATTGTTCTCCAGTTGTAGAGACTAAGTTGTGTTACTTATCAGAACTAATGATTCAATAACATGCCTTCTGTGATGTTGGTGAAAAATAAAATGTTTTCTAAGTAAACCATCAGGGATACTTACTTGGATGAAGCAGTGAATTCATAATGTAGTTACTTTAGATTCCCCAGTAGCTTTAATGTTTTAACTTGGTAGTACCATGGAAATAATGAGAGGGATAACTCTGCTTATTCTTAAAACTATGTACTAATTATTAGTTTGATTCTTTGAAAGCATATTGGTGTACTGACTAAGATCTACTTTTTTATCATAAGCTTTGCCAACTAAAGTGTAAGACAACTAAAGCTCAGTGGCCTCCAGTTTATTCTGCAGGTGTCTATACAGGTTCTCAGAGATCATCATGCATAAAATTTTATGCATTTTATGATTCTGTTTATCTGGGATGGTGCTCAAGTAATCCACCGACCACATTTTTTGAAACACTGGGCTAGAAAATTGGGGTCTTGGGTAATAATCCAAATGATTCTGTGAGAAGGTCAAACCCTGGCAGCTTAATCTAAATTCTTTTTATGATAAGGAGACCATGCAGGTCTCCTTATCTGATAAGAGTTCTGATAGTGTTCTGATAGAGTTATAATTAAGCAGACCTTATGCTCTAATAAGAACTGAAATTCTTAGCAATAAATGGAGAATAGCTGATATCAGTAGAGAACTTAAAAAGACATTCTCAACAAGCAAGTTTCTATTTGGATTTGGAGAGGATGTAAAAGGTTCCGCTTGCGTACCATCAACCTCCTCCAACTCACCACCCTCAAACCCCAATGTTCTGAGCTGAATCTTTGAGAGAAACATATTAGTGCTTGGCCAGCCACAATCTACATTCTGATGATCAGACTTGACACCAGGTTAATCCTGCCAATAAATTAGCTGAGTAAGCTATCCCATCCTCGTCCAAAAAGTTTTTGCCCAATCTTAAAGTGATAAAGTGGTACCACTTCAGAATGAAAAAAGATTAACTTCTTGGTGTTCCATGGGATTTTGATTAGACTCCTGAAATAGTGTCAACCATGACAAATTCAAATGAGGTATGTTTCTGCCTCTCTTCCACCCAGTGAGCAACATAAGCTACAAATGGCATATTTTGTCATCTTTGTGGCCCCAAATCTAGTAAGCACTCAATAAATGTATACTAGTCATGTATACAGAAAAATCATCACTGTCCAACTCCGTCCTGAAGCTGAGACTGAACGTATACATAGTTTGCCAAGAAAATTCAGAGATGGAAACAGCCAAACAAGAGAACATCCCTAACGCAGTGTAAGAATCATGAACCAAACGAAGCTGTCAGAGTGAGAAAAGTTAAAGGAATAGTCAGAAACTATTTCTAATGAGACCTGCAGAAAAAAGATTTTCAATATGTAATAAGCAATCAAACAAGAGCCATACCTCATGGAGTAGGAGTAATGAACATTTTTTTTGAAATGTCAGCCATTATTTTATATGAAATATTAATAGTAATGAGAAATTTAAAATAATTTTGAATTTAGTAATTTTTAAGAGGAAACAATGTAAAATATCTAAAAATTTAAAATTAAGAATAGGGAACATAAATAACTAATATCATCAATGAAAGATACAATAAAAACCTTCTCTTTCTATTTTTTTTTTAGATGAAGTCTTGCTCTTTCACCTAGGCTGGAGTGCAGTGGCACAATCTTGGCTCACTGCAACCTCCACCTCCTGCATTCAAATTATCCTCTTGCCTCAGCCTTCCAAATACCTGGGACTACAGGCATGTGCCACCACTCCTGGATAAGTTTTGTATTTTAAATAGAGACAAGGTTTCGCCATTTTGTCCAGGCTGATCTCAAACTCCTGACCTCTCAGGTGATCTGCCCACCTAAGCCTCCCAAAGTGCACAATAAAAACTCTTTACATTTATTATTTGTAGTTAAGTAAACACAGAGACACAAGCTACCACTTCCATGTTGTTTACCATCCCCAGGTACCATCCTCTGTGATTCACAAGTATGAAGATATCTCATATTCCTAGTAACCCTATAAGGTAGACATAGTTTTGGTCCATTTTGTTGATGAAAATACTGAGGCACAACAAAATTAGCTTACTTTTCAAAGGTCACCTAGCTAAACAGCAGGAGTCAAGATGTGAAATAAGTTCGGTGTCCCGGCTCCTGACTCTGTTATTAAGCCCTGTGCTATCCATCTCTCTCAAAAAATAAATTTAAAAGAAGAAGGAAGAAGAAAAAGAGGAGGTAGAGGGGGAAGAGGCAGAGAAAGGAAGAGTAGAGAGGAAGAGAAAACAAGTTATTTTTGAAAGTTCTTTAATATATTGTTTTTTGAAAATAGTCACAGTATTTGACATAGCTTTTACACTCATGGCAGGTAGCATGCTGCCTTACATGTCATTATCATAACAATGGCTAATATTTTAAGTACTTATTGGGTAGTAAAATGGGAATATTTATAATGACAATAATAATTATGTTAGCTAAAAGTTTTTGAGCATTTACTCTGTGCCAGGCACTTTGTTATGCCCTTTATATGAACGAGTTCATTCAACCCTCTGATGAGCTATGTGGCTTTGTGATATTGGGCAAATTATGAAAATATATAACCCATGCACAAAACATGGGCTTAATAACAGAATCCCATCATAGTGTTCTATGAGACTAAATGAGTTAACACAGGTAAAATTTTTAAAACTTACTGGAATGTGGTAAACTCACAACACACTTTAGCATTTAATACTGATAGAATTACTATTATTCTTGTTTTACTGATAAGGAAACTGAGGCACATAAAGATTAAGGGACTTGCTCAAAGTCTCAGAGCTAGAAGGTGACGAAACCAGTATTTGAGGCTAGTCAGTCTGGCCCTCCACACTGTCAGTGCTCAAGAAATATTGTGTGAATGCATGCATGCATGAATGAGTACACCAGCTGGAGAGCAATGGGCAGGTAGAGAAGAAACTGGCTAGGTAGAAACTAAAGAAAGAAGAAAAATGGAAGACGCAGTCATAAAAAGGAGTAGGAGATTGAGAGATAGAAAGGGGAAAAATAAGAGAGAGTAAAGAGATGTAAAACAGAAGAGATCATTACAGGAAATTCTCACATAATAGTGAAGCCATCTTCTTTTAATCACAAGCAGCAATTAACTTAAGAGTGAGCACTCTGAAATATTGGAGATCATACTGAGAAAATTAAAAGCAACATTAAAGCAGATTCACCTTGAAGTTGGCAAAACTTATTATATAAGTGGGCAAAGATAATAGGAAAAAATTCTGGTGACATGGCTCCATGATCAAAGTGGTTACAATACCTCTAAGCTACAATGTTTCTAGATTTGTGTGCTCTGAAGAGCTCTCTGGGCTGCCCCATCACTTTTCCCCCTATGGGACAAGTGAGAATTTGAATTTAGAAAGGTCTTCAAGAAAGAATCACTCACATAAAAAAAAAAAAACTGCTTTGTATTCAGCAGAGTAGTTAAAAATAAAGCAGAGAGGAAAGAGGATTAATGATTCAAAGACTGGAGAGTTTTAGAACAACTATTGTGGAGATTTCTATACAAGGTTATTGGGGAATAAATACAATAACTAGTAATAACTTAAATTTGCAACAATGCCAACAAAAAGGAGTATGATTTTCTCAGGGCCTTAGATTGTTGAGAGGATTGCCTGAGATTCTGCTTAGTGTCTGGCACAGTGCCGCATATGCATAATAAATGCTCACTTAATACATTTAAGCTATTATTTTTCCTGGTGATTTAGGTATAGGGCATAAAGACTATCTACTCCCCATCTCACAGTAAAGCAACGATAAGCCAGATCACACAGAGGTCAAGGCCATGGAAGGTGCTAACAGGAGTAATGTTGAAATGGGAGGTTATGGAGCTGAGATTGAGTACTACTGAAAATGAAGCCAGGAGCTGCGTAGAGTCCTCATTGAGGTTGCAAAGTAACACACAGCCAGTTATACATAGAGAAGGGAGTGTCTAGGTATGTAATGATTCTGAGTGATGGAGAGGGATAAAGCGTGGTTGTAAAAGAGGGTTGATACATATGAAGGAGGACATTGTTCCCTGATCAGAAGTGGCCATGAGGTTACAGGGGTAATGGCCACAAGTGCAATTTGGGAGCAGAGAAGGAGGAACTCTAAGAGCAAAGAGAGAAAATGGCAGGCAAGTGTCAAGTACCCCTGGGAAGAGTCCTGAGGGAGACACAAGATTAGCAAGTGACAATGGAGAAAAATGTTCTTGGTTGAATGCTAAAGAGAACGGTATATCTAGGAGGCCTGGACACCGAAGAAGTAAGGATGGTTTGTTTAACAAAGATGATAAAATGGGAGCTATGAGAAGTGATAAGAGAGGCCAACTAAGAACAATGAGATAGGGGACATGAGTGATAGTGGAGACAGAATGGTGTTGAGAAAATGAGGGGTTCTCTCTTTAGATTATTTTAGAGTAGTAATAAAGTCAGAAAAGTTTGAAACTCTTGAGGGTGAGCAGATTTTTGCCAAATCATCCTTACCCTTCCAATGAACCCCAAATCACTGTCTTTTTTATGCATACAGATTTTAATTATGGCCAGAGTAAAGAGACTTGGAGACTGGAGACTAGGGGTAGCATATTTTCATGCATAGGAACACTCTTTTTTATTATGTTGTATATATATACATGTGTGTGTGTATGTGTATGTGTATCTAATCACTTTTTATTTTCTTCAAAGACTCAGCCTACTACTTTTATATTCATTAAAATAACCACTGTTTAAAAGTGCTTTAATATATTTAATGGTGACATGGTAACTACCTGAATTTTAAACAGCATTTCATAGTAAAGTGCAGGCTCTCTGAGGTCAGAGATCACACCTGTCCTACTGACCACTGTATCTCAGGGCCTAGCAGAATTCCTGCTTTATATAAGCAACTCAGTAAAGATTCCTAACTCGCTGGGCTTAACATTTTTAAAAAGCCAGTTATTTCCAGTAGTCGTGACTAGGATAACAAAAGCAATAACTGAGCACCTCTATGTGCTGGGTATAAGTATCTTGTGTGTCCTTTTATTTAAGACCTACTTTAAGCACAGTAGTAGATATTATCATCCTCATTTGCTTGTGGGAAAGCTGAGGATCAGAGACATAAAGTACTTGGACAAAATCACTCTCATTTTAATATTCCTAAATTTCACTTTAGTAAAAATAAGTTGTATTAGAATAAATATATTTAGGAATTGTGGGGCTCAAGGTCAGAGTTCTGACACAAACTTCATCATCATCTGTCTTCAATGTTAAGAGGTGAGGGGCAGTTCTCACAAGAATCCTCCATCTACCCATTCTTGCAGCCTGGCTGGGAAGAAATACATACGATGTTTCTCTTGACCTTGTTTAATGCTCACAAGAGATACAGGAGGTAGGCATCATTTCCATGAGGAAACTGAAACTTAGGGCGATTAGGCAAAATGCCCACAGTTACTCAGCTCATAAGTAATCAAATGTTGAAACAGGACTTGAAACTAGTTTTATCTGAATAGAAATTTTAGGCTTTTTCCACCCTATTATAATATCAGAATTTTTGTTTGGTCCTGAACTCATCAATAGCCATGAGATGCCTGTATCCTTGAACAAAAAACTTCCTCAAAATTAAAAAAAAAAATGTAAGGCAATTTTAGAAAATCATTTCACCTGGTATTTACTCTCAAGTATGTACTGCTACATGGGGTAGAATCATATTACTTTAAACAAACAAACAAAACAATTAAACTTTCAACCTAAATTAACATTTCTGGACAGGCGACTTGGCAGTTAATGTACCCCCTCTGTATTGTTAAACCTCTGTGGTATAGAAGGACCTATGGGAATAACAACGAAAAGTATGTTTTGTGAACATGTAAATTAAAAGGCACAATAAGGTGAAAATAACCAAATTATTCAGTTGCTAAATACATAAGACCAGCTTTAGAATATCACTAACATCCCAAATTTTAAAATGTGAGAAACTTTAAAATTGACTAATAATTAGCTGGTAGCTTACAGAAATTAATTTATAGTAAGTTTTGTTGTTTTAAACTGTTTTAAAAATATTCAACACATGTGCATTAAAATAGTTTAATCCTATAATTTCTTAGCATTTTTTCCAGTACCACATAAATATGATTTTGAAATGTTTTACAGATGAGAAATGATGTTTTCCAAGGATGAGAAAAGATGTTAACAGCTAACACATCCATCCCCCTATAAAAATAAAAATTAGTTTGGCAAAGGAAATGCATTCATATTAAAATATTAAAAATTAAATGCAATGTCATAAAACCTTTACCTAAGAAAAGCCACGAAGTTAAACCACTCATCACAAGATTTAATGAGGCATTGTCTTTAATATCAGCTATTTCCTACAACAGAAAGAGACATACAGCAGAAAATCTTCACTTTTAAAATGCTCTCACTTGAATGTTTAGGCAAATGCATTTGAATTAAGAAAAATTTTGTTAAATTCATTCTAATACAAAAATTCAAATTTTGTCTATCCAAATTTTCCCTTAACAAGTTGTCATCAACTGCTTAAGAAATGTGTATTTATTATAAAATATTTGGATCAATAGTTCGTCTCCTAAAATAAAGGTTTTTAAAATTCAGATGAAGTGGCTAGCTAATCCCATACATCTTAAATCTTAAAACTACCATTGTATAAGAAATACCAGGCACCTTACTGAAATAGCAGCTTTAATTCTCTCCAAGTAAAATTCCAGCCACAATATCAGGAATATCATAAAAATATTGCAAATAGTTGGCTTTTCAGTTTTATAATTTAAATCATTATGTTACTATGTAGCTCAACTATATATATCAACTATATTTTTTAATGAATAATATAAAGTCTACAAGTATAATTTCTATAAATCTAATCTTAGTATTTGTTGGCTTTGCGTTTTTTGTGTGATATAAAATAATAAACAATTTCATTTTTATACTAAATAAAAGATGCTTGTATAAACTGTAAAAATTATGCAACCTTCTGTCCTTTATCATATATATAGACAGTTACAGATGTAGATATCAATATGGTTCTATATTCAATTTGTCCAAAACACTTGTGGTTGGGGTTAATTTAAATGGCTGTCTCATTTTAGAACTAATTTCAATTGTTTTATAATTCTGTATTTTTTAATGTCTTAGAGGCATTACAAAATCAAACAAGCCCACAGACATGAATGTATTCTCATGTTTTTCCTTTATATTCAAGATATTTTTTGCTCCTTCTGCAGATAAATGTATCTTCCACAATTTTTTTTTTCCAGTTTTCCTTACCTACAGTCATTATCACTCTGGTATACTCAGTGAAAGTGAAATTTTCCTCAAAGGGCAAAATCAAGAATAATAAAAATCAATTATAGAATTTCCCACTGACAACTACGATACAGGCTGAGTGAATATCTTTTCTATACCCTCCAAAAGAAAGGTTAGACTTTTTTTTTTTTTTTTAGCATTTTCAAACAAACTACAAATAGCTAAAAAGTCCGTTTTAAGATCGAGAGCTCCAGAAGAAGAAATTCCCTAACAGGCTGCCTCCTCCATTTTTCATTCCCTAGAATTGGTGCTTTCAATACAGTTGGAACTTCTACAGATCACAGACATTGTTTGCCCAGACTGACCAATCTTTGAGGCAGGTTTTTTTCCCTTCAAGATACTTCATGTTAACAGCTTGAGGGCGTTCAATCAGCACTGCTTTGATCTCGGCTGGAACTATAATTATTTAACATTGTTACATGGATTTCTATAATCCACCCCACCATTAAATCCCTTTTACACCCTCATCTTCTGAGGCCTAATCTGCATCCATACACTTAGTTTGTCTTCTCCGCTGGTCTCATCAGGAGCCTGCATTCTCCCACATCCTGACTGATGGTTTTCTCTCTCTCTTTTTTCCCCTCTAATGAAATCATTTTCTTACAAATTGAAAACTGTAAAAAATGTCTTATGCATTTGCTCTATTTTTAAGAGCTCCCTATTGAATAGCAGTATCATCCACCATTCATTGCAAACTTTTTCCCCCAATCCTATAAAATTCATTTACTCAGCAGAGGTTTTTATTAAAATAATGATAAGCATATATTTGATTTTTAAAGAGAATTTCTGTAAAAGCATATAAAATAGAAAGCATCAAATGTGGTTTTTTGAAAACACAGGAGGAAAGATTTGGTAACATTTTGCACTTTCTCATTTCTTCTTCAGAAAGTGAACTGAGCTGTTCTGGATGGGCCATAAAACTGGAAGGTATACAGCCAATTGAAAATAGAGATCTTATGGGAACAATTCTGCAAGAATGTCTGAAGAGGTCTGTGGAAGGCAAGTCCCAAGGAGAAAAGGAAAGAGAGATAAGAAGGCTGTTCTGCAAAACTGCGAAGCCCTCAGAAGAAACAAAGGGAACAGAGAAGACAGCCTAGCGGGGAGGCGGGGATTTTGTACTTTCCTAATTCTGGCATGTGCATTCCTCACAAAATTCATGGCTATCAGCTCATTCAAGAGTTCACTTACAATATGTTGGTTGGGCTAGATTCTTCAAGCATTTAAGTGTAGACGCTAAGAGGTAAATGCAGATTTCTCAATTTGAAAAGGATGGCAATAAAATATGCAGTCATCTGTAGAAGAGATAAGATTATCTTCCTTTTTGGGAAAAAAAAATGTAACAGCCTTAGAAGATAGAAAATTTCCATCACATTCTCTCATTAAGAAGCAACCCAAGGCCACCTGGATGAATAAGACACTTTTCACTTCACCCACACATGAAGAACCCTAAAATCATGAGATTTTGCAGTTAGCTATTTATTTATTTGCTAGTTTGTTTGTTTAGAGATAAATGAATAAACATGTTGTCCTGAGTTAATCAGAGCTTCTCTTCTTCAATTGCAAGTTTTTAATCCAGCATTGCTATTACTGTAATACTGCTAATAACCAATCATTAAAAGTGATCATCCTTTCTTTCCTTCAAAGAGCATGTAACACAAAAGTTATATATATACACACACACATACACACACACTATAGAAAACTATATAATGTATTTTTATAAACTATATATACACACACATATATAGCTTATAAAAACTCTATATATGTATATATGTGTATATATATACACACACACATATATAGTTTTAAATATAGAGAGATGGTTTATATACATATATAAAGTTACCTATAATGTTGATCAATTAAAAAATGAATATAAAGGCAGACTTGCAAACACTGGCTGCAAGGAAGCTTAAAATTATATTTTCAGTCCATTTTAAGCAACTATCTTGGACTCTATGGTTTAGTTACCCATGCAATTATATTATTCTTGTCTCTGCCATTTTCCTATCTATGTTTTCTTTTATCTGCTTTAATAATTTATTCCACCATTTTATATTTTTTTTATTATTTATCTCAAATCCACTGCAGAATGAAGCTGAGCATAAGGAGCACCTGACTAAATTATATTTTTCAATCTGAAATATTTTAGCACTTCAACTTGAACTGAGCTAGTATCATTTTACTCTCATCAAGGACGTTGAATCGAATAAACGACTTTTATTTTTTGAACAACATAGATACAAACGGATTCGCTATTTCTTTGGCCATTCAGAAATTAAAGAAATATAATGGGGAAGAAGACACAAGGTTGAAGCAAAATTTTAGACAAAAAAAATCTGTATACAAAATAAGGATCATGACGGTGCTGATGATGATGTCATGGTTATATTGCTTACACAACACTTAGTGTCAGGCACTCTTTTCATTAATTCACTCATATAATATAAAGCCCTATGAAGCATATATATAGCACTCCCATTGTAGAGATAGAAAGTTGACAGGCAGAAATATTAAGTAATTTGTGCAAATTTACTGAGCAGGGGAATGGAGCAGCAGAATTTGAAGGCAATTTTCATCTGAGATTCTGTCTCCCATTACCTTTACCTTCCTTCCCTGGAATTTGACTTGTAACCTTAGTCTCTCCCTCGTCCAGCCTTCTTCGCACAGGAAGCTTTGCAGAGGGAAGCAGTAAGGTCAGGCCTGAATTTTTCCTCTGTTAGCAATGAAACCAGGTAAACCATTTAAGGGTTCTAAGACTTAACATCCTTAGCTATAAAATAGGGATTGCATATTGGGACTGGAGCCAAGGTGCTCTGGAGCCTGGAGAACCAGTGACTGGAGCCAGGGTGCTTGATGAATGGTGGAGGTTACTAAGATTACTATGTGCTTTCCAGGATGAAGACACATACATGATGAGTTAAACACAGAAACCAAAATGTTGTGCATTGGAAAGGAAACAATTCTCAAAATTTTATTAAAACATAAATTAAACTTAATAAACAGGTTTAAAGAAAAATAAATCATATTGTTCCTTGCTTATATTTTAGGGAAGAAGAAAGAACTCCAATTAGGTAGGGGAATCTCAAAATATGGTAGCAAATAATAAGTGCGACAATCAAGAAGAGCTCATTGTATGAAAAACAGATAAATGAAATGGTGACATACACACAATCTCCGGAGACCAGGCTGCTTAATTTTGATTCCAGGATTATCTGCTGTGTGATTTTAGGCAAGTTCCTTAACATTCCTATACCTCAGTTTCCTGATTGGTCAAGATGAGAATAGTACCCCTAAAGTTATTATGGGGAAATCAATGAGAATTTGTTCGCTCTTATATCTCTCATGCCTATAACAGTAACCGGCACACAGTAAACTCTTAATACATAGTAGATACCAGAGATGGGAATGAAAAAGAGAATGCTAAAAAGATCACAGAAGAGGAAGCATTTCCAAAAAGTAGAATTTTACAACCTCAACATTAATCCTAGATAGTTGTTTTATCATTTCAAAAGAATAACACTCTGAAAAATAAATGCTTTAGGACCACTGATTTATTAAGTTTACCTTTAGGCCCTTTTATTTGAATGATTTAGAATTTCTGAAAATGACTATCAGTGAGCCTAACCGGATGACATATCCTGAATCCTACAGATTTAATAGTAAAAGCCCAAAGGAAATCAGGAGAATTATTAATTTCAGGTAATTTTAAATCATGGTTGAAATATTTCATGCATTTTTATAACGGTTAAATATAATGCCATCTTCATTTTACTGTATTTGAATATCTGGCATTTCAAGTTTTTTTATTTTACCATGCTTACTTTAAGAGTAAAGAATGAGTCAAATCCAGAGAGCTGAATTGACTAACAATCTCTTTTAATTTTAAAATGTGCTAAAATATTCCACTATATATTAATCATGAATTATTGACATGAAATAGTAGCCTTAAGCTATATGAGTTCCTAAAATAATTTATTTCCATTTTCTAGGCCGTAAAGCTATTTTATAAGAAATTAATTTTGCCACATAATGGTAATTATGATTTTTTTATAAATGAATAATTCAAGCTTTTAAAAAATGTCTACTTGTTCTTGATAATCAAAATTTTTTTCTATTATCCACACCAATATGTCAAAGATATCAAAAAAGTGCATTATATGTAGTTGAGTGCTTTTTAAAATCTCATATTTATTTCAAAATTTAATATAGAATATAAAATAATTGTTACATTTAATAAGTTAAAATAGTTAAAGTATTTTTTCACAATGCATGGAGCATTTTTTTTTTCTTTTCAGGATAATAAGTGGTTCATTTTGTATGTATAACCATAAGAAAACTCTTGCTTTTATTTGCTTTATACTGCTCAGACAAAGCAAGGTAAAAGTACTTCCTCCTTCACTTTCAACGCATTCTCATACTGAACACAAATACTTATTAATGATGTGGACACCTTTCATTTTACCCAAATTTCTTAAAAGCCTATTGCCTGAGTGTCTAATGCAAGCCCTCAACTCACTCCTAACCCCATTTCACCCTCCATATGATGCCAGGTGGGCCATGCTCCCCGTGCCTGCGATGCTGGAATGCCTTTTCCTCTCCTCTCACTTTCCACCTGTTGGATGTTTCCATGTTTATTAAGGCAAGTGGCCTTAACTGGCCTTTCAGAGCAAAAGAGATGCCTCCTTCTCTGGGTTTCCTATGTGTTCTTCCCTCATTTGTCAGCTTCGGGTAAACTTCCCCAATTTTGCCTCAAGCAAAGCCTCTTCCTTTTGAGACCTTCTTTATTCTCTCTAAATTCTCCAGGATTTGGAAGAGCCAGCAGATCCGTTAGGCCACTGGAGTCCCAGCTTTGCTTGCTATGTTTTGGTGTCACTATTGAAAACCTTTCCTGCACAAGAAAATTGATTTGCCTTCTCCACTGAAGTGATACCCAAACAGCTTCTGCTCCTATACAACCTTAGGCTGCAGGGTTCCACTCACTTAATCAACACTCACATCTCAGCTTAGTCATTCTTTCCCAGAGCAGGACCCCAGGGAATGCTATCTGGTACCAGAGGGTTCTAGATTTAGGAACAAGGGGTGAGGGAAGCAGCCCTCTCTCTTAAACCCAAAGGCCCTAGTGTTGAGTCCTGGCTTTATCTGCCTTCCAGAAATCTTCCCTTGTTGTCTTTTTCCTGACAGCAGACTTTGGTTACAGCCACCGTATCCACTCCACTATGGACTGAACTGTGTTCCCCCAAAACTCATATATTGAGGCCCTAATACCCAATGTGACTCTCTTTGAAGGTATAGCCTTTAAGGAGGTAATTGTGGTTAAATGAGATCATAAGGAGAGGACTCTAAGCCAGTAGGAATGCTATCCATGTAAGAAGAGGAACACACACCAGGAGTCCTCACACACGCAGAAAAAGTAAGGCGAGGATGCAGCAAGAAGACAGCCATCTGGAAGCTAGGAAGAGAGGCCTCACTAGAAACCACGCCTGCTGATACCTTGATTTTGGACTTCCAGCCTCCAAAACCATGAGGAAAAAAATTATTGTTGTTTAATCCACCCAGTCTGTGGTATTACATTATGGGAGCCTGAGCAGGCCAATACATACCCCAAATTGGGGGGAAAGTAGTGGAGTTTGGTTGATCACCACAGAGAGAGCCCCTAGGGTACATATGCCAATCAGTCTCTTACCTCCTTCCAGGGTTCAGAGATTTCCTAGACAGGGAGTATTTATCACAAAGTGACAAAGCACCCTCCCCTGCCACCACACACACACCCAGTTTGGAAGGTTCTGGTTCCTATTTGTCTTGTATTTGCATAATTAACAAGAATTACTCAGCTGGGGCAACATAAAAGCAAAACAAAACAAAAAACTAGCTGGGCATGATTGTGTACACCTGTGGTCCCAGCTATCTGGGAGGCTGAGGTGGGAGAATAGTGAGCTGTGGTTGCACCACTGCACTATAGCCTGAGTGAAGGAGTGAGATCCTGTCTCAGAGAAAGAAAAAAAGAAGGGCCATTCAAGTGACTTCTTTAATAATAAGAAAATGGTTTGTAGAATATTTTTCATGCCCAGTTATAGCATTAGAATTGGTGAGAATAATGTCTTTAAAGTTTTTTTCCTTTATCACCCTATTAAGAAACTGTAGCTTTAATCATATTACTATAATTATTGTTTAATGGCAAGGGAACCAGATGTCCCCCTTATTCAACTTACAGAGTAAAAAAAAAAATATTCTCTACTAAGGAATATGATAATGTTCTGGAAAACATCTAATTAAAAAAATAGAACTGAAAGAGCAAAGACTCTGAAGATGGAAAATGCTTCTCTTTTTTCTTTTCTTTTGGCTTGCTTTTCTTTTAATTGGTTTTATAGAGAAAATATAACTAAAAGTAATGTCATATGAAATAATGCATTGCTTATTAAAAATACATACTGAAAATATGCACTGTCAATTTCAGATACTCGATCATTTTTATATTATTTGGCATATAGCCTACTTAATTCTGTAAGTGGCAACATGTCTCCATCCCTGATAGAATATATTTGTCTATTTGTTGTTTTCATTTTAGTTTATATTATTAATACAATGTTCAAAAATGTAACAATCTTCATTGATTAATATGGAAAAGGTAATGGGGGGAAAACAAATTTTTTTTTTTTAAATTTCATTCCATCGGTAAAGTTGTAACTATCTTTACACGGAGTGTAACATTCATTTCAACTGATTCTCTGCCATGAAAACAAAAAGGAATCTTTGATTCTTTGTGTATTTACCCAAAGATAAAGGTATGTTTAAGATGAAATATGCTCTTTTCTTTGCTTCCTTGTATGTGACCTTGTATTAAATTTTTAAAAATTTGAAAACATGCAACACTTTGCAATCTTCTTTTAACTACACCTAATATACGGCCTATGGGAATTTTGTCAAAAAGACTCTGCTGTAGGCAAGAAGTTCAGAGGACATCCCTTGAGGCTCCTTTCTTATTCCCTTCAAACTCTCCAAAAACTTCCAACAGCCAAGAGCCAAGTCAGCCTTACTTCCAAACACCACACAAGACCAGTGAGGCCACCAGGGTCCCTGGTTAGATTTCTTTGCTAATCTTTTACCAAACCCTTTTATTGTTGCCTTTATATAGTTGGTAGATGTAAAGCATCTTCAATAGGCAGCCTCGTGTCTAAATCTGGAGTCCCTTCTCTGCCTGCAGGAAACTGTATTTTCCCTCGTCTTTCAGAGAGTCTGTCCTTTCCTCAGGTATGAGAGTGACAGGGAGGACAGTGCCTTCCAGGTAGCAGGTATAGCTGGGAAGTGAAGGCTTCTCTGCAGGCAAAATGAAGGCATGTTTACCACACATGCTATGGAATTAGACTTGCAAAAAACAAACAAACAAACAAAAACCATTTTCTATCTATGAGTAACAACTTAAAGTGGGTCCAATGTGAATTTACCACTCCCTTGGGATTGCTTGACCAGATCATTATTTCCTGTGTTACCTCATCAGCATCAAGTCTTACCACCAGCATCACACTGCACACTGTGAATGCCTCTATCACTGTACCTGCAGCCATGTGTTTTAATTATCTCATCATTTGTCTATCTTCTCCTCTGTACTGTGAGCTTTTGAAGGTAGACTAAGTCATCGCTTGATCCTGGGAGCCTACTGCATAGTTCTTCTTCAATAAATGTTTGAACTAATTAAATTAATTAATTCAATGTAGGTCTACCAAGGTGCAGGGGAAGAAGTGCAAAATCTAGAAAGCATATGTAAGTTACATTTATGAGTGAATAAGTTGCAAGCTCCAAGTATCAATCTTAGAAACAAGTGCATGAGTTTATTATAAAGACAAAGATATAATAACACCCAAGGTCCAAATGTGCTACTGAGGTTAAAACAACAACAAAAATACAATAACAACATACTGGCTGTTATCTGTTTGGCTACTGAAAAAGCAAGCATACCTCTAACATATCAAATGCATAGTACAAATGTATATTATATAATTTATTGTTAGCAAATGTAATATATCAAGCACATTACAAATGATAAACCTCACAAAAATCATAAGCTATTTGATAAACCAAAGTTATTGAGAGACAAAGGTTGAAATGATGAAATTTAAAAGAAATAACACGGCCAGGCGCAGTGGCTCACGTCTGTAATCCCAGCACTTTGGGAGGCCCAGGCGGGTGGATCACTGTCCTGGCTAACACGGTGAAACCCGGTCTCTGATAAAAATACAAAAAAGTAGCCAGGCATGGTGGTGTGAGCCTGTAGTCCCCGCCATTCAGGAGGCTGAGGCAGGAGAATCGCTTGAACCCAGGAGGCAGAGGTTGCAGTGAGCCGAGATCATGCCACTGCACTCCAGCCTGGGCAACAGAGCAAGACTCCATCTCAAAACAAACAAGCAATAAAAGAAATAATACTATGGAAAACCTGAAGAAAAACTAAAACAATTTAATAAAGCTAATGGATAGTAGATTCAGAGTAGTTTAATACAGGAATACAAATTTCTCTGGAAGCATACCCCTAAATTCAGAAGTCTGGAAAATTCTTAGGCAAAAATAAGAGGTAAATGATAATGAATAATTTTAATCAATTACCAGAGAGTTTTAAAGAAGTACTTTATATATTAATTTACCAAGAAAATTTATTTTACATATTTATTTGACAATAAATATTTTATATGTTTATTTATCAACAATGGTTGTTTACTACAGCTGATTCCATGTGCTTGTTTTTCCCTCTCATTTGAACCTACCACAGTCTGGTTTCTGCCACCAGAGCTCCATGAAATAGTTCTAGATAAAATCACTAATATCTGAATGTCATTAAATTTGAGGAAATTCTTAAATCTCCATCTTGGCATCTCAGCACCATTTAAGCCAGGCATAGCCCCTTCCTTCTTAAAAAAAAAACAAACAAACAAACAAAAAAAAACATTTTCCTGGTTTTCCCCATCTTCTCTGGCCACTGCTTATCAGTCTTCTTCGATGACTCTTCTTCCTCTAGCCTTCCCCTAAAGATAGGGAATTTCTGTCTCCTATCTCTAGGGGATAGAGGTTTGTTTTGCAGCCCTCTGGTTTATATTTCTATACTAGGCAATTTCATCTTCTCCCAAGAATTCCACTGCCATGAGTACACTGCTAACTCTCCAATTTCTATCTCTACCCCAGACCTTTCTTCCAAGCCCCTGGCTATATTACCAATGTTCTACTCAACAGCTCCATTTGGATATCTCAAATAAATAAAAACCGTGCCATATTAAAAATCCAACTCATCATCTTACTCCATAAACATGCCTTTCCTTTAGTCTTTCTTACCTCAGTAAATGGTGTCAAAATATTCTACATAGAGAAAGCCACATATAATGACACTAACAAATATATAAAGTGCTCTCTACAAGCCACTGTGATCTCTTGATAAGGCCAGTGAATTTTTATTTCCTTCTGTCCACTCTCTACATAGTCATCAGAGTCGTTTCTTTTTTTATTCTTAATGCAAATATGAGCATGTGACTTCTCTGAATTATATGTCTTCAGATTGGCTTTGAGTTTAAATCCAATAATAGTATTACAGACTACAAGGCACTGAAGAATCTGAACCCTGCTTCATCTTATACCACTCTCTTGGTTGGTTTTCTTAGCTCCAGTCACAATGGCCTTGAATTCACCTCCCTTCTCATGACAACGGTTTTGAAAAAGCTGCATATTCTGCCCAGGTTATTCGAATCCCAGTTTTTGCTCAAACCCCCCTCCCACGTTCTGTCCAACTAATAATGCCTTTTTCTCTTTCAGATCTTAATTTAAATAAATACTTTACAACCCTTTTACCTAGATTGAGGTCTTTAAATACCAGTTGAGTATCTCTTATCTGAAATGCTTGGAACTGGAAATATTTTGGATTTTAGATTTTTAAAAAATTTTTGGAATATTTGCATTACTTGTTGAGCATCCCAAACCAGAAAATCAAAATTCCAAAATGCTTCAATGAGCATTTCTTTTGAACACCATGTCAGCACTCAGCATTTTGGATTTTGAATTTTCAGATTTGAGATGCTCAACTTGTACCAAATCCCAGGAATAGTAACCCACGATCCTTGGAGAAACAGCTCACTCCAGGTTTAGAACAGAAAACTAACAAGATGAACCTCTGACATTTTATCATGCCAGGAGTAAATAGGCTATCAAAGTCTATTATGTTCACGTCAAAATGTCTCAGAAACCACCCTGAGGTCTTAGTCACTTTTGGAGGGTGAAGGCACCAATTCACTATTCCAAAAAGTTTTAAATAATGAGAACGATGCATTTACCCTCCCCTTTCTTTATGAACAGTATTTAGGCTAACCAAATAGTGGACGAAGGGAAGACTTTCATAAGATAATAATTTTAGCTAATACATTCACATAAAAAATGACAAAATGTGAAAACCAGCATTTTGCAAATCCTACAGATACAAGGGATCCTGGCAATAATTATTAGGGAAAAGTTGATCAGAAACTTCACAAACATCGGATCAGGCTGAAACACCTAAATCACCTGATACACGGTACTATCACTGCAAGTGTAAGTTAGTGATAGCACAAGTGAGCATTCCTACCACATAGTACATCACACACTTGTACTGATAGTGCATTGGAGCATCCAGTGGGGCACCCAGTCTTTATGTGCCTGCTGATATAAAGCAGTAAAAAGCACCAAGCAATGTGTAGGCAGTACTGATGCCCACCATATCGAATCTGAATTTATTCAAGGATCTAGATTAACAACCAATTTACAAGAAATGTGGGGTATCGAAGAACATGCTACACAACACCACCAGGATGCAATCTACCCAATTTAGAATATGAAAAATACTCCAGGAGAAATTAATTCATTTCCACAAATAAGTGTGTGTATGGGGGTGGGGGGTGAGTGTAGGGGGAGAGAGACTGCTCTCCATTCGAAAAGACTTTTCATATAAACCAATACATGGATCTTTATTGAATCCTGATTCCAATAAACCAACCCTAGAGAAATTTTTTGAGATAAGTAGGGAAGTTTGAAAATGAATTGAGTTTTAGATAATATTAAGAATATTTTTATGTGTTATATTGATATTTGTTTAAAACAAAAGTCCTCATTTATTAGAGAGACTATCAAAGTACCCGTGAGTGAAATGACATGATT
Source organism: Homo sapiens (assembly GCF_000001405.40). NCBI lineage: Eukaryota > Metazoa > Chordata > Mammalia > Primates > Hominidae > Homo > Homo sapiens. Next base: position 105,453,918 of record NC_000008.11, on the reverse strand, counting down.
TCTGAAACTCGCTTTAAAATACTCTAGACACTTTGGGAGGCTGAGGCGGGTGGATCACTTGAGGTCAGGAGTTTGAGACTAGCCTGGCTGACATGGTGAAACCCCATCACTACTAAAAATAAAAAAAATTACCTGGGTGTGGTGGCGCACTAGGGAGGCTGACGCAAGAGAATCACTTGAATCCAGGAGGCGGAGGTTGCAGTGAGCTGAGATGGGGCCACTGCACTTCAGCCTGGATGACAGGGCAAGACTCCATTTCAAAAAGAAAAAAACAAAACAAAACAAAACAAAAAAAACTCCAGAAAAAAAAATTTAGAAGGAATTGATGAAATCAGATTAGCTAAAAGTTGATAACTTTTGAAGTTGGGCAATGGGTACATGGGAATTCATTGTACTCTTCCCTCTTCTTTGATGCATGTTTAAAACTTTGCATATTAAAGTATAAAAAATAAAAATAAAAACAAATTAAGTTAAAAATGATTGGTCCTCACAGAAGTCATTACTGAATCTCTTTCTACCAGACTGGGCTGGCCCCACCACTGATAATATAGTTTTATGGTATCATTTAAGTTACTTCTAGAGAACAGATATCACATATGCAATAAGAACTCAAAAATCATTATTAAAACAATTTTCAATTTCTGGTAGAACATACACTCTCTGAAGTTGAGACCACTCTGGTTTATTTACTGCTGTATATCCTAGGGCCTACCACTGAGTGTTGCATATAGTTAATACTAAATATGTAGTTGAAAACATAAACTTGCCCTAACTAATTTATCTGTGTACTCAGTCAATATTACCCTTCTAGTAATTTAGTTCCAAATTTGTGGCACATTAATATCAAATTGTTTATATCTCTATGCATCTATTTTATTTTTCATGATTTTAAACTACTTCTAATGCATATCGTGTTGATCTTTACTTATATTTTAAGCCCACTTAAGTTATTTTTAAAACCAGACAAAATAAAAACAAAACAGGTTTACTTCTTTCTTTCAGCTTTCCAGATACGAGAGTCAATTTATTCTCACATATATTTGCAGAGCACAATACTGGTACAAGGAAATCAATGCCAATAATCTCTGGTCCAATATAAATATTTAATGCATAATTTTGGATTTTGTTTGTTTGTCGTTTTGTTTTGTTTTGTTGTTGTTGTTGTTTGAGACAGGGTCTCATTCTGTTGCTCAGGCTGGAGTGCAGTAGCAGGATCACAGCTAACTATAGCCTCAAATTCCTAGGTTCAAGCAATCCTCCTGCCTCAGCCTCCCAAGTAGCTTGGACCACAGGTGCCAGTCACCACGTCTGGCTAATTTTTTTTTAATTTTTTGTAGAAATGAGGGTTACACAATATTGCCCAGGTTGGTCTCAAACTTCTGGGCTCAAGAGATCCTCCCACCGAGGCATCCCAAAGCACTGGGATTACAGGCATGAGACACCATGCCTGGACAGTGCATACATTTTAATAATGGAGGTTATAAAAAGAATGGCAAAGATATTTCTTATATACCAATTCCTACTGACTCGTAGTGTCTTTCTAAAGTGCCCTGTTGAGATGCATTCTAAGCTGAATTATGGTTCAACGAGAAAGAACACAGTAAAACCCTGTTAGTGGACACAACTGGGGTGGGTAGTGGTTATTCAAACCATAGAAATGTTTTTAAAATAGTGTTATAAGCATTATATTTTACTTCATAATGCATAAAAGCATCAAACTTTTGATATAGGGTCTAGAATTTTATATAGACCAACCAATTTGTGTTTCACTTGTATAAACAGCATTCACATCCTTTATGTATGATTTCTAGTTTGTTTCATTAGAATGGAGGATGTAAAAGCTTTTGCAAAGCTATTTAAGTGAAGTTTCTTTAACATTTTTTAAGATTTTTCTCGCAAATTATTCAAAGTTTTCTGACCACACCTACATTTTTTAGTGATTTTCCTTTATCCAGTCTTTTGAAGGTTTCAACACAGTTTTCATAGAAATAATATATTTTTGTGAACATATTTCATAGGTTTAGACAATATTTAAAATAAATTAAAAATTATAGTAAAAAGTATGCCTGGGAAGCATATAAGTGACTGCCCACATAGTTTCCTTCTAACTCCTGGCTGCTGTGTCAGTTTGCTGAGTGGCTGAAATAACAGGAATTCATTGTTTCACAGTTCTGGAGGTTAAAAGTCCAAGATCAAGGTGTCAACGGCAATGGTTCCCTCCGAGGGCCATGACGAAGTATCGGTTCCATGTCTCTCTCCTCTAGCTTCTGGTGGTTTACTGGCAATCTTTAGCTTTCCTTGGCATGTAGAAGTATCACTGGGGTCTCTGCCTTTATCTCCACAAGGCATTCTCCTGCATGTCTCCCAGAGAAGAGCAGTTATACTGGATTAAGGGTCCACCCTACTTTACCATGACCTCATCTTAACCAATTATATCTCCAACAACCCTATTTCCAAAGAACACCACATTCTGAGGTACTGAAGGTTAGAATTTGAACATATAAATTTGGCGGTATAGAACCCAACCCAAAAGAGCTTTCATCAGTAAGTTTTAGAGAGGGAGCTTCTACTGTAAATAATTGGTGAATTGTCATATATTTGGGGGCCCATAAGATAATTATAAAATTTGACACTGTATCCATTTTCCAGTACTGTGTCTCATGAAAAGGTCACTGCAATGAAAAGGTCCAAGGAAAATTTATCTCAAATTCATTATCTTTAACTTGAATTTCTCAATTTAACTTATGTAAACAAATTAGATGTTTGCAAACTCTAAAACAAGCCACTATCTAAATATACTTAGTTCCCATTCTTACACAGCTGAAGAAGTATAATCATCATAATAGTAATAATAAATTGGTATACTTTATAAAGTTGTTTGTGAATCAAAGACATTAGCTGTCTTTCCAGTGATCCAACCTACTTTTTTTTTTCTTTTTGGTTGTGTTTATGTCTGTCCTAATTCTATATGAGAGTGCAAACTGGAGTAGGGAATAAAAGAGAACTTTTTTACTGTGTTCATGTGGCATTCTGTTCTACAAAGAGCCAGGCTTTCATCTTTTAATCCGATATCCACTTAACTACACTACAGAAGATTTATTTTTTACCCCCTCTTGTTTCATAAAGGGCTCAAAAGTCTGTACCAGTTTTTGACACTTTGTTATAATATTTTCCTGACCCCCCCAATACACACACGTGAGCACACACACACATACACACACATTCCTCTCTGCCTCATTTTCATATGGACACAAAGCATTGAGATAAAATGATGGTTCATTATAGTGGTACAGAGCTCTTATCTTCATCCGGCAAGAGTCATTTCCTTCCAAAGATTGAAATGCAAATGTGAAAATTAATGATAACTGCATTATCTGATAGCAGAGATAATACCAATTCACTGTCAGAGTAATACACAGTCATTCTAGGATTTCCTCCGCTTCTCACAATATTCTTCTTACTGTCAGACTATATCTATGGTTAACTATGTTTCATAGGTTTCTGTTAATTTACTTCAAATGGCATTTCCAAGATCTTATATCTACCACATTTTCCCAATCAAAAAGGAAACGAAATCAGAACTGTAATCTTCAAGCCCTTCTTTGGACTAGTAAAGAGGGGGAAAAAGCTGTATCATTAAGTATGTGCTTCTATCTCATAGTGGTCTTCTGGCTACAGTTTCACTTCATGCAAAAGTGATCATCTTACTAGTTTAAAGTACAAAGCAGAACTTGCCTGATCATCTGTATATATCCATAATGTTGAACAGCAACTGTATAAAGCAACTTATTTACAGATACCTTGACCAATTTTTAGTCAAGATGCAACAAGTAGACAGGTCTGATTTTGCCCTAGACATTTATTTTTGAAAATTTATTTACATTAAAAATTCTTGAATTGAATCATGTTTTAAGTCGGGTGGAATAGAACATACTTAATATAATACTACGATGACTTTTACATTGCAAAATCATTTGCCAAATTAACCCACTGCAACTAATGTTTAACAAGGACTTATTACATGTAAGGCATTGTAATGGCCACACAGGTACAATTGCTGAAATGATAGTAAAAGTAATATTAAGAGTAATTAATTGAGCACTTAGGAAGCTCTGAGCTCCATGCTTTAGATGTAAAATCTCATTAATGAGGTAGTTATTATTATTAGCCCTATTTTACAAACAAGGAAACTGAGGCCTTGGAGTGTTAATAGCTTGCTCAAAGTCACAAAATTGGTAAGTGGCAGAACCAAGATATAAACAGAGGGAATGTTTTTGGCCTTCTCCATTCATGACATTACCCCAAAATAATTTACCTTTGATGGATACTCTGACTTATCAGCGTAGCAGCAAGTTTTAATATTTGAAAATGTATAATACAAAAAATGATTACTAATTTTATTCTATTAATTCATCAAATCATCAATATAGTGTTTGATTTTCTACTTCATTTTTATTGAAATGACCCAAAGCTTAACATATAAATATTAAAATCTATTTAAATAGAGGTATATACTTATCCTGAAAAGTTTGTGTCAAAGAATTTCAATACCTGCTCAAAATGTTATACCTGTGTATGTCTGCATTAACACATGTTATTGTGGGGGTGGGTACATGTACTTATTTGCATATTTAAGTAGCATGATATTTTCCTTTATTAGAGCTCCTGGAAGTTTCAATTATAGCTGCTATAAGCCTGATGGTAAGACCAAGATTTCATGCAATATTGTACCAGACAAATCAGATTTTCACTATTCTCAAGTGTAAAAAGTAGTAACCATGTTTTAATAAGGTAATTCCGAGAATTAGCATACTGAAAGTTGATGTAAGTAAGATGTGACTTTTAAGGTGCTTGTTTCATAAAGGTAGATGACAGATTTATAAAGATTTACCTAAATTTTCTTTCCCTAGTCTCCTTCTAAATACGAGTACATAAAACAGACTTCGGTCATGGAATGTGGTTCTTAAGATCGCCAGGGATGTAAACACTATTTTCAAAATAAGGTCAACATTCCAACCATTGGTCAGTCTGAAAGGACAGAGTGAAAAGTGTTTAACAAAGTTCAGTCCTAGGGTAAGGGAAGACCACTTACGTTTAGCAAGTCCTATTCTCTCCCAAGTTCTGTGCTGGATACTTTGTAAATATCATCTCTTTCAAATTTCATCCAAATCACAGTATTTCAAGCTATTATTATTCCCATTTTAAAGATAAGGAAACTGAAGCTTGGCCTGAACTTCTGAACTTAACATGCCAGAATCTAAAATCTGTACACTTCGTTCTGTAGTTTAAACCATACTCTACTCTCCATTCTATGAGATGCTTAATTATTGCATCAGTGACTCAAATATGGTACATGAATAATTAAAGAAGCCCACAGGAGGGAAATGACATCAAAAAAATGAGAATACAGACAGCATGATGTTACACCTTGAACTTCTCCCAAGTGCTTTTAACAATTATTACAATAAATGCAAGATAAATATTTATTGAATAATTAGACATATAAGAATATTGGTAAACTGAAGAACTTGTGAGAGTGATAAAACACAAAATTTGTGAGGACAATCAAAGAAAAGAAAAGATGTTTACTAAAAAGAAGACAGATAAGATAAATAAAATATAGGCAAAGACAGATGAAAAACCAGAATAGTGAAGAGCAAATGTTCTGTGAATTAGATTCCAAGCAAAGAAGTGTCCAAGTAAAATTTTATAAGGAAGAAAGAACAATTACATTAAAAAACAGACTTGAGAGGTACTGAAATAATGAGACAATGACTTTTATATTGGCTTGAACCCTACCAGCTTAGTGTGTCTAGCTTTTCACTCAAACCATGAAAGATTCATAGGAATTTGAAGTATACTTAAACAGGAATCACAAACATTTAAACATGAAAGAATTTCACCATAGAAATGTTTACATGTAAGATAATTTTCTTAAAGATTGTTTAGGTTCCACTTAATCATAACAGCTAACAAAGGTGTGAGCAATAGTGATAACAAAACATATCTTTTAGTTGAATAACATAAGGGAAAAAGTACTTTCCACTGTGGAATCTGCATTTGATAAAATGAAACACGTCAGACGGGAGTTGATTCATTATTTAATTCAGCCATCAAGAAAGGTTGTGGAGTCGTCGTCAATCAAACTCTTTTAAAAAAAGATAAATCCTGATCCATCTTAAATGACGTCAGCTCTATGCCTCAAATTCTTTAGATAATTTTCCCATCCTTTGACTCTGTTCTATTTTTAGAGAAAATCATCTCTCTTAGGGTGACTGTCAGAACTGAGGTGGAGAACCTTAAAATTAGAAGACCTTGAAATCGAAATCTGTTTCAATACCTCATATCTTAATCAATAATTTGCGGCTAAACTCAATTAGTATGACAAAACTTTTCTCTTTATTTCTTCAGATATACTAGTGGGCATTAGAAACTCTAAAGGTTCGGCTTCAAGACTCAACAACTGCAAAGCCACAATAATGATCACTGACATTTCATGTATATGATCTGATTTAATTCTCTAAGAGTTGTTAATATTATTTTCTATTTTTTACAAATGAGGATATAGGTAAAGTGAGAACAGGTTTTTGGTTTTTTTTTTTGCCAAACTTCCAAATTTTTTGCCAAAAATCTCCCAGATAGTGAGTATTAAATCCAGAATTGAACCTAAACCCATGGAATCTAAAGCCTATTTTATTTTTTTATTAATTTTTAATTTTTGTGGGTATATAGTAGGTGTATATATTCATGGGCATATGAGATATTTTAAGACAGGAAAACAATGTGTAATAGTCATATCAGGGTAAATGGGGTAACCATCAGTAAAGCCCATTTTCCAATATATTTGGAAACTGTCACTAAAAGTTGCACAATTTTCTCTCTGACTACAGTTGGAAAATGCCAATACTATTTCATTAATAACAAAACTTGCAGTAGTAACATCAAAGTAATTGCTGTTTATGCAATAGCGAAAACACGAAATACCCCCTACTTTCTCCCTAATCTCCTGATTAAAGGAAATTAATGAATATTCTACCTTGAAAAGTAAATAAATAGATATTGTTATGAATCAACTTCAATTCAGGGATTTTCATAATAATAAAACCCCTTTTTTGGCTAAATGTGTATAGAGAAAAAAATTGTTATTTATTTTATAATAGACGAAGAAGAAATTTTTTTGTAGCCATACCTGCTTAGAGATACATATTTTCTCTTCAAAGTTTTGTCATAACCATATGTGCCCAGAAAAGAGTATAAAGTTTTTTTACCAACAGCAAATAAATAAAAACATTAAATTAAATACATTAAATAAATTTAAACGAAAATGGAAAATTCTTCATTTTGAATGACAGCATAATTCTTCACCTTGTTCACTTTCTCTCCCCCTCTTTTATTAGCCACAAATACAACTTTATTTCTCGAAAAGCTTCCTGAAAAAGGTAGCACTGGGTGTACAGCATGTGTTTGGCATTTTATCCCCTAAAATTTGCTTACTTACTCCCAAGTCACTGGAAAAGCTATGGGCCCCAGACATAAACAAAGATAAAAACCTACTCCCTACAAATTTTCCCCATCATAAGAGTAAGCCAGAATGTACCTTTTCGCAAGCAGGCATATCTAAAAGGCCAACTAAACTTTTAAATGTAAAAACACTTCTAAATTAACATATACATACTTAATTCTATGAATAAGGAACTATCGCCGGGCACGGTAGCTCACGCCTGTAATCCCAGCACTTTGGGAGGCCAAGGCGGGAGGATCACGAGGTCAGGAGATCGAGACCATCCTGACTAATATGGTGAAACCCCGTCTCTACTAAAAATACAAAAAATTAGCCAGGCGCGGTGGCACATGCCTGTAGTCCCAGCTACTTGGGAGGCTGAGGCAGGAGAATCGCTTTAACTTGGGAAGCGGAGGTTGTGGTGAGCCGAGATCATGCCACTGCACTCCAGCCTGGGTGACAGAGTGAGACTCTGTCTCAAAAAAAAAAAGAAAAAAGAAAAGAAAAGAACTGTAAGAGGCTGGGTGCAGTGGCTCATGCCTGTAATTCCCTTGGGAGGATGAGTCGGGCAGATCATTTGAGCTCAGGAGTTTGAGACTAGCCTGGGCCACGTGGTGAGACCCAGTCTCTACAAAAAATATAAAAATTAGGCAGTTGTGGTGGTGCATGCCTGAAGTCCCAGCTACTTGCGGGGCTGAGGTGGGAGGATCACTTGAGGCTGGGAGGTGGAGGCTGCAGTGAGCCAAGATCATGCCACTGCACCCCAGACTGGGCAACAGAGTGAGACCCTGTCTCAAAAAAAAAAAGGAACTATAATATATAAAAGTTCACTCACTGTTTTTAAGTTAAAGGTAACCTCCATGACAAAACCTAGATGTTCCGAAAATCTTTTCCCTACTTTTTTTTTTAATCGAGGGAATCTTTCCCCACATTGAGAAGAAGCATCATGCCATAAGGTGAAAATGCCAGAAGGCTATATTTTCCTTCAAACTCTTAAAATGTGGTAATAAGGTACTTTAAATATAATACATTTTTGATATAAAATCTTGTATAGCATTATGTTATAGTATACAGAATACAAACATTTGTGTGTATGATGAATAACATTAGAAATGACATCATAATAATCAGATATACTGTATCTTCATTTTTGTTTGCATTATATTTTCCAGCTGCTGGTTTCAGAAAATTACTGCTGGAGTTCCTCTCTTCTTCACGTACAGCAGAGAGCAATTTGCAAAGTCATGCAAGGGTGAAAATGTGATTGAAATATAGGGATCTTTCTTAATGAAAAATGTTACTGCTTTGGAAATTACGGCTAAAACTATCTCAGAACTCACTTATATTCTTAAACCTTGTGACATAATAGTCTCCATTTATAAATATACTATCAATTGTAAATTACTTGGCACCAAATATAAAGCCTTTTTTCTGCAGAGTTCTTTTGACTGTTATATATTTACATACATTTATATTGGTGTGGTGGAGTATTTTGATCAGTTTTTGTTTTTCTTTAAATGATTAAATGTCAAGATCATTAAAATCAAATGTAATTTTCCTCATCAAAATGAAAATGTTACTCAAACCTTAAATCAAAAGGGGGCATCTTTTGATATTTTCTAAACTTCTAAATATGTATTGAGGTTCAACCTATGATTTAAAACATGACTAAACTGAAAATGATAGTTCTTTGAAGTACTGTTTCTTGTTTGTAAGCTTTAATAGTGTGCCCAATTTAAATTTGGATGTAGCTTAAAGATCCTTTGTTCAAAGAAGCAAGTAGAATTGACTAATTTTACATGAAGATGAAAGAAAAAAATGACAGAAACTTCAAGCAGAGGTAGCACTTTGGTTTTTATAATTTATATAACAAAAATCTAAGAAGTATTTTTAAAATAATAATCTTTATTTAAACTCTCATGTAACCAGCACACACAAAAACATTTTTTGCAAGCTAACTGATGTTCAAGAAAAAAAGAAAAATGTGTATTTCTAACAGTACTAAAGACGGTTGAATTTTAAATATTCTCCCCTACCTGGTCCATCCCAGTCGTCTGTCTCAACTCCAGGTTGCCCCGGTTTCTCTGACTGTGTGTCCCCATCTGATTCTGCTGTCTCCTGGATTCCTTCATCATCACCTGGAAAACACCAACACAAGGAGAGAAAGAAAATGAGCAAAGCTCTCTCTTTCACATTCACACCCTCATAAAGGGATGTCCTTATCATATATCTAATTACAGGTTTGTTATACATATTGTCATTACACTAATAAATGTTCATGACTATTTTGATATCTATTGTGGCTTCACAATAAAGAAAATCAGTATTTGTTATCAATAAATGAATGAAGTTAAGTACTATAAACATAAAAACATTTCCATGTAAATTTTCCTTTGGAGTTATTAATATATATAAGAAGAAAATGAAATTGCAGTTTATAATTTTTTCTAAGACTTTCAATACAGAAAAACTTAACTCATTGATTTCCAAATTATAACTTTTCTAAAGACAAGATGCAGATAAATAAATATCATAGAATAAGACATATTTATGGTTTTGGTTGAATTTAGATTACTTTGAAGAACACTTTTATTTTTCCCCAGCTTTATGCTCGCTAAGACTGGGTCTTATTTGTTTTAAAAATTTAGTGGAAAAGGCCATAATTAAATGATTAGCCAGTGACTCAACTCCTCACAATAAAAGAAACTATAAACCTATATTTTTGCTTGAATAAATACAGCTAGTTTCTACAATTTTATGCCATCATTTTCACATTAAAAAGGCAGTAACATTCTGAGCAAAAATATAGTTATGGCAAAGGAGAAACCTTAATGATACAACCATATTTTAAAAGCAAAAAGTCTAATTAATGAGTACCTTCATTTTAAGTGATAATGTAACAAAGTATGTGCTGCTTTTAAGAAAAGTAGTCCACTTTAATATAATGCATACTTTAAAATACTAATATTTTGCCATAAATGGTAATAAAATAGAAACAAAATAACAAGAAAGTATGAAGACAAAAAAACATGAATACTAAAATCACAGCAACTATGCCTTGAATTTAATAATGCCAAGTTTTTTTTTTTTTGTTTTTTGTTTTTTGAGAAGGAGTCTTACTCGCTCTGTCACTCAGGCTGGAGTGCAATGGTGCAATTTCAGCTCACTGCAACCTCCACCTCTCAGGTTCAAGCGATTCTCCTGCCTCAGCCTCCCAAGTAGCTGGGATTACAGGTGCCTGCCACCACGCCCGGCTAATTTTTGTATTTTTAGTAGAGATGGGGTTTCACCATGTTGGCCAAGCTGGTCTTGAACTCTTGACCTCGAGTGATCCACCTGCCTCGGCCTCCCACAGTGCTGGGATTACAGGTATGACACTGTGCCCGGCCAATAATGCCAAGATTTTTAAATTAAATTGCTTGCCTATCTAGCTTTCTCTGAAGTATCCAATAACTATTTTCCAGTTTCCCAACTCTCTAATACCACTTAAATCTTTATATGATTATACAAAAAAAAAACACTGAACTTCTAAGAACTTCCAAAGTTACTTAGAAAATACAGAATTTTCAGGAAATCATGATTACGATGAATGACATTTAACATGATGTTAATATGAGCTTTGAAGTTAAAATTCCATACATTTTATTTTCATTTCTATGTGTAGCTTCATAAAATGAACTTAAAATCTGTAATAAAGGTAAGGAGTAGGAATGTAGAAACCCAGGATCAGCTCTGTTGAACTCAGTTTACTTAACGGAGAGCACGGATTCTAGTGGATATTAAAGAATAAAATACATAAACCACACCACTGAATCCCATGTCTTAAATTAAAATATTTTTGAAAATATTTTTCCTTTCAGAACTATCAGAATGAACACCAATGAAATTCCCTCCATAAAATATTGAGCATCTACTATGTTTAAGGAACTGTGGTAGGTGCAGGATGATATTTACAGAAAAAGACAGTCCGTTTTTGAAAATAAAAACACAAAGAGGGTAAGTTGACAAATGAAAATGCAAGGTAAGGTCCAAGTTTTTTTTGTTGTTTTTTTGTTTTTGTTTTTGTTTTGCTTTGAGACGGAGTCTCGCTCTGTCACCCAGGCTGGAGTGCAGTGGCGCGATCTCGGCTCACTGCAAGCTCCACCTCCTGAGTTCATGCCATTCTCCTGCCTCAGCTTCCAAAGTAGCTGGGACTACAGGCGCCTGCCACCACACCCAGCTAATTTTTTTTTTTTTTTTTGTATTTTTAGTAGAGACGGGGTTTCACCGTGTTAGCCAGGATAGTCTCGATCTCCTGACCTCGTGATCCGCCCACCTCGGCCTCCCAAAGTGGTGGGATTACAGGCGTGAGCCACCGCGCCCGGCCCCAAGTTTTCAAAACAAATTTTTAAAACATTTTTAAAACAAATAAGACCAAGTCTTAGCAAGCATAAAGGCACACCATAAAAAAGTCTCAGGAACAAAAAAGGGTTTATCTTCTGTGCCCCATTTTGCAGGTTACATAGACGCTAGCCCTGAACTAACCAAGTTCCCTTCTGCCTGACTGTACCTGCTCTGGCCCTTCTCTACTGAGCCTCCTCCTGCTTCTCTCAATCCAGAAACTATGTGATGAAAGCCTGGTGAGCAGGAGGTTTATGGTATCCGTTTGGATTGGTCAGATCCCAGGCCATACCAGTAGTCTTTGAATATCACCCCTACATACATGTAAGTACTGAACTAATGTCATGTAATTAGCAAACTGGCATAACTGGAATCACAATGTTAGCTGTGGTGGAGAACCCTAATGTCTCCTGGACATTCTCTGCTTGTCCCTTCTTGCTGGCCCCAATCCGCTCTCTTCCTTCTTGGCCCTGCTTTGTGACCAAGGGATCCTGAACTCCTATAGACTCCAACACCGGGGCGCCCCTGGGCTTTGATTTCTTTCTTTCTTTCTTTCTTTCTTTCTTTCTTTCTTTCTTTCTTTCTCTCTCTCTCTCTCTCTCTTTCTTTCTTTCTTTTTTTTTGTTGAGACAGAGTTTTCACTCCTTTTGCCTGTTCGGATTATCAGAATGAATACCAATGAAATTCCCTCCATAAAATATTTATTGAGCATCTACTATGTTTAAGGAACTGTGGTAGGTACAGTATGATAGTTACAGAAAATGACAGTCCCTTTTTGAAAATAAAAACACAATTAAGGAGAGTAAGTTGACAAATGAAAATGCAAGGTAAGGTCCAAGGGGTTTTTTTGGTTTTTGTTTGTTTGTTTGTTTGTTTTTGTTTTGAGATGGAGTCTCACTCTGTCACCCAGGCTGGAGTGCAGTGGTGCGATCTCGGCTCACTGCAACCTCTGCCTCCCGGGTTCAAGTGATTCTTCTGCCTCAGCCTCCCAAGTAGCTGGGATTACAGGCAGGCGCCACCATGCCTGGCTAATTTTTTTTTTGTATTTTTAGTAGAGACGGGGTTTCACCATGTTGGCCAGGATGGTCGCGATCTCTTGACCTCGTGATCCACCCGCCTCAGCCTCCCATGGTGCTGGGATTACAGGCGTGAGCCACCGCTCCCGTCCCTTGGCCTCTGATTTGAGTTCAGCCACCGGAGGCACTGATAGCATAGCAGAGGATCAGAGGTAGGAGGAGAGAGAGGTCAGGTATTCATCCCTTATTCCCTTCCTTCTTGATGGTCTTCAGTTGCTAGCAGTGACTGTATCGCAGAATTAGAGCTCCTGTTCTATGGTGCCCTCCTGCTCCTGCATCTTCTCTCGTGTCTTTTGAGACCAGAAGTGCTAACAGCTTCCTACTGTGGTGAGCCCATAGATGCTTCCCATCCCTGGTTCGTTTCCCTAGTCCCACCCACACCTTGTGCACTATCCCTTCACCAAAATGCCTTTAGTTAAACCCAGTGACCACATCATCAGTTTCCTGATGGACTCTTACTGATACACCCCATTTCTTCCCAACTTCTTATGCTACTTTTATGATTTGGGGCCAGTCACCATGTATGTAATATTTTGGGTGCTACTTTATTTAAATTGACTCACTTTTTAATAACTGATTTCATAAACTAAAAAAAAAACCAAAAATGTATTTTAAAAACAAACAACATATATGAAAAACAAAAACTTTATCACTACTACAAAGGGAAAATCAGTATCACATGCCAAAAATAGAAAGTAATCACAAAATAGATTCAACAAAAATACAGATAATACTATTAAATGCTAGCTACCATCTCTATTTAGACTCTGAGTTTCTATCTCATTGCTTTGTATTAGAAAGGGTAGCAAGTACTAGAGGAGTATTTAAGTGATAAATGGTAATATGAAATTGAGACATTCTCACTGATATACAAAGAATATAAGAAACTTGAGAACTTTTTTACCATTGATTCAAGGCTATTTAATAAAATATCAGTTTACCATCTTAATCTTCTTGAGTGCCACTAGGGATACCTGACCCAATTTGGGGAAACGTTGACCTTTCCAATACTTAATTTTTCATGGAAGCTAGAATCTACACAATTATTTACCACTTAGGTGAGTGACCTTTTGATTACATTTTCACAGACTAAATGGAGTATCACTCTGGGAGCTAATTCAGGGATGTATACAAAAGGAGTTGTTCTCCCCAATGGTAAAGAATAGAGAATATACCCTACAGTTTTTAAATAATATCCACTCCTTCCAAGCACTTTTCTTATTCCTTATGAATCTTGAAACACAGGGATTTGAGCACCAGAGGGGACTTTGGAAAACATGTAGCCCAAATTAGATCAATTTACTATTCAGGAAATTGATGCACAGATAGGGTCAATAACTTATCCATGGTCTTACAGCTACCATATTAGTTTCTGCATAAGGAACTTCCTCAAATATCATGTTCCAGCAATAAGTGCTTCCCACACATCACAGGGGTGGCAGATTGAAGCAGTTTTATGTAAATCTCCTTTCCCCAACAAGCAGGATAGTAGGGCTATGGCATCATAAAGGCCACCAAAAACAGCAGTTTGTACAAGATTATAAATTAAATTTGAGTCTCCTAATTGCTAGTCTGGCATTCTTTCCAAAACATCCTTTCTCTTTACATCTCTCCTCCAGTTGAGGAGAGAACCATGAACACCTGAATAATAACCCCAGAGCAACCCATTAACAAACAACCATGAGGCCACACTGTTAAAAATTATATAGCCAGGTGCCCAGATAACAGAGAATAAAATCTAAGCAGAACCACTTAGAGAAGTTATTTTATATTCAGGTATTAACTGTATTGTCCTTACATTCACACAAAGGAGTAAGCCTTCCTGCATCTTACTGTTACATTTCAGTTGGAAATATATGGTGCTATGCAAAATTCAATCAATCATTAACATTACTCACACATTTTTGAAAATACAATGAGAAATATGAAAAATAAAAAAAACAGTGCTTTCTGTTGAGGACCATATAATCTAGTTGGGGAAATAGGCAATATGCATGAGAGCAGTAGCCACTGATAAAAACCTACAATAAAGATAGTTCATGAATAATTCCAAGTGGTAAGACATAAAGTATAGAAATTCAGAGACCAGAAGCACAAAAAGAGACTGACCATGAAGAAGCCATATAATGAATTTTGGAGTTCTACCTTCATGTTGACTGCAATGAGATGCACTGGAGGTATTTCAGTGGGGGGACTGATATGACCCTGTGATACAAATACAGTAATCAACCTATATTGACTAAGTTCCTATGAACATACCGTATCAGACTTCGGGTCTTTTGAGTTCTCCCTTATTCATTCCATAACAACACTCATGTCTCAGACATTCTCTCTCCCAATTTTTGTGAGACCATGGTTAAGTCTACCCCAAAATATTTTATTAAGCAAATTACATATTTTTGGAAGAAAAAATAATGAGAAAAAATAGAAAGGAGTGTGTCTGGAAGAATACATTGCCGAGTAATCAGAGTTACCACAAAAATTAGAACTTAAAGAAAATGATCCAGTTCAATTGATAAATGTTCACCTCTGTTAAACAGAAGTGATACAAAGTGTTCTTTATTAGTTCATTAAAACACAGCTTTTTCAGGCCCAGGCACTGTGTTGGGCACTGAGAATACAAAACAAATGACTACTCTCATCTATCACATATAGACCAGTGTAGGATACAGACAGATTGATAGGGAGCTGCAAGCTGGTGTGATGAGTGCTTTGAGGGGAGAAGTTCATGATGGGACAGGAGCACACAAGCATGACAACAAACCCAGACTTGATGCCACAGAAGTTTCTTGGAGGAAGAAACCAATAAATATCTGAAAATTTGAAGATGTGAAACTGAACTCTGTATGTTTAATATCCTGAGGCTACATGACTAGAAACAACTTTTTATTTTTTATTTTTATTATTACTATTTTTTTTATTGGAGACAGAGTCTCTCCCTGCCAGGCTGGAGTGCAGTGGCACAATCTCGGCTCACTGCAACCTCCACTTCCTGGGTTCAAGCAATTGTCCTGCCTCAGCCTCCTGAGTAGCTGGGATTACAGATGCGCACCACCATGCCCATCTAATTTTTGTATTTTTAGTAGAGACGGGGTTTCACTATGTTAGCCAGGCTGGTCACGAACTCCTGACCTCTGGTGATCCACTCACCCGGGCCTCTTAAAGTGCTGGGATTACAGGCGTGAGCCACCACTCCTGGCCAGAAACAATGTTTAACATTAAAAATGGCAGCCACCTTCCCAAAGAGTCCCATAGGAAAAGATTATGGTAATTAAGTTATTGTGCAGGAAACATGGCAGCTTGAAGGTGGTGAAACTAGATAGTTCAATGAGGTAAGAGTATAATCCAGAAGACATTTTAAGATGCTAAAGAGTTTGAAAAGTACTTCGACTGAGTGAAGTCCTTTCCTTCATTCAGTATATGCCAAATTTACCCCTGATCATTCTCATCCCGTATCTGATAGAAAATGTCAAGATGAAAATTTTGTAATTCAACCTATTAAGGGGTTGATTGAACAAGTAGTTTCATATGATTAAAAAACTTTCATTAAATGTCACTTAACTGCCAAATCAGAACTGTAGAACTTAGATTTCAACTTGGTAGCAATACTCAATATTGATAACCTAGATTCATTGAATGATTTGCTCCAATTTGTTTCATTCATTACAAATAATTAGAGATACTGAAAATAAGTATTGCCGAGTATTTAAAGAAGCACTACAATAGTAGTTAAGTATACACATTTAACAGCTCAAAATAAATTACATTTTGCACCTATTTTGAGCAACTTATAAAACTAGGTAAGGGGTATGCAATATATATCACATTAATAAAAAAATTTGGAGAGGAAAGAATAGTTTAAACTTTCTAATTATTTAATCTTTTCTTAAAGAAAGAATGCAAATAAAAAAAGAAAGATGACTAAAACAAAATAATCTCATATGAAATGATAAATTTGGATGTAGAAAACAGAATGGAACAGAATTTAATTTATATTCATTTCAATATCTGCTATATGAAAACACTGAAATCATAAAGATGAATAAGGTATAGATCATGTCATCAAGATCAGATTCTATACTAAATCTAAACATGGCTATCATCTCTTAAGCACTACTCAGCACTAGGTATATTGCTAAATGCTTTATAAACATCACATCAACAGATCTGCCATGTATTAATATTCCTATAGTTCAGAAAAATAAACCAAGGGGGAGAGATGTGGAAAGATGCCCAAGCACACTGCTAGTAAGTGGCAGAACCAGGATTTGATGCCAAGTTAGTCCGACTCCAAAGACCATGCCTCTAACTTACTAGGACATTACCGTCAAAGTCGACTACATGGCAAGCAACAGAGATAGCAGGATGTGATCTGACAGCTGCTTTATCCTTATCATGTTTAAGTCCCATTTCTTCATTATGGTTGCATAATTTTTTTTTTTTTTTTTTGAGACGGAGTTTTGCTCTTGTTGCCCAGGCTGGAGTGCAATGGCTCCATCTTGGCTCACTGAAACCTCTGCCTCAAGCGATTCTCCTGCTTCAGCCTTCCCAAGTAGCTGGGCCCACAGGCACATACCACCACACCCAGTCAACTTTGTATTTTTAGTAGAGACAGGGTTTCTCCATGTTGGTCAGGCTGGTCTCGAACTCCCGACCTCAGGTGACCAGCCTGCTTCAGCCTCCCAAAGTGCTGGGATTACAGGTGTGAGCCACCGCGCCCAGGCACTTGCATATTAAAATAAAATGGTTAACGAATTTGATCTTCATAAGCATTATTTTTTCCCTAAGGTTTACTATTTTACTTGGCACTTAGAAAAATCAACTACATACAAATGTTAATCAATTACCATTGCTTACTGAGCACTTAAAAAATTAGATTTTAGTTTCGTTCTTTTTACCATAACTTACTGCAATATCATTACACTTGCTAATTAATTGCTTTCAGCACATTCTTTCTATTTAATAAATAAAATGTCATAAGTTTCCAACTTTTAGACCCTTCATCTTCTAACTTTATCTCAGAAAACTAGTTCTTATTTTTATGGTAATGTTTTGACATAATTCATTTTTTAATGCTTTTTACTAATGAAAAATAAGTGATTACAAATAATTTAATCAAATATGAAATCTTCGAATTACTTTTAGGAAACTATTTTTTTTCTCACAATAGAGACTTGCTTCTTTACTTCCAATATATTCTCATGAAAAAGTTATAAATACAATTTTATTTTCATATTAACCCAAGCTTCTTCCTAGTTTAAATGAAATTGACTTTATTGACCAACATTTTTTTTTACTTCTATCCATTTTTGATTCTATGTTTGAAATCGGTACTCTAGAGTAGCTTAGGAAAATTGGAATGAATAATTAATAGCAAGATAATAACGACAAGTTTGTTAAGATACTGCTTCACAAGCTGTGTTGATAGGAAGAGGAAAGGAAGACAGAAAAAAGATGCCAAGAAGAGAATTACAGAAAGAGCTAGGAACTCATTTAACATCCATTCATTTACTTTCTAAATTTTTTATTCATATACTTTTAAATAGAAATTTCAGTGTATTTTCAGCAAAGCACAAACATATTTAATGGGATAACCACTATATATATCCAGAGACCAATTCATAAAATGATGAAATGGAATAAATGTCAAGCAGTAACAAAATCTATAATATTTCCAAAATTATGGCTATGAAGTTAATGGTTTTCCATTGCAAGATTAAACTCTTTTGTTACTCTTTTAAAAGATATCATACGTATTTTGTGGGCCTTTCCATTTTTCTTAGTCTAGGTTTCAGAATCAATGAGAGTCCTATAGGAGGAAATTGAAGGTGTTATTGAGCAATATAATGCATAGCATAAATGGCTCGGGGAAATGCACTTGAATATAGTCTTTGAAACATATGAAACAGAATCTTTAAATACCTTATTAGGTATTGTTGGTAAGATAGTAAAAGCAGTGGCTCCACTCGCCAGGCAAAAATAATTTAAAAACCACAAACAAACACCTTTTCACTGAAAGTTAAATACTTCTGTAGAAATTAAAGATTTGCCACATTCCGAGACAGTCACTTTTTCAGCACAGAATAGCAGCAGTGTTTGAAAGCAGTCATGCAAGCAAACAGCCCTTCTCAACCTTGCTCTTTTAATCCATGTAGTTCCTATCAATATTAACCTCTTATAGAAATTCTTGTACAATATAACTATTGAACTTTCTTGACTAGGAGTGTTACTGTAGCTGTTAGTCATCCCTATAATGCATTTTGCAATCAGCTAAATCATCAAAGTATTTTTTAACAATGAACAGTTCAGAAGTGACAGATCTACTTTCTTGTTCACAACTGCTTATCAGAGAATAGATATCACATATGTTTTCCAGGTGCTTCCTATAGTTAGGATACCTTCACAGAAGAAGCTCATGAAAGATAAGGTCATAAAAGAGATGAAAAATGTGTGAGCTTCATACACTTATGGTTTTATCATCAGACAAGATAGCTTTGGTTAAAGGACTTCAACAGTCAAAAACAGAAAACTGCAGCTCATACGGAAGGGCGAGGACATTAAAGTTTAAGATTCAGTTTGTGTTTGCTTTGCTTAATAGCCTCACAATATTGTGTAACTTAACACAATTGTTTGGTTATAGATTATCCAAACAGAAATGTCATGTTAAATTAACTCTATGTTACCAAATTATAGACACGATTCTATCTCCAGGAACAAAAATAAAAACATGCAGCTGTTCCCTTTATGGCAATACCTAAAAAAAAAAAAATTAAGAATTTCAACTGTTTGAAAAGAATAGATCCATTATGTTTGTGGATTCCTATCCTGGTTTCTAACTCAGGTCTCCCTTTGACTTACTACTTATGTATAATAAAATGCAGAGTTTTCCCATCTTCTGGGTAGTTATATTCAGTATACAATTATTTTTTAAAAATGCATGTGACTTCTTTGTAACTTATTTGGGGCTTTCCTATCTGACAAAATATTATTATTTTGACGGTAGTTTCAGACTCCTTAATATGAAAGATTAAGCAGATCAAAAGACTAGAACCCACATTTATTTGGCTATACATTTGAGGACCGCAGATGAGGAAACAATCCTGAAACAGTTGATAACAGTGGTCCAGGGCTAACACTGTCATGTTGAGAAGAAACTCAATTTCTTTTTTCTTTTTGAGATGGAGTCTCGCTCTGCCTCCCAGGCTGGAGTGCAGTGGCGTGATCTCGGCTCACTGCAAGCTCCACCTCCCGGGTTCATGCCATTCTCCTGCCTCAGCCTCCCGAGTAGCTGGGACTACAGGCTCCCGCCACCACGCCCAGCTAATTTTTTGTATTTTTAGTAGAGATTGGGTTTCACTGTGTTAGCCAGGATGGTCTCGATCTCCTGACCTTGTGATCCAACCGCCTCGGCCTCCCAAAGTGCTGAGATTACGGGCATGAGCCACCGTGCCCAGCCGCAATTTCTATAGTTAATGCATGACTACTGCCATTTGTAGTGTTTCATCATAGCTAGTAAGGAGAAAATATTGAAAATACTAATGTTTATGTTTACCAACATCATGTAAAAGTCACAATTAAAGTATTGATAACTGAGGAAGAAAGAACATTGAATTATTGAACACAGTACTGAATATTTATCCCTGCTATCAATATTATCCTCCATGTGAAAATAGTTTTTCTCAAAGTTTAAGTTCACTGAAGATTTGATGCATAAGGGAAATTTCCACATGAAATAAGACAACTTTTCATCGGTATTATCTCTTGATAATTTTATTCCTCATTATTTCTCTCAACGAGCACATGAAAGGGTGAGATACATAAGCAAGTGTGGGAAAACAAGGCATTCAAGGAATTCTATTTTTTTTTTCTTTTGAGTCAGAGTCTTGCCAAAGCTGGAGTGCAACAATGCAATCAGTTCACTGTAACCTTGAACTCCTGGGCTCAAGCAATCCTCCTGCCTCAGCCTCAAGTAGCTAGAATAACAGGCCCAAGCCACCATGCCCACCTAATTATTTTTATGTTTTGTGGATATGAGTGTCTCACTGTATTGCCCAGGCTAGTCTCAAACTCCTGGCCTCAAGTGATCCTCCTGCTGCAGCCTCCCAAAGTGCTGGGATTACAGGTATGAGCCACTGCACCCAGTCCGACATTCTATTTTAAACTATGTTTCTAAAATTTATATTTCAAAGCTTATATTTAAATAATTTTTATTATCCCTTCCCCTACCTTCCCTTCAAAAAGTCTCACTGTATCTAATATCATTCCCATCAGAGGAAGATTCTAAATAGCTAAGACATTTCTTGTTCCAAAGAAGAGACACAGTAACACCTTATGGTCTCTAAATGAGGATATTCTGTACTATAACCCCATCACAATTCTATTGTTCTGCTAGCAAGAAACCACTTTCCCTTCTGTTTGTCGGCCTCCGTGTTTATTTAAGAATATTATTTGTAAGCAATCACTCATTATCAAAGTATTCCATTGTATTGTTAAATAGGACCTTATTTAAGCTACACATTCAAAATGCTAAGGCTGGAGAAGTAGCCAATAGAGAACGCATAGGCCTAACAAAGGCATCGTTCCATATCTGAATGCCCTTTATATAACACTAGTTCAAACACTCTAATGATGAATGACTCTCAGAGCTCACAAATAAGGGCTAACATTTCTTTCTCCTGACAAATCCTGTTTTTTTCCTCCTGCTTGATCACTGGAATTATCTTCCTCTTCCATTTTCTCTCTCTACTATGGCTTATGGAAAGCTCAGATTTGCAATTTCATATTTCAGCTTTCAGAACATTTATCTTCCTCTTTATGCTTCGTCTCTACTATTTCCTGTCCTTAGCCTTATGATCATTGTCCTTCCTGGTCTCTCTGGCCCAACTCACACCCGTCTCTATTGCTCTCCTTGCATGCTCACCAGGCTGGTGTCGCTCAAATGCTGTTCCCTCTACCTGAAACTCTATGACCTTTTTTTGCCTAGTTAATGCCTCGCCAACTTCTACTCCAGCTTAAGTGTCACATTCTTTTTCTTTTTTTTGAGACACAGTCTTGCTCTGTCACCCAGTCTGAACAGTGGTATGGTACTATCACGGCTCACTGTGGCCTCAAACTCCCAGGCCCAAGCAACTCTTCTACCTTAGCCTCCCAAGTAGCTGGGGCCACAGGTATGCACCACCATGCCCTGCTAGGTTTTCTGTTTGTTATTTTTTATAGAGATGAGGTCTCCCTATGTTGCCAACCTGGTGTCAAACTCCTGGACTCAAGCAATCCTCCCACCTTGGCCTCCCAAAGTGCCGGGATTACAGGTGTGAGCCACCATGCCTGGCCAAGTGTCGCATTCTTACAGACATTTTCTCTGACCTTCCTCACTAGATCAAACCACCCTGAACCATTTGAGTGATTATTTTATTAATGTCTGCCTCCCCACTATAAGGTAAATTCTACGATATCCAGGACCTTCCCTGTGTTTACTTACCATTGTATCCACAGCATGTCTCACATGTCTGACATAGCAGGTGTTCAATAAATATTTACTGGATTAGCTAACGCATGAATGTTGAATGCACTGACTGCCATTATGCTTTCATTCATTAATTATTCTAATAACCAAGCAAAGCAAATAAAAGCTATGCATTTTATATAATCTGTAAACCCTCCATAGTAACGTAATTTAGAGTTGGGCATATGGCCACTTGACAACAAACCAGAGGCTTCTCTTTTAGCATGGACCACATCATAAAAATAAGTTGTGGGCCAGGTGTGGTGGCTCATGCCTGTAACCCCAGCACTTTGGGAAGTCAAGGTGGGCGGGTCACCTGAGGTCAGGAGTTTGAGACCAGACTGACAAACATGCTGAAACCCAGTCTCTACTAAAAATACAAAAAAAAATTATCCAGGCATGGTGGGGGGCGCCTGTAGTCCCAGCTACTCAGGAGGCTGAGGCAGGAGAATCGCTTGAACTCGTGAGACAGAGGTTGCACTGAGCCGAGATCGCTCCATCGCACTCCAGCCTGAGCGACATTGTGAGACTCCATCTCGAAAAAAAAAAAAAAAAAAAGTTGTGGACAATGGGATACAAGCCAAAGAGTCCTGTGGCCACTTCTGGGAACCTACTGTAACAGCTGCACCTAATCCTAACAGAGTTTCCACATCTCTGGGTAAAAAAGAGTATTCTAGGTCCCATCAGCCTCCTTCTAACTCAGATGCACATCTAGCTTCCAACACCAGAGACAGTCCCAAATAAGTTATCACAAGACGCATTCAGACTATTTTTACTACAAGGTCTTCCAACAGCGTCTCCTCCCTTAGTGCCAGCAACAGGTTCTTGGCTGCTGGTGATAACACCAGAAAAACACAGATAATACCCACAGCATTTTCCAGAGTTTCAGAAATGTAGAAATTATTTCCCTCTCTCTTCATTTTTTAGCATAGCACTTTCAAAATCAGGCTTTTCATGAATATCTGTGGTCTCTTTAGGCAAAGGGTAACTTATCCTATAATGATAATAGATTTGGAATTCAGGTATCTAATATAAACACAAACTCTTTTTGTGAATCTGTTTGGTTTTCCAACAAATTAGGAAGTTGAAAACAAACTTAACATTCTTGATCTTGGTTGTCTTCTTTGAAGACCACTAACACTTACAGGTACTAAAAGGGGTTGATTCAGGCTTGGTGGGGACCAAAGCTTATACAATTCAGGGGGCCTCCTTAAGAAAAAGAATTCAAAGTCCCACCTACAAAATTAGGTGCAGGGCCTTGGGAGGAGTCTGTCCAAGTGAGAAGTTTTGAAGTTTAAGCTTCATTAACCTCATAGTAACCACAGTAAAGGTCAGAACTATCTTTCTCAGATAAACCGTACTGCCCCAGTGCTCAGGTGTTCAGAAACCCCTGTCAAACGAGCCTCAGAATTCTGAAGCGACACCCAGTATTTATTTGAATTATCCAAGTTTCAGAATTGTCCCACACTGTTTTGAACTGTCCTAGGTCTATCATTGGCTAGAAAAATAATTAAACAATTGTGAAATAAACTAAAAAGGTGAATGAATACATCTAATACATTTGACAATTAACAGTGTGAAAATAAGATGCATACTACATAATTTTTCAATATGCATTCCTTTTATTAATAATTTGATATTTTTAGGGGCACCTTAAAAGTCACCCAGCACAACTGCCAATATTGTAAATAAAACACATCTGAGTTGGGTTTTCCTTAGCATATAAGCTACTTTCCCTGTCCATTTTTTTTTTTTTTTGGTATCACTTTGCATTTTTGTAGAATTGTTGTTTCTCGTTAAAAGTTATTGTATTTTGGTATTCCCTTTAGGAGTCAGCCACCAATACAGAATATAGGAGTACAGAATGCACAGATTAAATGAGGCAGATGCGTGCTGGTGAGTGGTTTCCACATTAGAATGATGCACATTACCATAAGGAAGCTTGGGAGTGAATGCATTGTTTCCTTAATCAGCCCAAGTTTGACACTATTTCCATATATATATATATATATATTTCCTTGTCTAACTTGTGCACGTTTTCTTTCCCTTCTTAGGTCACTCCTTCTTAGGTCACTGTATCTTTAAGAAATGAGAAAATTCTTTATGTAGTCCTCTTTCTGCCTCTATACATGCATGATCACATACGGCCACATATACATATCCATGCTGACCAGAAACAGGTAACATAGGTTCTCAGTATTGGCTAACTTGCCTGGGCCATAATTTGCATTGAAAAAAATTACAGTTTACGTAAGACCTAAAATACAGTGTCTTGAGCTAATCATATAGCAACAATAGAAATTACATCAAATCGCGTTGTTAAATATATAGTAAGCAAAGTGTTTGATATATCTGTATGATAGATTTCCAGCTTGATAAATTTATATCATTAAAAATAATCCTTAAAGAGACCTTCCTTTCTGTCAGAAAAATATAATCACAGCCTACTGTCTGTGCAATTCCACTTTCCGTCTCTGCTATGTGCTAAGACTTGGTAAGATACAGCCACTGTCAGGTTTCAGAACCGTTCCTTGTCTAATCTTTCTACTTCTCCAGATCTTTGATACAGAACCTGTTAGAATGCACTGCTTACTTTTCTAGTTCCTATGTTTATCTCACTTCCACTCTTACCATCTGTTGTACTGCATTTCCTTCAGAAAAGTGAAAAGTTTTCACAGTGCCCAGAGCTTTCCCTGCAAACAATGCCCTTTTCCCCTCTTCCTTCCTTCCTTTCTTCGTTTTTTATTTAGTCTTATTTTGTGTTGAGGTCAAACTATTTTAAAGAGTTCACTTTGCAAACATTTCTACAAGGCTGAAGCTCTTATCCAAATAGTTTTGATGGATTTGTAAACATTCCTGCCATTTATTACTGGCTTCTGCCCAAATACACACATTTTGGTGTGTCCTCACTCTTTCAAATTACCTGAAAGCAACATCATAAGAAACAGGCAGTGAGAAACTGTAGCTTATTGAATGTCTTTAAAACAAGGTAATATAATTTCAGTTAGTATAATGAGACTAACATGCTTTCAATATAGCCCCTTACATTATATCAAAACCTCAACTCCTCTTATTACAAAATGGTTTATACTGACAGTCTTTAAAGAAGTACCAAAAGATAGAAATATTTTAAGAACATCCCTAATTCATTTATGTTAGCCTTTTTGTTTATTTGGTTTTGTAAGCACCCTTATTTTTGACTGACACATCGTGTACAGTAAGTGTTTATTAGAAAATGCCCAGTTAAAAAATACCTTGAAAAAGTGAGCTTCATACTTCATATATCTAACCTTCTTCAGATGTTTTCCTCTCCCTCCTTCTACAAGAGTTATATAATAGTGGACATCAGGAAGCAAAATTAGTTCTCTATTTTTATTAAGCACCAACAATGCAAGTTTTAATTTTGTGTTAGTCTTTAGTAGTTTTGTTGACTTTGGCCAAGTTGCTGAGCCTCTGGAAGTTACAGGCAAAAACAGCATCTACCGTGTAGGACAGTAAGCTGATTAGAGATGATACATACACAGGAAGATGTCTGACTTTTGGGAGCAGTCAGCAAATGGACGTTGTTATTACCATTATTAAAATTATTGTAACTGGCACATAGCCCTAATGCCAATCTCTGGAATCTCACTGAATGACAAAAAAGAAGCTGAAACAGCAATCTGCATCCTTTATCAGTATTTACTTTATTGGTGCAACATATTCAGTTATTTTTACTTGACCTTTTAAGGACAACAAAAAGTGGCTGAGTTTATTACTATACTTAAATTCATCGCACCACAGCTTTCTACATTTCCCATTACACGGTCTATGTTTAGGCCTACCAGAGATAAAGATATCCCATCAGGTAATGGGTGGGCAAACACTTTAATATTGCCTGTTGCTTCTCAAATGATAATGAAAACATTGTGAAAAATTTTACATATTAATAAGAAAATCTACATTTATGTGAGAAGATTAAGAGCTTTTTATCAAGCTTAACATGCCTCAAAAATATCTTTAGCAGACTGCACAGTTGAGATCTGTTGGCCAGCTCACAGAAAGAACAATGAATTTAGTTTGTCATATGCTAAACAGTAGTACATATTATCATATGTTACTCATATAAATGACCATGGGTCATTTCAAACATTGTATAAAATTAATCACTTTAATTTGGTTGCAACTGTTATGATGATATATCTGAAATGAGAGATGAGGTAAGTAGACAAAGCTTTATCTGACCCTTACATAGAATACTGAGTCATGAAGCAAATTTGTATACCTTCCGATTCCATCAAAACCAAGAATATGTTTACTCTCATAAGAAGAGAGTTCCTTCGCATGCTCTCCCATTTTCCCAACAATTGTGGTTTTTTAAAAAAATCAATCTCATTCCAAACAAAAACTATGTTTTGGGACTTTTAAGATGGCTATAAAAGAGTGATGCCACAAGGTCATAAGGTATATATTTTTTCAACCTCATGAGATAAAAGCACTTATAGGACACTATTTTTTTGTTTTCAGGTGGAGTCTCACTCTGTCACCCAGGCTGGAGTGCAGTGGCATGATCTGGGCTCATGGCAACCTCCTCTTCCCGTGTTCAAACAATTCTCCTGCCTCAGCCTCCAGAGTAGCTGGGACTACAGGCGTGTACCACTGCCTGTATTTTTTGTATTTTTTGTATTTTTTGTATTTTTAGAGATGGGATTTCACCATGTTGACCAGGCTGGTCTCAAACTCCTGACCTCTTGATCTGCTAGCCTCAGCCTCCCAAAGTGCTAGGATTACAGGTGTGAGCCACCGCCCCGGCCTATAGGACACTAGCCTGTAATTTTACATTCTAAAAAGTATTACTTCTCATTTTGCATGGCTATATGATTTACCTAAGAAAAACTAATAATTTTAAAATAAATTTCAAGAAAAAGAAGAAGTACTGAATCCAGGAAAACAGAGGCTCTGCCAAGGAACAATAATGTCATGTGGAGGGAGGGGGAGGTGGCGGAGAAGGGAAGGGAGGTTCCTGCCAAGCAAAGCTGGGGGCTGTTCAATCAGCCCTATCAGTGCTCCATCAGTGTCTCCACTCCAGCCAAATCCAGAGAAAACAAGGAGTCAAAGATTCAGGTCAGTAAGCTTACAGGCGATTTGCACAAACAGTTCCTCCAGCAAGGTAAAAAACAAAGTCATATT
This sequence comes from Homo sapiens, assembly GCF_000001405.40. Lineage (NCBI taxonomy): Eukaryota > Metazoa > Chordata > Mammalia > Primates > Hominidae > Homo > Homo sapiens. The sequence goes on along the minus strand of NC_000008.11, from coordinate 105,426,290 downwards.
GGCTTTTCTTTTTTATTCCTTCTCTTTGAACTCCCTGGTCCAAACACACCCTGGAAATGTCAATGTTATATGCAAGAATTTAAAGAGCTGAGCTTCTTAATCCCGTTAAGAAAAAAGGAAAAAAGTTGCCTGTAAAGGTCCCCTTCCTTATTGAACTCAAAGTGATTATGGTAGAGCTGTCTTATGCAGTTTCTGATTCCAGTTACTCAAGCATCAGAGGAGGCAAAAACATGTCATTAAAGGCATAACCAAGGAGGAAAGAAAGCATGTTCATTGAAAGGATTTATAAAATATAGCAAAATAGACTTTCTGAACTAAAAGTAATAATAAACTGAACATAAGAAAACAGGAAACAAAATACTATGATGTTTGACATGGGATCAAATGAAAAACAACGGTTACTACTCCCACAGCCAAAACTGCATAAAGATACAGTTAAAAAAAGCATTCTTTTCGTTATTAAGACTCTAGACAAAACTTCTGTTGCTTTACCTTAACATTCAGGGACCAGGGGCAGGGAGGGATTAATGCCAATAACCTTAACTTAGATTTGTTACAGGTAACAAGGAGGAATATGGCTTTTCCTCTGTTATTTCTTAATCTTTAAACAAAGCCACAAAACTACAGGAACCAACAGAAAGAAAGGAGGATGGGAGGAGGGGGGAAACATTTCAATGAGCCTGGATGCCTATCGGCAGAAGAAGTTGAGTACGATGATGAAACTGGTTCTACTTCTCTGCCTCTTGATCTTTCTAATTCAAGAATGTGGAAAGACATAGAAAACACAAACCCAACTCTGCTATTATGGAAGGGAACAAAGTGACTCATATCATCCTCAGACACCCCCAAACTGCTGTTCTGGAAACCACATTAATGAGCTACAGATGGAGTCTCATCAAGCCCTTGGCTTCAGGGATAATTCTGATTGGAGTTATCTGTATCCCCTGACAGCTTCCCCATTTTACCTGTTTCAGTTTCCTGCTTAACCTTTCCTTTCTGCAGGCCTTTCTTCTCCAGGCGTATACAAACTATGTCGTGGCCATGTCTTACCGCAACTCTCTTCTGTGGCTCACACACTATAGTTTCTTTCCACAATTCTGTTCCTGAAGGCTTCCATAGTAGTGGGAATCCAACAGATTCCAAGAGCAGCAGGTTCTACAGGTATGACAGTGCCTCTTCTGCTCCCCAGCTCTCTGCTGTCCTCTTCTGGCTTCCTATAACACTAACCTCATAGGTACTGCAGACTTGACTCAGTACTGGAAGCTCATTCCTTTCTCTCAAGTCTCCAGTCAAAGTTCACCTTCCCCATCGCTCTTTATGAAATAGCATGTGTGTGCACACTATTACACTCTACCAACTTTGCCTGCTTTATTTTTCCTCATGATCCTCTATCTCACCGAACTTTATAAAATGTGATTCAATTGTTTATTGCCTCTCTCTCTCTCCTCCTGAGAGTGGGGACTGACTTTTGCCTAAGGCTGTATCCCAGTTCTGAGAAGAAGGTCTGGCAAAAAGCAGATGCTTAATATATGGGTTGAGTTGTATTGAATTTGACCTAGTGAACAGGAGTGAAAGTTTCTGCCAGTCCTATTAAGTATCTGATTATGTTTGCTTTCAATTGGTATTAATTACTTATGGGGCTAACATTAAATCCAAGTCTGAATAACCCAGGTTTTTATTCTATTTTCTTTAATATGCTTTACATTTTTTATGTTAAAGAATCTTTAAAATAACCTTTGCTTTCTGCACACTATGTGGACTCTTTTTGAATGTAGTGAGAATTTCCATTGTTACACCATATATCTTTCCTTATTTTGTGTATTTCCATCATGACCCCTCTTTTTAAACCTAGTATTTCCAGACTGAAGAGGTCTAATTTTAGTTCATTTCTCTAGGGCATTATTATACCCAAGAATGTCTCTGACCATTCTTCATATCTAGATGCAAGGAAGAGGCATAAAGATTTTTCGTCTTCCCAAAGCAACTTTGATAGCATCATTTTCCCTTCTGGCCTTTATTTTAAAATCATAACATCAGCAAACAATTTGTAAGGACGCTTTTTAACTTTTCTAGATAATCATTGTAGATAATTCAAAGTTGACTTACATGTAGTTTCTTTGGGGTTATCTTTGTTTTTTGTAATTCAATACGTTTTGGGGGAACAGGTGGTGTTTGGTTTCATGAATAAATTCTTCAGTGGTGATGTCTGAGATTTTGGTGCACCCATCACTTGAGCAGCGTACACTGTTCCCAGTGTGTAGTCTTTTATCCCTCACCCCCCTCACCTGAGTTATCTTTTTTTATATAGCATTACATTCTACTAGCAACCAGTGACATTGATCTGATTCTTCCTGTTCACATATTTTGTGACATTCTCCTGGAATTTATCCCAAAACATGTTTATTTCACTTTACAATTATTAATTAGAACTGCTCCACGCCAATCCCACTCTGAAACTCACTGTCTTTGAGTTCATCCAAGAATTGCTCATATATAGGCATTCCCACCTGCCAGTAGTGACATAACTACAAACTCCCAAGGTTGCTTTCCAGACCACCTATATTTCTGTTCATATTGGTTTGCTTAGTTCTACAAATATACTGATGTACTTCCATGTCTGGCACATAAACCAGAAGAAAGGCAGACAAAATAACTGAAACGAAAATTTCAGTACCACAGGAAATATGTAGCACTTATGGACTGAGTCTTGATGTCTTCATCATCTATAAATTCAAGGAAATAATTTTGCTTGTTTTCTTCCTCCCAGAGATACTGTAAGGCAAGATGCCACGTACTCTAAACTCATAAACAAAAGATGACAATGTAAATTGAAAGTATTGCTTTATATTTTGTTAAAATGTTTAAAATCTAAAGGTATCAAAGTAAATTTCAAATAGCATCTTTTTATCAACATAGTTCATTTCATTTCAAAGAAATGAAAAATAGGAACATGAAATGTGCAATTAATCCAAAATAAAAAGAGACATAGGAAATGCCAATAGAATTGCCAGGTTCAAATTTTAAGCATGCAACTATAACAAGGGTATCTCTGAGATGGACTTATATAATTAAGAATTTTATACATTAATGCTAACATAAAATTCTGACCAACAATCTCGGACATTTCTGTGGAATCTTACATTATAAGAGTGATTTGGGTCTTATTTAATCACATGGTTTATAATAACTAGAAACTTTACTAATATTAGTAAATGCAACTTTGAGACTAGAAAAACTTGCCCTTCAGCAAGAACATAGATAATATCAGTGTGGAACTGAGAAAAATGTTACAATAATAAGAGCCATTGAAGAACTATAATTTTAGTTCATCACTGAAAATATCCTGTATAATAGAAATGCTCAATTTCAAAAGGAAGCAGAAACTTTATAATAAGCTATGTCTTCAGAAATGTAGTTTTTCTTTTAAAAAGTTATGATAACATATGATTGGTTTTATATAAAATGCAGTTGCTAAAATATGACTAAATATATGTAGTAACTCTATGTTTATCCTCAGTATGCTCCCCTGATAATGTGTCAAAATTTCTTGTTTGGAGAACTTAGACCTTCTAGCCACATTTTTTGATCTGAACTTTTAAGATATCCTTTGTTTAACAAGAAAAAAACATTCAATTTACAAAATTTTTATGCTTGGGACCCATATAATTAACTAGGTAACAGGTAAATTTTGGTCATGGGTAGCCTTTAGACCAAGAAACTTCCAAATAATCCAATGTATTTTCCAGTAAATATCAACAATTTTTAAATTGTCATAAATGATTTAAACTATGTGCAAAAAAAAGTTTCATTAATGAACCCAAGATATTATTATTATTATTATTTTCTTTTTGAGACGGAGTCTTGCTCTGTTGCCCAGGCGGGCATGCAGTGGCTCAATCTCGGCTGTCTGTAACCTCCACCACCTCCCGGGTTCAAGCAATTCTGTCTGCCTCAGCCTCCCGAGTAGCTGGGACTACAGGCACCCACCACCACACCCAGTTAATTTTTGTATTTTAGTAGAGATGGGGTTTCGCCACATTGGCCAGGATGGTCACAAACTCCTGACCTCAGGTGATCCGCCTGCCTCAGCCTCCCAAAGTGCTTGGATTACAGGCGTCAGCCATCGCGCCCGGCCTAAAAATACTTTTCTTCAGAGGAACATGTCTTATTTGCTTTTCCAGTAATGACACTGGCATTGTTAACCATTTAAATACTTCTACCTTTTTTTTTTTTTTTTTTTTTTGAGATGGAGTCTCGCTCCCGTCGCACAGGCTAGAGTGCGGTGGTGCGATCTCAACTCACTGCAACTTCTGCCTTCTGGGTTCAAGCAATTCTCCTGTCTCAGCCTCCTGAGTAACTGGGATTATAGGCACCCACCACCACACCCGGCTAATTTTTGTATTTTTAGCAGAGACAGGGTTTCGCCGTGTTGGCCAGGCTGGTCTCCTGACCTCAGGTGATCCACCCGCCTCAGCCTCCCAAAGTGCTAGGATTACAGGCGTGAGTCACCGGCCTGGCAACTTCTACTCTTTTAATTGCTAATCTGTCCTCTTCCTCACAATTGGCAATAAAACATAATTATGCGTCACTGAGAAAAATTGAGAATTTCAACAGAAAGATTAGTTTCTAATTTTCCAGAGAGAAAATATTCTCTTTCCATTGTAGCTCATCAACTTAAGTGAAGAATGGATAGCACTCCTTGCATGACCTCAAGGGATGAAAAATCTATCAAAGAGTTGTCTTTCTTTTCTACCAGTTCCAACTGACTTCAGTGGGAATTCCCTGGTCACACATTCTGCAAGAGTAAAATAATGAAATTCTTTTCCTATCAATAGTAATATTACTATTTATCCTGAAAAATATCATGTGAAAACAGGAATTGTTATTCCCACCCATTATGACCTTCTACTTTCAAATTAAACATTACAGAATTATCTTATAATACATATATGTTACATATTATTTAATATGGTCTCTATATCATATACTAAATATTATTTTGTGTACATCTGACATTAAACATTTTTCCAACTGTTTATAAAAAAATTAATAATAATATCTACTGAATCTTGTTCAGAACAATTGTAATTTAATGTTTTTTCTTAATTCCTAAAAGTCTGTCATTATTTTTCATGAGTTAAGACTCTGATTAGTATAGCTGGAGTGACTGTCCTAAGACCATAGTTACATCCTCATGTAAGCATTTGCCATAAATCTATTTTCTCCCAGGAAATTACTACCTTAAAACTTTCTTTGAAAGTTTAATGAAAAGTTTAATGAAAGAGTAAGAGTAAAGAACCCTTACTCTTTCATTAAACATAGCCCTTAACCAGAGATCGTCCCAAAATTTGCAATTCATACAGTAGTACCTATCATACTGCCTTCCTGGATGAATTAAATTGACAAAAGGTATAAATCCATACGTTAACTCTTTTATTCACCTTCTAACTCTCAATTCCTCTCTTTATTGCAACATCACAACATAAGGTAGGTCTTCTACAATGCACAAAAGGATGTATTTCCTAATAAGAAAAAAAATTGAGATGTCTTCAAACATAAATTTAAAAATTATCCATCTCCAGACAGCTTAGATTTATTGCCATGGCTACATATCATCAATTTAATGGTTCTAGCAACTAAGGAAAATATTAATTTGGCTTGAAATCTGAGTCAACACTAGGAAAAAAGGCTATTCTGTTCATACTTTTCTCATTTTCAATTAAAAATCTCTGATGTAGGAGACAAGGACCATGCTACAAGTTATCTTGAGGTCTACATGGTTAAGGAGGTTTTTTGAATTTCAGTGTGTCCAGGTGCCATTCTGTTTCCAAAGTTTTAGAGCCAGGGGTTCTACTGACCACAGGGATGGGAGCTGACTGACATCTTTTGTTTCTGACTTTTTTTGTTGACACCATCAACAAGAGAAAATGATACTGGAACTTTTAATGATTAAATATATACATGGCCACCAAGATATGTGAATTGACATTTTTTTGAGAAGCTACATTGGCACTCTTGATTTGAGACTATGAAGTCTGATTAACAAATTCAAACATACACACACACAAAAGTCCACTTTATTATATTTATCTGCATAAAAAACAAACATGTCTGAATAAAAATGGTGCATACACAAACACAGACAGACATACAGAAACATACACTTCCAGTCAAGCCCTCTGCAAAAGCAGCTGTTCTAAACCAAGAAAGTGATCCAAGCATTTGTGAAAACGGTACATTGGTGCAGGAGGAGATAAAAGACTTGCAAAACAATCTGATAAAAATAAATATATAAGAATCATGAGGAACCTTAAACTGACTTATGAAAAAAGTAAACAAATGAGTATATATGCTCCATGAGAACACAGTCACTGGCAAGGCCATCTGGCTCCAAGTCATGGCTGGAAATAAGCTGTGATATGTCTCAAGTGCTTCTTGGATTATATTGTTAATGTGTCAAAAAAGTATCTAGAATGGAGAAAGAATGTATATTTTTTTATTTGACAATATCCCCACAGCACCATCCTCACCGTTGAAAGTCAACATTAAACACCTAAAGCATTCGGTTTTCAAAAGGAATGAGATGGAACCTTAGTTGAGAACTCTCTGACTCATTCAGTGCTAATATTTAATGCCTAATTTAGTGCCTTGCAAACAATTAACATTCAATAAATTCTTGTTGAAAGAATGAATGAATAAATGATCAACATTAAATATATCACAGTTAATTGGCCAATAACATGAAGAATGTGCATAGTTAATTGGCCAATCAACATGAAAATATTTGTTTCAATATAAAAAATTACTGGTTATTAGAGTGGAGTTACTCATGTCCCTCGAAATAAAATTTTATGTTTAAAAAAATCTGCACTTATTTTCAGACGGCTGAATTATGTGTCAGCACTCTGAGGACTATTATGCATTTTTTTAAAACATTACAAAATCATTTAAGTGGACTCACATATTACATCCAACCATCAACAATTACCTTTGTTACAAAAGTATTCCACTTCTTCGCAGCTCAGATTTTCAGGCCCAAATTCTGTGGAAAAGCTTTCCTCCAATGGAAAGTCTCCTTTGGAGATGATGTCTGTTTCCTCTGATGGACATTCTTCTTCCTCATCTTCAATGGCATCTTCAAGCGGCCCTTGAAAAAGAATCAGGGAAACTGTACCAAAAATATGCAAGGAAGACAGTGAAATAAAATCCTTAAATAGAGCCTTTTTTTGTTACAGTGGTGAGAAAAATAATATACTCTAAGTAGTACCACCAAGGGGACTCACAAAAGATAATGCCACATCCGTATATACAAGAAACAATGACCTATGATGAAAGATCCAAGGAAACCAGTGTCAGAAGTTATAACACAGAAAGCAACCTGCATCTCCATTGCGTCCCCACCCCCAACCTCAAGCCCCAAACTTATTTTTTTGATTCGCTCTTTAAGAGCAAAACTGTGCACTTTATGTTCATTTGTTAGAATTAACTATCTGGTAAAGAGTACAAGTCTCTTTTACACTGTTGTACAATTTTACCTGAGATTTTAATAAAGATTTAAAGTAATTGAATGCATTTTAATTGAACTGAGATTTTAATAAAGTCTATACTTTTAAAAATCCATCTTAAGAGTGGATTCTGAGAAAAGATTTCATTATATGTGTTTGAGGCTTGAAGAAAAATTACATATTTCTCTCCCTGATGAAAGCATAACCCTATTCATAATTAATTGAATTTTTTCTGAAATGAAAAGTGGTTTTCTAATGAAAAAATGTAATTTGTATTTATGTGATACTTTTTCAGTAATAAAAATACAACTCCCTTGGAGAGAATGAGAGTGAGGTGCGCTACATTAATGGACCTATTTTATTGAAAGGAAAGGGAGGGCTGGAGTTGTTCAGACCGATCTGAAGTGGACTACATGGGAATACCACTGGGCTGATTGTGAATTTCTGACTGCCTCTAAAGAATCAAAGTAACCAACTCATTTTAATAAGTAGAAACTGCATTTGCTCCTAAAGAAGTGATGTGGCATTTTATCCAAAGAACACAATTATGGTAATTTGTACTAATTGTCACTCATGGCAGCAGTCCCATCAGACAGGCTAAATACTCAAAGCTCAGGCAGCCTCTCACTCTCACTTTTTAGAAATGTCCTAGGAAATTTCCAGGGCCTAAGGAGCAATCTTATAAATAATTTAAAATAGTGCATATACTACAATTTATATATATATGTAGATAAATAAGAATAAGTATCGTATCTAGTGTTTCCCCAAAAAGCAAGTTGTAAAAGGACTAAATTCATATGACACCTTGGCATAGACAGAATAATTGGATGGGTTTAAATGAAGGGACATCCAACTAAAAATTTCTTACAGAGTCTCTTTGTCCTTTAAAAAAATGTGTTTTACCTTTCCTTTTTCAAAAGAGCAAATGTTAAGAAGAAAAGGATGCCCTAATTCCAACTCTGGTCATATCGTGTTTTATTATACATTCCATATGCTCAAGGTAGAAGGTTAAAAGAACCATGGATTTTGTTTTTGCACCAACCACATTCAAAAGTCATGCATCTCATATTAGATTTTATCTTATTAACTGTTTCAAGTTTAAAATGTATAATCTTTCACCTTTTAGAATAATTACGTCAAAGAGCAAGACAAGCAAAGAATATATAAAACAGTAAGAATGTAAAATATTACAATCCTTAAACCATTTATTTGATAATTTCAAGAGACAAATTATTAATGCTAAGTCTAATGAGAACTATAATAGAATATTTCCCTTATTTTTTTTCAACAAATGTAATTATAACAACAAATTTGATCAAAAGAAGACATGAGCTATATCATTTGTTTCATGTAAGAGTTTCAAAGCACTTTCTATTTTTTTATTTGTATAATTTAAGGGGTACAAGTGCAGTTGTGTTACATGGATGTACTGTGGTATGTATACAAAATGAAATACTATTCAAAGCACTTTCTTACATGATCTTTAAAATAATCCAGTGAAGTAAGTATGAGAATTATGACTATTTTCATTTTGTAGATTTGAAAAATGAAGTTCACGAGGTTAGTTAACTAGAATAAGGTTTCCAACTGATAAGTGAAAACGCTAATGTGAAAATTTAAGATTATTATTATTTTTTGAGAAATGGTCTGGCTCAGCTACCCACACTGGCATGCAGAGGTGCAATCACAGCTTGCTGCAGTTTCAAATTCCTGGGCTTAAGTGATCCTCCCACCTCAGCCTCTGGAGAAGCTGGGACTACAGGCATGAGTCAAGAGATTTTAAAAATACTTTTAATTAATATACTACTATGCAAACCACTCTTTGGTAGTTATAAATGCATTGCTTCAGAAACAAAACTATAAAACATAGGTAACTTAGAAAATGGTCAATTCATATTAACATAATTATTTATTCATAGATGCTTATGATCTAGTCTTTAAAAATGGAAAACTCTCTTGCTGCTCTTCGCAAATTACTGAAAGTCAACCAAAATATTAGACACCTCCCCAAAGTCAGAAAGATAGTCTTATAGACTTATCAAAAATAAAATAATTACTATTATTTTTATTTACATAATTTATAATTTATACCCACACTAAATCAACATGTAAAGTAGCTTTTAATAGCAGTTATAACAGAAATTACAATATATACTTCTTTTGAAATATATACTTCTTTTGGAATATATACTCTGAGTTTTACTAATGAAAAGTAAAGCTCCAACAGATATTTTCATATATAAAATGTGAAAAATATAAAAATAAGTCTATTTTTCTGGATGCTCTTCAATTATAAAAGCCTGTATATAATAAAAAGAATGTATACATATTATACAATGTTTAATTAACAGTAATATATATGCTTTCCTTTTACAAAATGAAATTCTAGACATAGGTACTTTTTTAGAAGAGGATTTTACTAAGAATAATACGTAATGAATAATTGTTTTAAATATTCAATGACAACAAATTGGCTTCAATAGTATGATATCAATTTAAATTTAATCATTGTATTAAAAATTATATTGAAATGCTCATGGGAAAATGTGAAAGAAAAATGTACACATAAAGCATTTTTTTATTCTTAAATGTCAAAGTCATGTTATGGCAATTTTATATATATACAGATACATATGTATATTTATATATACATAATCTTTTATTTATCAAGGTTTTTGATAAGATCTTAATATTATCTATTCCAGGGTTGTTTTATTTTACATGTTGGCTATTCCTTTGCAATTCCAAGCATGGAATTAAAAAGAAGCACCTATATGTTTAAAAATGAATTATCAAAATTCAAATAAAAGGTGAACAATACTAAGCTCATTTGTTCAAAATTTTTTGAACATGAGATCTCATTGCCAATATTTAAAACAGGCCATAGGAAGGTCATTTGATGACCAACTTGTATTTCTTCCAAAGCAAGTGTCAGCTTTATATAATTACTGTACTTTAAAATGTGAAATAACTAACCATTTCTTTAGCTACACCATCAAATCAGGCTTTGGGAAAAAGGTTTCTTTTAAAATGCATAATATTTATGGTTTAAGATCAGATCTCACTCTACTCTCTACATTGCATGTTTCTTTAACAGGGAAAACCTTACAGATAATCGGTGGCCATAAACTAACATTTTAAAAGGGTAAGAGACACTTGAAGCACAAGTACAATTAATAGCACCAATGAAGGAGGGAATGAAGGAAACTCCTGTGTATGGATTAGTGGGCACAGAAGTCCACTTCAGAAAAATCACCACACATAATTTGACACAAATAATAATATCTACTCAGAAAAGGCTCACGACCGAGCTCCATGTGCCCTCATGGAGAAAATTACTTCTGATTGAGGCCACTTGGCAGGCAAGTGTGAGGAAATCTGAATTTCAGCTCTTCAATTGCTTCTGATTTATAGATATTCAAACACACTCACCAGAATTAATCGTCTCAATGTTTATAAATATGAATATTTACCTCATTTAAAAATGCTAGTGATTAGTTTTACATCCTCAAGCTATGAACACACTGGTGCTATATGTTAGGCCCATAACACTGTTCATTGTCTCTCAGAATAAATGAGTAAGCATCTTCTCATATTCTATACTGGTTGAACAATGAGAATAACTGGGAAATTCTGGTGAGTGCAAAGTAGTACTGAGTACTTCCATTTTCAGAGAAGAGAGGCAATTGTGTACTCAGGACCATTTGAATTGGCCACAGCTACCTTTGCACTCTGGAGAGAAAGTGGAAGATAAGAAGGGAAGTGTAGATTCACCACACCTGACGATGCTGATGGACAGCCCAATGTACAGTGAAGCTTTTCATCTAGTCAGTACCAACAGCTGCGCTGTGCAATCTGGGCCTAAGGTGGGTATATCGGATGATTTTTCATTTGGTGGTTGTTTCAATGATCTGCAGTTTGTAAATGACAAATGGGGCATTAAAGATTAAATAGTCTAACCCTATACACTGGTAATGTAATAGCTGAATAAAATGAAATTTTAAAAAGTGGATTTGCATGGTTAAGAAGCAGTTAATGGAGCACTTAGTCCCCCAGATAAATGAATTTATAAGAAAATTATTGCTACAATTTCAGGGGGCTAAAGAAAACCCTGAAATGCATCCATAGCCACTGGAGTAAGAGCTAGAAGGTGACAAAGAAAATTTCAGAAAAAAAAAAGGGGGGGATGCGAAAACATATAGGCATTCTGAGGAATAAGGATGAAAATGATGCAAAATAAGCAAAACAATGAGAAAATGCAAGAAATGATAAAGAACAACATAGTAAATATTAAGTCAAATACATATGTCTTTCGACAGACATTGTCTCAATAATAACTTTCTACTTTGGTAGCCTACTATAAATGGAACAACAATCCTCACCTAAATGTCAGATTGTCTTTGTTCAGGTAAATTCAAAGCACTTCAGAATAAGAAGCATCTAAGATGAAATTAAGTTCTACAAAAATTAATATACATTATCATGTATTAATAGGGGAAAGAAATGCCAACTTCTATGGTTCTGATATAATATCCCCCAAAAGGGATCTTCTCTCTTAAACAGTTATTGGCATTAATGTATTATACATTACTTTAGCTTGATATTGCATGCCTTTTGATTAAAACAAGACACTCTGTCATTATGGAACTACAGAAAGCATTCAATCTCCTCTTCATGCATTAATATTCTAAGCATTCTAGAAGCTGCACAAGACTAGCCACCTAGCAAAATGAGATTGTTTCAGAATACTGGGCAGCCTTGATTGCAACTGACAGGTGGGATGAAAGTCACATTAAAATATTATCATTCCCAATAATTACAATAATCCATCACAGTGTGCACAGAAATTCCACTAGGTGAATTTGCCCCGAAAACACACAAATATTTCCAAACCTTTTTATTCCAGAGCTTCCCAATGTATCCCATTTTGGATCATTTTAATATCAGATAGCATTATTAATATTAAAAATTAAAATTTTCATCACAAACTTTATGTCATTTTACTTGTGCACAGAACAAAGAATCTATGTCAATGGGATACATTTCTCAAGATCTTAATCAATGAAAATGAAAATGGTGGTGTTCTCCCAAGTTGCCAGCTCCTGTTTTATGCTCTTTTGAACTCTTTTTCAAAAGGTCCAACTCACACAAAGGAATGGACAGGCAAAGAAAGATCTCCAATGTATATAAAACAAAAGGAACCTCCAAATCATACAATTGAAGAAACATACATATATATTTAAACACGAGATATATATATATGTGCGTGTGTGTGTGTATATATATATATATATATATATATAATGTTTGAATTGTGACATCATAATCGAGCCACATTTGTCAAATGATGCTACCTTTCAAAATATACATATAAAAAAGGGATAAACAAATTCTGGTTCATGATTAATATATAAATACACAAATATATCAAAACTCTACATAGGTATACTCTATTTTAGTTGATAGGTAAAAGGAGTTAAAATATAACTTTTCATTTTAAACTTGCTACATATTCTATGTGATGAAAAGGAAGGAGTGGACTGACACTAAAATTGGATGACTCCTTGCCTAACAATCTGTATTCTTGGCTTGTATTTCTGTTAATTTCAGGATAACATTCACAAAATACAAAATATAAAGCTCTTCTAATAGGAAAATTTTAGTATGATATGTTCTGTACGTATATATCCTGTTTGTTCAATTAGTATTGGGGAAAAAAATAACCCGACTCTAAATTAAAAAGCTAAATCCCAGGAAAACGTTCCCCTCCTCTCTTAATTATGCAGTAGGAACGTTTCTAGCTTGAAATTACTAATACGTTTTTACTAATTTTATCTGGGGCATATCTTGTGGCTCTTAGTAGTTCCTCTCTCAGAGTTCTCAGCTGCTACACACAGACTTTCTTATGAATCATTACCCTGTAGGCACACCTCAAAATGCTTCTCACTCGGTTCCTATTACATTTGTCTCATGCATATCCCACAGAGCCATTTAATGAGAAGGGGCAGAGAAGAGGGACACTCTTTGGACAGTGCAAACCCATACTAACTCATGTAATTGAGCTTAACAGCAAGAATAAAATCTTATTTCTGTAGTCTAAAAAAAAAATACTATTTTAAATGAGCAAGTTCTTCCTGCAGTCACTCACTTTTAACAATAGTGGCATCAGGGGATCTAGTAGGAAGGAAACATTTTTATTAATTTTTCTCTTGTCTGCCAGAAGAATGTTGATTTTTTTTCATTTACATTTGTTGCCTGCAGGTAGCAGACCAGAGAATCATATGGTAGAAATTCTTCTTTTTGATTAATTTCTTTCCATGTGTTATGTTATTTCTTATATATAATTGATTTTGGGCTTTTGCTCATAGCTGTACCTCTTTTTTATATCTGTACCAACTGCTGTCCTTCAATCAAGAAAGTTGAAGGAAATTACCTGAATTTCGTTAAGTTTATTAAAAACGAGATCTGTGAATATTTAAATTGAGTTTTGAAATGTTAATGCAAAAAAAGATATTAGAGAATTTTTAATGGAGAATTCAATTTGACCACACACCATTGAAAAATGAAGGGGAAGGGGTCAGGTCTTATTCAAATTGTTTCTTTAGGGAGAAAAAATGTACTCTTTAATCTTATAAAAATGGAGTAATATTCTTTGCTACAAAGTCTTTGGCCATTTTTATAGATGGTGGTATTAACAGTTTTTGTATATAAACTTGAAAACAATTTAAATTATGTAAATATTATTCCCCCCGAAATGCCTTGCTTTGAGAACCTTCAAATTAACTGAATGATGCTAACAAGAAAACAATTTTTCTTAGAACATGTGCAAGCCTCGCAAGCAGCAAGTAATCTTACACAGTAGATTAAACACTGATATCACAGGAAAAATAAAGTCAGGGGAAGAAATACAGGCAAATTTGAACTAGAATCTCTAATGACTAATTTACTCTCAGGAAGTAACTCAGGCATTGAGAAAATTCAGTTCATTAGTACATGCCTTGTGCATTGACCCAGGAAGTTAGTGACAGAGATGGCATTGAAATTCAAATATTTTGTAATCAGGTCTCAGTCCAGAGTCCTATAAAGTTATCTCAGTCTATTGAAGATGGTAACCCTATCAAGAAAAAAATACAAAAGTATATTCATTACTGAAATGATATATTTTTATATGATTGAGATATATTTCAATAATAAAAAGCTCCTAACAGAAAATAAGTACGAACGATGAAAGGCATTATATATTAGCTTATTCTCTTTTCTTTATGAGAGTTTTATGTATTTATTCATTAACTTATTCATTATCCACTTAAATAATATTTACTGAGGATGCTAAACATGGTAGGCACTGTGACAAGCACTGAGATAACAACAACGTATAAGATAAGATGGCCCCAGCCCAAAGTGAGTGGATAATCCAGTTAAGGAGACAAACTTTATTCACAAGATATGAGACTGGTGGCAGGGTGGGCAGGAAAGGCTTCTCATATAATATCCTAGATTCCAGCTACCCATGCATTTTTCTTACTTCCTTTGTTATAATTCTATCTTACCCACATTTGCAACTGAAAGCAGCAAGAATATTACCTTGCATTTAGCCAAGGCACTTAATATTTACCAAAATAAGGATTTTTCAATTGAAGTTAATTATAATAAAGTTGGAGACCAAATCAAAGTGAGAGAATACTGGGCAAATTTTAAAAAAATCTAGACACAGTGTCAAATTATTATTATTTTTACTATCGTTGGAGAAAGTTTATCCCACTAAACAGTGTGAAATCCATGGTCCTTTCCTGGTTATTCAATGTACTCTCACCCTGCTAGAAGTCATCTTGAAGATGTGAGATAAGACAAGCAGCAATTTTTTTTTCCCCAAAGTGAGAAATGCTACCACAACAAAAACATCAAAAGCATGAATGTAGGACGTTAGATTTTTTTAAAAGCACTTATGAGTAAGAAAGGAAAGGATCTGAACCTAAACACAGAACTCCTTATATATATTATGTGGCATAAATGAATTAATCAAAATCTATAACTTTATAGACTTCTATGAGATACCACATATACACTTTTCTTTAGAAATTTCAAAGCACCATCAAAATATTGCTACTATTCTTATCTAACAAACTGCATTCTGCAAAACTATCAAATACGTTTACATCAAAAATTAGTGTATAATACCCTATATGTTTATATAACAAAGTTAAGCTAGTACAAGTAAAAAGGAAGTGATTTCTAAGTTATTTTTAAATATAGGTATAAAAGGATGTTTTAAATGGGGCACGGAGTCTTTTAACTCCAGAATGGATTTATATTTCCTTCTTTTGCTAGAGTGAATCAGACAAGGTACAGGTTAAATTAAAACAACAACAGAAGCAGTAGCCAAACAACACTAAAAAAGGGCTTTGGCGACCAAGTTTCTTAAATCGTTTCATAGGGCAAAGATGAATTAAGAGTGGTCCTTAAAAACATTCAGCATACGTTTCTTTGTTTCATGTGTAACAATACAGTTACATGAATGAAATGAAGAAAAGATAATCAATTCACTACAAAGATGTGAGGGGGAAACATTTAATTAGAGAAGAAAATCAACAAAAAATTTAGCATCGGGTTTTAGTCATTGCATATGTAAACTTTTTTCTTCTAAATTAATACAATTTGTATCTAGCCCACATTTCATCAAGTAGGTCAATTTCTCTTTTATAATCCTCCATTTTAGAATACCCATTCTGATTCTGCCCTATTAAAGCGATTCTTTTCCTATGCAATTAATTATTGATAAAACATTCCAAAAAGAAATTTTAATAAAATAACTGCTTCCAAAATGATGCCTGGCTTCATTGGCTGATTACAAGCAGTTTATCAGCCCACAGGGTTCTCCAAGTTTGGTACCTGGACCAGCAGCATTAGCATCACCTGATAATAGCATCACCTGGTAACTTGTTAGAAAGGCAAATTAGAAATGGACCCTACTCCAGATCTACCGATTTCAGAAACTCTGTGGGATGGGGCCATCAATCCATGTTTTAACAAATCCTGTAGGTGATTCTGATGTATGCTCAAGTTTGAGAACAACTGTGCTGGAATACAAATGCTATCCCAAAGTCACTTTGTAATAGTATAAATTATATTTATTACACTATTGTCATTTAATACAAAGAGTACAATAATTTACAGTTTATACAGAGTCCTTTCCTCAATTATGGAGAGACACTTTGTGTACTGCAACTGATGATCTGTAATCAACCTGCCTTTCACCTGGACAAATCCTGATAAGTGGCAGGTTAGGTTTACTCATTTAGTGCTGGTTAATTGTTCTTTCAAATAACATCAGAGAGTCCAGCAAATGCTCAAATAACAACATTCTTTCAGATGATTCTGGGACAGAATAGACCTGTAGCCACTTCAGGCTGATCTCAAATGTTACTTATACATATCTGCCAAGAGTCCTGGATAATGCAAACAATTGACCAGGATGTTGTTTTACTAAAGAATCTTCCACTGTGTGGCTATGACATGAAAACAAAGCTAGGGGACAGTATGTCAATTTTTTAAAATTATGGCATGCTGTTTGAGTCTTCTGAAGAGCAAAACCTTCCAACAGCAAAAGCATTCTCTTCATCCCCTCTTTTGAGGGCCTAACATTTCCTGAGACATGAGCAAGGGTACTCTGTCCAACCAGGCAAAGCTCGCTAATCAATTAATGACAATCAGATTGAGGGGACAGGTCCTGGCCAGATCACACACATGTTCCACTGCTCAGCATTCCTCACTCCAATACCTTATTATAATCAGGTTCATGCACAAACCAAGTGTAGTCTGTGGGATTTTACAGGACAGCAACATAGCCAGCCTTCATTGTTAACCCACATACGTGGCTAACAAAATGACATGTCTTAGCACCACCACCACCTTGAACCAAATAGTCAAAGTGAGGGCAACGATAGAAATCTGTTCCATTTTTCACAAATAGGTGTGCCTCCTGCTCCTGGAACACTGCCAGTTTGGCCCTCCTTGTGGGTTTGACACAGTAAATAATGATGAATATTCTCGCTAAGCCTGTACAGTCCTGCACACTTGTTCTTTGCACAGCCAGAAAAAAAAAATCCTCACATAAAACAAAGCATTGTTGTAGATCCCGCATATTGTTTGGAATACAAACTTTATACAAATTCGCTAATTTCACAGGTGTATGTGTAATTTTCCAAATTTCCATTGTGAGAGATCTCTTTCATCTTTAGGGGATGAAGAAAACCTCCGACAGATCTCCAGTTGCAAAACCCTAACAAGACGAAGGGGGCCATGTGAGCAGAGGGGAAAACAAAATCAACATGTTCAATCCGCTCTAATTATAACATGCCCTAGGACACATATCAACACGGAACTTTATTACAAGTGTTCTATGTTGTCATTAAACCACCATAAAGCTACCTCGATTCAGTACCAGTGAACATCTCAAGAGGCTCCCAAAAGCACCTCCCTATAAAACATATCTTCAAAAAGACTTTTACTTTATACTAGCACATTAAAAGAGTGTCTAAAGACACAGAGGCACTCGACATAGCTATAATTTTAAGAAGAACACTTACTCTCTGGAGAATTAGGAGAGCGGGTAGGGTGTGATAACAAAACTAGCTTGCCCACCCTGCTCAAGCAATCGCAACCTGTAGGAAGCATCTAAGGGCTATCTTAAAAAGAAAATATCCCCTGCCTTTGATAACAAAGCCTACAATAGAATAAAAGCAAGCATCTTTACAGGCAGAAGTTATAGGGTAAGCCAAAAGGTGGAGAGCTCACATAAATGAACTCTCCTCTGGCAGCTCGCAGTACTCCAATACTTGTATCATAAACTCTGCGCCAGCCTCCCTGAGACACATACCTATGCACTCCTGACATAAGTGTCTATATGGCATCATATGCAGGAAGAAAACCAGGCTTAGTAGATTCTTTTCCAATTGAACAGAATTTCATTTTCTCCCTTAAACTGTAAGAGTCAAAATGCATTTACCAAATCTGTTGAAGGGGAAAAGTTGTAAAGTTCTTATTTCAATGTTAATTTAATAGCTTCTACTTAATGAAGACCCAGAAAGGTTCTCATCAGCAGCTACTCAACCAATAGCCCTCTCTTACTTGAACTGAAAAAAATGCACATCCCTTTCCTCAAGATAATTCCAGAATATTAGATTTGTCAGGACTTACTTAACCTTCAGTGCATTGGCAACAAGTATGGGGGATTTCGCACCTTCCTGGACATTTAATTCATGTTGCTCTTAAATCCATGGTTTCTAAGACCTCAGAGACAGACAAATACATTTAACTGGAATAGATCTATGACTAAACATTTTCCTATTTTCAAATAGTTGCCTCAAACATGAATTAATGCTTTTCTTTAGTTTGCTTTTGGTTTGTTTCTGTTACTGTTCTTTGTTGTAATTCTGATTTGCCATTGAGCCACTAGTAACTACAACCAGCATAGTGTAAATAGCGTGAAGTAAAATATATTGGTTTTTATGTGTGAATAATCTTTTTCTAGTTCAGTTATTATTTCCCTGCCACTGTTTAAAAAATCATTCTTTCACCACCCATCCCCTGTTTTGATACACTTAAAATATTTTACTCATGGCTTATAAAAATATAAACAAGTAAATCCTATCAGCAAATGCAAAAAAAAAAAAAAAAATTAGAGCATTTAATCTGATTCCCACCCCACAACCCCCAGCTGTGGCCCTATGCTTTCTGATAGCAAAAAGGAAGGAAATACTCATTCACCTGTTGCCTAGCAGCACATCATACCACACCACCTTCCTCATTCCACTGTTCTATCTTGCAGTCAGGCCAACGTTTGGCTCAAGCCTCAAAAACGTATGGAAGAGTTTTATGAAAATGTAGTCAGGTTCCATCTGCATTTTTAGAAAAATATTATGGTGCCTACTATTGCCTCTGCCATTCACTACTTTATCCCTAGTCGTATCCTCTAGGCCTCCCCTATGTACATTAACTTTATAGTGTGTAATATATTCATGCCGAAAGTTTGATTAAAATGTAGCCTTTCAAGCGCCACTCTCAAAAATTTAGCAGCTCTAGGATAGGACCCAGGAATCAGCACTTTCAGTCTGCCATCCAGGTTATTCTAAGACAGATCCCACATTGGGACACACCAATTTGTTTTCTAAACCTGAGAAGGGTCAAGTGAAGCAGATCTGAGTTATGACCCTCCTTCAGGAGTGTGAGGGTCACAATAAGAGTGGACCATTATCCTGAATGGTAATGCCTAGGTTTTCTTCTAGGGATTTTATGGTTTTAGGTCTAACATGTAGGTCTTTAATCCATCTTGAATTAATTTTTGTATAAGGTGTAAGGAAGGGATCCAGTTTCAGCTGGCTAGCCAGTTTTCCCAGCACCATTTATTAAATAGGGAATCCTTTCCCCATTGCTTGTTTAAAGGACTTCATGTTTAAAACACCAAAAGCAATGGCAACAAAAGCCAAAATTGACAATTGGGATCTAATTAAACTAAAGAGCTTCTGCACAGCAAAAGAAACTACCATCAGAGTGAACAGGCAACCTACAGAATGGGAGAAAATTTTTGCAACCTACTCATCTGACAAAGGGCTAATATCCAGAATCTACAATGAACTCAAACAAAATTACAAGAAAAAAACAACCCCATCAAAAAGTGAGTGAAGGATATGAACAGACACTTCTCAAAAGAAGACATTTATGCAGCCAAAACACACATGAAAAAATGCTCACCATCACTGGCCATCAGAGAAATGCAAATCAAAACCACAATGAGATACCATCTCACACCAGTCAGAATGGCGATCATTAAAAAGTCAGGAAACAACAGGTGCTGGAGAGGATGTGGAGAAATAGGAACACTTTTACACTGTTGTGGGGACTGTAAACTAGTTCAACCATTGTGGAAGTCAGTGTGGCAATTCGTCAGGGATCTAGAACTAGAAATACCATTTGACCCAGCCATCCCATTACTGGGTATATACCCAAAGGATTATAAATCATGCTGTTATAAAGACACATGCACACATATGTTTATTGCGGCACTATACACAATAGCAAAGACTTGGAACCAACCCAAATGTCCAACAATGATAGACTGGATTAAGAAAATGTGGCACATATACACCATGGAATACTATGCAGCCATAAAAAATGATGAGTTCATGTCCTTTGTAGGGACATGGATGAAGCTGGAAACCATCATTCTCAGCAAACTATTGCAAGGACAAAAAACCAAAGACTGCATGTTCTCACTCACAGGTGGGAATTGAACAATGAGACCACATGGACACAGGAAGGGGAACATCACACACCAGGGACTGTTGTGGGGTGGGGGAGGGGGGAGGGATAGCATTAGGAGATACATCTAATGCTAAATGACGAGTTAATGGGTGCAGCACACCAACATGGCACATGTATACATATGTAACAAACCTGCACGTTGTGCACATGTACCCTAAAACTTAAAGTATAATAATAATAAAATTAAAAAAAATCAAAAAAAGAAAGAGTGGACCATTATCTCACATCAGCAAACCCCTGAGGTCATTTTATTCCCTCCATATTTTATGTCTACTTTGCTCAGGAACACCCTTGTCCTACCTGGGGTTCTGGCATATCCCCCAATAGAAAACTTGACTCTAATTCTATAGCATTATTTCCTATGAAGCCTTGTTTCCACGTGTGAACAGACATATGATATCAATTTCACTATTTATTTTACTCATTGCACTTGCCAATTATTCATATGTCATATGGAGACTTGGCTCATGAATAAATTGTGGGGGAATTCCATTTCATCATGCTTAGCAGGGTTCTTGGAGGGTTAACTGTGGCACAAATGAGGCAGCTCTAAATTAGGTTCTGGAAATCATTATCTGTATTTTTGGATTTGTTTTTACTTATATAATAAGTGGCCTGTTATCGGGAGTTACAGTGGAAGGGCAGGTATATCTGATGTTTTTATGAGCTGTTAATGAGTTCAGAATCTAAAATATTCTCAAGAAATCTACCAGGATTCCACACACAGCTACTGAATCTTTCACAAACTTTTGAAAGGCAATATGTGAAGTGGAGAATAAAGTTCAAAGTGTATGTGTATGTATGTTGGGGAAAGTTGCAAAATTGGGAAAGAAGTTCCTTCACTGAGGAGGTTAGAGTTAATTGACTATTTAACATGACTCGAAGTGAGCTGTCTTAAATTTGGTAAAAGTACTTAAGAACTGCACAGACTGACAAAAAAATAAAGAAAAATTCAGATTCATACGTGCTGAGTTAAAATTTAAAAAAGCAACCTCTCCTTTACAGTAACATCTTTTATATCCAGGATCACCAAGTAATAAGACGTCAAATAGAATGTGGCAGATCGCTAACTCAACCATTAAATCTCAAACAAAGAGGGAAAAAGAGGAATGAATCCGTTCCAATGAAAAAAATTCTAAAATAGGCTAGACAATAAATTCTATTTTCCACAATATATAGCGGTACACTTCCAATATGTTCCAGTGGATGAAGCCGCAAAGCCACTCTCTTAAAAAATCCTCCTGGAACTGGCTGAAGAAAAAGTACTGCACACAGAAGATGAAAGAGAACACATATTCTCAGCTCTGGAAAGAAGCAACTTGTCCTTCAGCTTCTTAAATCATTTTGATATCTCCTTTAAACTGCTTCAGTTTTGACTACCTGTAGTAAGAACCTAGCGCCTAGGGCCAAATCTATGCTGCTGTTGTTGTTGTTGTTGTTGTTGTTGTTGTTGTTGTTGTTGTTGTTGTTGTTTTAACACCAATAACCATCAAAGTCCCTTAGCATCACTAGCCCTCCAAGTATATGGCAATTTTGTTCCGTTTGCAATGCCAGGGAGATCATAAATATTACCAGGAACTATCAATAAGGAGAAAACAGCATGAACTGAGTATCTATCTGTGCCTGGCCAGGAATCACGCTAGACGCTGCACGCTGAGTCATCCTAACTTTACCATTTCATCTCTAAGGAGGAGAAATAACCGGCAACCAAGACAAAGCTGAAGGAGATCATAAAAATCCTAAAGTCCATTAATCCTCTGCTTTAGAGCCAGGCTATATCTCTGTTAAAAATGTATATGTTAAGTGCACCTAGGAGTTGGGAGTTCTAGCTGGAGGAAAAGT
This sequence comes from Homo sapiens, assembly GCF_000001405.40. NCBI lineage: Eukaryota > Metazoa > Chordata > Mammalia > Primates > Hominidae > Homo > Homo sapiens. The sequence continues at coordinate 105,403,623 of NC_000008.11, read as the reverse complement.
GTGGAACATAGGACAAACAACATGCTAATGACTGAAAAAAAAAAGACTCAACTTTCTTCTCCTTAAAATAATTACTTTATAAAATGATTTTTAAAAAATCTACTTCATGTTTTCCGTAAGATTTTTGGAGCCCTTCTTTCAAATAAACAAAACATAAGAAAAGAAGCACTACAATAAAAATCTACATTTCTACATTTGATAATGCAGAAAAATTGAATTAGTGATGCTGATGACAAATTATGACAAACAGCATGAGAATGCAGAAAATAATAACAACAGATCGAAAAGATGAGAGGTAGTAAAGAAAAACCAGGGAAGACGGATTATAGAGCTGGACCCACTAATAATATATAATCCTACATTTCTGTTTACATTTAACTAAATAGAAAATGGTGAATTAGCAGTAGGTATAACACTAAGGATTTACACATAATTATGAATTTCCAGGCCTGAAGAAAGCCCCCATATTTGAGATTAAGGAAAACAAAATCAACACTAAGTTTATCTTTGTTATATTTTTGAATAGCAAGAGTAAAGAATCATCTTTCTATCCCCCAGTCTACCTTTCTAAACTCAAAACTAGCACTCTACCAAAATAGACCACCTACAAAGAAAAAAATAAAGAACAACAAAAGAAATGAAAGCTAGCATAACTTTGCAAGGGAAAGGTTATGAAAGAACATGATATTCAGTTAACTCTGAAATTTATGTGTAATGTTGACCAAAACAGTCTCCAATCTTCTGGCTCTCAGAAACTACATCATAAAGTATAATTTCTATAGACTTTATTAAAAGATGTTCTCTCAACAGTGATAAATAATTAGCCATTAAGAATGGCAAAACTGTGCTTAGAAAGTAATTTGTAGGGACCACAAACTAGCTAAAGATAAAAGGATTTTTTTTATAAATGTCAAATTACAAATAAAAGTTTGATTTTGATGAGTCTAAATGCTTGTTGGGACTAATTTAACAAAATAAAATATTAGACAACACATATTAAAAGAGGAACTAAATTTTACCAAGGTTAGTAAACACATATTAGATTAATAGAGAATAGGGAAGTGGGGCTGAAAAGAAGCCAAAGGATCCCATTTTTATTCCTCTCTAAAGACGGGTTAAATTATTTTGATTTTGACAATTAGATAAAAATAAATTTTTTAAACCAATTGGGCAATATTTTCAGATACCATTGAATAGGATTCCTGTCTTCCACATGTTTAAAGACACTAAAACAAGAATTAATAATACATTCAATAAAGACAAAATTAAAGTATAATCATTAGGAACACTAAAATAAAATGCAATAGTTAAGAGGATGAACAGAATACATTTAATTGAACAAATTGAAGATTAGAATAAAAAAGCACATTAATTTTTTACTTGATAAACATCTTAACATGTTAAAGATGCTTCCAAATGAAACAACAGGCAAGATTTTACAAGTCAACATAAAAGGAAAATATAGAAAGGCTGATAATACTGGCATCACATAAGATTTAAGAAATTAGCAAATGAAAATTATAGTACTTTGGTTAAAATATACCAACAGCAATACTATATTGAGTGGAGAATATTAACAAATTATTACTACAATGCCATATTGAGGAAACAAAAAATAAGGATATAAACAATTTGAACACAATTCATGATTAATACCTACGCCACAAAATTACATGTTACCATGCTGTTCCCTAAAAACAGGGAATAAATCTTTACAAGATTCCATAAACTACTTACAAACACTGACGAAACAACAGGAATTCCAAAGCTCAATAGTTTCTAAAAATCAAATGTTGTTACAATGCAGTGTAATTGGAAATTAAATATAATTTTAAAATCAAATTTTTCTTAAAGACAACTATTTAAAAAAGTGTAAGTACCCCTTTTCATAAAAAGTGTAAGTGATATGGTTTTGATAGTTTGGGGTTCAAATACTAGCTTCCCCTATTACCAGTTTTCTAACTTCAGAGTACCTAGGAGACACATCAAAACAACTGGTAAAACTCCAAAGTAAAACAAGTAAGATGACCTGAAGGCAAATGATGAAATGCACCTGGCAGGTCATGGTAAGAACATACAGAATCATCTTAAAGTCTCAGAGTGCCTCAAAGCAGGATGGCCCTGAAATTCTCTAGAAAAAGTATGGGAAATCTTAAAAATCTTTTAAACTTTGAAAATTTATTAGAAAAATGGTAAATACAAGTACACGCAATTTAAAGAGCAAAAGGCAGTAAAGCATTTTTTTAAACATCAAGCAGAATGTTATACTAACAAACTTGAAAATACATTAAGCACAAAATCACTTTTAAAAAGCTTGTTCCATTTTAAAAATTTTAAGTAGAATACCAAAATTGAAAAATGACTGAAGGAAGAATGTAAAACTTATTAAATGATTATTAAATTAAGTCTGTATTTAATGATTAAATAATTTCAAACAGTAAAAAACTCCTAGAATTAATCTTAACCAAAAATACAGATGGCATTGAAAAAAAAATCACAAAACTTAATGAGAAAATAAAGAGCCTGTTTTATAAATGTGCCTACATAATACATTCCTAGAAGTAGAAACCAAATATTATCAAGATACCAATAATCCCCAAAGTAAATATATCATGGTCTTCAATTTTAAAATTCCTTGGGGAATTTTTAGAAACTTAAAAAAAAAAGACTCCCTAGAGCAGCACTGTCCAAGAGAACTTTGCTTGCTGATGGACATATTCTATAATTCTGCATTGTCTAATATGGGTACGACTTAGCCCCGGTGTCAATGTTGAGCACTGGAAATAGGGCTAATGAGATTGAGAGACAGAATTTTTAATTATGTTTAATTTTAATTAATTTATATTTAAATATCTATATGTGACTAGTGGCTACCCTATTAGAGTGCACCTCTAAAGCATGTACGGAATAAAAAGTTATATGAGTTGCAAACAAATACTATAGTCCAACCTAAATATATACCTAAATATATACCAAAAGTGCATATATTCCAAGCATTGGAGAAAATCACACAATAAAAACACCATCCAGTACATTTAGCAATAGGCTACCATTTGTAAGAATTTAATAAACAATAAAGTTAGAAAAAATCAATTTTAGTTCTTCTTTTGTATCATTTAAAAAATAAATTTCGTGGGAATTGAACAATGAGATCACATGGACACAGGAAGGGGAATATCACACTCTGGGGACTGTTGTGGGGTAGGGGGAGTGGGGAGGGATAGCACTGGGAGATATACCTAATGCTAGATGACGAGTTAGTGGGTGCAGTGCACCAGCATGGCACATGTATACATATGTAACTAACCTGCACAATGTGCACATGTACCCTAAAACTTAAAGTATAATAAAAAAAATAAAATAAATAAAAATAAAAAAATAAATTTCAGATTTTTTAAAGAATTAAACACAAAATAATAACTATAAGAAGCAAAATTGGTTATTAATCAAACTTTTGAGCAGGGAGTGATATTTTAGACACAATGAAAGAATCACGAAGCAATAAATAGATGGACATAAATTTATATAAGAAAGCAAAATAAAAATGCATCACAAAGGCCAGGGGCAGTGGCTCACACCTGTAATCCTAGCACTTTGGGAGGCCGAGACGAGCGGATTACCTGAGGTCAGGATTTCAAGACCAGCCTGGCCAACATGGTGAAACACCATCTCTACTAAAAACACAAAAAAATTAGCCAGGTGCAGTGGTGCATGCCTGTAATCCCAACTATTCGGGAGGCTGAGGCAAGAGAATTACTTGAACCCAGGAGGCACAGGTTGCGGTGAGCCGAGATCGCGCCACTGCACTCCAGCCTGGACACAGAGCAAGACTTCGTCTCAAAACAAAAAAAACAAGTATCACAAATCTAAATATAGTTAGAGCTTCTGAATATTAAGCTATCAAAAAATAAAAAAATACAACCTAAGGGGAAATGTATTCGGCAAATAATTTAAATCATGTGTTAATGTTTTATAATAACTACTCAAAAATATTTTGGGGCACCTCCTCTCTAGCTTAGCATGCCTTGTGCTAGTGGGTATGAATAGTGAATAAAGGAGAAAAAGTCCCTGTCCTCATGGAAGTTGTATCTAGTTGGAACAATAGCAACTAAACGATTAAATGCACACTTTTCTCAAGCCCCAAAGTGAGGAGTCGTAATTGATCCTTCATTTTCTTTCAGGCACACATCGAATCCATCATGTCCTTAAAAGCTCTACCTCCGAAACATAACCCAACCTGACTGCCTCTCACCATCTCTACTTCTTGTGTCCCTATTTTGAGCCACCTTTATCTTTCACCAGAGCTAATGCAGTGACCAGCTTTCTAATCTGCAGGAACCCATTCCAGCCACTCCTACAATCCATTGCTTGTCACAGGATATAAATTACATCTTATTACTCCTCTGCTTTTATGTCTTCTGTCTACATGTAGGATGAAGTCCAAAATCTATATCATGGCCCACAAACTCCTACAAAAGAACCAGTTGGCCGTTGGCCCTACTCCTTGGAGATAAACTCAAACTCCTCCCTTCCTCCCTGAGATCTTGGCACATCAACCCTCTTTTAATTCTCCCAACCCCAGAGCTCTTTCCTAATTTAGGGTCTTTGCACTTGCTCTTCCCTCTGCCTGGAACACTCCACTTCTGCTGACTCAGTTCATCCTTCAGGTTTGAGAACAAATGCCCTCTCTGCTCCTCACAGAAGGCTTCACTGCCTCAGCCAGTCTATCCTCTCTCTCTATCTCAGCACAGTTTTTATTGTGATGGCTCCAAATAAATCGGTTATCTTACACAAAGTGGTGCCACACATTTGCTGAATAATGTACCAATTATATGTATACATATGTACCAATATGTATATATATACATATATAACAGTTGTAACAAGAGGTGAGTGGCCAGGGAAGCAATAATTACTATCTGAGCTCTGCCTGCTCTCAGATCAGTGGCAGCCTTAAATTCTGACAAGACCATGAACCCTAGTGTGAACTGTGCATGTGAGGGATCTAGGTTGCATGCTCCTTATGAGAATCTAATGCCTGATGATGTGAGGCAGACCCGTTTTATCCTGAAACCCATTCCCCTATCCCCAACATCCCTGGAAAAATTGTCTTCCATGAAACCAGTCCCTGTGCCAAAAAGGTTGGGGACTGCCATTCTAAAAAATAATTGGAGAAGACAAAAATCATCGTTTAGCAAAATCCATCACAATGTTTGTTCTAAAAGGGAGATATCAGAAACAATCTAAATGGCAATGGAAGTTGATTTCAAAATCTGTAAATCTGTATCACTGAGTGCTATGCAATCTTTTTTTCAAAATCTGTTTCAGAGGAATGCTGATGGACACAGAGAAGTGTTCAATATATATTAAATGAAAAACTAACAATATGATCCTTATGTAGTCAGTTCTAATCCACTTTAGATTATAAAACCAAAAAACCAAGTTTGCTAGAACTGAGCTTAACTATTCTGAATGAATGAATGATCTAAGTAAAGTTTATGAGCTCCTTTGCGTAGACTTTACATCCTATACTTTTGCTGAGTTTCTCTTTTTTTGTTATAATTTTTTTAAAAAATACATGAATTGACCTGCGGATACTTTTTGGTTATCATCTCTTATGTTTCCCTTACATGTTAACAAATAATATCTGTGGCCCATGAGGATCTGATGTAGCTGGTTAAACCTCTCATTATGGCTGAAAGGTACTTTAAGTAGTCACTACACTTGATTTGTCCGTGGTATATGCACATATCTGATTTTTTTTTTCCTGTTATATGGGCTTTGACAACCGGAGTTACATGGTAGGGAAAAAGGTAAGGGAAACCAAGTCTGTTTGGAGAAACAAACACAATTTGTTGTGTTTATATATCGCATATCACCAGTATAAGTCTTGTATATGGCACAACAAACTATAGGAAATTTTAATAAAACTTAATTGTCAAAGACGACATCTTTACTCTTATGAAACAATATTTCAGGGGACAGAAAGTTGGCTATTTAATGTACCTCTAAGAGCAAAAACTCCTCAGTAGCTCTATTAAATACTATCACATTGAAGACAATTTTAAACATGAAAAAACAACCATAAAAAGGAAATACCAAATAGCATCATCTTATGCTATAGCATTAAAATTAATAGTGATCATGAACAAATACACTGAAAAACATGAATTTAAACAGTGATCAACAAAAGCAGTACAGCAAAACTACTTTGCTGTAAGGTGATAAAATTTATTTTTTTTAATCCTTATGGTTCCAAGAATATTTATTAGGTATTTATAGATTAGGTTATGTTACTTAAGTTATGTGATTATAAAATCTGGTACATGAAATCATATTAAAGCGGTTCCCTTTTATATTAGTAATCTTTTTTATTTTGATGCATATCTTTACTATGACATCAATACTTGAGATTGAGGATTGCTATGCTGGTAAAAGGGAGGAGCTGAAAGAGATAAGATATGATAGAGGGGGATGGAAGAGTAGTGTGAGAAAAATACAACTAATGAAATGGCAGAAGCAGAGTAGATGCTGGAAGTGGTGGTCGGAGTTTGTAGGAGTGGTGTTTTTGTTCCTTAAATCAAGATAAAAATACATTATTTGAAGTTTCATTTGTGTTATTTCTTGAGTAATATGTAATTAACACCAACATTTACATGTAATCAGAAATTCAATGGAAAATTACCAGGTTATAATGTTACTGGCAATATATAAAAGTCGCATAATTAATACTACAAATTACTGAACACAGAGCACAAGGACTTTTTTATATCATATGAACAAGCTCAATGCTCTTACAGCCACTGGAACACAATAATTAGTTCTTATTGGCTTTATTTTCTTGATTAGCAATATTTGTATTTTGTTAGACCCTAAAAGGCCATTCTAATGCAAGTGAATGTTGTCAGGAGTCTTCCTCATTGTCCTTGAAATGCAACATAAAAAGTAAAGCATGATAAACATGCACTAACGGAAGATATTTATGCTCTAACCAAATCAGCAGATTAAGAACCTCTTTTCCTGATGTCTGAACCAATCTTCATTCCTAACTTCTTTTACCTAAAAGGGGTCCTTTCTATATTGAACATGTATTACTCTCAAAGAGCCTTTAACCTGTTCTTCATTCCCACAGCCACAAACACAACATGAACATATTACTGCAGAAATGTGTTACAAATAGGAATCCAACTCTTCCCCATGTCAAGGAATCACACTGAATAGGTACACAGTGTTCACTCCCATCAGGCCAGAGAAAGGCAGGTACTCACACTCCATCAAACATAAACTACTCACATTCTTGCCAGGCAGCCTAGAAAAACTCTTCAACAGGCACAACCAGAGAAGCACTCCTATAGTCAATGTTTGCATATTCACATGTATCTAACGAATATGTTATGTGAATGCCACCCCCCTCAACACACACCCCTATGTCTTTTGTTCCTTCTTTGTTTCCTATCATGGACAAGCTTTACTTGATACACACTGGTTCTGAGAGATATGGGTGAGCATGACCAGAGAGGCTATGGTAAAATGTAGAAATATGGTAGTTGTAAACAATGGAAAAATAACATTAAAAGACACAGCAATGATGGAAATGTAATAAAAATCACAAGCTTAAACACTTGAAGGTACGGAGCTCAAAAAGCAATTAATAGACCCTTTGAATCATTAGTCTCAGAAGTCGTAATATGAAGTATCACTTGGAAAACAATGACTGGCTCGTGCCTACAACTAGGATAGAGTAGAAGGCGGACATTCCTGCATTTAAACCTTGATTCTGGCCTTGACAAGCTGTCTGACTGTGAGTAAGTCTCAGAAATTCTGAGTTTCCATTTCTCATCTGTAAAACTAAGATACTATCTCATAGAAGTTATAAATTACGTGTGTCCAATTATGTTACGAATGTAGCATGGTGCCTGATATACTTTAAGTGTTCAAAATATGTCAATTTATTATGTTTGAAATACCTTTCTTAATAATTATATAAAACCATTGTATGGGGGGAAATAGGGGACAGATCAACATGGGAGAAGTGTGCTCATTTTGATCCCTTGAAATAAAACATCACACACCTAGAAAGAGGAAGTGGCTATGCTAGGAAACTCCCTCTAGAGTTCCAGAGCCTTCAGATTCAGGTGGTGTGTAAGGACCCACATTATTTTGTGATTAAAGAGGATTAGATAAAATGTGGATCCTACCATCTCTGGGGTTAGTGTTCTAATGCACTAAGAATTAAATGACCCCCTTCTTATTTACAAGAATATAAGAAAAAGGTTTCTAATTAGAGACGACACATGGTAATACTAAAGATATACATTTATTCCGTGAAAACAAAAATAAACTTTCATTTCAGATAAAAAGAATGCTCTCTGGACTCTTTAGGAAATACTGAGAGAAAGTGCAAAATTGGAGGCAGCATAAACATAATGAACCTAGACAAACTATGGCAGCTTCTGTAGCGGAAGGATTTGGTTGGGCCCTGGGGACATTCTTTGCAGAAACTCTTGCTTCTGTGTCATGGAGATATGTAGGGGCTGTAATAGCCTGGACCAGACCCAGTAGAAACAAACTAAAGATGTCTTACCTTCCACAGTGCTTTTATACTGAATTACAGAGTTCTAGTCACAGACACTACCCAGAAGCCACATTGGGAAAAGGACCAGAAAAGACTGTTTGACACATACACGATTCCAGAGAATCAAAGGAACCTGCATACTGGCACAAACAGGCATCCCTTGTTTCAAGATTCCAAATGCTGCTTCATAAGGATAAACTGATTTTAAAATGTTGAAGGCATGAAAAATACTACTCAAAATTCAACTCATTTAATGACGCACCCTTTAATTTATTTTATTGCCTCAAGGGTGGAAAAGGCATGTTCTTCACTGTCTGTGAGACAAGGAGCTGTGCCAAGCTAATGCTAATGGGAATTCCGTGGCCAGAGCCCACACTCGAAGCCGCTCATGCACATTTCAGTTTGGGATGTACTCGCTTTTACAAAATACCATAATAATATCCATCCTAAAAGAGACAGCTTTTTTGTTTAAAAGTTTTGTTTGATACATTATACCTACTCAGCTCTCCCAGAATATGAAACATCTGAATTACATTCTATACAGTGTTCTACAAGGAACTTTCAATAACATTTTAAAACACTCTCAATTTCCAGGTACTATTAAGATAGTAACTGTTTTTTGAAACTGAGCTAAAGAGTAATATATTCCTACTGAAATAAACAACACAAGAGAAAAGTGATACATTTCCACAGAGTTAGCATGTCAGTAAACAGACATATTATATAAAACACCCTTCCCTAAACAAAGGCAGCAGGGAGCTCCTAGAGATGCCCCTGTTTGATTTGCTCCCATCCAAACTCCCCACTTGCAGGAGCATCTCAATATGAAACAGCAGTTAGAAATATTTAGGTCTATGGCTGGGCGCGGTGGCTCACGCTTGTAATCCCAGCACTTTGGGAGGCCGAGGCGGGCGAATCACTAGGTCAGGAGATAGAGACCATCCTGGCTAACACGGTGAAACCCCGACTCTAATAAAAATACAAAAAATTAGCCGGGCATGGTGGCAGGCGCCTGTAGTCTCAGCTACTTGAGAGGCTGAGGCAGGAGAATGGCGTGAACCCAGGAAGCGGAGCTTGCAGTGAGCCAAGATCACACCACTGCACACCAGCCTGGGTGACAGAGCGAGACTCCATCTCAAAAAAAAAAAAAAAAAGAAATATTTTAGATCTAATTCTATAACATTTCAATAGTCAAATTGGTAACTTCCCAAATTGTGGTTAGGAATAATAATTCTGACCTAAATCCAAGATATTTTAATTATTGTAACATCCACAATTTACACTGTTACATTTAATTTCCAGTTTAGGAATCAACAATCAAACTCTCTGGTAAATAAACACATGCAGTCAAAAATCTCACCGAAATATTCCTTGCACAAAATGAATTTCTCCCACCCAAGACTATGCCAGCACTAACTTACTTTCATATAACAGAACGTGGCTGATTTGTTATAATAATAAACATGCTCTGGCTGAAATTTGTCTTTGCATTATACAGGAAGAAAAAGGCCAAGCTCTGAAAAGAGTTTATCCGTGGTTGTGTAGATACTAAATGAGTATCTTTAATTCCTTTAAAGAGAACACCCTGTTTTTAGGTATCTCAAAACCTGGAGATATAATCATTTTAGTGATACATTCCATATTTAAATTCTGAAGAAGAAAGAAAGAAAGAAAGAAAGAAAGAAAGAAAGAAAGAAAGAAAGAAAGAAAGGCAAAGAGAGAGAGAGGGAAGGAAGAAAGGAAGGAAGGAAGACATTCTGAAGAATATAATTTCTTCAGTATAGCACATGCTTCAGCTATTTTTATTAGGCTGTCTTCTACACCAGCCACACTTCCAACGGCATGGTTTAAGAGCAATAAAAATATTTCTTTAAAATATTTTATAAATCAGACTGATTGGATTGGTCTTCACCTGGATATTAGAGGCTTTAAAAAAATTACAGATGTTACAGATGGAAAGCACCACAGTTTATCTCATCACACAGATGAGAACATTGAGGGATTCTGACGTTTTTTTCATAGAACAAGAACTAGAAACCAGGCTTCCAGTTATTATTCCATGCCTTTGAACCACATGCTAATGAAAAGGCAGCCTTACACATAATTCCAAGTGTTAAAGCTTCAAATAGAACTTGGATTTAAGTAATAAAACCTATTATCTGACACTATAAGCACGAAAAGAACTGAAAAAGCAAAAAGATAAAATTTAATACAATCTCTCACTTATAGATTAAGAAATGAAGTTCAAAGGGGTGAAGCAATTTGCTTGTTTGCATGTTTCAAAGACATCTCTACTGATACTCTGTTTAATTTGGATTATTAATTATGCAGTATTTAATGCTACTAGTGACATTATAGTAAAGTAGTTTCGACAAAAATTATAATGACCAAAACATAAATGTTGGTATTTTTTAAGTATTCATCTCTCCATCAGATTATATGTTAGTTGTTTTTGTACGGCCCACAATACTCAGAAAAGTGTTTTGGTACATAGTGGACACTTAGCAAATTTGTTAAATTTTATCATATTGTAGTTGGAGACTAGACAAAGGAAGGTGACATTTTACAAGTATATGTGCTACGATGTGGCTTTATCAATGGTCTTCATGAGATTATGTAGATACACTGCAAGTATTTCCCATTCAGCCATTTGAAAACTATAATTACCTAGATTAATTTATTATTACTAGTTGTAAGCCATTTCATAATTAAAGAACAAGTTTTAAATGAATAGATAAAAGCACTGACTTTAATTCCATTTTGTTAACCTTTCTATGTGAAAGAAAAGGTAAACTTTGAAGAGTAAAGATTGGGTTAACTTCAAAGCCTGATTGGTATTTCAAGCCCTCTGTTGAGACCTACTGCTCAGAAAAAAAATTCCCTTCAAAATATTACTGCTCATTGACAGTGCACCTGATCACCCAAGAGCTCTGATGGAGATGTACAAGGAAACCTATATTGTTTTCATGCCTGGTAACAAAAATCCATTCTGCAAAGTTGGACTTTCAAGTCTTATTAAGGAATACATTTTATACGGCTACAGCTGCCACAGACAGTGATTTCTGTGATGGATGGACCTGAACAAAGTAATCTGAAAAGCTTCTGTAAAGGATTTACCTTTCTAGATGCCATTAAGAATTCATGATTCATGGGAGGAAGTCAAAATATTAACATTAACAGGAATTTGGAGGAAGTTGATTCCAACTCTTATGGATGACTTAGAGGAGTTCAAGACTTTAGCTGAGAAAGTAACTACAGATGGGCTGGAAATAGCAAGACAACTAGAATTAAAAGGAGATCCTGAAGATGTGACTGAATTGCTGCAATCTCATGACAAACTTTAACACATGAGAATTTGTTTCTTAAAGATGAGCACAAAAAAGTAGTTGCTAGAGATAGAATCTACTTCTGGTACACATGTTGTGAATTGTTGAAATGATAAAGGATTTAGAATATTTTATAGACATTATTGACGACGCATAAGTAGGGTGTGTGAGGATTGACTCTAATTCTGAAAGTTCTACAGTAGATAAAATACTATCAAACAGCATTGCAAGCTACAGAGAAATCTTTCATGACTGGAAGACTTAATCAATGTGACAAACTTCATCGTTGTCTTATTTTAAAAAATTACCACAGCCACCTCCACATTCAGCAGCCACCACCCTGATCACTCAGCAGCCATCAGCATCAATTCATGACTTGCTGAAGTCTCAGATGATCATCAGCATTTTAAGTTAAATCAACTGTTTTTACATTAAGGTATATGCACTATTTATTCATTATACTTTAAGTTCTGGGGAAAGTCCAATACATTGTGAGAATTACCAAAATGTGACACAGGGACATGAAGTGAGCACACACTGGTGGAAAAATGGTACCATACTGAAAGATTTGCTTTTGTTGCATAGCTCCACAAAACTTCAATTTGTATAAAATGCAATATCTGCATAGCACAATAAAGTGAGGCACAATAAAATGAGGTATGTCTGCAATGTGAGCCACAGCAATCACATTTATGCTATGGAGTCTTGACTCTCAGTATATAATTCTGAAGATTCTTCTAAACCCTAGATATGCATTTTTATACCTTTACCCTGCATTCATGTGTTTCATCAATATCTTCAACTCCAGGAATCTAAAATTAGCTCATTACCTATATTATCTCCTTCATATCAGTCTGCAGTTTCTTACATATTTCCAATCTAGGATCAATTTAAATATGATCAATTTAAGCTAGAATGTTAATACTACCAACAATTTAGACTCCTCCCTGGTATAATTCCTTCCTCATCTGTCTCTCCATTTTCATTACCATGAGTACATTAAGGTTGTGTTGTATAATAAAGAATTTGTCTGGTCTTTGTCCTGCACAGGAATCCAAAGCCCTTGGAATTTCTCAAGTGATAGGAATGTCTCTGTCTTTCAAAGTAGGCCCCTCACTGTAGAGGAGGATACGGGGGAGTGGAGATCGAGTTCAATCATGTTGGCAAAGAGTCAATTAATCATGCCTATGTAAAGAAACACCAACAAAGCTGCTATACACTGAGTCTTGGGTGAGCTTCCTGGTTAGTGAGCACACCCAGAATGATGCATTCCGAGTTTGTGAGAATACACGAAAGCTCTACTTCGAAACCATGCTAGACCTTGCCCTACGTATGTCTTCATTTAGGAGGTATGTCTCATTAGGAGGTTCTGCTTTTTTATTGTTTAAAATAAAAGTACTGTCATAAGTATACCCTTTTCCTGAGTCATGTGAATTAATCTAGTGAATTATCATATCAACCTAAGGGAATCATAGGAAACACCAAATTTGTAGCCTGTTAGTCAGAAGTGCAGTTGGCCTGGGAACCTCTGAGTTTGAGATTGGTATCTGACAAGAACAATCTTACTGGGGTCTTTGCCTCAACCTACGGAGTCTGCACAAACTATAGGTTGTTAGTGTCAGAATTACATTACAGTACTTTAGGCTACCAGATAAAATACATGAGACTAGTTAAATACAAATTTAAAATAAATAGCATGATTTTAATATACATAAATACCAGATATTATAAGGGACGTACTTAAACCAAAAATTCAGAAATTCATATGTAAATGGGCATTTTGAGTTTTACTGTTATTTTTCCTAAATCTGACAAATCTGCACCCTAAAGAAGGCTCTCATTTCTCCTTATCTAGAGGTCTAATAACTGCGCTTCCTTTTTCCTGGATCTATCTTTTCAAATCCCCACTACATGCTGCTTTTAGATTATTCTTCTCAGACATAGCTATGATCACGTCTTACCTTGTCTCAAGCTTTCTTGTTACTATATAAATACATACAGATTTGTTAGCCTCGCATTGATGACCATTTACAAAGCACCACAGACTCTACAAATTAGTCAGAGCTGGGTTGAAATTCTAGTTTCCCCATATACCAGCTGGGTAAAATTAGAAAACTGATTTTCTCTCTCTCTGGTTCCCAATCTCTTCATTGTAATATGAGAATAACAATGTAGTAGAATGTTATTTTGAAGAGAAAAAGCAACTTTGGATCTACCCTTAATTGGTCAATGACATCTGAGTAGGCATAGAGAATGAACCCATTCTAGCATTTTTTGACTATTCATCTTTACTAAAGGTCTCGGCTTTTGTGACACTATTTCCCCCTCTGATTTTCCTCTTTGTCCATTTAACCCTTTATATGAGTGCTTCCATGAAGTTGTGTCATTGGTCCCTTTTCATTATATATGCTTTTTCTAGTGATCTTCTAAGATCTTAAATACTGTTAAACTCCTACTATATGCTAATAGATTTCAATTATGGATGCTACAGATTCCAACATCCATCTGTTTACTAGACATGTCTGAGTGTCCTATGGTCGCCTTAGGCCTTCTCCTACAATCCTTTGCTCTTCCCTCATTGCTTGTTTCTTTAAATCACATCACTCTGTTAAGTGGGCCATCCAGAAGGGTCAGAGTATCTATTCGTCTCTCCCCTCATGCCTACACACACACACACACACACACACACACACACACACACACACACACGTCATCAAATTCTGTGGTTTTGTTTTCTAAATTAGCTCTCTCCTCTGTATGTGCACGTTCTCTCCTTTTCATAGGGCCATCAACACCTCTTCTCTGGACTATTGCTACAGTGTATCAGTGAAGGTCTAACCTCCAAACAGAAACAGTTCTGAGTTCTTAACTAGAGGGAATTTATTTCAGGGAACTGAGCACACAGGTTGGAAGAGGACAGCAACGCAACCCGGATATTAGCAACAGCAGGAAGCTGTTAACTTCCCTGAGCTAAATAAATAAAACAGGAGAATCACCTGGCAGAAGCCAGGACCACAGCAACTGTTCTTCCTCCATCCTCACTCCCTTTCAAGACATATTCTCCAATGCTGCCTTTCTAAAAGGTAAATCCCATTATGTTTGTCCCAATGCCGAGAATTCCTCAGTGGTTTTCTACTGCCCGCATGTAGTCGGAGCTTACTGCATTTTTGACTGCCATGCTGTGCCATGCCCATCACCCCCCAGAAGGCTTCTATTCTCTTAGACTCCATTCTCTAACCTGGAATCCTCCCACCCACATGCTAACAACTGCAAATGCCTTCTCATCTTTCACGACTTATACTGCAAGTCATTTTTATTATCATGTCTCCCATGTTGTGTGTTCTCCCTCTTTTTCCCTCCTCTTTCTCTCTCCCTCCCCCAACCCCATCTCCTTTTCCCTTTTCTCTCCATTTCTTCTTCTCTTTCCTTTTTTACTGTCACTAATGGTATGAGTTGTTCCCCCATGAAAATCTCTATGTTGCCACTGATTTCACAGTACTGCAGTTGTGTGTGTGTGCACATTCATATGCACATGTGTTTGCATATTTTGGCATGCAATATTCAGTTATATGTCTGTCTTTACCAGCTTTTAGCCACCTTGAGGGCAGGAGTATTCATCACATATCATATCTTTTATCAGTTCAATAGTTTCTTGAAAGATGTCTTGAATTAATTTGGTGGTCTCAAATATATTTATAGGTTCACATATTTCTAAGACTGGAAGTAAAATCTTAAGCATTTTATGGGAATTTCTTACTGCATCAGAAAAAATTATTGAAAGAGAAAATATTTCTTACATTAGTTTTTCCAGGGCGAATACAGGTTGTCTTTTTTTCTCTGATGCTCTGTAAACACAGTTTGAGTGGGATTGAGAGGTGACAGCGTGCTGGCAGCGCTCGCAGCCCTTGCTCGTTCTCGAGTCCTCCTCTGCCTGGGCTCCCACTTTGGCGGCACTTGAGGAGCCCTTCAGCCCGCCGCTGCACGGTGGAGCCCCTTCCTGGGCTGGCCGAGGCCGGAGCCGGCTCCCTCAGCTTGCGGGGAGGTGTGGAAGTAGAGGCGCGGGCAGGAACCGCGGCTGCGCACAGCGCTTGCGGGTCAGTGCCAGTTCCGGGTGGGCGTGGGCTCCACGGGCCCTGCACTCAGAGCGGCCAGCCAGCCGGCCCCGCCCGCCCTAGGCAGTGAGGGGCTTAGCACCTGGGCCAGCAGCTGCTGTGCCGGACTTCTCGCCGGGCCTTAGCTGCCTCCCGGCGGGGCAGGGCTTGGGACCTGCAGCCCACCATGCCTGAGCCTCCCCCACGCTGTGGGCTCCTGCGCAGCCGGAGCCTCCCCGACGAGCGCTGCCGCCTGCTCTACGGCGCCCAGTCCCATCGACCACCCAAGGGCTGAGGAGTGCGGGCGCACAGCACGAGACTGGCAGGCAGCTCCACCTGCGCCCCAATGCGGGATCCACTGGGTGAAGCCAGCTGGGCTCCTGAGTCTGGTGGGGACTTGGAGAACCTTTATGTCTAGCTAAGGGATTGTAAATACAGCAATTGGCACTCTGTATCTTGCTCAAGGTTTGTAAACACACCAGTCAGCACCCTGTGTCTAGCTCAGGGTTTGTGAATGCACCAATCCACACTCTCTATCTAGCTACTCTGGCGGGGTACTCGGAGAACATTTATGTCTAGCTAAGGGATTGTAAATACACCAATCGGCACTCTGTATCTAGCTCAAGGTTTGGAAATACACCAATCAGCACCCTCTGTCTAGCTCAGAGTTTGTGAATGCACCAATCAACACTCTGTATCTACCTACTCTGGTGGGGACGTGGAGAACTTTTGTGTCCACACTCTGTATCTAGCTAATCTAGTGGGTACGTGGAGAACTTTTGTCCTCCACCTTCCCCTTGTTCTAGCTCAGGGATTGTAAACACACCAATCAGCACCCTGTCAAAACGGACCAATCAGCTCTCTGTAAAATGGACCAATCAGCAGGATGTGGGTGGGGCCCGATAAGAGACTAAAAGCAGGCTGCCCCAGCCAGCAGTGGCAACCTGCTGGGGTCCCCTTCCACATTGTGGAAGCTTTGTTCTTTCGCTCTGTGCAATAAATCTTGCTGCTGCTCACTTTTTGGGTCCACACTGTCTTTATGAGCTGTAACACTCACCGAAAAGGTCTGCAGCTTCACTCCTGAGCCAGCGAGACCATGAACCCACCAGAAGGCTGAACACATCCAAACATCAGAAGGAACAAACTCCAGACACACCACCTTAAGAGCTATAACACTCACCACGAGGGTCCACGGCTTCATTCTTGAAGTCAGTGAGACCAAGAACCCACGAATTCCGGACACAGGATTACTAGTGTGGCCAGTGCTCATGAACATAGATCCTTTCTTACCTTATAATTCTGATGCTTAAAAGAATATGTAAAAAAATTAAAAATGTATGCTTTAGCTTCAGGAAGAATAAAACAAAAAGGCACATATTAAGTATAGCAAAAACAATCTCTACCTTTAAAAAATACCCTACTTTCGGTTGGGCTCTTCATGAGTTATATCAAGAATATTCTGTTTGTTTTACTACAGTTCAAAAGACTTTTTCTAATTCTCTAGCCCTCCTGCCCCCACTTACTGGCCATTTTACTGAGCACCTATTGAAAAACAGTAAATGTTTACTTACATTAATTTATTTAATATTCACAATAACTACATGAATGGGGGTAACTGTTTCAGCTCTGTGTTATAGATGAGGGAACTGAGGCACAGATAAGTAACTTGCTCAAGGTCACATGGAGGTGGGCTGCAGAACTGGAATATAAGCCAGTTCTGACCTCAGAACCCATATACTTAGCCACTACACCATTCTTCCCTATGTGCCAACATTTCTTTTCACCCCTGCACATTCAGCTCAAGAATAGAGAGGAGGGAATAGGAAGCACACTGTGTCCTTCACAGCTTATCCTCTCTGTCCTCTATGGATAAAATGTGCCAATGAAGGAATGACATTACTGCTATAAAGTAATCGCTGGGGTCCTTCTGCTGACCAAGAGAGATCTAAGAGTGATGTAGTTTGGAAGCAAAGAAAAATAATATTTGCATGTATTTACAACCTGCCTTTCTCAGAAAGGATTTAAGGTGTTTCACTAAGATACGTACATTACTGACAGATAAAGTAAATTAAAATAGGTAAGAAGCAAAGCAAAGGGAAAGTTGGGATAGAGCAGTACAGTGAGCACACACAACACAGGCCATGAATTTCTAGTGACTTGGCAATAGCTAGCTTGACGTTTGTCTCTAAGCTACATACCAGCCAATGAAAACAGAGAAATGAGATGAAATAGTTGATTTTTCTACAAAATACAAATAAAGTAGTTGCTCAAGAGAAGCCCAAATATTTCCACTACTAAGAATAGACAGAAATAACATCCATGGTCTTCCAGAAAGCACTCTGTATTATATAATAAGCAGCATCCTTCACAACCTGCCCAGAGTCCATGCAGAAACGAATGTCAAAGATGACTTTGCATAAGATTCCTCCAAAATATGCATGAGGCATGTAAAACATGGGCCACAGGCTCAGTTGTGCCAGAGGTGTTGTTTTATTATTTTAAACCTCTTTGAGAAGTGGTCTCGTATAGTCTGCTACAGACTGCCTAGATTTGAATCCTGGCTTTGTAACTTCTGAGCTGTGAAACATCGGGCAAGACCTCTCTAGGTCTCAGTTTAATCATCGATAAAACAGAGACAATAATGACAATAACTCTCTCATATGACTGTGTGAGACTTTTGTTAGTCACTACACATAAAGTGCTTAGGGTAGTGTTTGGGACACAGTGAGCACTGTATTCATTTCTGCTGTTATATGGATTATTGAATATCTAAATTTATTTTTCAAGAACCTATTTCCCAGGTGACAGAAACTTCATCAATTCAGGGTTTCGTCTAAGTTCCAGAGAGCATATTTAGTGGCTGACAATGGGAAGGACTTAGAGGAGCTCGGTGAGAAGGCATCTGGTCCTTAGTGTCATCAGTCCCCCTTAGCATTCCTTTGAATTTCCTCTTTCTTCTTGTCAAAGCTCTTGCTCCAAACGGGTTAATGTTTGTTCCCAACTAACTATTGCACACCCTAGGGTACATGGAGATCAGTTTGCTTCTCTCACAATGTGATGGGATCAGGAAAGGCAATGAGTCTGCCTTAGGCCCATCTGTCTCTGTGGTCTTACTGATTTCCCTGACCCCACCTCAGAGAAAAAAACACAGTTCCCATTTGGTATCCTATTAATGAGCCTACTGGGGAACTCTATGGATAATCCACCTCCTGGGATTAACTGAGGGGAAGAAAGGGTGACTCACACTCTTTTTAGAGATTGTCATTTATGCAATCATCACTTCTCTTCCATCAGGAGAATTCTTACTTTTATCTCAGTGGCGAAGTTGAGGGGAGCTTTGCGTGGGTCATCATATCTTCACAAACTCATGTATGCTGTGGTCTTGGCTTGTGCAACTCAAAAGACAAGAATTGGAATCTTTTCTCTCTCAGTGTTTCTGATGTGTGATTCCATCCCTAAGACAATGAATGTGGAGGGCTGGCAGAATGGGGAATGGAGGAGTCAAGGTGTCCACGGGATTGTGTCTACAGTGAGTGAGCTAACACTGGTCTAATATTCTCCAACATATCCTACCACATAAAATTAATTATAGCATATTTCCTAAGCATACTTCAGTTAATGGAATTCTGTAGTTGTCTAGTGTGATGAGATCCATATTTGAAGCTTTCTTCTCTTTATATTAATACCTAGGCAGATTTGAAAGAAGACAGAAAAATGGAAAGACTGAAGACAAGAGCAATATAAGCATTATGCAGATTTTTTAAAATGAGTTAATATAGTGATACTTTGTTTTTTTCAAAATTCTGAATAGTGGGCACAACTTGGTGCTGGCTGATCCAGCAGGAGCTCCAAGTGGTCTATTCCAATTGTCAATTCAAACTATTTTTTAAGCTGTAAACAAGGCTAAAATAGCATGCAACAATATATATGAACAACACTCTATTTTCATATACTCCGGACCACTAAGACTAAGATGTATTAGGTAAATCTTTCATGTTATATGTTGTATGCTGATAAACTCAGGACAAAGAACTATGCAATTACAAGTCTACACGGGCCTTCAAAGATCCAGTTCTTTTACACCTTTATTTCAGATATGAGAAAAGTAGGACTGAGAGGGTTATTTGAAATCACATTCTTTTTTACATAAATATATTAAAACAGAAGAACAAAATAATACACCACATAAGATTTATTTGTCATTGGACCAAGAATTCGGCTGCTGGACAGTCATGCTGACCAATTTTTGACTGTAACTCTGTATGCTTTCTATGACTAGAAGCCCTTTAGAAAGGTCTGCTAAGTAAATTCAACAAGCATCCAGTCAATCTGTAAATGCCTCATGGATAGGTGCTTACTCTATCCCCAACAGTACTTAGTGAAATATCCTGGGGAAAACGTATGCTAATATGTTTATTAACTTTGATGATGAGGAGCAGCATATATTGATGACCATACAGCCTAAATGTCCTTCGCATTTTCTTCAACTCTTACAATCCTGTCTTTTCTTTAAAGCTCAGGCAAAGCCCAACCCCAGGCATGATATTTTTCCTGACTATTCTAGCCTACCCTTATTCCTCTCTTCCTAACCACCTATTTCCCTTTCCATCAAATACCTATTCATTTAAATATATATTTCTACTTAATTATATGATTATGTTTCAGCATAATCTCCATAACTAGATATTAGATTTCCAAAGATCATTTACTATATTCTACACCTTTAATGTTCCACTCGTCATCATCGTCACCAAAGCTTCAAAGATGAGGTGCAAATATTATCCATTAATACTTCCTTTATACTCTTTGAAGTCCCATAATTATTTCTAAATTCCAATATTCCTTTGTCAGGTTTTAGGGGAACTACCCATTTCCAAAGTACTAAGCTTTGCCAAGTAAGTTATGTCTAACCTTCCCCTATACTTAGTCTTTCCATCATAAAATCACAAATATTTTAAGCCATTCCCCAAATGTAGAAGCTAGACTTTCTTCCCCCATTCTAGAAAACTTCTCTAGAATGTCTTCATTTCCATTTCACATTTTGAAGTCTGGTAGGTATATATGCAAACGCTTATACCACTGTGTTGTAAAGGGTAAAATAACATTTTCTATTTTATTTTTAATATTCTTCTCAATGAAGGTAAACTTTTAACATGGAATAAGAAAATAATATTGACAAAAGTGTTTAATAAAAAAACTTCTATAGTTTGATATTTCCTAATAATCTATATTGAAAATACAATAAAACATCATATTAGACATACAGGATTAACTATGTTTTGCAATTTTTAACGCAAACATTATTTAATTCCCTGTAAGGTTATCTAATGAATAACTTATGATTTTTAAAAAAAAAGCTTAAGTACTCTCTAGAGTGCATTGCATACACAGAAGGATGGTGTCAGGAAATCATACTATTGACCAGATAGAAATAATAGAAGTATAATTTGTCAACTATTCAAACTGGAAGAATAACAGATGACTCATTAAGCCTGTATTCATCCAAAGTATAATATTATAAAAATTTCAACCATCTCTAAATAGCTTATCTTGTGGGAGGTCAGGAGCAGGTGTTTTGGACAAATAAATTTTGAATCTTGAATATATTGTTTTTAGCAAGTCTTTCAGTGGTGGTTTATTAGTCCTTCAGATTGATATGTTTGAATTTATGGCAAACCACTTAACAGAAAGTCTACCAATCCATAGAAATAATGTTTACAACTTCAACTTATAGCCTATATCATGTTGACAGTGTAGTCTTTCAAAAGTAGTCTATGAAAATGTACCATATAATGGTAATATTGGTGGATCAAAAAAACCACAATTACGTAAACACTTGAAGCTTCAGTTGTTCTCTAGCTCAAACTTTTGCTGCTTTCCAGAGGCTATCTTTGGGGAAAATATTCATATATATATGCAAAAACATTTACATTTTAGCACACTTGATAGTCTTTAAGCTATTAATATTATTAAAGACCTTCAGTCAAAAACCACCTGGATCAGATCTGTTATTGGACAAATGTGTTTCCTGACCCACTGCAATGAGGGAACTATGGGGAATCTCAGTAAGAATGTGTCTGCCATAACTTATATGATTTGAACTTGTGTTAGGTGTTTTGGGGGAGAGTTCACAAAAGCAGGACTTTGCTCTGGATAGGATGTTGTCAAAAACAAAGAGTTCTCTAGTTTGGGTATCTTACTCAAATTCTCTGATTGGGTATCTTAAAAATTCTTAACTATCAATCAAGAAGAATGAAGTGACGTTAAAGCTGTGATTGGTGATCAAAAAAACTGGAAAAAGAAAATGTGGCACATATACACCATGGAATACTATGCAGCCAGAAAAAAGGATGAGTTCATGTCCTTTCATGCAGGATATGAACCTTCATCCAGGGACAAGGATGAAGCTAGAAAGCATCATTCTCAGCAAACTAACACAGGAACAGAAAACCAAACACTGCATGTTCTCACTCATAAGTGGGAGTTGAACAATGAAAACACATGGACATAGGGAGGGGAATATCACACACCAGGGCCTGTTGAGGGGTGGGGGGCAAGGGGAGGGATAGCATTAAGAGAAATACCTAATGTAGATGATGGGTTGATAGGTGCAGCAAACCATCACGGCATGTGTATACCTATGTAACAAACCTGTAAGTTCTCCACGTGTATCCCAGAACTTAAAGTATAATAATATATATATTATAATATATATAACATATATATTATATATTATATATATTATAATATATATAACATATATATTATATATTATATATATTATAATATATATAACATATATATTATATATTATATATATTATATATAACATATATAATATATATACACATATATGTGTATATATTATATATGTTATATATAACATATATATATAATATATATGTTATATATAATATATATATATATTATATATGTTATATATAATATATATATAATATATATGTTATATATAATATATATATATAATATATATATAATATATATGTTATATATAATATATATATATATAATATATATATACCGATAGAAAATATCTGTTGATTTTCTGGTCTGCAAAATGTTTATGTCTTTGGCTGAGTTCGGGTGTGCATATGTAGTAGTATCATTTTTGTCTAGCCAATTATGATCACCTAGGGTCCTTATGTAATGTTGATCGTGAGTGAGATTCAGTGTTCAAGAGAAGAACACCACAGCCCACCAGGCCAGCCCCAAATATCAGCACCTGCCTTTCTCTTTCTTTCTTAACATATAAAAAATGAGCATAAAGTGGGTGGGGTCATCATTCCTACAGAGTAAAATAGAGTCACAAACAGGAACTCAACTCCACTTTACTTATATTGTAGGCTATAATCAGCATCTTATATATTTTTGGCATTACTGTGTGTTAGAAATATAGCAAATATTTCTATAAGTATTTCAACTAACTCACTTCCTCCTGCTACAAATAACTATTGACTTTCGACTACAGAAAGTCTTTGTCAAAATCTGTATCAAAATTCAATATCACTGTTAGAAAGCTAACGAAATAGGAACTAGGTGAAAGATGAGAGTGAGCCTACATTCACATCACATCTGAATTTCTATATAACGGAGCATTTTGTCATGAGTATTTCCTATATGCGCAGGCACTCTCAGGACTTAGGACTACAATAATGAATAAGATCAAGACCCCATCCTCAGTGTATTTTCTGCCCTATGATAGGACTATAGTTTTCTCATTCCTCATTTTACATTGTGAAATAAAATTACATCACTTTACTGAGTAGTCAAAAAAGAAAATTAATATTGGTCTATACCATGTGTTCATGGCCAGTTTTGGTTCTTACAGTCAATGTAAACTTTTTTTTTTTTTTTTTTGAGACAGAGTTTCACTCTTGTTACCCAGGCTGGAGCGCAATGGCGTGATCTCGGCTCACCACAACCTCCACCTCCCGGGTTCAAGTAATTCTCTCGCCTCAGCCTCCCAAGTAGCTGGGATTACAGGTATCCGCCACCCCGCCTGGTTAATTTTGTGTTTTTCGTAGACATGGGGTTTCACCATGTTGGTCAGTCTGGTCTCAAACTCCAGACCTCTGGTGATCCGCCCACCCTGGCCTCCCAAAGTGCTGGGATTACAGGCGTGAGCCACCGTGCCCGGACCAATGTAAACTTTTAATTAAATTTTGGCCACTGGTTTGCTGGTTCACTGATGAGTTGTAAATATTTCCTCTCAAGTCCACAAGCATCTCATATAAACTCAAGAGGATAAAAATTCTAATTGCATTCCAATTATTGATGAAGTTTTTTTTAATTGTTTATGCTATCAGTGGGAATTTGATTTGTTTTAAAACTTGATGTTCATATGCAGATATAAAGTTATAAGATAAAGTTTTGTAAATCACACTGTAATAATACACAGCAATTAAATTAGGCCACTAAATAAAAACTGTGCCAAATGTAGAAATTAACAAGTTATTTAAAAAAATCAACAAGAACAATTTTTTTGAAATTTTAACATTTAAATTCAATTTTAAAACCACAAACAAAAGTAGTACATATTGTTATCTTCACAGGAAAACAGTATAATTATCTAAATAGGTCCTAGACGTTAATTATCTACCTACGTATCTACCTATATCTCTACCTATTTACCTACCTATCTAACCATCTATGTCAATTTTAGGTCCTAAATATACTCCATCTGCCTATCATCTATCTATTGATTGACTGACCTATCTATCTACATACCTACCTATCCTTGATTAATTAAATGTCTTAAATTTCTTAAAACTGTCTTAATTTTAAACCAACTAGAGTAGTGGCAAATATCAGAAATATCTTATTTTCTTCTTCTTTATCTCATTTGTTAGATTTAGAGAGACTACCATCCTCTCTAAACCTAAAAACATACACGGTATATCAAATAAAACCTCCCCAACAGTTTTTGTTTCTATAATGAGGATGCTCTTGTAGTTTCATTATTAAAAGAAATATACATATACTCACATAATCTAGCCTTGTCTGCTATTTATTCATTCGGTCACAAAATAAATATTTACCGAGCGTCCTCCAACTATTTGTAGAAAATTATGTGGAACAGAGCAATTAAAATAAACAAAACACAGTGCTTCATCTTAAAGAGTTTGCAGCCTAGGAGGAAAGATTAAGGCATGTACACAAATATTAAAAGAAAGCAGTTATCATTACAGATAGGGGCAAAACCTTCTGAGAGTTCAGACAAGGGAGTGATGGCTCCGGGTTGGAAATATCGTAAGTTTTCATAAGAAAAAAATGTGTCTTAACTATGGATTAAAATATAGGATTACAGATAGAAACTGAGGGATATCTACTGTGTTCCTTGGGGACCCCGCCTCCCTAATTCTTAGTTCACCCCCAGTTCTTCTTCACATTCATTACCATAAAGCTCTTGTTTTACTTAGTCTTCTGCAGCTCACCTTCCAACTCTAAAGGTAGGGCTCTTTCCATTTAATTTTCTTAATTTCATTTGGCTATATCATCCAATATCCCAGTTGATAGCAATACTTTTTTAATTAAAAAATCATAGTGACATATAATATGCATTGAGGCAATAATTTGAATCCTCTTCTTTTCACATCCATCACAGCAGTCATCCTTCCCTAGTTTCCCATAACTGAAACTGGGAAGCACACTTTTTACACACTCATCCAAAGAAAGGGAAACAGAATACTCTTCAAGGTGTTCAAACTTCAAAGAAATCAAATTGTTGTTAAGAGGGAAGTATATATAGTCTGAAGTGCACCTAAAAAATTTCTGTAAAAGGTATCCAAATATCTATTCATTCAGTCGTTCATTTTTCTTTATTTTTCTTTTGAGACAGAGTATTGATCTGTCACTCAGGCTGGTGTGCAGTGGTGCAATCTCGGCTCACTGCAACCTCCACCTTCTGGGTTCAAGCGATCCTCATGCCTCAGCCTCTCGAGTAGCTGGGATTACAGATGTGCACCACTACATCTGGCTTTTTTTTTTTTTTTTTTTTTTTTTTGGATTTTTAAGAAAAACGGGGTTTTGCTATGTTGGCCAAGCTGGTCGCAAACTCCTGGCCTCAAGTGATCCTTCCACCTCGGCCTCCCAAAGTGCTGGGATTACAGGCATGAGCCACCACACCCAGCCCAGTCATTCATTTTTCTATTCAACAAATGTTTCTAGAGTACTACTATATAACAGGTACTCTTATAGGCCTCTTTCAGAACTAAGTTCTCTATTTCCTTGGGTTTACATTCTAGAGGGAGGCGATAGTAAGCAAAGAAAATAAAACAACCAGTGAATAAATAGATAAATAAACTGCATAAACAAACTAAGCAAAATATGGTAATAAACTATAATGTTGTAAGCACTATGAAGATTACCAACATCGGGCAACAGGCTACTATGATGAGGTGTTTACTTCATCTGGTAAGTCAGGGAAGCCCTCCTTGAAGAGATGACATGTCAGATGGGACTTACGTGATAAGAAGGAATGACCATACAATAATCCCAGGGGAAGAGCATTCAAGACAGGGTGAACAGCCCTACAATGGGAACAGTGGGAATAAACATGGCATGTCTGAGAAAGAGCCACATGGTTAGAGCACAGAGATGAGAGGACCATGGTACAAGATGAGGACAGAGAGCTGAGCAGGAAGTTTCAAAGCCAGGACAAGGAATACAGATTATATTCTAATTGCATTGGGAAGCAATTGAAAAGTTTTAAGCTAGTGAGTGGCATGGTATCATTATTTTAAAAGATTACTTTATCTGCTATACCCAGGATGGATTCTAAGGAGTAAGAGTGAATTTCAGAGAGACCACATTAGGCAGCAATAATCTGGGCAAGAGAAGATGATGATCTGTACTAAAACTGGACAGAAATAGATGAATTCAGAAGATATTTTTAGAGATAGGACTTATAATAGATTGGATATGAGAAGATGCAAAAGCCAGAATAAATGCTAACTCCCAGCTTTTTTACTTAGACAAACTGGATGTATGTTGATGAAATTGGCTGAGATGAAACAATTGAAGAGGAACAGATTTGTGAGACACATGACCAAGAGTTGTTCTTGGGACACATTAAATTTGAGATGCTTGTTAGAGATCCATGTGAAGAGTGTAGGCAGTTGGAAATATGAGTCTGAAGGTCCAGGGAGAATTCAAGTCTGGAAATAAAGATTTTAAAGCCTTTCAGAGACAGAAGGTATTTACAGCTATAGGATCAAAATTCATCACCTGGAGAAAGAGTACAGCCTGACAAGAGAGGAAGGTCCAGGAGAGAGTCTTGAAGAACTTCAATGTCTAGATATTGAGCAGAGGAGAAATTAATCCAGAAAACTGAGAAGTAGCCATTCAAATGGGAAGAAAACTAAGAGAGTGTGATGTCACCAAACTCAAGAGAAGAACGTGCTTCAAGAAGGAGGGAGTAGTCAACTTTGCTGAATGATGCTAGGAGTTAAGAGAGGTGAAGATTGGATTTGTCTAAATGGAGGCCACTAGTAAAAGTAACAGCTCTGTTAGGGGAGTGCTGAGGAATCTCAGGGCTTTTTCCAGAATGGGATGGAGTTGAAGAGAGAAGAGGAAATGAAAGAATAGAAACAAGACTAGAGACAACAATTTCAAGACATTTTGCTCTAAATAGGGCATAGAGAAGTGGGGTGGTATATGGGGTTAAGAAAGGATTTTGTGATAGATGATGATAAAGTTCTTTGTTATTATTATTCATGTTGGAATGATCTTGTATTTACAGGGAAATGTTGCAGAAGAAAGAACAGATAAACCACAGCAAACCCTTGGACAAGAAGTAGACTCCACAGAGGAACATGTTCGTTGACCTCAAAAAGTTTATCTCAGCTATGATTATAAGCCAATTTTCTTTCAGTTTGTACTTTTGTCTACATTAAAGACACTGATAAATGATATAAGAAAATAGTTAAGCCCACAACATCTAATCTGCATACCAAGGCCTCATCTGCCTCTTTACAGACTCCTATCTTCACTACTCAACTGGTGAAGGGAGTTCTAATCTGCTTGGTTATATTCCAGGACACCAATTCTGCCAGAGTTACCAGCAGTTGGAACACTGAGCATACAAAGGTCATAGAGAAAGGTGCGATTCTCTCTTCCTTCTTTGCTACTGCACTAGTAAGAGACCAGAGTCTTCACCTGCTGTGGTCCCACTTCCCTCTCCTTTTCTCCCTTTGCCTATCTTTTCCCTTCCTAAGGAACAGCTTTCCTGCAGATAGAGGCTCCAGGCAACTGTTTTCTGTCCCTGATTCTCTTTCCTTTTCTCTCCTACCTTATAGAAGTAGTTGGTAGTCTTAGGGCTCTTTCCATCAATGAAGGACCCTGTTAGATTCCTTTCTAGAAAATAATTTTCCTTTCTCAAGTGTGGTACATCCTAAAATTCAGATTTGGGCTTCAGAGCTAAAAAAGTGTTTTGTTTTTGTTTTTGTTTTGTTTTTTTCCTATCCAGGCTGCCATGGACTGGGAAAAAAAATTTAGGTCCATTGGACAAATATCAAATAATAGTCACAAATTATTATCTCCAAAATCCTTGCCCCCAAATACAAACAAAGATAGCATGAATACTTAATTATCAGAGTACTTAATCAAAAGCAAGTTAGGACTTGACAGCTTTGGTTTGGGCAGACAGTCCCTGCAGAGTAGTCTTGGACAGATCCCTCATTTTACCTATGGAAGTTAGAGGTTCTGAACCCAAAAAAAAAAATGTTGTCTTTACTCCCATAAACTGGAGCTACCCTACAAAGAATATTGACAAATCCAGGAGTTATCTTGGACTCTGATCCAGATGTTAACTTGTTACCACTCTGAGTGGTTTCCCACATCATGTCCCTGCTACCTGCCCTATGTTCCTATGCTTGTCCACTTAACCAGAGTTTTGTTATAGTCTCTTCACCCTCTTCTCCTCACCTGTGACACTACCATTTTATTATTTTATTTAATAAAAATTTGGGAGGCTGAGGCAAGAGGATTGCTTGAGCTCAGGAGTTCAAGAACAGCCTGGGCAACATAGGGAGATCCCATCTCGACAAAAAATTTTAAATTGCACCGGGTGTGGCGGTGTGCACCTGTAGTCCCAGCTACTTGTGAGGCTGAAGGGGGAGAAAGTTGAGGCTGCAGTGAGCTGTGAATGTGCCACTGAACTCCAGCCTGGGAGAAATAGCAAGACCCTGTCTCAAAAAAAAAAAAATTCTTAGTTTAAAACTCATACTTAAGTAACATAATAGTTTCCTTACAGTTGCTTAAAACTATTGGTAAGTATCTCTGGAACTATGAGCAATTTATCTAGCAAGTTGTGTATCTTTCATAAATAATTACATATCTAGATCACGTCATACCATTTTCTTTATTAAAAAGTTTCACCCAAGACTAGTTTACTATGTGGGGATTTCTTGAGAGTTGGGGCCATGTCATGCTCATGTTTAATTTCCTCTAGGCTCTGCCTATACAAAACCTACATATTACTGAATTGAGAGATAGTATATGTGACATATAAACAGAAAGACCCAAAAGGGAAAGAGAATTGACATCCCATACTTAAAAGAGTTCCATTTATATATTAAAGTTTGCCAACCCCAGCACTTGAACAACCTTTTATTTTTTGTACACAATATCTAGTTCGTTCCTTCTTTTATCATGACTTGCTGCCCTCCCAGCCCAGGTGTTGGCTATTCCAGTGATTGGATCAAAGATGACCTTTTATGCATGAAGACAGAGGTAAAGAAAATGCTTATTAAAAGTCTCTGCCTATTGTATGTCATCAGTTAAGAGCTTTCCTTTCCTATCTGACAGAGGGACAGCGTTTTCCTTTATCATTTCCTTGAGTTTAATGTACTAAAAAAACATAGTTTCCATTTTTCTTTATTGTTTTTATCTCATTTATTTAGTTTTGTTGTAGTTGTTGTTGTTATAGCTTTTCTCTGGCTTGAATATGCAGTTAGGCATTAATTTCTCTGCAATTTATTTAATTGAATAATCTATCTTCCATTTTGTTAGCACTCTTTATATTTTTAAGGCACTGTGTTTATTCATGTGAGATTTCTTTTACTCTGCCTACATAATCTGTAATGATGACTGTAAGGCCCAGAGAAGCTCTCTCCTGTGAAATTAAGACTACTCTCCATCAGATGCCTTTAAGAAATGGCGTGAGATTTCAGGAGAAAAAAACGATCTTACTCCTTAAATGGAAGTTTAATAGAGAGAAAGAAAAATAAAATTGAAGAAAGGAAATAATAACTGAACTTGGAATGCCAGGTTTTAAGAGCTCAAAATGATTTCTTGATGTACCTGCTGAGAAAGAAGAATCTTGTGAAAATGTGAATGAAGGTTCAGTGAATGGTTGGCTTAACTGAGGAAGTAAAAATTAAAATATGGGTTGTTTTGACTCTTTCTAGATCCTCTGCTTTCATCTAATGCTGATAAGAAAAACGCCAATCACGATGGAATAGTGAGAATAGAAGACCAAGGCAATTTGCCAACAAGAGGTCTCCTGGCCAACAAGAATAGTAATGGACTTCTTGTTTTACAAATCCTTAAAGATAAGAAATCTTATATCTAAAACCATGCTGGTCAGAGCACTTGGTGCCCTTATGCATATGAACTGGGAGATAATCTATGGATTTTGAATATTATTGCCACCTAAAACATTTTTCTCTTACTTCCCTTTATATTTTCTGAAGTCTTTTTTTCATTTATTAAATTCCACTCTATTCCTATCATTATCGTGAAACTTTCCTTGCTTCCCATTAAAATTCCTAATACGGTGCATGTCCTGATGGATAAAACTTAGAAGAGCTTTCCTTTCCTACTTATTTTCTTTCCTTTCTACATGACTACATTAAATATTAAATAACTCAAACATATTCTGGTAATTTGAAAAATTCACTGCCCTTTAAGAAACTGTTTGAGGAGTTTTCTCTTCTTACTAAGTATACACTAATATAGAGATGTTTAAATCAACCCTAGGACACTATGATATTTTAGTGCAGTTACTCCAATCTCTGAATACTTTTCCATCTACCAGACTTTTATTTACCTAGAAAGCTCAGTAAACATTATTACTTTTATTATTGATATTATTATTATTTTACTTGTTAGAAACATTTTTATTTTCTACAATTTATTTTGTATATTTCAAACCTTCAAAAGTTACAATACTAAATAATAAACATGCACATACCCTTTGCTTAGAATTACAAATTGCTAACATTTTGCCACATTTTCTGTATGCTTCTTTCTCAGTACTAAAAATAATAGGCCGGGCGCGGTGGCTCACGCCTGTAATCCCAGCACTTTGGGAGGCCGAGGCAGGTGGATCACGAAGTCAGCAGATCAAGACCATCCTGGCTAACACGGTGAAACCCTGTCTCTACTAAAAATACAAAAAATTAGCCAGGCCTGTTGGCAGGTGCCTGTAGTCCCAGCTACCTGGGAGGCTGAGGCAGGAGAATGGCGTGAACCCAGCAGGCAGAGCTTGCAGTGAGCCGAGATCACGCCACTGCACTCCAGCCTGGGTGACAGAGCAAGACTCCGTCTCAAAAAAAATAAAATAATAATAATAATAATAATAATAATAATAATAATAATAATAATTTCACTATTTTTATCATTTTGTGAACCATTTGAAATGTAAGTTGCATGCACTATGACCTTTTATCCTAAGTAGTCCAGTATATATCATCTGAGAAAAACGACATTCTATTATGTAGCCAGAGTATATTTCACTAATTCAGAACAATTAATTTTGATGAACACAATTATGTAATACACAGTACAGATTAAATTTTGCCAATCATCCTAATAATGTCCTTTATAACATTTTTTATGCAATTAACAATCTAATCTAGTCTCATATTTTAGTCTTATATAAGGTGGTATCACCTTTCTCTGATAGCATATGCAAATAATTTGTATTTTAATTTCATACCTCCAGTCATGACCTAAAATTTAATAATTCCTGTTCATTTACAAATTTCCTGAATTTGAGTTTGTATAACCACTTGAGAGTGTATATCTCGATCTGTTTACTTTCATGACCTTCTGATTGCTCTAAAGAATCTATGCCCTTAGATAACATCTGTAACCAGTTCTTACATAACTTTTGATCTGGTTTCCTTCCACTAAGTTTACAAACTCTTCCTAAAATCCCTTCTGTTCTTGGATGCTGACAATGTAACTATCTCCACCCTCCATTATTTCCAGACCACATTACAACTCAGGAAAGCCAAGTGTACAGATCTACCTCCTTTAACCTTCTAGATGCCCATCATCAGCAAGTATAAATTCTTTAAATATTCAGCTTTTGGACTAACATGACAAAAGAGAGTATTACTCAATTTCCTATCTTTTTCTCCTCGTTATACAATTTTGTTTGACCAGCTCAGTATATGTTCTAGCAATACCACTGTGTGTGGATATGGGTTCACACACACACAGAGAAACAAGAATATTAAAACAAAAGTATTAAATAGAGGCTTAACATTTCTAGGATTTAACAAAGTTCTACCTAACATCTTGAATTCAGGCTTCATGTCCTGCAAAATACAGACCCATACAGAGGTGCCAGGCCTAATTAGCATCACAGAGTCAGTAGCACCCAATATTTTAAAGATGCGTCTAGCAACGAATTACAGCATCTTCAAAATCCATCACAGAGGTTCATGAGGACAACTGCTGCTGTGTGTACACACAGCACAACACATGGAATGAAGAGCTTTGGCTTTGGAGTTAGATAAGTTGCGTTCAAATCCCAGATCTGTACATTACCAGCTAGATTCCTTTGAGCAAATTACTTCACCTTTCTCTGCCTTGTTTTCCTCAGGCATAAAATACAGCACATACACTGTAAGTTAAAACAATTCATATAAAAACTTTGCAACACTCCTTAACACAAAGAAAGTCTTCAATAAGTGTCTTTATCAAAAGAGGAGCTGTGGTGCACTTGCTCTTGACTTAATCCCATTAATTTAACCAGTCTGTGGCTGCTGAAGTCCCTCCTGCTGTAATAGCCCCTTTTATTCTCAGGTTTCCATAAAGCCATGTTGTACACATTATAATGCATATCACTAAGATGGGGCATCTGCCCCATAGGACAAAATATCTAAAAAGTCATTTATAAAGTTTATGTAGCCCAACCTCCATTCAATGTTTTTCCCTTTACAACGTCTCTAAAGGATGATTAACTAAACACTTCTAGGCTGAAATTTCATTACGTCACAATTTGGGAAAGGTAAGAATTACTAGAAAATTAGTTCTTATTCTGAACTGGTAGTTACCTCCCTTAAAAAATGTCTATCCATTAGAAAGAACTAATACTTATTGAGTACTTAGCTATCGTGCAATTTACGTATGCTATCTTTTGTTGTCTTCTGCATAACCATGTGAAACAGGTTCTATTTCTTACCCCCTCACCCAATGATGCTATGCCAGTTTTGCACTGGATTTACTTTGCACTGTCATTTCAATGAGTTGTTTCTCAGTGGTTTCCTAGTGCTTCATATGAAAGGTGGACTGAGACCCTGGACCAGTAACTAGATTTCCTCTCACTTATTACCATACATTTTAACATATTACTATAAATTATTCCTCCAAAGTCTTAAACATAATTGACAAACACTGATATAATTCCCAAAAGAAATACATAATATTCACTGTTATAATCACAAACACATAGATACATACTACTATATTCATATTTATTATTTGTATGTGTATTCATGCTCTTCAGTGAAATTTTCTAACATTATAAGCTCTTGAAATCACTCTCACTGCACCCATAAGCACACAATGAAGTAGTTTACATAAACTACATAGTATAGGTCCTTTCCAGAAAGAAAAAAAGAAAAAACTCTTGGCCTACTGGATAGAAAAGTTACAAATTATCCATCCAAAGCACAGATCATAAACCTGACCCCCTTTTTAGATTTTTATTAGGACTGAAATAATTGATACTGACAGAACAAAGAGAAGATTGTTACAACCATAAAAATCATTTTGCTGCTACTAATATAACTGAATCCTACGTCTAATGGATTATGTGGCCAGGCCAGCCTCATAACATCATCTAGTAACTAACTCTGTCCATATGCTGGCGTTCAATGGCCAAAGGCCCCATTTAATTAAGAAGATGGATTTATATGCACTAATAATTCAGGTTAAAGCTTTGAGACCATAGTATTACCCAAGTTAAAAAAAAATTTTTAGCCTCACCATTTTTTCCTACTGAGTACACCTCCTATTTCTGCATGATACCCCATCAAAAACTTACAATATTAGATATGCTTAAAAGTATAAAAACATAATAATATTTAGCACATATTTATATAATTCACGTCAGGATAATTGTCTTCAATTTCAAACAGACCCTCTTAACAAAGAGGGATTATTAATCTTGTGAAAACCTGATATTGAGATAAATCCATTTATCAGACATAGACATGGAAAAACATAGCCAGTTAAATGTAGGAGCAAAGTTATCTAGAAATAACCTAATGGGCTCCTTCATGTGTGGTTTTATATATTTTATTATTTGCTCTAGTCATAAATCATGACATGTATACCGCTGGCTAAAATATCTTCTGGGAATAAAGCTCCTTCATTACAAAGTTAATGTTGAGAAGTACTTTGTAAATCAAATGAAAGAGAACCACTGGGACTCATAGCCATGCACTTCAAAAAGGTCCTAGGTCAAAGTTGCACATCACCTCAAGCTAAGCAAAGATGACAGAAATGACAAGCTCTAGATAATGCTGAGACATATTTTTCTGGAGCAGCTATTATGCACCAGGCACTCTGATGGGCTGTGCCAACACAACAACCCCTACTCCTCTTTCCCCTATCTTGAAATTTATGGATACTGGGAGCAAAAACCAGGAAAAGGGAAACAGTACATTCCATAATCTAAATAGGGCAAAACACAGTCATTTTCATAAGGGAGGTCAAGAGGAAAGGATCTGGGGAGGAAGAAACTTGCCATATTCTTGAGTATTCAGTTACATAATGAAATAAATCAGGAATAAAATTAAGAAAAAAAAATTTAAAAACCTTTGTTTCTCTCATTTGCTTGGTATAAAGCAAGTATACTTAGATTTAAGCATCAATGTTTTAATTTAACTTTTGAATGCCTATGACAGCTAATTCAGTCTGATTGGGCTCAAAGTGGAAAGAGTACAAAGAGCAAATAAACCAGCAAGGAAGACACACTGGGCCTGAGATTGTCTGAGATAAGATCAATAGTAAGTACTAGTAACCAGTTATTACTTATCTCCTTAAAAGAATTCTCCTTGTGGTACTGGTACCATTCCTTCTGAAACTATTCCAATCAATAGAAAAAGAGGGAATCCTCCCTAACTCATTTTATGAGGCCAGCATCATTCTGATACCAAAGCTGGGCAGAGACACAACCAAAAAAGAGAATTTTAGACCAATATCCTTGATGAACATTGATGCAAAAATCCTCAATAAAATACTGGCAAACCGAATCCAGCAGCACATCAAAAAGCTTATCCACCATGATCAAGTGGGCTTCATCCCTGGGATGCAAGGCTGGTTCAATATACGCAAATCAATAAATGTAATCCAGCATATAAACAGAGCCAAAGACAAAAACCACATGATTATCTAAATAGATGCAGAAAAAGCCTTTGACAAAATTCAACAACGCTTCATGCTAAAAACTCTCAATAAATTAGGTATTGATGGGACGTATTTCAAAATAATAAGAGCTATCTATGACAAACCCACAGCCAATATCATACTGAATGGGCAAAAACTGGAAGCATTCCCTTTGAAAACTGGCACAAGACAGGGATGCCCTCTCTCACCACTCCTATTCAACATAGTGTTGGAAGTTCTGGCCAGGGCAATTAGGCAGGAGAAGGAAATAAAGGGTATTCAATTAGGAAAAGAGGAAGTCAAATTGTCCCTGTTTGCAGACGACATGATTGTATATCTAGAAAACCCCATTGTCTCAGCCCAAAATCTCCTTAAGCTGATAAGCAACTTCAGCAAAGTCTCAGGATACAAAATCAATGTACAAAAATCACAAGCATTCTTATACACCAACAACAGACAAACAGAGAGCCAAATCATGAGTGAACTCCCATTCACAATTGCTTCAAAGAGAATAAAATACCTAGGAATCCAACTTACAAGGGATGTGAAGGACCTCTTCAAGGAGAACTACAAACCACTGCTCAAGGAAATAAAAGAGGATACAAACAAATGGAAGAACATTCCATGCTCATGGGTAGGAAGAATCAATATCGTGAAAATGGCCATACTGCCCAAGGTAATTTACAGATTCAATGCCATCCCCATCAAGCTACCAATGACTTTCTTCACAGAATTGGAAAAAACTACTTTAAAGTTCATATGGAACCAAAAAAGAGCCCGCATCGCCAAGTCAATCCTAAGCCAAAAGAACAAAGCTGGAGGCATCACGCTACCTGACTTCAAACTATAATACAAGGCTACAGTAACCAAAACAGCATGGTACTGGTACCAAAACAGAGATATAGATCAATGGAACAGAACAGAGCCCTCAGAAATAACGCCACATACCTACAACTATCTGATCTTTGACAAACCTGACAAAAACAAGCAATGGGGAAAGGATTCCCTATTTAATAAATGGTGCTGGGAAAACTGGCTAGCCATATGTAGAAAGCTGAAACTGGATCCCTTCCTTACACCTTATACAAAAATCAATTCAAGATGGATTAAAGATTTAAATGTTAGACCTAAAACCATAAAAACCCTAGAAGAAAACCTAGGCATTACCATTCAGGACATAGGCATGGGCAAGGACTTCATGGGCAAAAACCCAAACACCGCATATTCTCACTCATAGGTGGGAATTGAACAATGAGATCACATGGACACAGGAAGGGGAATATCACACTCTGGGGACTATGGTGGGGTGGGGGGAGGGGGGAGGGATAGCACTGGGAGATACACCTAATGCTAGATGACGAGTTAGTGGGTGCAGCGCACCAGCATGGCACATGTATACATATGTAACTAACCTGCACAATGTGCACATGTACCCTAAAACTTAAAGTATAATTAAAAAATAATAATAATAATAAATGAAAAAAATTAAAAAAAAGAATTCTCCTTGTGATACATCTGTCCAACTTATCTTCCATGTAAATAAAGATTCAGTATCTCTTTGCAGTATCTCTTTAATAAAGAATTAACTTCATTTGTTAAAAAAGTAAAAAGATGTTAAAAGATGCCTCCTCAGTGATTTCTCCTCTATATCAAGCAATCTTTACTCTTGGATTTCTCCCTACCTAGCAAGAAAACAACCCTAGTACAGATGAAAAGTCCAAGAGAGGTAATTCACTATCATAGACAATGCCTATCGATTGAATTACGTAAAATACCGTAACTTCCACACACAATGAAGAAGCAACTGACCTCAATTCAATGTGTTCACAAGTCAATATGTCATTCTGCATTCGGAATTAGCATGAACACTCATTTTGAGATATGATAGTATCATTTTGATATCAAAAATAGTGCTTGGATTTTAACCCTTAATCCATCAGCAGTGAATTATTTAAACAATACATTTATAAAGATGTGGGAAGTTTTACACTTTTATACTCTAAGTTTTAACAGAGGCTGAAATTTTCTCTGGGGCATTGGAAATCATCAATCATTTTTGAAAACTGAGGATTCTGAATTGCACGGAAAACTAAATGAAGGGAGGAATTAAATAAAGTTGTTCCCTAGAAAAGTGCCTACGTTTGCAAATTTCCGAACAAACTGAGGAATCTCTGTCTGTTTTGCATATCGAAGCCCAAGTCCAGGCCACTAAGTAAGGTGGTCCTGGCTGAGCACGTCAGTCTGTCTTGATGGGAGGCCATTCTGACTGGACTAAAAGGGAAATCATTTTTCTCCCCCGCTAAGCAATATGGTTTCCTTTGGGGCTTTCCACATTATATTTTGCTAAATGAACAAGCAAACAAAAACCACTGATGCTAACTAACTGCTGCTTGTTGATTTTATTGGATGAATATCTAAAAATGTATCAGAGAATTCTTTTTAACCGCAAATTTCATGACTTACGTTGGTCACTTTTACAAACTACTCCAGAGATTATGCATCATATTTAATCACCTATTTTAAATATTGAAATTGAATATCTGATAATGGAATTTACTTCATTCCTTAAGTTTGCTACCCCAAGACAGGCTTACCATCCACTGGAAGAAGTTTTATCTGGTTCCAGCAAACATGTTCTCAGCAATTAAGTCCTCAAATCTAAAACCTCGTCTTTTATATCACCATTCCAAAATTCAAATGAGATTTCTAATATAAGCTGAGGAAAGATCAGACTTGCAAATTGAAAGGCCAATGATCTCTTCCACTCACCTATCAGTGGATCTAAAATTACCATATATTAGCTTCTTCCTGTGAGTTATGTGATCACCAAAAACACACTGAAAGCATGCTAAATACCCTAGTTGCTAATGAGACAGGACAGGCCAGGGCCCTCTTTACACCAGCACTTATGAACCAAGCTGGTCTTATCAGAGTGAGTAATAAGGAAGTTTGGGGCTGAGAGCAAGTTGAGATAATAGGGCCCAGGACAGAAAAGTTTAATGGGGAAGTGACAAGGAAGGAAGAGTGAACCAAAGAATAGAAAGCGAAGGACTAAACGGGAGGTGCAGTAGGAGCAGTAATTATCAGTACCCTAGAAGGCCAAAGACCAAGACCATAGACCTTCAGAGTTAAAAGCCAGCTTCTAAGGATGCACTACACAAGAAATGGATTGTCCGTTCGAGCTGGTTGCTGTCTAAGTGAACATAAAAGATTTTCTTTTTAAAAATTTGTTGATCTGAGGACTTTACAGGAACTCTTACACTTGATTTGGCCAACAGACATCTTTGTCAATCCTGTAAAACTAAGGATCCATTTTTTTTTTTTTTTGGTATTCTTGCAGCATGGATACTATATGTAGACTTATCAAGACAGACACAATCTCTACATTTGATTATAAAAAAGTTTGGAGGTTAAAATGTCAAGCAGTTTAGTTACAATGAAATAGGGTTTTCTAATGTCTTTAATGGACTCTGACACATTTGTTGAATATAAGATCTTTACTAATTTGTAGTTGAGATGAATATATATAAAATTTCCCTGAACCTCTTTTTCCTGAACTTTTCTTCCTGATTTTAATTTAAATAAAAAGTACCATAATTAATTTCAGAATGTAAATATCTCACTCCTACTTGCCATGAATTATTTTTTTAATTGCCCTATTTCTTGACCTAGTAATTATTGCTTCTCTGATTTACATTGGCTCTCCCCTCCCCCAATCAACCAATTCCTACTTCCAGACAGTATGTTATAGCATTATAAAAATTTACATTATAAAAATTAAGGTTGTCTTAGTAAAATGTAGCTCATATATATCAGGAAAGACATGCATTTTAAGTCTCCCCAACTTCTGAATAAACAATATGCCTATAAAAATATCCATTTAGTGTCAGAATTCTGTATTGAAGCTAAGACCACTATATAGGAATTGAGGCTGATTATGCCTAGCTGTAGTCTACAACACATCTTCCTCTTCTTTCTCTACAAATTTTCTTTTCTAGAAAAAAAACCTATATCTCAGTTTTCAAGAATATGCAGTACATAAGACAGACTATAAACCACATACTGAGAAATATCTATTTAT
The DNA here is from genome assembly GCF_000001405.40 of Homo sapiens. Lineage (NCBI taxonomy): Eukaryota > Metazoa > Chordata > Mammalia > Primates > Hominidae > Homo > Homo sapiens. The sequence goes on along the minus strand of NC_000008.11, from coordinate 105,363,903 downwards.
AAATTAAGTTAATTTTAGAAAATTCAAGGAGGGAAAAATTCATTTTAAACAATAGATCTTTCTTCCTATATGCTCAGATCTCATGGCTTACACAGCTCCTTAGTATCTTCTATGTCCTGTTTTCACTAAAGCTATCTGCCTGCTCCATTCCTAAGTTTCCCCAAACTTAGCATTCCTAAGTTTCCCCAAACTTAGGAATACATATCATTTATTATTGCACCTTCCACAGTGTGTCAGCACATGGCCTCATGGTAAGAGACAGCATGCCATAATAGCAATACTATGGTTGTGGGAGTTGGACAGAGCTGAGTTGGAATCTAAGACGCATTCTTTATTCCTCTGAGTCTAATATGAAGTGTCAGTGTGAGGACAATATGAGATAATCTAAATTAAAGCATGTAGTAGAATATTTGGTACATGGTGGGCACATAATACATGTTAGTTTTCTTCACTCCTTCCCTCATTAAAATTAAAAAACTAAAGCTTACAAAGGACATGTTACACAAATATTGCAGAACAAAATAATTTGGCAATGCTTTCACCTTAGAGTCACATAGCAAATGATCTTGTAAAATGTACATTTCATGGTGTGGCTACCCACAGTGGAAAGATAAAAATGTTTTCTATTAAATATATATTTAGCAAGCCACAGAGAAAATATATGTGACACCACTACTATCCATAGATGAAATGGAGACAAAGATCATTTAAAATTTTATCAAGATCCTAAAACCTTGAAAGAGGTACTAAGAATTATCTTATGAAACATGCAATATTCATGTAGTCCGATTTGTGCAAAGTCCTTGACCCATGTAAAGGTGAGTGGGGATACACGTTCATTCTTGATCACTTTCATGAATCCCTTTAAAAAGTAACCAAGTTAACCAAGTGAAAAGGAAAATATTGGCCAAGGGTTCTTTCTCCCACTCCAGCTGTCTTAGCACCCTCTAAACACAGCCGGCTACCTTAGGAAATATTGTTAAATAATAAAATCAACAGCTATGCTAGAAGAAAACAACACTTTTATTTGTGACCTCTGATCTATGTGTGACTCTTCTGATTTCCAACCAAGGGAATTCTGCACTAAAATTCTAGCAATCAATCAGTAACATGCAACAAATTTAAACTGAATGACACAACACTGCCAATATTACAAACGGGTTCACAAAGCTGCTACTTCCAATATTGTGTACACTCAGACTTTCCGCGCATTTATTCACTCAGGGGAACACCATTTTGAGAAAAGGAACTGTGTTTTATTAACATAAGTATGCCTTCTTCACCTTCCAAGACTCTAGCATTATGATATAAATCGGCACTTGAGTAATGTCAATAAAATTAAAAATAAATAAATATAATCAACAGAACGCAGCAATAAACAAAGCAATCTAAAATCTGAGTCTTCTAAATGAAGAGCCTGCTATCATCACAGCATCTCAGTATCACTAATAGTAATAACCCTCTAGGGCATTATAACTTTTCAGTAGGCGTCAGACATAACACAAATCCAATACAATCAGTATTAGCTGTAAAATACGAACTTAGTAGCACCAATATAAAGATCAGTTACCCTGATCCAGTATAGTTATTGTCACCTCACAATATTACATAACTTAAGAGGATAATGAAAAAAAATTTGGCAGGGCAAATTCTGCCTCTACCTAAATAAAGTGCTTTAGAATCTCCTATGCAATATGATTTTACTTCTAGATGACTTGAAAGTTATAATTGAGTCTCAGATCTAAGCTAGACTAAATTGATAGAGACAAATATTATCCTTATACATTCAATAATATACCGTAGGATTTAAAAAAATAGTATGCACACATACACACACACATTCACATGCAATCATGCCTGGCTTAACAACAGAGATGCGTTCTAAGAAATACACTGTTAGGTGATTTCATTGTTATGTAACATCATAGAGTAAACCTGCCCAGGCTGCATGTTACAGCCTGTTGTTCTTAGGCTAAAAACCTGTACGGCATGTTATTATATAAATAGTGTAGGTAAATATAGCACAATGGTAAGTATTTGCATATCTAAACATACCTAAACATAAAAAAGGTACAGTAAAAATATGGTAATATTATCTTATGGGACCACCATCATATATGTGGCCCATTGTTGACTGAAACATCATGATGTAGTACATGACTGAATATAGAATCTATTAAATGCAAGCTTCAATTTCCATAAAGCATTATTCTGAAAATTTATTTTTTAAAAAGAATTTACATAAATACAGATGATGTAATCTACATTTTTAAATAACACTAGATAGTATTATTTAGGTGATGTTACTAGAGAGAACAATAAATAACTAGCACATATATGTAACAAATGGCAAAAAGTTAAAGATCTCCATGTCTAAAACACCAAAAGCAATGGCAACAAAAGCCAAAATTGACAAATGGGATCTAATTAAACTAAAGAGCTTCTGCACAGCAAAAGAAACTACCATCAGAGTGAACAGGCAACCTACAAAATGGGAGAAAATTTTCGCAACCTACTCATCTGACAAAGGGCTAATATCCAGAATCTACAATGAACTCAAACAAATTTACAAGAAAAAAACAAAACCCCATCAAAAAGTGGGCAAAGGATATGAACAGACACTTCTCAAAAGAAGACATTTATGCAGCCAAAAGACACATGAAAAAATGCTCACCGTCACTGGCCATCAGAGAAATGCAAATCAAAACCACAATGAGATACCATCTCACCCCAGTTAGAATGGCAATCATTAAAAAGTCAGGAAACAACAGGTGCTGGAGAGGATGTGGAGAAATAGGAACACTTTTACACTGTTGGTGGGACTGTAAACTAGTTCAACCATTGTGGAAGTCAGTGTGGCGATTCCTCAGGGATCTAGAACTAGAAATACCATTTGACCCAGCCATCCCATTACTGGGTATATACTCAAAGGACTATAAATCATGCTGCTATAAAGACACATGCACACCTATGTTTACTGCGGCACTATTCACAATAGCAAAGACTTGGAACCAACCCAAATGTCCAACAATGATAGACTGGATTAAGAAAATGTGGCACATATACACCATGGAATACTATGCAGCCATAAAAAATGATGAGTTCATGTCCTTTGTAGGGACATGGATGAAATTGGAAATCATCATTCTCAGTAAACTATCGCAAGAACAAAAAACCAAACACCGCATATTCTCACTCATAGGTGGGAATTGAACAATGGGAACACATGGACACAGGAAGGGGAACATCACACTCTGGGGACTGTTGTGGGGTCGGGGGAGGGGGGAGGGATAGCACTGGGAGATATACCTAATGCTAGATGATGAGTTAGTGGGTGCAGCGCACCAGCATGGCACACGTATACATACGTAACTAACTTGCACATTGTGCGCATGTACCCTAAAACTTAAAGTATAATAATATTAAATAAATAAATAAAAGTATGTTCCCCATTCTTTTAAACAAGCTATGTTATATCTGCCAAAAAATGTGATAAGTATGCAATTCCATTTTTCATCTGTTTCCTCAATCATGTATTTATTTTAATTTTTTACTGTGAGTAAAAATAAAAATGAGTTTTTAAACAAACAAACAAAAAAGTTAAAGATCTCAAGAAATGTCTGAATACTTTTTAAAGTCCAAGATTACAACTAATAATGAACTCCATATTCCTTATTTTTTAGCATCTATCTAAATATGTGGAAGTGATAATAATTCGGTACAGAGACAACTTCTGTCCTTCAGGAAAACAGCCTGATGAAATTGTTCAAAGAATCTGAAATTTCACTCATTTTGCAAATACTTCCCTGTATGATGAAAGAACAGAGCCATGTACCAAAATGAAACCAACCTAAGTGCCAAAATAGGGCCAGAATAAGGTTGCTCTTCAGTTGCTTTCCTTCTCTGCTAGGTCAAAGTGACATAAAACTGAGTACGGCATACATTTACTCTTAGAGAAGACTGTGGGCTTTCCCTTGCTCATCATAGCGATCTAGCTCTTTTGGTTTATATTTTAATCAGTTCAGCTGAATCAGTTCATTCAGAAAAACAGATGAAACTTATAAAATGATCAATATTAGAAACAAAAAATTGGATTCAAAATGTCAGTCTGCATTTTATAATGATGGATGAGAGATCAGAAACCTTTGGATATAGTTTTTTCAATTGAAATATTGAGAGTGGGTGCCTTAGTCCACTCTCATACTGCTATATAGAAATACCCCAGAGTGGGGCCGGGCGCGGTGGCTCACGCCTGTAATCCCAGCACTCTGGGAGGCTGAGGCGGGTGGATCATGAGGTCAGGAGATCAAGACCATCCTGGCTAACACGGTGAAACCCCATCTCTACTAAAAATACAAAAAATTAGCCAGGCATGGTGGCACGTGCCTGTAGTCCCAGCTACTCGGAGGCTGAGGCAGGAGAATCACTTGAACCTGGGAGATGGAGGTTGCAGTGAGCCAAGATCATGTCACTGCACTCCAGCCAGGGTGACAGAGCGAGACTCTGTCTCAAAACAACAACAAAAAAAAAAAAAAAGAAAGAAAAAGAAAAAGAAAAGAAAGAAATACCCGAGAGTGGGTAATTTACAAAGAAAGGAGGTTTAATTGACTCACAGTTCTGCATGGCTGGGAAGGCCTCAGGAAACTTACAATCATTGCAGAAGGGGAAGCAGGCATGTCTTACATGGTGGCAGGCAAGAGAGAGAGAGAAGTCGAGCATGGGGAAAACTACCATCTATCAAACCATCAGGTTCACTCACTGTCACAAGAACAGCATGGGGAAAATTGCCCCCATGATCCAATGATCTCCCACCAAGTTTCTCCCCTCAACACTTGGGGATTACAATTCAAAATGGGATTTGGGTGGGGACACAAAGCCTAACCATATCAGTGAGTTTGTCTGATAATTACCTCTGGGGTTCCACAGACAAGCTCTTTTTTCTTTTCTTTTTAGATGGAGTCTCACTCTTTCACCAGGCTAGAGTGCAGTGGCATGATTTCAGCTCACTGTAATCTCTGCCTCCCGGGTTCAAGTGATTCTCCTGCCTCAGCCTCCCAAGTAGCTGGGACTACAGGCACGCACCACCACACCCAGCTAATTTTTGTATTTTTAGTAGAGATGGGGTTTCACCATGTTGGCCAGGATGGTCTCGATCTCTTGACCTCATGATCCACCCACCTCAGCCTCCCAAACTGCTGGGATTACAGGAGTGAGCCACCGCCCAGCCAACAAGTAGCTCTTAATCTTCAGCATCTATATGGCTCACCTGGGGAACCTGTTACTTACTCCACAGCATCCTAGGATCCACACACAGAGATTCTGTGTCAGTGGGTCTGAGGCAAATCCCACCATTCTGCTTTGCTAACCAGCTTCGAAGTCATGTTGATAGCTTTGGTCCGTGCACTGACCACACTTTGATTAGCACTGCCATCATTGTCTCTGATTCTGGGATTGGCCACCTCTGCATTCTAGGACTGCATCACAATTCAGCTCTAGTGACAACTAAGTCACATGAAAGAATCCTAGCAAAAGTTGAGAAATATGCATTAAAAATAAACCTTGGGGCCAGGCATGGTGAGCTGAGATCATGCCACTGCACTCCAGCCTGGGCGACAGAGCAAGACTCCACCTCAGAAAAAAAAAAAAAATGAATCTTGGGATCCCTTTGTAACATAGTTACTGAAACCAACCCTATAAATGCTGATTTTCTAGCTCCAGTTTTACGACACACTAGGTTATCTCCAATTATCTCCAGGGGTGATATAACAGCTTCACAAAATTAATTTTACTCCATTTTAATTTAACAAGGTTCACATCTGGAAAATGAATGCAGAATTTGTTGGTTGAAGTGAAAGTAAAGAACAGCTGAATCCATTAACTCTGCTCCTATAACCTAAAGCTCTTTGCTTAATTTTGTTAAATTCATTAAGGATTTTGCTTTTAACTTGGACCTTGTGCCTCATTCTAATAGAGTGGCAAAATGCTATGGTCAAGTTGCAAACTATTTATGGAAGGGTAATTATAAATATGTAAAGGCTCTGATGAACCCAGTAACAGGCAGTGGCAGGGGTGGCATCATCATTCTATGGTTAAGGAGATGGATGACTTACACGTCCTTCCTTTTACTAACGTGTTCACTTCCAAAGTCAGTTATTGAAAGTGAAAACGATAGCCCTTAAAAACTGATGGTTTATCTCTATTTATCTTTAGGTTACTGGTAATTGTTTTTTAAGGGAATATACATTTTTTTCTAAGTGGCAAAAAATTTTCTAGAAGAAACATAAACCAACTGACTTTGAAAAAAAAAGTTTGTTATAAATATATGACAAAATATTCAATAATGTCTCCCAATTCATCTCTGTAGCTAGTTATGGTTTTTAAATTTGTAGTCTGATTTTATAAATCAAACAAGACCTGAAGTAAACGCTTACCATCTGCTTACCACATTGCTATGAGATGTAAGGTTTACATAAAAGCAAAAAGGCATAAGAACTCTTTGTGTGTACATGTGTGTCCTTAAAATGCTTACATTCTTCATAGGGAGAAAAAGCTAATATATATGTAGAAAAAATACAGAAAATGTGTCAAACTGTCTGACACTATTAGTGAAACAAGTATAAAAAGGAAAAATTGCTGTGGATTAGGAGAATACTGAAAAGCCTCTTGAAGGATGTGGAACTTCCACTGGACCTTTTCAATCAGAAAGATTTATATGATGGAGAAAAGACAGGGGCATCATATGAACAAAGGCAAGAGGCAGGGACTCACGTGTGTGTGCTGGGAGATGGGGTCTCCAGGGAGCAGTACTACTTCACCGGAACAGAAGCCAGGGGCTTGACAGTAGGAGAAATAGTTTGCAAAAAGCAAAGTATTGCAAATTATGGGAAGTCCTAAAACAGGGTAGACAAATTGGACTTGATAAAGTAGGTAATAAAGAGCTATAGCAGACTTTCAGCAATGGCAATGACATGCTGTTAATTGTTTTTAGAAGATCAGCCTGGTAGACTTGAGGAAGGCAAAATTACAAGCAGGATGAAGCAGTAAGAGGAGGAAAACAGGCAAATCAGTGAGTGGTGCCACTTCTCGAAAAGGCAGGCAAGAAATAGAAATGGATTGGGTAAAGAAATACATGCTAAAAACATTATAGTCATCAACTGTCGGGGGAAGGAGTAAGCCTCAACAACTACAGAGAAAACAAAACAAACTAAATATGGACCAGAAAGGCACTTCTTTGCTGTCTTTTGAAGTAGAACATTATTTCTGCACATGCAAACTGTATATATATATCAGTTTCTAAGCATAGCTGTGAAAAGGGTCAATATTCACAGCATCTGGCTTTATAGGAAGTGCAGGCCTGAAGATGAAAAGCAACACAACTGCTTACAGTGTCTCAGATTACAGATCCTTTTGATCTTACAAAATAAAAAGCAATAAATGGGAAAGAATCCACTGACTATGTGTAATGAATCAAATAGAGCTGTGTATAACTTTTATTGATTGCCAGTCAGCCATTTATTAATATTTAATTAGGACCAACTATGTACAAGCCAATGTGTTAGGTGCCATGGATGATGGGAACATAGAAGAGGTCAGCTGACAACTTCCCCAAGCACCACAAATACATAGAAACCTGTCTTGGCCTTCTAAAGCAGTCATGAACTTGAAAACCAAGTGCCAAAGGGAAATCACTGTACTCTCTCGAACAATAACAAAACTGCTTTATCCTTTACTAAAGAAAGTTTGAATTACAGGATGACAAGAAAAGGAGGAATTCTGAAAGTGGAAAGTTTAACCACTGTGTTTGTTACAATTCCCTTTCACAAAAACTTCCATGTAAGGAGTTATAATTCTATAGCTTTTATAGTTCAAAAAGAAGTAATCAAACCAGGTGTTGATTACAGGAGAGAAAAGAGGGAAGGAGAGAGATGGGGCGTGCTTTATCTTTTCCCAGTATTATACTTTCAGTACAAGAAGCATACATTTTCACCAGTTCATTACAAAATCTGATGACATCTACATGTTCAAACACATATTCCATTTAAATGAATGCATTGTGATTATTATAATTAAGTTCGTACCTGAAATTTATAAAATATGCTGCAACACACACTGTAGTTTTTTTTATTTAGGAATCACCTAAACTATGTTGGTCAAAATGCCTTTGGACATATTCCCTACATATACAAATATAAATGGCAATACATGAATGGGCTTGTGAGCAATCTCTTGTCATTTCCTCTTTTCCATCCAACAGAGGGAAATTAAATAAGAAAACAAAAGCAAGTAAAAATAGATAATATTAACAGCATCTTAAAATTTTAAGTACTCTCCGATCATAAAATTAAAAAGCATGCTTGTTTGTTAAAAGGCACAGTAAATGGAATTATTACTGTAAAATGTTAAGGTACACAGCTCTATAATGGCCCAACTTCCTTCAAGTTTTCAAGTAGGAAATTTTCTAGAATTTAAAAGAACAAAACTATTACCCAACATGAACACATTAATTAGCCAGCAAAAAAAGATACCATAAGAAAGGATTAAAGAATTTGTGTCTGAAGAATTTTCAGTGCAAAACTCCTTAGCATAGTATGACAGGAGAATAAGAATGAAAAATGACAGTTCTTACCAGTTAGAATAAAAATAGCTTGTCAATAGTGACTTCTAAAACTAAAACTTCAAACATCCTTAGCGATATATTTTATTTTGCCAAATAAAAGCATAGTAGGAATGCAACAAACTGTTAATACAGAGAAAGAATTTTTAAATGATTTTACAACAACACTGAATTGTTCATATTTTCCGTGAATAAATTCTCATGTTAAAAAACAGTGTCAATTTTTATATTATGAAAATTGCAATAAAATAGCATGTTACATCTGAAAATATAGAAACTTTAGAACATTTGATTTTTTGTTGCCGCTGTTTTTTGTGTTTTTCTTTTTTTTCTTTTGAGACAGAGTCTTGCTCTGTCGCCCAGGCTGGAGTGCAGTGGCGCCATCTCGGCTCACTTCAAGCTCCGCCACCCGGGTTCATGCCATTCTCCTGCCTCAGCCTCCCGAGTAGGTGGGACCACAGGTGCGTGCCACCATGCCCAGCTAATTTTTTGTATTTTTAGTAGAGACAGGGTTTCACCATGTTAGCCAAGATGGTCTCGATCTCCTGACCTCATGATAAAATATCATCCTACTACATACAATGTTCAAAACTCAAAATTGCGTTGCTTCTCATTTTACTGTGTGTGGTTTTGTACTAAAATTAAATGCATCAGACAGAACACAATTAAGGAATGGAAGAGTAGTTATCTGTTTTATCCTCTTTGAACATACAGATGTTCAATGATCATACCTCACCAATACATGCCTACTGCCACTCATGTTTCACTTTCCAAATACTCAGGGTTTAAAACAGAGCAGACTGCACTTTTGATAACATCTGCTACAACAAATAACAAAAAAAGAGTGTGAAGTCTGATGAATGTTTAAACAGAACATTTTTTATGGATCAGCTAAATCTTTTCTGCTTTTTAATTAAAAGTAAAGAAAATGGAACTTAATTATCCTGTAAAGATTAGCTTGTGGGCATCTTCCTGTAAATTACTTCTAATTGAAAGCAAATTGTCAAGTGACATTCAAAGTACTGTCCTTTAAAACACAGCTGTTCTACTGCTGATTTCAGTGCATTGCAGTGTTTTCTTGTTACAATACGGCATATTTGAATATTTTAACAATTTCACTGGTTTGTATAGATTTCCGTTTAACATATCTTAATCACATTTCTTCGTGTAAAAAAGTTAGCATCCTTAAGTGGTTTGCAGCCTCCTTAAGTAAGCTATCATGAGTGCTCTCCACTGAGGTTTACTTTTTTTTATTTGCTTGCTTAGAGTACCACATCTGGACAACGATGATCCAGGAAGTGGGTGGTCATACTCCTTAGAATACAGCCACAATCCAACTCTTTATGATACCTGTATAATTAAGCCACAGTTTATTGATGTTTTAAAACATACTACAAGTTCAAGTGAAATTCTTACTAGAAACTAAAAACAAACAACTTTTCATAATTTAGCACTTAGAATAAAACTCCGGTCCTTTTAAAAAATTTTAAGCAAACACTAAAGGGCAATGTGAAGACTGCTAACATAGGAGTTCTAATGATAAACGTTAATATGAAGATGGATAAGAAGCAAATAAGGAGTATAAATGCATTAACCCACTAAAATATATTTCTGCTTCTATCCAGTTATATATTTAACTATCCACTAACTATTGCTAATTAGCTACTATTGCCTAGCACTGTATTCAGTTCTGGAGATGTAGCCAAAAAATAAAAGAGTCACAGTTCTAATGGAATTTACATTCCAGAAAAGGAGAAAAGAAAATTAAACCTACATAGTTTTTTGGTGTCAGGGACTACCTGGATTCCTGGGCATAGGTTGTTTAAAACATCTAACAACAACAACAACAAAAATCCTTGCCTGTGTAGTGTTCTTATTTCAGTTGATGGTAAGTGCTTTGAAAAAAATATCAGAATATGGTGATAACCAGTCACACAAAAGGAGGCACTATCGTATATGGGGTGACCAGGAAAGGACTCTCTACTAGGGGGACATCTGAACAGAACACAGAGTGAATTGAGTGCCAGGGAGACCCAAGCACAGTGCAGTATGAGAGTATGGGGTGGGGGGATCCCTTCAGAAGCATTAGGGAAGTCTCTAGGAAGGAGACCTCTGATACCCAAGAAAGTAGTGTGAAAAAGGTGAAAGTTAGGAAGGTAAAAGATTATTCATCATAATGTTGGAAGGTTTATGTTTTTGCTTAGACAGTAGGATGACTCAAACCACAAACCCAACTAATAACACTTTAATTCTCTAGGTAGTATGTTTTCAAGCTGTGTACTTAGCTCAAAGCCTATACAACACATTTATCTTATTTTTACATATTGATGTGCTAATGTTGTGCTCCACAGTGAAACAATCTGTATGAGTTGCTCTCACTGTAACTGACTGGTATAGACGAATAGGTAGGTAGGTAGGTTAGCTGGTAATCAAGCAGGCAGGTAGGCAGGCAGGCAGGCAGGCATACAGATAAGGTTTAAATGTTAAATGTTAACATTTTTCAGTAAGCAAAAAGCCACCTTACAACAATGCAGGACAAAAATCTGAACCACAATTTGGGCTCTGCTTCTCATGGCAATATTTATGGAGACATCTGAGAAAGGATAACCAGAAAGCAAACTTCTGAGTCTTATTTTCATCTGCTCGAGCAAATCAGCAGATCCAGATAATAAAAGGGTCAAAGACAGGTAAAAAAAAAAAAACGGTAAAATGGGAACTTCTGGATGTCTTTTAGTCGTGCCAAAAGAACTGAAAAAACAATGTAAAAAAGGAGGATGTTCTGGACTCTTTTCCAATTAAAATCATGTTCTTCATTAATACTGAATTAATGTGGGCTAATGGGTTAATATAAATGCTATTACTTTTAACAAAATTCACTGAAGAATGTTAAGAAAAACTATGTCCTAGTAATCATATAAATTATAATTGATATTGTTATTGTGTATTAAATAAGCAGTTTAGAGCATATAATGAAAGAACAGGGATATTTTAATTCGGTATTTAAAACTTGTCAAAATAAGTTTCTACTATGGTTTCAAAGTTAAAATGTCATTTTCATAAAGAAACATTTAAACCATCCAACAATGTGCAAAATCAACACAACACTATATATTTTGTAACCAAGGCTTAGTTCCAAACGTAAGATGCATGAAGTTTAGGAAGTGATGCATCCATTGGCCATAATTAAGCTCAGCTTAAAAAACTCATTCTAAATTAGTGGCTTTCTCATTTCGGCATGCAACCATTTGCAGGGCATCTTAAAACCCTGAATCCTGGGTGCCCCTCTCAAGATTCTGGCTCCAAGTCTGGAATGTACTTCAGTAATGTGCATTTCTAACGAGCTCTGAGGGGATGCTGATGCTACTGCCAGACCCTAGAAAAATGCCCATCTTTTTAGTTAAATAATTTCTCCATTGATTAAATATCGAAAGTTTTGCTTTTAATATAAAATAGAGCCTTTTTTCCAAAGGGAAAAATGACCTCCCATCTTTTTCACAGCAATGAATTTGAATATTAAAAAAAAAACAACATATATTTGGTTCAGAGAATAAAGAATTATTTCTTCCCTATGAATAGCCCAGATTTCATCATTTACACTTTTAATCAGCAATATTATCTGTAAACCAAATTTAGTCATTAAAAGGAGGATAACCAGAAAGCAAAATTCTGAGTCTTATTCTCATCTGCTCAAGCAAATCAGGAGAACCAGTTAATGTATCTCATGGCAATTCTGATTCCAATGAAAGGATTCTGAGTCAGGATCTTTTACGTAAGTACAAAGTTGAATTTGCACCTAAAAATTCTAGTTAAATTTGATGTACAGTCAGCCCTCCTTATCTGAGGTTTCCACATCCCAGAATTCAATCAATCATGGATTGGAAATATTTACATACACACACACACACAAACACACACACACACACACACACACACACGAAATAATGCAACTATAAAAGAGAACACTAATTTTAAAATATAGTATAGCAACTATTTACATAGTATTTACATTGTATTAGGTACCATAAGTAATACAGAAATGATTTAAAGTATACAGGAGGATTGCATAAATTATATGCAAATACTATGTCATTTTCTTTTTTTTCTTTTTTTTTTTTTTGAGACAGAGTCTCACTCTGTGGAGTGCAATCGTGTGATCTCGGCTCACTGCAACCTCTGTCTCCCAGGTTCAAGCGATTCTCCTGCCTCAGCCCCCCCAGTAGCTGGGATTACAAGCATGTGCCACCACACCTGACTAATTTTCGTATTTTTAGTAGAGATGGGGTTTCACCATGTTGGCCAGGCTGGTCTCGAACTCCTGATCTCAAGTGATCCACCCACCTCAGCCTCCCAAGTTGCTAGGATTACAGGCGTGAGCCACCACGCCCAGCCCATTACTATGTCATTTTCTATCTGGAATCTAGTATCTGCTAGGGGTTCTGAAACCAATTCTCCACAGATACTGAAGGAGGACTATATAGTTCAACTGTGAAATAAGATGGAATATGACAATCTTTACATCAGGGAAGGTATGACACTTTTGTGTCCTCCAAAAGTCACCAATAAATAGAAGAACCAATGAATAAGTAAAGAGTATACTAATATGCTAAAATATCCATTAAGATGACACCTTATTCATTTCCTCAGTGTCCCCCACCAAAATTACAATTGCCTACCAAGTTTTCTGCTTTGCTCTCTCCCTATCCTAAGAAAGACATCTTTGCATTCTTCCTACCAATAACCTCTCATTTTCTTCATCTTTCAGCCTAAGATTCAGTCTATGCAGTCTTCCTATCTGATTCAATCTACACTACTCTCTTTTTATTTATCTGATTATTTATTCTATGAATATTTTCACTAATCAAGTATTTCATAACCTTTAGAGTAGAATTTTCTGTCTCTTATTTAACCTTAGAGCACCCAGGACAGGTGCTCAATGTGGAGTAGATTGCCATGTTCCTTTCCTTTTCAAAACCCACCTACGGCCAAGGAAATCATTTCTGCACACCTGAATCACTTTAACAGACTCTCCGAAGGTGGCTGCCTTTAGCCTCTGGGCAAATTATTGTTTCATGATATCACTTCCTGCTCAAAATGTACCTTGATATTCTAGAATTTCTAATGAGGTAGGAACTCTAGAAGTCTAATGCCAAATTTAAAATATTTTTCTTTATCCTTTCCTCCTGCACCATCACCCCTTAAAAAGTATATATCATTTAATCCACTAATCTTACTGTTTGAAATTTACCCTTCAAGAAAACCTTAAAAACGTAAAAAAACTATTGCACTAATTGAGTCATTTCAGTGTTAGTTACAAAAATTGGAAGCTATTCAAGTGCCTTATAGTATAATGTTTAAATAAATTATAACAAATCAACTGAGAGACTACAGAGCAGGAATACAAAATGAAAGTCAAGAAGGCCATGTAGAAAGATGAAAAATATTTCCAGTTATAATCACAATGAAATTATATCTATACTATGATTACATGTATATTACATAAAAATATAGAAAAACAAGTGATATATCATGGTAGTTAGATGTATTTTTTGTTTATATTGCTTTTGTAAGAAATTGGGGTCAGTACACATCAAATACATCTACATCTCCCATATCTTCATCTCTGGAGCTACACAACGTATGCAATGAACTTTATGATTTAGAATCATGATGCAGAGTTTCTAGAAGGTCTTAAATCATCTTAAGTTTCATTACGTTGACCTAAAAGTGAATGTAAACCCTTCACTGAGAATTTCAACAAAGGTTTTAGTAAAACAGAGTTACTGGATACCCATCAGTTAAGCTCAATTAATCAAAATACCCTATGGCTCATTCCAGGTTATACCTTGTATTGTGTACAAGGATACCTAAGAGCAGATGGGTTTTGTTGTCACTTTCTTTGTTATAAGGTTTGTATACAATTACAGACCACATTACTCGGGCCCTCAGAACTGAATGGGAATTAGGCGGCTGAAGTCCAGGCCATTCCTTTGAGAAGGAATGTCTTCCAGCCATTTTTCTTTCTTGTTATATTGAATTTTCATATGGATCTAACTGTGGATAAATACAAGCCCGAATAGCTTCATGACTGATTTATTCTCATTTCAGAATTCTGGCCTTAAAAAAATCCAGAACCTAATCAGTTAATATTAATGCATTCACAGATTTTGCATGTCTACCAAATAATAGTAAAACCTGTAGCGGGACAATTTAAACCCAGGCTCCTTGGGCTCATTTATCATCTTTTTCTGTAACCCCACAACAGTTCTTTGGAACTGAAGAAGATAAATGGATCCCTGAGAAACAAATATTTACAAACATTTTGGAAATGATTTTTAAGTAGAAAATGAAATATTCCATTATCTATGCTGATCATATGGGAATTCACAACAGAGAGTCGAGTACGGTGTGTGCTGTTCAACCTCATAATCATTTGCAAATAAAATCAAACAATTCCAGATTTCAAACTCATAAATGAAATTTCAATCCTAGTTGTCTTTTTCTCTAATTACAAAAGGGAATGTTGACTTTCTATTTTTAAATGAATTATCTAATATGTCAATCATCTAATAAGACTTTTATTGGTTTACTGCTATACCTGCCCCCTGTCCCTCCCTTGAAAGAAGTGGACAGGAGGTAAAATGCAAAAACATCAATGGTAAATTCGAATTCCTGAGTTTCCTGTAGTCACAGCACACTTTAGCTATTAATATACTTTTCTTCTTTACATTTCTTATAAGTGAGACACATTTCTTATAAGTAAGACAATAAACTATTGGGAAAACAGCAATATAATCAATAGGCTTTCACTTTGATTTTACAGCAAAACCCATAGAGAAACAAACACATTGGCATTTGGATCCCAGCTAGCCATTACGAAAACCTGATGTGTGTCACATGATGAGACACTACAGAGATAACACAGAGCCCCTCTACTTAATTTCTAGAAAAGCAATTCAAATTTTAGAATGGTAGATTGTAAGTCTCTGCTTCTTATACAAATGACTTTAAAGAAAATCATACCTGCAAATGCAAAGCATGGAATAGTCAGCATTACATAAATATAACCAACACTACTTTCTGTTATTTGTCACCATTTCCTTGGTCCTTACTACATGATTCTTCATCTATCCACATAGACTATGATGCAACCTGTGAGAGGCTCAAAGAACCAACAAAATGGTCAAGCAAAGAAATAACTGTTAGAACTTGCTTCTATCAGTCGATTTTGTCCCAACATTTAAAACATTACACTCACACACACACAAATGTATTCTCAATGTCCTCAAGCTGGATAGGAAAAGTTGGTCAATCACACTGGATTAAGGTGATTTCTTGGAATAGCCTGTGATTTCAACACAACCTTTAAAGCCTTGAGTATGTCGGGGGTGGGGAGCGGTGGTTATCATTTTTGTTTTCTTTGTTATTATTTTTAATATGGTAAACATGTCCAACGGCTATAATATGTTTCTCTAATCCAAAAATGAATGATAAAGACAAGCAACTAATTTGAAATTTAAACACTTGAATAAGCTGGAGGGGGCATAAAACAGAAGCTGTAAGAAAACATAATGGAATGGAAATTGCTCAAACCAACTGTGCGGTAGGGCCAAGCACTCTGACATATGCCATGTCTGTAAATGAAGTAAAGGTATGTCACATGCCACCTTGGGGTTGTGTGTGTCACTGCTGGCTTGGCATGTCATTCACTCTTTTCTGTACCTGCTTCATACTACTAGATGTTAAAACCTTTAGTAGTCCTATTTGAAACATAACCTCTTGGTGTCAGGAGGAACAGAGTACACTGAACTGGGGCTTTGTCTGAGTTTTCACACATTTCATACTGAATATGCATTTATTTTTCACATTAAGGTTTATGGATATATCTTATTAACTCCATAGAGTAAAAGTAAAGCAACTTTGTAAGACTATACCAACCCTAAGCTAAATCTCACAAGCTATGAAAAAAATAAGGTTTTTATTGACATCAATGACTGGAAGTTTTATGTTTCATATAGGCTTTTAATTTGCAATCAGTAAATTGAATTTTTAATGTTAAAAGAATAATCACGCTTAGATTGAATACTTTCTGAAAAGTATATAAAAAGTGCCTTCAATACGTTTTTCTATCTGACACCTAAGGGTTTTGGGGGGCGGGGTGGGGGGTGTTACATCATTCAAAATTGTTTAAAGTTCCAATAATATACTTTCTCAAATAAGAGAACTAAAGGCCAAACTTTAATCTGCATGGATCCTTCTTTAAATCTATCTGTGCTGTTCTCCTGACACTTCATTCTGCATTGTACCTATGGCTACATCTGGTTTCCTTAGACTGTAAGACAGCCATGTGAGAATTGGACCCATGATTCAAAACTGACTAGCATTTACTGAGTGCTAATGTGCCAGAGCTATTTGTAGCCATCTCCACCTACGTGATCTCATCTTATTCATCGTTGGATCCTGTCATTTTGCAGCAGAAGCCCTTTCACTGACAAAATGGAGCTATGAAAAAAAACCCCTTAACCCATTCCAAATATTGGCTGTCAATTGCAGTGTGGCCCAAAACAATGTCTCCAAAATGGAACTAATTATCCCTGTCCTACATAAAAGGATAATGCAGGTAAATAATGTAAGAAAATTAAGTTAAATGCTTATAAAGTGCCTAACAGAGTCCTTAGCACATAGGAAGGCTCTCAATGAAAGTTTTCCTTCCTTTTCCAGAAGTAATATGTATTGCACACATATATCTGTCATAACTGCATCTCACTGTTTCCCAGGAAATCTTCTGAATGAAGGAAATAAATGTTTATTCTCCTCCTATTAAGTTTAATTACATATGTAATGCTTAAAACAAGTATGCCAAAACTAAATCTCTTATTTTATTATTTATTTATT
This sequence comes from Homo sapiens, assembly GCF_000001405.40. Taxonomy (NCBI): domain Eukaryota; kingdom Metazoa; phylum Chordata; class Mammalia; order Primates; family Hominidae; genus Homo; species Homo sapiens. The sequence continues at coordinate 105,346,397 of NC_000008.11, read as the reverse complement.
TTTTTTTTTTTTTGAGATGGAGTTTCGCTCTTATTGCCCAGGCTGGAGTGCAATGGCGTGATCTCGGCTCACTGCAACCTCCGCCTCCCGGGTTCAAGCGATTCTCCTGCCTCAGCCTCCTCAGTAGCTGGGATTACAGTCATGCACCACCACGCCCGGCTAATTTTGTATTTTTAGTAGGAAGAGGTTTCTCCATGTTGGTTAGGCTGCTCTCGAACTCCTGAACTCAGCTGATCCACCTGCCACAGCCTCCCAAAGTGCTGGAATTACAGGTGTGAGCAACTGTGCCGGCCCAAGAACTAAATCTATCCATTTATCTACTTCAATGTCTATGCCATAACACCTGTATGTTTTTCTTTCCTTATTTTTAAGTTCAAGAAAAATCATTCAAATACTTGTCAATTTCAGATACATTGTATTTGCATGGCAAACATTTATTGAAAAAAACATTCAAATCAGAGGAAAATAATATTTAGAAACATTGTATGTAAGTATAATAATGAAATTGATTTTTAAATATAAGTGGGAAAATATAATGGTACATTCTAGGAAAAAAATGGAATCACAAAATCCTATTTGAGAGTTAGAAACAGGTCTATGTGCTTAAATATACAATTCATTCTGGGATTATAACAATCTTATTACAGAACATTTGTATTCCCAATTTCTCTACTACATCAATCTTAACAATAGAGACACATAAAGAGAACTAGATTTGATCTGAACAGCTGTGTCTGAACAAGCTGAACAGTATGTCTTCCTCTTCAACTAGTCTTTTCCATAACATTTATGAAAAGATCACCTGCTAGCTAGCCAAGTACCTGAAAGAGCTTCCATACGTTTAAGGAAGCATGAACTTCCCTTGATGGTAGAAATGATGCTGCTGTGCAAGGGAAATCACAATCATGGCACACCTCTTGATTGTGTTAGCTTAGAAACACAGGACTTAAAAAAAAAAAAAAAAAAAAAAAAGAACATCACGAATAAGCTAGATATGTCAGCGCAGAATCATGCTCCACATCTCTGCCTTCCAAAAGATGGAAACAAGAACAAAATTGAACTTTGGCAAAAAGATGCACAAGACTAAGAAGTTTGTCAAAGATGCTGAAAAAGCTCCAGATTGTCTGAAAGTATAGTATTCGGTAACCTATTATTACTGATTTATGATAGGGGAAAAATTCTTCTGTTAAGATCCTCAAAATTTGTCAGCTGGCTTCACCGGATTTGATACCAAAATGAGCTTACTTATGATGTCAAGGCAGTTTTATCACTAAAATATAAAAGTGTATTGACATCCTCATATATACATTACTTGTCTAATCAATAAGATGTACACAATTACACAGCCTTTTTACCTTTGCCATAGGAATAATATACACATTTATTAGATTATAATTCAAGAATATGATCTTCTTGGATTTGAGTGCTCAGTGTCACTGTTGGTCTTAACTTTCTTATTGTTGTTTAATTATTTCTTATTCAACATTAAAAATGTCCACGCATATAAAGTTGTAAAAATATTGTATTGTATATTAGTTTTAATGATTTCTTCAACTAAATCATTGAATTCATAATAAAACTCCTCAGCTTCCTCCATTACATTGTCCATAACTTGATATAAAGGACAATGGCTTATTCATCTTTCTCTTTGAGGTATTTAGAATCATAGCATATATATAAATGTTATATATACATATATGTATACACACACACATATATATGTGTATATATAGATATAAATGAAGGGGGCACACAGAAATAGACCCAGGTATTGTGGGATCTGAAGCTTATACAACTAGGGACCCTCTATAACAGGAGAATACAAAATTACAAACACATACTGTGTATAAAAATAAATATCGATGTAGAGAAATCTCAGTAAATTACAAATGTTAAAAATCAGACTATTATATTCCCAAGAACCTAATAATGCCTGTGGTCATTCTGAATTGTGGCAGAAGGAATGTCAAAGTGGGAAGAATTAGCAGTCCTAAAAAATTGCAGCTAAAATATTTTAATTTTGCATATTTTGTAAAAATATAAGACCAGCTGAACGTACTGCTTGAGCCCCTCCCAAGGCTTTGAGAGTTCTGACAGCTTGTTTAGCTTCCAGAAGATTTGGTTGTTGCTTATACAATAATGATAATAAGGATTTGATAGGTGATATGGTTTGGCTGTGTCCCCACCCAAATCTCATTTTGAACTGTAGCTCTGACAATTCCCATGAGTTGTGGGCCAGACACAGTGAGAGGTAATTGGATCATGGGGGCGGGTCTTTCCTGTACTGTTCTCGTGATAGTGAATACGTCTCATGAGATCTGATAGATGTATAAAGAGGAGTTCCCTTGCACAAGTCCTCTTCTTGCCCACTGCATGTAAGAAATCCCTTTACTCTTCCTTCATCTTCTGCCATGATTGTGAGGCCTCTCCAGCCATGTGGAACTGTGAGTCCATTAAACCTCCTTTTCTTTATAAATTACCCAGTCTCAGGTATGTCAATGTGAAAATGGACTAATACAATAGGTACCAACTAAATCCTTCTAAAATTGAACTGAATGAAAGAAACTTAAAACATTCTGGGGCCCATCTAGAATATTAAATCACTCAGAAACCTACTCCTGTTTTACCCCAACTTTCTAATTGCCATTACTTCCTATATTCCAAGGATCTACTAAATAATAAATGTAGCAAGTGGTTAACCAGGCAAACCTTCGCTTCCATGCTTCCAGTGACAAGGTAGTCTTCTATCCTCAAAGAAGGCTGGGCCATTTTGAACAGCTCTAGCTATTTTACTGATGCTGAGCTCAAAAGTGCTTTCAGTGAGTAGAATGTAGACCCAGAGCACCCTCTGGAATTATTTCCTTCTGACCTACAAGGAAGAAAGCTAATTCCTTTTCTATAGGAGTTCTCCAGATATCCGAATATAGCTCTCATTAAAAAACCCAGAATTTTCTTCTCCTATTAAACATTCCCAATTCCTTCAGCTACTGCCTGACTGTTATCCTGGGGGTTCACCTCCAGACATACTTGAGTTTTAAGGAGGATATGACATTGAACACAATACCCAAGATGTGACTGGCCAGTACAAAGTACAGCAGGACTCCTGTCAATTGTTGAACATTGCAGAATGGTTCTGGAATGCAACTTCCACTGAAGACTCAGTTAACTAAAACACCTATGAAGTTTTCATTTTAGCAGCAAATAAAGTTCATTTTCCCATCCTGTACTTAATAAAGTTGATTTTTTAAACCAAAATCTATATTGTTATTAAATGTTCACCAACAGTTTTAGGGTATCATTCCAGCCTACACAGAGCTTTGCAACCTGATCTTGTTAATTCATGTTTCCCACTGAACCATAGTAAAAGCCATTTAAATAAAAATAACTCAATGTTTTCAGGCATGTAGTATGTCCCCTCTCAGCCTTAAGCACTTGAGTCTGCCTCCAGAAGATTGTTATACTTATTATTATTTTTTTTGGTTTTATGTGCCAGACCTAGGAGTTTAGTATGACAGGCATTGGACAGAGTTTACTAAGAAACCTAGAGATCTATTATGTCATATGTTGCTATTTTCATATCCAGAAAAACAAATAATAGTTTGTAAAAGTGAAATTAGATGTTTTTCTTTCAAACAGAATCAACAAAATTGTAATTGGTAAGGGAAAGCAAGTTTTATTTTTTCTTTTCTTTTTTTCTTATATTTTCTCTTTTGCTTTGTTTTAGGAGAATTTTGTTGTTTTCAATTTAAAGTAAATATAAGTTAAGAACTTGCATTCCCCTCTATGAGTTTCTTTGGTCTTTTCTCTGTGGCTGTCTTATATAGCTTATTTTCTTTTCTTTAGATAAATAGGCAAATCCAAGTGAAAATATTAATGTCCCATTAATGTTAGTGAGCATCCGAATGTCTCACACATTCCTCTTGAATCCGTCTGCTCTGAGTCTTTTTATTTCAAATTACCCAGTTTGTGCTCAGTTGTGCCCTTCCATCAAGAGAAGGATTCTTCAAGAGTTCTCCTAGAGCAACTGTGCTAACTAATTCTTAGGTAATTTCTATGAGAATATGACAATACCTGCTTTCACCTCTTAATCCTTGTGGGCTGAATCTGAATGAATGATTCAGCACAGCTCATCAACTTGACTTTCTCAAAGGAGATTTTGACATTATAACCAACATATGTGGCAGAAAGGTTAACTTATCACTTAAATATGAAACAGGTTTCTTTATAATCTCCATATTCATGAAAAGAGAGCAATAAGGCATTATTAAGTGTAGAGATGTCTTCAAAGAGTACTGTCAACTCATCTATTCCTATCTGAGAAGACACATATTAGAAATCTTCAGAAGTATCAAAATCCTTTATGCAACTGGAGTTTTGCTTTTATGCCCAACTCACGTTCTCCCTGAGCAGAGGTTTACATTCACTAATACTAGCAAATGCCCAGGCATTTAACTTAGCCATCTCCAGATGAACAACCTGTGAATAAATTATTCCACAAAAGCCCAATGAACTTTTAGCTTGGAGTACAAAACTATAACATTTCAGAATGTTCTAGATGCTTTGTGTTCACCACAGGTTCCCAAGAATCTCCACAGGGTTCTAAGGTCACATATATCCAAGGATATTAGCAGTGATACATGTTATCTAAAATGAAGTTAAAAGGGAAGTAACATGGCTTCAACCCTAAAAGTTTCACCAACTGCTACTACAACAGTAGTATTGAAAGTCAATAAAAATTGCCAGTACTTATCACTTAATCTAATCAGTCACAAATTTTCATTCAGGGAAATACATATATATATAAAATGAGGATATATCAACTGTGTTAATATTGCATATATCAACAATAATGTTATATTGTTAACATTACAGTAACATACATACTGTATTGCCACATGCATAATATATATTGCATTGTTACCTTACAGTAATAGTATATATTTTTAATGTTATTGTATTATAATAAAGTATTACATTGTTAATATTACATATATTGTATAATATCATAATGCAATATTTTGTGATAGAAATTCACTCCCATAATATGGACAGAATCATGTCATTGTCAGTGCAATTGCGTTGTTCTCCATTTGTTGAAAATGCAAATATCATATAAATAAATGACATGTCTGAAAAATCAAAGTGCATTGGACTGAGTTTCCTGAGAGCCAATATAATTATTTTGGACGGATTTGTGCATCTTTTAGAGAGTGGAAGCCCCACGAGGGTATGTTCTATACCTACCTTAGTAACTACATTATCCCAACTTAACTCCATTTCTGACACATCTGCTTTTTTCCTGGCTTTACACCATTCAAAAGGTAATATGGTTCAGCTGGGCCATTAGGGGATGGGGTAGATGAGAGTCTCTAGGGGACATTTGTCCCCTCACCCTTGACAGTGGTTCCTCTCCATTTTTCAAAGAAAGATATTAATTTATGTCTCCCATCAACAGCATTAAGTCTAGGAAATTTGTGTCTAACAGATCATTGTCAGGCAGTCCCAACAGTTACTCTTTGTCACGTTACCCTATTTTATTTTCTTCGTATACTTATGCCAATCTGAAATTGCATTGCACATTCACTGAGTTATTGTGTTTATTGCCTGTTGCCAACCTCTAGAATGTACGTTCTGTGAAAGCAGAGATCTTACCTTCCTAGTGCACCACTGACTTCTGTACATAGAACAGTGCCAGGTAGATTCAAAGAAAGATCAAAATATGTACTTGTTAATATAAATAAAACTATACAAAATAAATTTATTAATTAGAAGTCTCCATCATTAACAAGACACATCAATACTTTTTACAAAAAAAGAAAACTACATTAAATGGATTTATTGCTTTTAAAGTAAGCTATATTCTGATTTTCAGGGACATTAAAAGTAGGAATTCTACAATCAAGAAATGTATTTCAGATTTATCTTCTTAAAATTAGTCAAAAATGTATATGATTGCCAGAGTTTCTTACCAGCATGGAATAGCAAATGTAATCTGATTGTGTGATAAATCCCATGACTCCTAAATAAATAAGGCATTTTTGTTGTTATGGGTACGTTTCTGAGTGATGATTTTCCAATTTCCCCAAGGCTTTTAAGAACATTGAAATTGGCTACTGACCTCAAAGATTTTTAGAATAGGAAACACAAATGTAGTTATACTGGCCCATTTTACAGGTGAGAAAAAACTAAGAGCCAGAAGCTCAGTGAGTCTAGATAACATCGAGGTTATCTAAAAGGCTAGAGGTGTTTCTCATTGCAATGGCTCCTTCATTTTTCTCAACGACTCCTTCCATTTTCTTTCATGAAAAACACTTTGTACAGTGCATTCCACATAAGAGAAGCTCAATAAATGCCAGTTTCCTTTATTCCTAGATTTATATTTGCTGGAAATAAACGAAAATACAATATTTTCAAATCCTGTAACAACAGACCTTAAGTTAACCCTATGATTCCTTAAGATCTCCTTTATGGCATCAATTCTTATATTCTCGCACTAACGAAAACAAAGAAGTTCCAAAGGGCAATTTTGCTGCTTTAAAGCTCAAAGTAAGTTTTTGGACTAAAAGAATATTGTTTTTAAAAATTAAATTAAAGCAGAGCGAGAGAGAGAATATGAATGAGACACAACGTGAATGAGAGAGATGTCAACCATTCACCATTCAGTAGCTCAGCAGGTTTGTCAAACTCTAGATTTTGTTTTAGCCCACATTGCAGAGTTCAACTCTGATCTAACTACTAGCATGATTTTTGGGCGTCTGTTTGCAGATGCAGTCGAATTATCAATCCGAACAGACACACAATCCGGGTCCAATGTCACTTCTCCTCATTATGTTAATAGTTAATACATGCAAATGAAAACACTCTAGCAATTTGATTTCTTTGAAGATAGTTTGCATATTGTCTTAGCCATAATGACTGTACACTTCTCTCAGCCTCCATTTATGCAAGGGTAGTGTAGTTCATTTTTATCAGCTCCAGTTCATTTTGGCTGCTATTGGAATGTATGTGCATGTTTCTTTTTTACCTTTTGCCTAATTACCATTCAGGTACCATAAGCAGATTTTTCATGCTATTGGTGTTTTTCTTAATTAAGAAACAAATGAATTCTCCCTAGCAAAAAAAGATGGAACAACAGAATAAGATGCCAGGGGCTGATGTTCTGTTTCTTAATTGAAGCAGTTCTATTGTTCGGTGTCGGTAGTGAGGGGGCTGAAATGTCATAAGTGTAGAATGTTAATAGTACAAAAATAACATAAAACTACTTTTAAAAATAAAGAATACAAAACAATGCTGTAAGAGCTTTGAAAACATAGATTTTTATCCACATATTAATTCTGACAGTAACAAAGTAGCTTCATTTACAAATCCCTCACACTTAGAAAGCCTGAGGTTCTAACCCCAGTCCTGAGAGATATGCCTGCCCCACTCTGCTGGTCTAGTTAACAGTGTCCTACTTATTTACTCTTCATCAATTAAGGAAGCACCCAGGGGAACAATTTGTTTCTTTAATTTGTGAATAAACCATTGCTACTTTAATTTGCATTCTTCTTTTTTTCTACCCACAGTAAAATCTCAATGTCCTACCAGTATATTCAATATGCCTTACTACAACCTTAAGGTAAGACACATGCAAATTCATACAGACAACTCTTTCATTTCCCTTGGGATGATAAAACTTCAAGGAATTGAGGCTTTAAGAGAAAGCTGAGTTTTTACTCACATCTGTACTGATGGCACAAATCTGCTCTAGTGAATGGCACAAAAGGTTACATATTTTTCTCTTTACTAAAAGCTGTGGACAGATATTTGTTCACTAATGGCTTTATTCCTTTCTCAGATTATGAAATTCTTGCCTTATTTAACTGAGACTTTTAAAAATGAAAACCCATTACTATATTTTAAATAAGCTAGTAAAGACTTAACAAAAGTTATCTTATAGAGTAACATTTATTTTTCCTGACCAGAAAAGAGCATTATAAAACAAGATCTCTAGGTATCAATTTCTAAATGACTAAGTTTCTACTGATATTGTTCATACTTGCTGTCTTTCAGGTGCCTGACCTATGTATGAGATGCATCAAAGAGTCAAATAGAATAAAAAGAATTTAATATATATGTGAACAAAGCATATCATTATGTAGTTTTTCCCTATTTGGAAGGAAGAGGTCATAAGTAACTCATTTTATCATAAATATCTCTATGCATAGTGAAAAATAAAGGTGGACCTTTATTTATTAAAACCTAATGTTTTGTAATAACATCATGGGATATCATAAAAAACCTTTAGGTTGCTATACAAGCATAACTCATGAGTTTTTAAAAGTAAATAAATCATTTTAATTTGAGATTATTTTTAAAACTTTTTAACAAAGTACAGAAAATATTTCATGAGTCATCCTAATGAATGTAGAGAGTTTCTAATGGAAGAGATCTGTTAGAAACCAATTTGTAGCACACAAAATTACATATATACTTATAACTGAAGAACATTTACATGACCATTATCATTTTGAGAATCTACATTTATGTGAAGTTGTAATATAACTTTGGAAGAGCTTAACTCACTCACAAAATTTGCAGTCTTATAAAACTGTCAGGAAAATCCTCATCTGATTATTTTTCATTTCACTAAATTAAAAAAAAAACATGAACTATGACCAAAAAGAATTATGAACTATGACCAAAAAGAATTTTCATCTCTGTTCTCTCTATGCTCTAATACATTAGAAGACGATAGTTAAGGTCACTAATAAGGTCACACACATAATAATAAAATGTGACATGATATTCAGTTATTGACTTATTATTCATAATGTAAACTATGAAATAAGACCTAGGGACAATAGTTTTCTTTCTCTCACTTTCTTGAGTTTCTGTAATATTGGCAAGGGTGGGAAAGAGGAGAAAGGCAAAGAATTTTGAAACTTTGAGATTTACAACCAAATTCTATGTATATGAAAGTGTGAACTAGGATAAAGAAAATGTTTCTTTAAGAGGGTTTCTAGAGACTTGTGAAATTTTATTTCTTCAAATTCCTCAAGTGAAGAGACTAAAAATATCTATTATCAATTTTAACCCAGTAGCAAAATGTTTAGAAAACACATATTCCTTACCCCTGCAGCAGTGTGAAACTATTGTTGTCTTGCCCCACCCCCAGTCTCTGACTTGCTAACATGGTGTCCCTGCCAAATTCTTGGCATTGGAAGTGAGGGGGAAGAGGCCATACCATAACGTGTTGATAATGATGAGATAGAAATAGCAAACCAGCTGGATTGTCCTAATAAAGTATGTCTGGGATTTAGAGACACAACAACTATGTGTTCAGGTCATCCAAATGCATTTTCACCAACTGGTTTCTTCGATGATCTTTTGAGATACTCCAGTCAGGATCTTTCTAAAGGAATTTTATGTATTAACTCCAGAACCGTCTGGAAAAATACAACAACTAAACAACAAAAACTAACTACTCACTTTTTCTGGTAATGGTTAGTATAACCAAAGCACCCTGTGTTATTTAATACCAAAAAATGAGACGAAGTGATCTGTAACAGATTTCAGAGTTTGTAAAAACATTTACTGGTTTATAGATATCTATATCTATACATCTATATCTACATCTATAATGTGTGTGTCATATATATAGTGTGTATGTCTGCATGTATATGTCTGTGTGTGTGTGTGTGTGTGTGTGTGTGTGTGTGTGTGTGTGGAGTATATTACATTTTAATATCAATCTATCTTATAAAGCGTTTCCCAGTGAAGCTCAAAATATTTTCCTCATTGGGAATAAAGTATTTATTCCTTTTAAAATTACTTTAGGGTGATTTGAGCAAAATTATTCAATTAGAGTATTCAACAAGATCTTTTTATAAAACTTACGTCAACTACAAACAATATTTACCAAAAAATACTTCATTTAAATATTTGTCAATTAAAACATGCAAACCAAAGACCTTTAAAATTATATTTTAAATACCTGAGGATATTTACCACTACCAGAGAACAATTTCTTTTCATGGATTTGACCTCAAAAATACTAATAATCTAGAAAAGTTTATCAGTGCATACCTGGTGCTGTTCTAAACGATTTACATGTGTAAACTCGTTGAATCCTCTCAACAGCCCTTATATAAGCTCTCCTTAATAACCTCGTCTTTACAAATGGGGAAACTGAGTCACGGATTAAATAACATGCTAAAAGGACACGACACAAGGAAGTGGCAGAGCAGGAACGTGAACCCCAATGAAAGACTCCAGAGTTCTGAAACATTATAACAATACCCCTTCTCTAAAGAATGATTGTATAATTCAATCCCCTTCTAAAACGTAAATATATGACTTTGTGCCGTACATCCATTCAAATGCCATCGGATAGGCAGCCACTGCATTTTGCAATGTAAAGTTAACATGTAAGTTACCTACATCCTCATTTTCAAGTAGATAGCTTGCAACGCTATTTCTCAGGACAGTCAGACCTCTGGGCTAATACATTTCCACAGGGTGGTTAGGGAGGGGCAGCACCATTTGATCAGAATACGCTGCACGTAGCAGGCCAACCAATTCTGAAGATGGATCCTAGTAACATCAATAATCCTCATTACTCTTTATCCCAGAAATTTTGTGTAGCCTTCTCAGCAGAGGTAGTTCTAACTTGATCATCTTCAGTAATTTATTCTACTAGGCCTTGCTCTGGATCTATTTTTGGTGCTGACCACTAACTTTATCATCATGAAAACCACTTGTAGCTTTTCAACAGTTGATGGCTGGAACATCAGCTGGCCACATGGGAGCCAGGGACTGGATGCACTTTGGGTTCATTTTCCTCTGATTCTTTCCTTTACTTCTTTGGGTCTTTAGGAATAGAATTCTTGATGGCAAGACATACCACAAGAGATTAACTTTTTTCCCAAAAAATTAGTTCTCCATTTGCATAAAGTCATTGTATAATGCCACTGATCAGATGAATTTACTTACAGTAGCATACACCTTGTAGCACCTCTGTCCAAACTCAGAATGTAAATTACAAAATACAATAAAATCTTCAGCACTACCTAGGTTGTTCAGAATCTATGAGAATGAATTAAATAAAACTGACCTTATGGTCCTATAATATTCCACTGAGGCTGAAAATGCTAAGAGACTCCACGGTTAAAAACAACCTTTCTCAAGTTGCATTAATGTTCCTAGGCTCTAGGTTCCTTCAAATGAGAGAAACAAATATTTCATTTGTTTTCGGATTATAATTTCCCTCAACTCCGTGTGTTATTTGTTTCCTAACCTTATGTCCACTTTCAAAATTATCTGACAAAAATTCAACATATTTAATTTTCTTTCCACTCTGTCATAATTATCAGGGGGTATTTATGCTGGCATTTATGAATTAAAACCTTTCTATTTTATTCAGGGGCATCCTTTCAAACCCCACTGACACTCTAAGCTTTGGTCTCTCCATGTACTCCTTCATTTCCTTCTGCTGCTGTTGCTGCTGCTGCTGCTACTGCCCACGAGAACACTTGAGATAGCTTGGAAGACTTTCAAGGATAAAAAAATCCTTAATAAGGTACGAAAAAGAGCAACACATTGGGCCCAGGGCCAATTTAAAACTATGTCTGCATATAATAATATGTATAAAAATAAGCATCTTAAAATCACTCAGAAGGCAAAACATTTGATAGGGGTGAGAGATGAACTCTTTCGGGCAGGGCAGAAAAAAATTTCTGAACTCAGGAAAACAACATCGTGGAGATAAACTTTTTGTATAACAGGGCCTAAATGAATACATTGAATTTTAAAGAATAGAACTTTTATCTAAAACCAAACTATCATACACTATTAATCTGAGGTTAATAATACACCCATGACCTATGCTGCTGAGAGTAGAGAAATACTATACTTTAAAAGGTAATATATTTAAAACCTTTTTCTCTGCATTATTTCTTTCTCTAAAGTAAAAGTGAGCATAATCTTCACTTGAGTGCTCACTTTTGGTATATTCTCATATAAACTGAATGATAACTATAGAAACATTTATCATTATAGCTATTCTCTCCCATATTGTCTGAATTAGAGAGATATTAAAATATTCCATAAAATATTTTTCTGTGCCCTACTTTCTTCCCAACTCCCAAAAGCACTTCTATCCTCTCAACTACACAACCTAAGGGAAGACAAATAATTGAAAACATAATTATAATGGCAATATTACCTGATTTTCTGGCCCCAAACCCCTCCCCCCACCACACACACACACACACACACACACACACACACACACACACAGTTTATTACTAGCAGTAATGGCAGTGGTATGAAAATACTGACATTCACATTCCACAATGTATACATTTTATTTTTTTAATTATTGGTATTAATTTGTAACTTATTAAAATTATATTTGGTTAAAAACTGAAAACAATATTAAGAGGCATACAGTGAAAAAAGAGTCTATGTGCTACCATAAACTCTCAGACCTCATTCCCAAAGAAACCATCAACAATTTCTTGCATATTTTTTCAAAAATTTTTATGAAAAACATATCTAATATCTATTCATTTTTCTTTTCAAAAACATTACAAATAGGTACATGCCATACTGATTTTTTTTCATTTTACGAGTCTTTGAGATATTTCCATATCAGCATGAACACATCTGTCTTACCCTTTACAACACCTGAGAGGGTTATACCATAATTTTATTTAACCCATCCCCTATTAATGGACATTTAGGTGACTTCGAATTTTTTGCTATCAGAAACCATGCTGTAATGAGCACACATATGAGGGTTTCTATGGGATATGTAGAATTGCTGGGTCAAACAGTATATGTGCAATTTTAATTGCTATAAAATGCCAGACTGTCTTTCAAAGAGGTTGCAACAATTGGCAATCCCAGTAACAATTACTTTGCCTTCTTGCTAGTGAACATTTTTGCCTCTCGATAGGCAGCTATAAAACTAAGCTAATGCATATGAATGAATGGAAAGCTACTACCAAAGACGATCTCATGAGTTAAGCACAAACAGATTCAATTAAAAAGATACTGCTCTGTTCATTCATTTTTGCATGTGTTGTCTAGCCTCAATAAAATATTCATACTAAACTACTGAAAGCACTGAGTGATGGTTTTAGCCATCAGCTACGATGTTGTTATTAAATCCGTATCTAAAAGTTAGAGGGTAGCACAGAAGGTCTAAGGTTGAATTCAAGATAATAATTGTTAAACTTCACAAAATGAAAGTTAACTGAAGCCCATTGTTAGCTCAGAGGTTGTTGTTGTTGTTGTTTTGCTTTGTTTTGTTTTTTGTCCTCTTCCATTTCCAAATTGGAATTTGGTAGGATCAAAGCAATTATCAAGCAAATACAAAATACACTGATCAGGCTCTATTTTTCAAAATCTGCAATGACCATCAATTACCTAAAGGATGAGTTCAAATTCTTCAACATGGCACACAAAGCCCTTTAAAAGTTTGGCCCCAAATCAGCTCTCAAGATGCATGCTCTGTCACTCACATAGTTTCATCTTTGGCCACAACTATTCACTGGACCTTGAAAATACCATGCTCCTTAACCTCTTGGCCAAGCTATTGTTTCTGCCAGGATACAATTCCCTCTTGTCATGACTACATCTCCCACTCCTCCTTCAATACCCAGCTGAAATAGGACCTCATCCTAGAGGCTTAACCTGACGCGCTTATGAACCTCAATGCCCACAGCAATTTATACCTCTATCTATCAAGATTAAATCATAGTGTACTTACTATGTAATGCACTAATTGAAGGGAGAGACCATGGTCTGTATTTGCCCCATCCCCATGGCTTAACATGGTACACAAAATTAGTACTTACTATATGTTTGTTTATTGAATATTAAATGAAGTTTTCATGTAAGTTAAATTTAACACATATAGGTAACAATCTTTTCTTGGGGCAAAATTGTTTAAAAATATATCACAGGAAATTATGTGGGTTTTTAAAAAAATTTTTCATTCATTCATTAATCTACTACTCTTTGAGCATCTGCTATGTGCCTGGTATTTTTCTAGCAACTGTAGTTATAGAAGTGAACAAGACTAGGTCACACACCCAGAGAGCTTACATTCTAGTACAAAGTCAACTAATAAACAAGTAAATAATCTAACAAATACGTAAGTTATGGGCTGGAGAGCAAACTGAGGCAACTTTAAATGGGAAGGCTAAAAGAGACCTTTCTGAACAATTGACATGTGAAGTAAGAAGTGAATGAGAAGCCAGCCATACGGAAATCTAGGAAAAGAACAGGAAGACAGGCAGCTTGGCATGATTACGGAACAGAACAAAGACCCATAAAGATAAAATGTAGTGACTGCAAGTGGTTTATGGGTAGGAGTTGGATAGGGAAGTGCTACATAACAATAGTATGCTTAGTGATCAGGTCAGACATAAGGAACAGATCTGGTAGTCCATGATCAAAAGTTTAGGTATTAATTTGCAAAGGGATGTCCACTGGAAGAGAGGTGAAGTGATATGACTTGACTTTATGTTTTTCAAAAAAATCATTTTGGCAAATAAAAATGAAACTGTTCCTATTTTATATTGTTACCTTTTAAAATGTAATAAGTGATCATATAGATGTCTATATAGCAATTCCTTAGAGTCCTCTTAAAGTTCTGATAGGGCTGTAAAGCCCATTGAGAAGCTCATGAAAACCATTTCCTAGAAAAATTCATGAATACATAAAATTTTCCATTAAATGTGTGGATATTCACAAACTCTTCAAAGCCTATAGACCCTAACCTAAAAATCCTTCATTCAAAATGTAATCATGTTTCTTTCTTAGGAGAGTAGGAACAATATGCTGTTAACATCTGTTTCACCTCCTGTAATACATAAGAGATTATTTCTCTACATAAAGTACATTGGTACTAACCACAGTATAGAAACAACAAATCCCCTAACACGTACCTTAGTAACATCCCATACCGGAACCTCCTTGTTCTTATTTCTCCAAAATGAAAACTTCCAAACCAAGAGTCAAAGAACATCAAAGTGAATGTCAGACTCATCAGTCCAGCCACTGCATCCCAAACTCATACTCTTCCTTAAATGAGATTTCTGAATCTGGAGGATTAATCATAGAATTGCAGTCTAGCTGGCCAGCTCCCTGATTCTTTTTTTCCATTTGTAAGAATTGTTGATCATAATTATTTATTATATAACTGGGTGTATATATATGTGTGTGTGTGTGTGTGTGTATAATATATATATATAAAATATAATATATACCCAGTTCAAAACCAGATGGAATAACAAAAGAAACAACAAACAAAAAAAATAATGGGAGAAAAGGGTTGAACATGAAGTATTAGATACTCTATAATATTAAGTGTGTGTGTGTGAACACCAAAAAACAGGTTATTAACCTTTAGAGAGTTGTTCACAGATACACACAAAAAAACTGAAATACTATCAAAGCAATTGGCATTTGACAATTGTGACACTGCCTTAAAATATTTTAACTGTAAAACTGAAAAATGTATCACAGACTTACACAGCGATTTTACAAGGAAAATTCAATTGTTTTCTCTTTTCTCTCATGTAACAAAATTATTGACCATTATTAGCTACCATCAATAAATAATATTACCAGACTCCCATCAGCAATGTAACCATCAAAACAAGATCAGTAAAGGTCAGCACCATTTGCCTGAACCATCTTTTCTGCAAAAGTTTTTCAAACCATAACTTTATTGATTCCTCACTATTCCTGAAAAATATATATATATATATGTATATATATATATATATATGTGTATATATATATATATGTATATATATATATGTATATATATATGTATATATATATATATGTATATATATATATAGAGAGAGAGAGAGAGAAATTGTTTTGTTCCATATAAATCTATATAGAAGAAACTAGGTCATTTTCTTATGCACTTTTCTTGGACCTATTACTAATTACTGCTGAAATGGTGATCGGTTCACCTTCCCTGATGACTTATCATGAGTACCACTTCAGGTTCTGGCACAAGTGTTTTCAGGCAATATTCCACTTATACTATCAGCAATACAGCACCTTGCAGAATTCACCTTCCTGATATTAAGCCTACAGCATTTGCTGAGACCCAACTGTCCTTTGGAGATCTGACCCTTAAAACTCAGAGAAAAATGATACATCATAGAGGATTTCTAGAGAGTATCAAACTGTCCTAAATCTAAATTCAAATGCAGGCTGTCCAAATTCCAATTCTGTCACAGTGGTACTAATTTTTATGGCTAACACTGGAAACCATTTTATTCTAAAACTAGCTATTCTACTTTATGCCTGCCAGCCTGCCTGCTTGCCTTCCTCCTTTCTTTCCAAGAACATTTATCCTGTTAATTATGTTCAAACTCAGAAGTGTTCTACAACATTTTTCTATCATAGCAAAAAAACAAGCAAATACAGATTTTTTTAAAGGTGATTTGAATATGTGTCAAGAATTTGGGGATTTCCATTATTAAAATGCAAAGAAACATTCTAATAATCTCATCACCAACCAACAAGATTCAAGTTCAGCAAATTAATTACAGCACAATCATTCACTAACTATGGATCTGTACAAAGTTCTCCCATTGTGCCAACCAAGGTTTCCCCAAACTCTGACATGTCTGTGTTGTGCACTAGAATACTTTTTAACCTAAGCTTCTCAGAACCTATAATTCCCAAGCAGCTGGACTGATAACTCTAGATTAATTTACGAAGTAATTTTTCATCCCAGAAAACCTATATTTCTTCAAAAAGTTTAAATTTAATATTAAATTTGGCCAGGTTAAGTGCTATGACATTTTGTAGCTCTTTACCCCATAAGATTACAATAAAATATGCAAAAAGTCATTATATATTGCAAAGTATAATATGAAATATGATTTAGTTATGAAATGAGCATATGCCCTCATCCTTTATCATATCAACAAAGTAAAAACATTAAGTTAAATTAACATGGAAGTAGTCACACATTTCTGTTTGTAGACTGAATCTTCATGCCTTTAAATGACTATCAAATGTTAGGACCTGGACCTAAAAGAGAAAGAATGAAATATTAATAATGTCCCACCTTGTGGGAGCTCGACATTACTTGACACTACACAGAAACTGACCTTTTTGTCCTTCAGGCTTGCCTACCAGGCCCCATCTTCTATCGCAAAAGCCAAATCATCTGATCCCAAACTAACTGTCAACTGCCTGTGATGGTGGGGAAGCCAGACATCAATCAATCAGGTTTTATCAGACGCTCTCTTCGTTTCTCTGTTGTGCTCATCTTATCATCTGACCCAGTTGTAGCCCTGACTTCAGAAGCTTAAGCAACTTGATGACAAAATATGTGCCTGTTTGTCCAAGATGCACATTGTTAAGAAGTGGGGTGATATTTTTAGCAGCTACCTAATATATTTGCAAATGAACACTTGAATATTTCAGATTCACTCAAGTCCCAGGTTGGTCAGTCTCCCCTGTACACTGAGTCTTCATTTGGAGGTGGGAGGCCCAATATTTCCAAAAAACGCAAGAGTACTTATGTACAAGTCAAACAGCATTGGAAAATCTGGTTATTTTTATGTCAATGTAAGCAGAAAGGCTACCAAAATGAGAATTTGAGAATGTCACTTCAAGAAGAGAAAGAAGAACTGATTGGTAAGTGTGCACAATACAAATTCAGACAGTTTTATCCTAAATAAATAAAAATAACTTAGAAAATTAAAAGCCATTTAATCTATTTATATTGACAACAGTCTTGGAAAAAACATGTTTAAACCTTCAATGCTGTTGCCAAATCTAGGTTAGCTGGCTTCCTACTTTAATGGCATAGTCCAGAATATACTGCTATACATAAACAGTTGAGGTAAGAAGACAATTACAACACAGATTACAAATTTGAAATTTTCAAATTCAAAGCAGATATTCGTTCTATAATTTCTACACAAAAGCAAGAAGAGTAAAATATACATATATTTTGTGGATATAAGCATTCTATGTTGGCATTAGTAACTGTCTTCTTGCCTCACTTTGTTGTTTTTCTTCAAGGAGAAATTAAACTTTTAGATCTTTCTTAAAATCAAAACAACAAGCTTCATGATGAATATAAGCATTCCATTAATAGGTAATGTTGTCAATATACATCCATCCCCCAATAATACATTCACTGAGCTATATTTTGAAAAGCATTTAAAAACAGCATAAAATTTCTTCACAGAATTTATCCAAATAAATGCATACTTTAATCATGTAAGTATGGGCTATATAACATCACAAAGTATTACACTGACATATTGGACATGGATGAAAATGCACACCATGAAAATAATTTGTATACAGTGAGAAACACATCATTCCAAATGATTCGCACTGAATTCACAGGGTTTTATTAAAAAGAAAAAACACACACACACAAATGCCTTTGAACTTCTCAGCACACACAAGGAGCATGAAGGCTTACCAGTCCATGGCATTTACTGTTAGGAGACATTAGCTATGGGAAATTAAACAAGCTTCTACTAGAAAATGAAAAAAAGGCCTTTTATGCTATTGTAAGTAATAAAAAATAAATTTAAAACTTTTCTTGAATACCAAATATGCTACAATTAATCTATGACAGATTTTGTCAGTGAATTATAAATAATCAGATCTTTTAATCGAATTGTGTGTTAAGCTTTAAAGCCACTCTTCCAAACTAGGTAATCTTAATGTAGCATGCAAAGGGAAAATGGACAAAATTGAGTGTATTTTTTATTTACAATTTTTATTTCATCATTATTTTAAAGTACTTTGAAATACATGATTTTTAGCTATTTTTTCTGTATAGAATAAGAGAAATGTGGCCCTCAACTGAACTTGAAGACTCGTCAATTCACTATTTTTAATCTTCTATTCCTCAATTTACTGCAGGCTCCCAATAATTTCAGGACATACCACAGTGAAGCAAATAGTTTTTCTTCAAGAGTATACCATTGTTCAATATTCCAAGGGAGTAATTAATACAGAAATTAAAAGTTTAAAGTTCCATATTAACAGAAAATAAAGAAAAAATGTTTGCTTCTAACTCTAAATTTTGTAATTAATTCTTCACTCTATTCATATTTTTAAAATTTTGCAAATTTTGTGAAAAATAAAAGAATTTTAGAGATTATTACTGAAAAAATCTATGTAGATTAACTTACACTTGCAAGAAATCTTCCTATGCAATATTATACAGATGTCAACTAGCTAAAAAATCTTTTTTTCTCTCTCAATAAGAGATGCCCACAAAAGTTTTCCAAATGTGGATTAGAATAATTCATATCATCCAAAGAATTTATCTTTCTAAGAAAGAAATCAATTGACAAATAACATTAAATATATCTTCCAATAAATGCCCATTTAAAAATAATTTTTAAATTCATTTTAAAATTTAAATACAAATTAAAATATAGCATTTTATTGGCCTCCACAAAAACTAGGTGTTATAGCTTTTGTGTGGGATATTAAATTTATATATTTTGTGATAGTCTATGTATAGCTTATTTTATATATATATATATATTTATGAGTTGTTTATGATAAATCTGACATTAGCAACAGCCAAGTCACCTCCATGAAAATATCAGACTAACACCATTCAACAGTTTCTAGCAATTCAAAGGGGAGGACTTTCACAAATAAATAAAACTAAGCAGTTAGTGGCACATGACCAGATGACATGAAAGTCTACTTAATATTAACTATTATATTAGTGTCTCTTATTAGCAAATTCCTTGCTTTACATACATGGGAATACTACCAGAATATTAAATAATAAATAGCATTACCTTGCAGGTTATAAAAAGAGTTTTTAGCTACTCTACAGACAATGCTTGGAATGAATATGGCATTGGTTATAGCCATCAGGCACTGAATATTCATTTTTTTAAGTCTCTGAAATTGTAAGCTGCATATAGAGTTCCCCAATCTACAAACATTTAAGTGTATTTAGTGCCCATAATCCTAAAAGAAAAGTAGAATATTTAAAGCATCATTTCTAAATCTAGCTTTTACTCTCCGGCATAACTTTTTTTTAAAAGACTAATTTCCAATGATCTGATTTTAAAAATGCTCATTTTAAGTAATCAGCATATCTGAGGAATAGCTGCAAAATAGTGTGTATTTTGTTTCCTGGTTTTGGAAACCTACGATCTTTTATTATATTTGTAGGAATTCTCCAAAGGCATTTATTCCTTCACCTTATTGTTTAGGATTTTCCTTATTAGAAATAAGTATTTGCTAATATGAAAATATCCTCAGATAAACTTCTTTCTTGGACTTGAAACTACACAGCAAAACTCTCTCACCGTAGACATAGGACTAGCTACCTCACACTCATCGTGAGGCAAAAACTAGTCCTCAAAGATACTTTCTAAATACAGTTGATATTAATAAGAGACTAGGAAAGAAGAAATGAAAGAGAAAAAAGAATAGCCTTTTATTTTAACATGTGAAATCTTGACCAAAACCAATTCTACCTAATGATAATCACATATTCATTTTAAAAGTATTTGTCAAAAGCACAAATTACTAAAACTTTAAATAATCCTGACTAGACAATTCTTCTCTACCTTTTTGTCATCTCAAAAAGACGGCCTGACAGTAACGGTATGACACCCTCTCAGACAAGCCTCTCGGCATTAATATTTAAATCTTACCTATCCCTTGTGATTGGAATTCAGCCTCTATTCGCAAACAAAAACTAAATCAATGTTCTTAGAGTTCAAACTAGATCCCTAAACAGTTTGCCACTCTCTATGCACAGATAAGATAAACTTTCTTTGACCCAAGAGATGAAGTTGCCATGACGATCAGAGAGTCCACTTTCTATATTGATATTTTGCTGATGTAACAACAAATAGAACCAGATCCTAGTGCCGATAATGGTGATTAATTAATACTAATATTGATCCCTACAAGCAAGAGACAAGGCTATTAACTTGAAGCCTGAAAAGTCAATTGTTACCTGTGGCAGAGATACTAGGAGCTGATTTGGAAGCATAATAAACAAATGTGCTATCTTTATGCTAATACCTTTAAAGAGATAGTTCTTTCCAGAATGCCAAATATTGCCACATCTGAGCTTATTAATTTAATTGCATTTCAGTTTTTAAAAATGTAACCTTATTAAACGATACATACTTACCTCTTTATCTATGGTGAAAACACATTCTCTGGACTGAAGTAACAGACTTTTGCTGCTATTCGTTTGATGAGAGAATGAACTGATAATTTTACACAGTGGCAGGTGTTGAATTAGACCGGGTTTCAAAAACATCTGCAGTGTTTCTCTGAAATATCCTACTAGTCCTTTGGAATTGGGAAGGTAACAAAGAATCCAAGGGAATATGACTTGGAGGATAAGAACTCCAAAGTTAACATATCCACTCATACTTTTTAGTGAACAAAGATTACATTTAAGAAAGGAAGCTACTTTTGAAAAATATTTCTTATTCCCATACAAATCTAATGTTATATTCTTCACACAATTTGGCCAAACATCAAAAAACTTTCTCTAAATGGTATCACTTTATTTAAAACTTGAATACACATTAAGTTATTTTCAAGGAAAGTTCATCTGGGAAGGTGTTTTCTTGAAATGTAAAAATAAATTACAGAATGTAGAATAAATAAAATTAGTTTATTCACTTAATACCTTTTGAGGAAAAGTTATATATTTAAATAGGGTTTGATTAAAATGCAACTGAGAAGTCCATTGTTGATCTGTCCTGGTTATGGGGAAGAACAAAAACATCGATACTAGAAATCCATACACTAGTCCCAAATCCTTCATTTTAGCTAGAGTGTTAGGTTTAATCTTGTCCTCTTAAAACTTTTTCCAGTGGTAACAACTAATAGTGAAATGGCTAATTAGACTTTCGTTTCTTTTTTAAAAATCATTTGAAAAAAGAGCTAATTAGTTCTTGAATAGCAAGGCCTCAACTAGCAGAAATAACATGGATGAGAAAGTCCTTGGACAGTTCATGAACAAGAAAAATGAGTTACCTTAACTGTAATGCAAAGTTAACTTAATGGACATTACTATAATAATATGGATACATATAGATATAGGCAAAACATAGATATATTAATAGATACAGGCTAGACAATTGATATAATCAATGACTATCTTAATTTATCCCCAGATTACCCCCAAACAAAGCAATGTATAAATCTTTGTATTAACTCTTAAACATATAATGAAATTTTAAATTGGCTGAACATAAAAATCAGGAGCAAATCACTTAATTGCATTGTCTTCCTTCCTAACTTAATAATACCAACTTAATATATGGCAAGTCACATAGCAACCAAATTGATGCAATTTTACTATTCTTAAGGTCTCTAACTGCAATTTATAGAAAATTCAAACTTGTGTGTTCACCCAAGAAATACTAAGATATATAATATTAAACTTGATAGTCCCTCTTACTCCATAATTTTACAAATGAACTACTTTGAAAGTTACCAGAAGTGGAAAACATACCTACTCTTTTATTTCAAGTCATATCTCCAAGTTTTAGCCCTAAACTCTTAAGCAATTAGAGATAAAAATGTTAGTTCATTTATATTTACATTGCTGACTCCATTGAACTTTAAAAAACCTAACTTCATGACTAATGATCTTTTACAGGTAAACTTTCTTAGGTTGTCTTTAACTCTTAAAAACCAAAATGACTATATTGGTCATCTTAAGATTTGTCTGTTTTTAAATCCACTAAATAATTATTCCTAGATTTTTCCAGAAAAAATCTATGCATTGATATTATTTCAAATTCATAAATCAGGAAATTATTTTTATGCTATCTTACAAGCAATAGGTACTATTCTATCTGTTTTATTGCTAAAACAACTATTATACAGAATACAGGTTCCTTTAATTTGTGGCACGTGTAAAAATAGGTTTTCCGAAATGTTGCTCAGTCAAAAATGTAGAAAATAAAAATCTCCAATATGAGAAGTATTACAGACCAAAGAGAAGAATTATTTTGCATTATATTCAATTATCCCTAAAATTCAGAAAAAAAATAACTTATTTGTTTCAAAACAAAAACCTGTCTTAATATTTGGCAGGAGAAAAAAAAGACATTCTAACTGTGTATAACAATGATCAATGTTTTCAAATATAGGTAGTATTCCCAAAACATTTTTAAAAATAAAAATATCAAAGACAACACAGTAGATAATTAACCCTAAAATTATAGATTGAATATCAATAGAAGAAAGACTTTTAAAAGACCCATAGAACAATGAAAAATAGCCATACTCAATTATTTGCATAACATAATTTTAAGGTTATAGAAATGATCCAACTAGAGGTTTTCATGTGACAAATATTAAATAATAAATTTAATATATAATATTCTTATTTTAAAACAATAATTGTTTTATGCATAAAATATTGACTATAACCTACCCTTTATAAAAATAGCATAGAACATTAAAATGCCAATGCGCAAGTTAGGAATTCGTACGGCCTAAAATTGTTATATCATCTCAAATAACAAAATGGTAATTATTCAATATGAATGGATTCCAACTTCTGGGAAAGACCCTCTACCGAACTGCTAACAAGATTATTCTCTAACCAGAACATTTTACTTTCAACATGCATGCTAATTTCCAGTATCTGCTTCACTTTTCAAGAAGAAAACATTCTGCCTCTTAATTCACCCTTTCATTATACTTCACCACAAATTATTTGGCACCTGATCTAGACCAAACATTTATGCACTACGCTCTGAAAAGATCAAGCAATCTAAAAGTTTTATGAAAACTCTACTTTTATGGTATAAAGAAGAGTGCCTTTTCCTAATCTTATACAAAAATAAATTACTTGAGTTTCTCCTTTTCAAGCTCTATATTAACTACTAGAGAGCAGATAATGACATTCATTTGCAAAAAAAAAAAAAAAAAGTGATGTCCACCTCTTCCTGCACCCATAGCCAATACACTTCAGTGTGACTGGAGTTGGGGACATATAAGGCAGTAAACACATTACTAGAGACAACAGCTTGAAGAAGAAAATAACAATAAAACTGCACACACAACACATTTACTAATCATAAAGAGATGCATTGGTAAAAGAAAAAAATCATCATTTCTGTCATAAATTTTGCACTGCAGCCCCAGAATGGAGAACAATCTGGGCAATTTATTGGCATATTGGCAGGAGGTGATAAGGCTAAAAACAACAACAGCGAGCAGCTGTGCGGGGAGATGGGCTGATAGCATGATATGGCTCCCACACCAAACACCTCCCGTCCTATCAGGGCTTTTTATCAAACCAGGATTACAATAATAGCTTATGAGAGAAAGCTTCTGAGGGGAGGGCAGAAAATATAGTCTTGGAATAGGAAAAAAAAATCTGAATTTTGGGACAAAACATGGGGGCAAAATACATAATTTATCACTGTATTATCAGGAAATCCAGGCAGTCTAATCAAGGAGCACTGAGTGACTATTTTTTGCCTTATCATCCAAAGTGGTGGAAACGGAGAAGGAATTATCAGGCTTCTGCAGATTGCTGGGCTGGAATTTTAATGGTAATAATCGGGTTTCTGATGGTATATCTTCTCCGCTTATCTTTCCCATTATCTCCTCTTATCTGGCCAGTCATCATAGCAAATTAATGGTGCTCTTTCAGCGTCGCCTTTTTATCGCTGCCCGGAGAGCACCCAAGGGGAAAGAATAAGCAAAATATTAAAATACTGCATAAATCACAATTTTAGATAGCAGGGAACTGTATGCAGTAAAAGAAAAAAAAAACTGTGCCCAACAACCTTTTTGTCCTTTAAATTGACTGTCTTCAGAGTTTCTGGTATAAGCTGACTTTTTGCTTGTCATAGTTGCTTCAAATTGGGTATGTTTTATCAGCAGTGCCAAAGCTTTATTTTCTAATCCTGGACATTTCCAAGTTTAAAATGCAGTTTTATTACTGGCGTGAAATGCTATTGTTTCACAGAGCATAGCTTTCTGAGATTCTCCAAACTTATATTTGATCCAGAACATCAAAAGTAACAGTGTTGTTTGTAATAGAAAATGGTGCACTTCTTACGCACTACTAAAACTGGGGGGAGAGACCTACAATAATAACGACTTTGGATATCAACACAAACTTCTCCATCTGCGAAACTGCCTCTTATGCCTGAACAGGCAAAAGGAGACAAACGTCAATAGATTGCAACTAAAATGACTTTAAAGCTGGTCAAACGACATTTAAGTATCTCCCCCACCCCCTAAAAAAGCTAAAAGAAGAGGACTACTCCAGTATAGAAATTCAAAGACCTTTAATTTTTCACTTTTCTTAACGGTGGAATGGAAGAAGGGGTGTCCACATTTGCACAGATTATCACTGTGACCCCAAATTGAATCCAATAAAAGTATTACATGCATATAAATAATACATATGTATGCATATATCAGCAGGCAATGCTCACTGTGAATAAATATATAAATATATTTGTTCACTTTCAAATGAAATAACTTTCAAGCATTTTTGATACTTAATAAATCACAGCATTCAAATAAACCACTAAAATGTTTTATGACTTGTAACACAAGAGTAGCATCAGCAATTAGTTTCAATGCTTTAATCTTCAATTATATGAGGTGGACATAGAAGGAAATAAAAAAATTAATGTAGCTAATTGAGAAGATAACAAAGTATTCCCAAGTAAAATCAGATGGTCTTGTGCCATACAATCAATTAATATTAATTATTTATTAACAAACCCAGGTGACAGCCATGAACTAAAAAGCATTTGTATCTAATAATGTTTATAATCATATCTTATAATAAGCACGGTTTTGTATTCTAAGATGCAACATTTAAACAGAGGAATCTGATCAATTGAGTCCTAAAAACTACAAGGCAATTGGTGGAAACCATGAATAATCATTCTGAAAAAGTGAGTCTTCAAAAACGATATCGCTACTTGATTAAAACTGCTTTGAGCCAAAAGTGAAGTCCAGTACTTGCTTTAACCCAAGTTGCATAGAGTGAGAACTGAAGTATAAGAGAAGGAATCGAAGAAATAAAAGCTAGAAAGTCATGTTTAAGTAGCAGACACACACACACACACACACACACACACACACACACACACACAAAGATCTGAATACTTAACTGTTGATAACTGTTTATAACCTGGCCCCCATTTCAAGGACAAGTTGATTGATAAGATTTATTTTTAAACTACACCAAATAGAATTTTCAACATTTGGGGGTGGGGCGAGTATGGTTAATAATCAGGGGGGAAAGGGATACTACTAAAGTCTTATCCTTAAATTACATCATAATTTGTTTAAAACTAATTGCAGACTCTGAGCAACACGGTGAAACAGACACATCATAAAGCTAGCAAAAAATAAACTAATAAGGTTTTTTCTTCTTTTCGGCCAAAGCGTTGAAGATATGTCGCAGGCCTATAAAACGCTATTGGAGGAATTCTCCCCAAGCCAAGAAAAGTTGACCGACTTGATCTCTGCGAGCGTGCCTGTTTCGGAAGGTGTCTCTTGACCCGCCGTGTCCTCTAAGCACCATCGGGACCCCCGGGCACCCGGGGGCTCAGGGCCATGCACTCCCCTGCGCGCCCACCGCCTTGAACTCACAGCTTCCGCGCTGGGAAGTGACTGGCGGCCCCTCCCAGGGAGGACTCCGCGCGCCACCAGGGCCAGACACCACCCGAATCCCCGCTCGGCTGAGCGTCCTGGCGGCGTGAGCCGGACCCGCCCGAAGTCCCAGGACACGACCTGCCAGCCACCAGCCCGCGCCCGCAGGGCAGAGACGCACGGCCGCCCGCCGCAGAGGCGCGAACTTTTACACCTACTTTTTGTTTCGCTTCGGGTTTGGTGTGGCTCTGGCACCGCCCAGGATCGGGACCCTGACGCTCTGATTTTCCACCGCGTGGGGAAGTTACCTCCCTCGCCCCGAGGTCTCGACCGCCCAGCTTTTCTGAGAAGTTTCTACCCTGGTTACTAAAAGTGGTTCCCAAGAGTAGTCCCACGTCAATCGCACAAAGCAATGACAACAACAATAATAAGCGTCTAAAGGAGCGGGACTGCCCCTCCGGCTGGACGACAGCGCCGGGGACTCGCAGCGTGCGCGGGTCGGAATTAAAAAAGCAGCCCGGGAGCGCGAGGGCTGAGCGGGGCAAGCATGGGCTGCTCCTCGCAGCCTCTCTCCTGCCCGAGGCTCGGGCTGGCCGTCTGTCTGTCTATGACTGTCTAGTTGTCCCTTCGACTGCTCAGGCAAAGTTTGAGACATCTAGGGGACCGGGAGCGGATCTCCCCTAGCCCCGCCACCCACCCACCGCTTTCCCGTCCCGCGCACCCCGCTCCTGGGCAATAATCCCACCAACTCCCGGCCCCGCGCGCAAACTTACGTTTGATCTGCCGGGGTTTGCTTTGCTTTCGCCGGGACATCTCGGCGGCGGCTGCTGCCGCTGGGGCTCCCGCGGTGCCCGCGGTCGCGGCTGCCGCTCCCTCGGCTCCCGCCGCCGCCGCCGCCGCCGCCGCCGCTGGCCAGGCTCGGCCCGCCGCCGGCCGGACTCCAGGTGCTCCGGGCGCTGGGCTCCTCCGGGAGCCGCGGATTCACGTTCGGAGATGAGCAAGCAAATGAGAGAAGAGAGACGGGGGCACAGAGAGTGTGACAGTGAGGAGGGGAGGGGGAGAGGAGAGCGACGGGGGGAGAATGGGAATGTACAAGCGAACGGTCAGGGAGAGAGAAAAGGGGAAAGAGAAGAGAAAAATAACACGGAAAGAAGGAAGAGAAGGAGGGAGGGACGGGAGAGCGAGCAGCGAGGAGAGGGGGAGCGCGGGGGCGCAGGGCGCGGGAGGAGGAGCGCGCTCGCTCGCCCCTCGCCCCGGCGTGCGGGACGGATACTCCGGCGCCGCCGCCGCCGCTCCGGGCCGCGCAGCTCCTGTTCTGCGGCGGGAGGCGGCGAGGCGCGCGAGGGAGGGGCGCGCCGGGGCTGTGGGGAGGGGAGACTATTCCATCAGCCAAAGGAGGATTGGCTGCATCCAAATCCAGTCCGGATGCAAACTACGGCCCCGGCCTTGGTCGGGCGAAGTGCGGGGGATCCAGGCGGTGGTGGGGGATGGGGGCAGGGGTGGGTGGGAGTTGGAGGGGAGGCGTGGGGACGGCTTGGAGGAGGGCCACCTTCTGCAGTTGTCACCGCGTCAACGCTGGGCAGCTGCCAGGGCACCCCGCCCCACCTCCTTCCAGGCAACTTCTTCCAACGGCCCTCTCTGAGGGACCCCAACTCTCCTCTCTCACGCCTCGCCAGTCCAGCGGGGCACAAAGAAATCTCAGTCTCTCCCTAAACTTTGTGCTTTCAGTTATGCCGCCCCCTCCCCTCACCCCCAACCCCCGCCCTCCCAGCTTCTTGGCAGGAAGGTTAGGCCACTGGCAAAGTCCTCGGCGAGAGCCAGATGATCACAAATGCCAACTGTGTGTCTTGGGGCCAGTTAAGTCCGCTCATCTGCCCAGGCTCTCAGAAGACCATTTCTTTGCTCTCAAGGCTCCCAGGAGACCGCTGCGGACACGGACCGTCCCGCTCTGGGCCCACGTGGATGAGGTGCTGAGTCGGATCCTCAACGTGTTCTGTCACCCACAGTTTCCATTTTAAATTGTAAAATATTCAAATTTGGAGACAAGCAGATATTTTTCTCATCTTGAAAAGGAGGAGCGAGCGTTAGCTAGCTGATTAGCCGTAAGTGGAAAACGAACCATCTCTAATAAAAATACTAACTTTTTGGGAAAGTCTGGGGAAGTTCTGTAGTCCCACCCTGCCCCGTGACCTTTCTATTCTCTTAGTCTTCTGCCACAGGGAAGCACCGATCGACTAATAAAAGATTTGATCTTGCTGTAATTTCCCAAGCGGGTAAGACCCAGTAACTATTTAATGGTTCTTTAGCTTCTAAAATTTTGTTTTATTCTTATTCAATTACTGTATGTGTAGTATATCGGCAACTGCAAGCCAAAAGGAGAACAAATTTTGAGGTGATTTGCATAGTTATTATTTTGGCCAAGTTAAACTGTATGAGGTTAGCTTATTTTCTTACAGTTTCATATACGGTAAGTATTAAATATATTCTCCCATGTGGGTTGGAAGGAGCTTCTATCCAAGTGCAGTGGGACTAGCTGCTTTATGTAATCAGTATTTACTAATAAACTCCACTGCAGTTCACATGAGTCCCCCAGATACTGCTGACTTTTCCCCCAGGAGGTTGTGAAGTGGACCATTCTGATCTCAAATTGTGTCCCCGTTTGCTTGGTTGACTATTATTTGTGTGAACCACACCAAACTGGATACTCTAAAAGGGTCTGGGGTCAGCACAGAGCCTGGGCTGATTGAGCATAATGCAAGATGCTCAGTGTGTAAGAGGCACTGTAATCAGTGTCATTTATAACCCCAACAGGACATCTTCTGGAAGGTGTAAAGAGTTGCCTTGTGAAAGGTATGGCCAAGAGAATCTTAATACAAAGCTGAAGACAAATTGTGAATTTTATTACATTACCATTAGTACTATTACCATAGGAGGCTGTAAGAATACATAGTCCTCTGCAGTGGAAAATGCACTAAATGACAAAGTCCCTCCTGTGAAGAACCAACAAATTAAGGCTGAAAGTACCATGAAAAGCAGGGCCATTTATGTTTGTGTTGTGGAATAAATAAGCAGAGAGAGAACTGCAGATTTTTACCTCCTTCATTTTCAATTCATTACAGTTAAATTGGTGTGCTTAGAATCAGATGTATTGTACATTATGGTTTTTAAAGATCTTTTTACAGAACTGGCTGAATTTTTATGTCACCCAAAAGGAATGCCCATTGGAATTAAAATATCGTAACTGTTTCTTTTGGAGTTTGAAGTGGTTAAATATGCAATGCAAAAGAAAAACAAATAAATCTCAGCTAAATGTTTAGTTTAAAAGCTAAAAGGAGCAGAAGTCAGAGAATTCAAGGCAAGATTGATAACCAGAATGCATTATTAGAGATAGATATTAGTTTATCTAAATTTATAAATATATATTAATATAGTCAATATGAATGAATTAAAATAATGAATACTATTACATTTTATATTTTTTCATTATTTTTAATGAGAATATTAATGATATTTAAGGTTCAGTTTTTCTTTTTTTCTAGTTTAATTCACTGAGGTTATAAAATAAATAGACGGAAAAACCTATAAGCAATTATCTCTGTCCAAATGGATATAGCAGCCCCAAACCACAGCTACATGACTATCAAACAATGATTATGAAAACCACAATTGAGAAAAGCATCAGGGAATGATATTGCAAAACCACAGCAACAAATGTGTCTGTGATACTGAAAACCACAATTCACAACTAATACCCTCTGTATCGCAAATTACAATTTAACTATAAATGTGCAAATGTACAAATAAAAGCACAAAATAATTTCTCATTTGCTTAAAAATAAATTATTGATTTCTAGGCTCACCGATTTAATGTCTACATAATGGTTTGTTTAGAAAAGTTTCTGCTTTAAGAAACAAATCATTTTAAATTACATGTAAAATGCCAGTTACTTTAAAAACTGGAAAAATGCAACTTGTAATAATATTTTCTAAAATGTTAAAAAAAAAAAAGATCTGAACTCAATCTGAAACAAACATCTACTTCAGTCTAGCTTTTTTCATAAAGTTCTTTGGAAGTGAAAAGGTATGTGAATGGAAACTGTTTACAGAATAAAAGCTCAAAGTATTGTATTACAACTTCAATGAGAATAAAATTGTATATACAGTAGTACCCTTCTATACCCAGAGCTTATATTCCAAAGCCCTCAGTAAATGCCTGAAACTACGGATAGTACCAAACCCTATATATACTGCTTTTTCCTATACAAAATACCTATGATCAAGTTTAATTTCTATAGTAGGCACAGTAAGAGATAAACAACAACTAAAAATAGAACAATCATAACAATATATTGTAATAAAAGTAATATGAAAGTGGTCTCTCTCCTCTTTCTATGTCTCTCTCTCAAAATATCTTATTGTCCTGTAGTCACCTGTTTTGGGGCCTCAGGTAACTAAAACCACAGATAAGGGGTACTACTGTATTCTTAAATAGTCATTTTAGCTAGAAAACATACATAGGAAAATAAAATAAGATGCCAGTACCCAAACTACATTAATATGCAAAACCAAGTGCTTATTTACAACTGAATGAAATATTAGTTGAAAGTTTATAGGAGTACCAGATTTTGCAAATTAAAATACAAGATGTCTATTTAAATATAAACGATAAGTTTTCAGGGTAAGTATGTTCCCTGCAATATTTGGTATGTATTTATCCTAAAAAATAATTATGACTTATATCAAATTCAAATTTAACTGAGCATCCTGTATTTTATCTGGCAAACCTACAAATTTAGCATTTCCAAAAATTTATGGTGGTTTATAATAGTGTTTCCAGGAAAGGCAGAGAAACTCTAAAGTACTTCCTACAGATATAAATACATTTAATTCTTGACTATAATGTTATTTAGGGAAAGCAAGGTAGAAGGAATAAATTTCTCTACAAAAATTCTTACTTTATTTGGCACAGTTCAGAAATGCACTCTCAGTGTAAATGGATTGCATTCATGTATGTCTTACTCTTGGATTTGTTTTTAAAATGTGTTCTTTCCTCCAAGGGATCAACAAATTGATAAAGCAACCTCCCAGGCCACATCTTATTAGGCAGCAAGCTGCCTTCTTTATTATGGGAGTAAACAATATTCAAAAGCTTCAGAAAGACTTAATTTTTTGCCCTTGTATACTCACCAGAAATTGAATACAGTTTATCTGCCTTGATTTAAGATTGTGACACTGAATTGAACAAGAATGCAGTATGAAAATAGTGTTTAGTATTTGTGTATCTTTATAATTTCAACAGTTTAAAAATAAAAATCAACAAATTCATCTAAATGGCATTTCTATTTTATAACTATGAAAAAGACTATCTGTTTACTTGCAAAGGAGCTAAGGGCTTTGAAAACATTCAGTCAGTCTAGATCAGGGGTTTAACTTGAGCTTTGTGGAGACCATCAATCCCTTGAAAGAAACTGGTATGTATAAGTAATTTTCTAAGGAGTGGATCTATTGAATTCATCATATTTTCAAAAATATGTGAAAAAATGTGAATCAATATGGGTTTAGAATCACTGCTATGTTTATGTGTAAATGTTTATGATATACAAAAAAATTAAAACGTGGATAATTTAAGTTTTCCTCTTTGTACCCATTTCTTTATGTCCAAATCACTACTCCTATAAAAGTTTATCTAATAGGATAAACTCTCTTTTTATAAAGTTCTTTGCTACTAAGTCTTTATGATGCACAAAGTACCTCTGGGTAGAAGAAAAATATTTAAAAAGTAACCACCAAAATATTAATAGACGTATGTTGATTTTGTATGCCTAACATTCGTTCTCTCTTCTACTGGTAATAATGCCTTGAAAACTTTTGAAGAATTATTCCTCCCACTCTCTGGTCATGTGATTTAAGTGTGGTCTTCCCCAGTTAAACCAATTAAAATATTCCATATGTCTGTCTACAGTGATTGGCTCTATGGTCCAAATTGTTCCTAAAAAGTCAGTCCTGGAACTTTTTTCTAAAACCACTGAGGAAGATGTGCTGTTTTTCTGCTAGGATTGCTACAGTGGGAGAAGGCAAACCTGAAATTGCTAGTGGCCATCCTTGTGGAAAGAATTTGCTAAAAGCAATGTAAACACAGAGAATGTTTTTGTCTTACCCTGTCTCAGAGTGTGATGTAGGGGAAATCTAAGCCAAAACACTCATCAACATTTCAACATTACTTTGGTTTAAATCTATCAACATTATATATATGTCTACATAAATGTTAGAATCTTGGTCATTTCTGTTACATTTTATCTTCGTCTACTTGACCAGGCTAACCCTGAAGCTTCTTTGTAGAATTAGTGTAAATGTTTTTCACAGGAAAACATCACTAACCTCCCGGGTCTGAGTGAGATACCTCTTCTAAGCTGCTTCCATAACATCTTTTTTGTTCACCATAACATTACTTGTTGCATTGTATTACATGGGCAAATTAATTTTATATACATCTAATTTTCACCAGCCCCTTCCCTGTCTCAATATGCCTAATTAATTAGTGAGGTTTGTGAGGGCAAAAAACATGTCTGTCTTTTTCAGAATTATGCCCCCAGTGCTGGACACATAGAAAGTCCTAACAAAATTATTGAAGAAAAAAGTTGAGAATCGTTCTGTCTTTTCTGGGGAATCCTACCATTCCCAATCCTCTTCCACAGAATCACAGGTACAAGAGATGGCAGCCATCTTTATAACACACGACACCATGTTCTGACGGTGGATGCTAGGACCAAATGGAGTATCTGACTCAAATATGACTCAACACAATCCTTCCTTGGGGATCTAGAATTAGTATCAAGAGTTCTGTTCTTCACCTGGGCTGGTCTCTTGAATGAAGGAGAAGTAAAACTTCTGGAATCGTGGCATGGCTATTACTATATAAACAGGGTAACAGAGATAGTTTGACAGTATATAGAGAAAGAAATAAAACAAATGTCCTGAGAGAGAAGTTGAGACGGGAACATGTGATGGCATACCATTTCCTGTTCCAGCCCTGCCTTGGACTGCAGCAGTACTTCTGTCCTTGATGTCAATGAGATACTGATGCCTCCTTAAAATAAATTCCTTCCCACCTTTCCTTTTTTATGATTTTTGGCCTAAATTGGCACTAATTGATTCCTGTTACACTCAAACCAAAAGACTAAATGAAGGCAAAAATTAACTGTCTATGGCTTTGATCGGCTTGACGGAATATTTGAATATTTAGAAATATCAATCCCACTAAATTTTCTACTTTCCTCTGAGAAAGTTATATAAAAACACTTTTGCTGATTGTTTTTCCCTGACTAATCCTGAAAAACAAAGAACTCTTATGACTGTTGAGTGGATAAATCTACAGTTTTTAACAATGATAAATCAAGACATTATCAATGACCGATTTTGGACATTCACTTCAATTGAGGGTAACTCTTGGGAAGAAGTTAGTATTTTCAAAGTCAGAGTTCCTCAAGGGCATGATGATCAATTGACATGCATATCCATAACCTTCCTGATTACATATATTCTGGCCCCAGATGTTTGATTTTACTTTCAACTTTACTTTGTCACATTTGAATAACCATCTAACAGATTACCTTGCACATAAATTTTATGAATGTTGTTACAATTCGCATGAATAATGTTTATACTTCTGTGGTGAATTTTATTTTCTAATCTATAACTTTTGCTATAAGTTCTTACATGCAAAACAAGGAATTAAACAGATTTTGAGAACACTTGCTATGTGTATAGACTTAATCAAATCACTTATCTTTGCTATTATCTACTTGCCAAAGTGTATTAAAATAATGCATTAGAAGTGAATTTAGGGTGAACTAAAGATGCAGGATTGTGAATAACCATGCTAGGGCATTTTGATAATGGAATCATCTCAAATAAGCTAAAAAGGATAATTACATCACTTTAAAAATTTATCTTGTAATGAAAATTAAATCTAATATATTCCTTTTAAAACTACTTTTTATTAAACAAATAGGTGTACATAGATTAAAAGGCCAAATAGATTTTCAAAGCTCATAATGAAAGTTAGCCATTTCTTGTCCTACCTCACATCTCAATAATTCCTGTTCCCAGAGGTACACTCATCAATTCTTCTTAGCTGATTCTTCTGTTGTTTACCCTAGGTATCTAAATAACTTTACTATTTTTAAAAAAGTGTTAGTTTAGATATTGTTGACTGTACTATCTACTATGAAAATATGAAGATATATAACAGTTTTATTCCCTCCCGGTGGACACTTTATCCAAATTTTTGGGCAAATCAGAAGTTTATAATTATATTTTTATTAACAGTTAACTCATATAATATATGATGATTAATTTTTTTGATATAGCTCTGTTTTTCCTGGAGTTAATAATTACGTTCTTTGTCATTTTCTTGGTTTTTTAATGCACTATTACTACTTCATCCCCAAATCCTCAGCCAGTGTAATAATTCAAATATATTAGTATGTTCAAAGACATCAGATAACCTACCAGTTTAAGCTTTCTCCCAATGGCAGTGTCCTCCCTGGAGCTCTCTATCCTTGTTATCCACTCTATGCTACTTGCTCTCTGTGACTGAAATTTCCTTTTCATCATCATCTTGGGAATTCCCCTGATTTTTTCCTGTGTTGTATTCCAGGTTTCTTAAATGCTATATGTTGCTCTTTCGTGGTTTACTACTTCCTTTTCTTTTCTTTTTTCTCCTTCCTTTTCTTCTTTTTTCTTTTTTTATGTCATTGTTTTTGGAGTTAATTCTCATGAGAAAATATATATGCAAGGTAATTTGAGATTTGGCAAGAGTACAACTGCCTTTATTTGGCACTCATATGTGATCAAGGTGTCAAGTTCTAGGTAAGAAATTATGTTCCCTCAATTTTTAAACACAGTGCTTCATTTGCTTCTAGCTTCCAGTGTTGAAGCTTCCATTCTGTTTCCTTATCCACTGAATGTTGCCTGCTTCTGTCCCCCAGTGCCACCTAGAAGCTTTCAGGATTCTTCTTACCCTTTAGTCTTCCGAAATTTCACAGTGTGTGGCCCCATCCCACCACTTACTGAGCTGGAAACTTGTTGAGCCATTTCAGTCTAGAAAGTTGTGGCTTGTCAACAGTTCTGAGAAATTTCCTTGTATTATCTTTTTATCTGGAACTCCTATTATGAATATCTTGAGTCTTCATGGATGTGTACTTCTGTTTTTTAATCTTTTCCTCTTTCTATCCCTTTGGCCATTTTTTTGTTATTTTGTGAGAAATTTATTCAGCTTTGTTTTCCAAACCTTTACTGCATTTTAAATTATGTAATCATATTTTAATACCTTATATTTATTTTTTGATTTCTCAAGAGCTCCTTTATACAGTAAATTATCCTTGTTTCCCCTGCACTCCCTCTTTGTGGTCAATAACTATGGGTTTCTGTTGAAGATTTCTTTCGTTCCATGAGAATTTTGCTTCTTAGGTATTTCCTAATTAATTTTTTTTCATAGGATTTGGTATCTATCTTTCATGTTACAAGTTTTCCATACATCTTTGGTCATGATTCTAATATGACTAAGGCACTAAACATATATTAGAAGTCTATGTGTAAGAGTCGAGTAGGGATCGAAAATGTTTGTCAAGCAGTAGGTTTTGGGAGACAGGGCAGGGACCTTGCTGCTGGTGGGTTACAATCTATACCTCTAAATATGTTACTCTTGAGTTAATCACATTCCCCAGAAATAAAAATCCTCCATACTCGGCCTTCTCAAAGCTCAGTCAGGGAAAGAAGCTTAGTATCTCACTGCTCTGTGTGCAAACTTTCATTTAATATCTCTTCAGTAGGGTAGTACCTTTAGTTAATGTCGCTGAATATGAAGTTCCTGTGGCTTTACCCTAGGCTTCTGGGCAGGCAAGGAGAAGTTGTCAACTAGTAGTGTGGTATAGTAGGAAATATAGGGTTTTCAATGATTCTTACAGGGAGTTTGTGCCAATCCTTATGTTTCCAATCTGATCTGCATCCAACCTTCAGGAGTACTTGTTGCCTCCAGTAATAGTTTGATTACTCTGTAAGTGAAAATCAGCTTGTGCTGGGTGTCACTCCTGCTAGGAATTAACTTTCGGCTTTCCCTGACCTACTAGGTCAATTCCCTTTCTTAAAAGTTTACAAAAGTTTGTTGACCGATCCTCAGATCCTTCTAATGTCTTTTTGGCACTTCTTTTTTCTTTCTCTTTGCTAAAATTACCATTTAAAAAGACCTTTTACTGTTGTGGAATTTAGAGGGAATGAAAGCAAGTCCGTAGCAGCAATTATCCAAAGATAATTGAAGAAACCAGTCTTCAAACATGAAGTCCTGGCCCATGCCTATGTCCTGAATGGTAATGCCTAGGTTTTCTTCTAGGGTTTTTATGGTTTTAGGTCTAACGTTTAAGTCTTTAATCCATCTTGAATTGATTTTTGTATAAGGTGTAAGGAAGGGATCCAGTTTCAGCTTTCTACATATGGCTAGCCAGTTTTCCCAGCACCATTTATTAAATAGGGAATCCTTTCCCCATTGCTTGTTTTTCTGAGGTTTGTCAAAGATCAGATAGTTGTAGGTATGTGGCGTTATTTCTGAGGGCTCTGTTCTGTTCCATTGATCTATATCTCTGTTTTGGTACCAGTACCATGCTGTTTTGGTTACTGTAGCCTTGTAGTATAGTTTGAAGTCAGGTAGTGTGATGCCTCCAGCTTTGTTCTTTTGGCTTAGGATTGACTTGGTGATGCGGGCTCTTTTTTGGTTCCATATGAACTTTAAAGTAGTTTTTTCCAATTCTATGAAGAAAGTCATCGGTAGCTTGATGGGGATGGCATTCATGTCTAAAACACCAAAAGCAATGGCAATAAAAGCCAAAATTGACAAATGGGATCTAATTAAACTAAAGAGCTTCTGCACAGCAAAAGAAACTACCATCAGAGTGAACAGGCAACCTATAAAATGGGAGAAAATTTTCGCAACCTACTCATCTGACAAAGGGCTAATATCCAGAATCTACAATGAACTCAAACAAATTTACAAGAAAAAAACAACCCCATCAAAAAGTGGACAAAGGACATGAACAGACACTTCTCAAAAGAAGACATTTATGCAGCCAAAAAACACATGAAAAAATGCTCACCATCACTGGCCATCAGAGAAATGCAAATCAAAACCACAATGAGATACCATCTCACCCCAGTTAGAATGGCAATCATTAAAAAGTCAGGAAACAACAGGTGCTGGAGAGGATGTGGAGAAATAGGAACACTTTTACACTGTTGGTGGGACTGTAAACTAGTTCAACCATTGTGGAAGTCAGTGTGGCAATTCCTCAGGGATCTAGAACTAGAAATACCATTTGACCCAGCCATCCCATTACTGGGTATATACCCAAAGGACTATAAATCATGCTGCTATAAAGACACATGCACACGTATGTTTATTGCGGCATTATTCACAATAGCAAAGACTTGGAACCAACCGAACTGTCCAACTGGATAGACTGGATTAAGAAAATGTGGCACATATACACCATGGAATACTATGCAGCCATAAAAAATGATGAGTTCATGTCCTTTGTAGGGACATGGATGAAATCGGAAATCATCATTCTCAGTAAACTATTGCAAGAACAAAAAACCAAACACTGCATATTCTCACTCATAGGTGGGAATTGAACAATGAGAAGACATGGACACAGGAAGGGGAACATCACACTCTGGGGACTGTTGTGGGGTGGGGGGAGGGGGGAGGGATAGCATTGGGAGATATACCTAATGCTAGATGACAAGTTAGTGGGTGCAGCGCACCAGCATGGCACATGTATACATATGTAACTAACCTGCACATTGTGCACATGTACCCTAAACCTTAAAGTATAATAATAATAAATAAATAAGAAAACAGTCTTCAATATACTTACTTTTCTCTTAAAAATTAATCTTACTTTTTTATCAAAGTGATATATTCATTTTATAATCCCCTTTTACATTATGAAATTGTAAAAGTGGATTACATAATGAAGTCTCCCCTCACCCCCACAGAACCCACCTCTCAGAGACAACCACATTTAACCACTTCCATAATGCTATGCAGTGCACTTGAAATTCTATCTGTTGCATCAAATTTATAAAATATCCCTGCCCACTATATAGAATGAAGATACTTATACTTATGTTTTTACCACTTTTATATCCCTCCTAGTATCCTTCTACCTCTGACTAGTTTCTCATTTCTGTTGTGAAAGTTGATAACATTTACATTTTGTCCTGCAACCATGTTTTCTTCCATCTTTACACATTGAGTTGAAAATGAACATACCACAATTATTTTATTATGACTGATATATTTTTCACTGAAGAACCAGCTAATTGACTACAACTTTATTTTCTTCTTTTTGGGTCTAACAGTATGAAACCTGTACCACTTCCAGGAGAATGTGTCTAATCTAGGTTGAATGTATGGTTTTTCCTTGCATTCCATCAACTGCTTAAAATGATGCCTGACATTTTTTGCTTTATGATAAGATCAGGACTTTTTCAAACAGGTTTTTGTTTGTTTCCAATTTGGCTTCCTTTTTTCTTGTAATGAACCATATACTTTCTTTAACATGTCACTAATGTCTTCTAGTTGCTTACCCACTCTGTTTATGGCTTGGGGTCCATTCCACTCTACTCCTTGAAGACATTCCTGTTGCAGATTTTCACCTATCTGTTCAACTAATTGCTTTCTTGCTTGCTGCTTAGCTATTATCCCAGGGGGTGTTTTCAGTGGACTGACTCCTGAGTTATTTCCACCATGCTTTGTATCTTACACTTTTTAAATGTTTTTCATTCTCATTTTTTGAAGCATATCTTAAAATAACCTCTTCAGAAATGATACCTATGAAATGAAACTCCTATGTCTTTATGTGAGAATATATGTATATATATATTTTAAATAAATAAATATATATATACTTGAGACGGAGTCTTGCTCTGTTGCCCATGCTGGAGTGCAGTGGCACAGTCTCGGCTCACTGCAAGCTCTGCCTCTCAGGTTCAACCGATTCTCCTGCCTCAGCCTCTCCAGTAGCTGGGACTACAGGTGCCCACCACCACACCTGGCTAATTTTTTGTATTTTTAGTAGAGACAGGGTTTCACTGTGTTAGCCAGGATGGTCTCAATCTCCTGACCTTGTGATCTACCCGCCTCAGCCTCCCAAAGTGCTGGGATTACAGGTGAGCCACCGCACCCGACCCGAGAATATATATTTTTTTGCTCTTAATCCTTGGTTGATAGTTTAGCTGGAAATATAATTCAACGTTTAGAAATCATTTTTTCCCCTGAGAAATTTTAAAAAGTACATCACTTTTTTGTCTTCTAGCACTCATGATTGCTGGTTGGAAATCTGATACTAGTCAGAAAACTTTGTAGGTTATCTACCTTACTTTCTTATTCACTTGATGTTCTGGGATTTTACAACTATTGAACATTATTAACATTATTAATTTCTACCCAGCAGTAATATCTCCTCCAACAAGCCTAACAGAACCCTGGTTCATTTAGATAACTACCCCTCCTTCACACAGTATTTGTGATTCAAGAAAACTTGCCTCATCTCTACTATAGGGGTGATCTTAATTAATTCTAATCCTGTAATATAATCTCATCCTCCCTGTTAGTGAGATTATTTAGAAATAGGCCAGGGATCTAATTCTGGACAAGGGGTGAGTTGCAGAGTCTTTGGGGAGAGTCGTTTATTGCTCTTAAGAGACAATTATGAGGAGTGTGCTTCTCTCTCTCCTGGAAATAAAAAAGAAATAATATTGCATCACTTACCTCTGTCTCATTTTTGACAATGAGAAAAGCCATTCCTAAAAGAAAGCTAACCCACAGAGGAATGATAACAAAGAGGATTACATTCAAACAAAACTGAAGCCTGCTCATTCTAAGCGTGGCATCTGCTGTGCTTTTGAAGTTCTTGTTATAGGGCCAATAACATGTTTTGTATTGTTTAAGACTGTTTCTATTGAGGTTGTTTTTTTTTCCCCAAATCTGAAAGTATCTTAACTGATACTAAGTTGTAGAGAAATGAGTCTTGTATCTATCATTCTTGAGTCATACGTGCTGATGAAAAGGGGTGGGAAATATGGATGGGGTATAGGACTGTCACTCTCTGATATAGTTTACTAGTCAAAATTCCAGTCTAGCTGGTGGCATGACTTCCACCCTCTTTGCACCTGCCAAATTCTAAATCTTATTTCTCCTTAAATGTGTCATATACTTGACATAGTATTATTACAATGCCTAGAGACAGATTGCCTACATGCAAATCTTGGCTCTGCCACTTCTTAGCTAGGTAATCTTTTGCATGTTATTAAATGTTGTGTGTTTCAGTTTACTTATATTTAAAATGTAAATGTAATGGTACTACTGCACAGTATAGT
Source organism: Homo sapiens (assembly GCF_000001405.40). Taxonomy (NCBI): domain Eukaryota; kingdom Metazoa; phylum Chordata; class Mammalia; order Primates; family Hominidae; genus Homo; species Homo sapiens. The sequence continues at coordinate 105,305,318 of NC_000008.11, read as the reverse complement.
TTGTATTAAAAAAGTTAATATATGTAAAGTGCTTGGCATAATGAAAATGCTGTATAATTATTAGCTATTAACAAATTGTTCTGAATCTTTTCTCCTCTTCCTTTTTAGCAACAGAACCAAAGTCTTGCTCAAGATATTCAGGTAGAAGTATTAATTTTAGGAGTTTATCCTCCAAATAGTTTTGGCTGTGTGATGTAGTTAAGAACAATAAAATGCAAGCAGAGATCTGCTAGGTGAGGCTTCAAGAGAACCTAAAATGTTCTTTCCCAAAAGCCAGAATGCAACTTTTCTTCTTGGCCCACCCTCTTGTACATATCTGGAATAGAACGTGATGCTTGGGTATAGAAAATCTATCTGGTAATCATAAGAACAAAATCTATATATACTGTGAATCATACTTGGAAAGGGGAAGGAGCTGGTTCTGATGACTTCGCTTGCTGTATACCAGCTCTAAACTGACTCTGGATTTCTCAATACATGCTTTGTTAAGTCACTGTATTTGCATTTCTGTTACATCAAGCCAAGGGCAATCCTAACTGCTGCCCAAGGGATCTTTTTGGAAGGGTGGTGCTCTCTTCTTGCCTTCTAAAATTCTGTCTTTAAGAAGGCTATTTGCTTACTCTGTTTTATACTTCAATGGGTTTTCATCCTCTTCCCATATTTATAAGTTGTTTAAGTAAATAATTTGAATAACTACTTCCCATCCTCCTTGCCTTTAAGGTTCATTCTTTTACTATCATTGTATTTGCTTCTCTGGAGGAAAAGGAAATACTAATAAAACCTATCTCAGGGACTGTGAATTTTAATGTGCCCAGGGGCCTTAGGGTAGTATAAAAAATGAAGTAAACAGATCTAATAGATAGGAATTGGTGAAGACTCTGGAGATGTGGAGAGTATATGTCCATGTTAAAGGTATTTAATGCAATTAAAAGAAATACTGTACAGCTCAAAGAAGATAGACCTATTAGCCTAATCTACTGGGTTGCAAGGTTTCAAACTCTGATTTGAGCATATCCTTACTGAACTGCAATGTGTGTTCTCACCAAAACACCATCAGTAACAACAATGAAGTAACACAAAATTAGGATTTTTTAAAATTAAGTTTTTTTAGCTAAAATATTTTCACTTTTCTTCTAAATAGCTTTTTCCTGTTTTGGTTTTAGGCTGATACAGAAAATAATGCATTAATTCTAATAGTACACTCAACAGGCAGACCAAACAAAACACCTTTGTGTGGGTTGCTATGGCATTGGAAGAAAATCAACTGTAGGGGAAAATGTAAGATAGCAAATATACGTATTTCCAACCATCATCCCTCCCTATAATATATGTGGCTTAATATATATGTTGATGACTTAAGTTATAACAACTTTAAGCTTTATAAAACATTTTGAAACTCTAACAAAGCAGTTGTTACTAATGATACCCAGTTCCTGCACATAAACCACCAGTATGTACCCTAACTTCCTGTAAGACTAAACCTGAATGGGACCAACCAGAGACCAAACCTAGGTCAATCCCTTCTCCTAGCGGTGGAAATAAAGGCCAGCTGTGGTTGTTTTGTTGATTGATCAGCGCTTTTGTCCTACACACTTGCATCTGTACAGACAAAGTTTTACCAGTGAGGAAATGAAGATTCAGAATGAAAAAGTGCATTTCTTACACTCACACAGGAGCCAGAGAAGCTGGACTTCTAACTATGCTCTGCCTAATTAGAAAACTGATGGAGCTTCCTTTGTGCTATTCAAGCTCTTCTAATAGTGGGCAGTCAAGAAATCTGGACTCATAAAGATATGGACAGTGGACTGGACTGGATAATCAGAAAACCAGAATTCTAGTTTAGACTCATCCACTTTGGGAATTTTATTTCACTTCACCTCTTTTTTCACACTGAGGATCATTAAATTTTATTCAGGTACTAAATTTGATGTCTCTGTGATTCTAAATATTAGTTTTAAGTACTATATTTTAGGCTGTGAATTTATAAGTAGTAGAAATATTGCCTGAGTATTCAATTCATGTGGTGCCTACTCACCTGGACAGACCTTTAAACTGTTCTTGATAATGTTGACAATTTATCAAATTTTGAATTGTACTTTTCTTTTTTTAACTTTTATTTTAAGTTCAGGGGTATATGTGCAGGTTTGTTACATAGGTAAACTTGTGTCATGGGGGGTTGTTGTACAGATTATTTCATCATTCAGGTATTAAGCCTAGTACCTATCAGTTAGTTTTCCGGATCCACTCCCTCCTCCATCCCTCCACCTTCTGATAAGCCCTGCTGTGTTTTGTTCTCCTCTATGTGTCCATGTGTTCTCCAACTTTTACATGAGAACATACAGTGTTTGGTTTTCTGTTCCTGTGTTAGTTTGCTAAGGATAATGGCCTCCAGCTCCATCAATGTCTTTGCAAAGGACATGATCTGGTTCTTTTTTATGGCTGCATAGTATTCCATGGTGTATATATACCACATTTCCTTTATCCAGTCTATCACTGAGTGATATTTAGGTTGATTCCATGTCTTTGCTATAGTGAATAGTGCTTCAGTAAACATACATGTGCATGTGCCTTTATAATAGAAAGCTTTATATTCCTTTGGGTATATACCCAGTCATGGGATTGCTGAGTTGAATAGTATTTTTGTCTTTAGGTCTTTGAGGAATTGCCACACTATCTTCCACAATGGTTGAACTACTTTACATTCCCACCAACAATGTGTAAGTGTTTCTTTTTCCCTACAACCTCACCAGCATCTGTTATTTTTTGACTTTTTAATAGCCATTCTGATTGATGTGAAATGGTATCTCATCGTGGTTTTGATTTGCATGAAACATACTTTCCTTATTACCCTTTTTTCTCTACTTTAATATGTTGAAGAACTCTATACAGGAAAAAACAAAATAATCATGTCTTTGGAACAAGTTCTTTTGAGAATTCCCAATCCAGATGTCTGGATAAAGAGGCCCTGACCTTTTATCATGTTTTTGGCAGTTCAGTTATAGGCTGAATGTAATCCAGCCTGAGGATTTTCATAATATATATAGATGCTTATTCGAATGTTTGGCAGAAAGTGGTTTTGAAATATTCAAGATCAGTAGGAAATTTAGTTCATGGCTAAGTGTTTCTGTATCTATGACTACAAAATCTCATTTAAATACTCCCTTGGTAATATTATAAAATTTGAATTTCTAAAGAACTAAATAGATATGACCAACAGTATTTTCTGTTTCAACTATATTCTAAAACAAGTTTTTGACTTATTTAACTTTTAAGCCCCCTTTTCCTGTAAAAAAAAAATCTGCTCTGTCACATTGCCATTCAACATCCTGTTCCCCTATTTTCTCAGGCTCACAGGAAAATTGTTCACTGTTGATGATTAAAATAGGAAAATACTTCCCACTGATCATTTTGTTTGATCAAAACTTAACCTCATTAACAAGAACTACTTAAATCAAGGAATACTGAGGACTTTCCTGTTTTCTTAACGATAAGGTAAAAATCTTTTTTCCAATGAAATATAACAAAACCCAGGTTTTCATATTTAAGATACCATCACAGTATTTGAATTCTCTTCCTCTCTCATCATTAGTAAATAAATTTATGTTGTTTATCTGTTATGTACCTGGCCAGTCTTCACAGGATTAGCTTTGCTACTTGAAGAACTAGTCAAAAAAATAGACTTGGTCACAGTCTGATTTTTTTCTTACCTCATTGACTGAAATGCTACAAAATGGAGATTTTTTAAAAATTAAAAGCAAATAACTCTGAGGGCCAATCATTTATAATATAATGTTAAGTATCTCAGTTATAATTTTACATATTAATAACCAGATAAACTGGAAACATTCACTGAAAGGAGTGAAAAAGTAAGAAATGGTCACGCGTGCCTGTAATCCCAGCACTTTGGTAGACCAAGGTGGGAGGATCACTTGACCCCAGAAGTTTGAGACCAGTCTGGGCAACACAGGGAGGCACTGTTGCTACAAAAAAAATTTTAAAAATTAGTGTGGGCATGCTGGCACATACATATAGTCACAGCCACTCAGGAGGCTGAGGTGGAAGGAGTCTGAGAGATTGAGGCTACAGTGAGGAGGGGCAGTGCCACAGCCCTCCAGGCTGGGTGACAGAGTGAGCTTCTGAATCAATCAATCAATCAGTAAGGGAAATTAATATTATTATTATTATTATTATTATTATTTGGAGACAAGTTCTTGCTCTGTCACCCAGGCTGGAGTACAGTAGTACAATCTTGGCTCACTCCACCTCCTGTGTTCAAGTGATTCTTGTGCCTCAGCCTCCCGAGTAGCTGAACACCACCGAGTAGGTGGTGCACCGAGTAGGTGCCCACCACCACACCTAGCTAATTTTTGTATTTTTAGTAGAAACGGGGTTTCATCATATTGGCCAGGCTGGTCTCGAACTCCTGACCTCAAGTGATCCACCTGCCTCGGCCTCCCAGGATGCTGGGATTACAGGCATGAATCACAGTGCCCAGCCCAATAAGGGAAGTTAATTTGCGGTTTTAGCATTAAGAAGACAGTGCTGATTGGGCTACAAGGCAGGCTCACTACAGTTCACTCATGGATTGACTGACTCATTTATTTATTCAATCCAATATAGTTTCTGAGTATTTGCAGTGTGCTACTTTCTCTTCTGAAGGTTGGTGATAAAAAGACAAGTTGAAGCCAGGAACAAGATGGCAATATTTAATAAATGCTCCGGGGAAAAAAGTGAGCATAAGATGAGAAGAGAAAGCTGAGCAAAAGGAGAGCCTGTGTTAAATTTGAACTATTCAGACATTTGGACTCAGGCCAATACTGCTTTCCTTCATAATGACACTTTAGTCAGAGAACAAAAGCAAGTGTGTAGTTTTCCAAAAGCAAACAAACCCATATCTTTCAACTTTTTATCCACAACTATTATCTCTGTAAGGGAATACTTCTATATTTTCAGTAAAACAATCTGATTATAAGAGTAGTTTATTTGGCAATATCTGTGACCTAAAAACATTCATTTACTTCTCTTTAGCGTAGCTACAGGATTATAGTTCACCATGTTGTAAATAATGAGGAAGGAGCACCTTACTCAAGCTATCAATAAACACTGAAAAGAATGAAGATATTGGTTTTAATTTAATGAATGCCTCCATGATTGTTCCTGACTCTCCTTGTTTTAATATTTAATTAATCTACTAAGTTTTCTTCCTAGCCATGTGAAACAATTTTGCAATAGAAGACTTCAGATGACATTATAATTTTTACAACGGATGAAGCACAGACTGAAAGCCTGGTCTAATACAACCTTCCTAAAGGTGTGCTCTGCTCACCTGGTCATCCTGTTCTGTCACAGCCAATCATTAATACAATACACAGGAGACAGAGGGCATCTGGAAGTCAGGAAAATAGGAAGCAACAGAAGTATTCCTTGAGGACACCGCACTATGATAGTTTGCGATACGTTAAGCATGATTATCCCCAGTACAAGGAAGGAATACATACTGATTTCTAATACAAATGTCTAGATTCTGTTCATAAAAAGACTGATAAGCACCATTGCCTAACTATGTAAATATATCTTCAGAAATACTTTAATGAAAATATTATTTTTAAATGTGTTATTGTATAATATGAGTTGTTTTCTCCCAAATTCCTGTGTTGAAATCTAACCCCCAGTACTTCAGAACATGACCCATTTGAAGATAAGATCTTTATAGAGGTAATCAAGTTAAAAGGAGGTTATTAGGATGGGCACTAATCCAATCTGACCAGTGTCCTTTTAAAAAGGAGACATTTGGAGACAGATATGCACACAGGGAGGACACGATGTGAACATGAGGGGAGAGGTGGAGGAATGCTTTTACAAGTCAAAGCCAAAGATGGTCAGCAGAACACCAGAGCTAGCAGAGTGGCATGGGACAGACTCTCCTTCATAGCCCTTAGAAGGAAACAGGCCTGCCCACACCATGATCTTGACTTCCAGCCTCCAGAATTATGAGACAATAAATTTCTATTGTTTAAGCCTCTCAGTTTGTGATAGCTTGTCATAGCAGCCCTAGCAAACTAACACATTGTGGATGTCTTTTCTAATACTGTCTTCAAAATATTGACTACTGCCTTGTTTATGGCTTAGCAAATATCTTCTGCCTGTTTGGTTTTGTAACCCTCTGTGATCCCAAATATTAGTAATTGAAAATAAAAATAATAACAGCTAGTATATTTTTGAGCACTTACCATATCCCAAGCTTTGCTTTGGTTGGTTCTGAGCCCATGGGATAAATGGAGAATGATGGAAAGGCTTTTCATGTGGAAAGAGTAACTGTATTATTTAAAGTTTTAATAGTAAATACTAAGTATATTTTATTCAGTCACTGAAGGTTTGGGGATAGGTTTAAAGGAGCTAATGTTACTTACCCAAACACAGAAATTGATACCTTGAAGTAGAGTACTGCTCCAAAAAAATCCAAAAATATAAAGCCTTAGGGTAATGGTATGTGATGAGCAAAATGGGTACACACTTAAATTGAAACTGATACTGCAGGCTGGTAATATGGCTTTGCTCAAACTATTGCCTGCTCTACCTTAGAAGAAAGACTGTAGGCCTACAATTCATCTCTAGTTAGGTATTGAAATGCTTCACTACCCTAGTATATGTTGTCTATTATGAGTTGCATTTCACAAAGTATTACCAAAAAAAAAAAAAAATTTCAGAGAATAATTAATCAGCTTGCAAGCAGAAATGGGAGACAGTTTAGAAACTCAAGGTCTTCCAGGGTTGAAAAACCCAGCTGCTTGTAGAGATTGAATTGAGAAGACTTTGAGTGATAAGACAAATTAAAAGTCTTTCAAGTTCAATAGTGACTCACAGCAAAAGTTGGAGTAGGAGTGTGCTTGACACCAATTGTTCAGAAGACCCAATGGTGGCCAGCATTAAATTGACTGGGAAAGAGGCATGAGGGTGAGAAAGTAACCATGTAAAATAAATCTGAACATTATTTTTAGGAAATATCTCTGGATAGGGTTACTGGTTACATGGTACTGGTTGAAACTAATAGATCAGAAATCTGCAGGGTTTTTAAAGGAATTGTATCATCAAGGTGATATGGTTTGACTGTGTGCCCTCCCAAATTTTATCTTGAATTGTAGTTCCCATAATTCCCACATGTTGTGGGAGGGACCTGTTGGGAGATGATTGAATCATGGGGACTGTTTCTCCTATACTGTTCTCATTGTGAGAACAGTCTCACGATGAATAAGTCTCAAAAGATCTGATGGTTTTATAAGGGGAAACCCCTTTAGCTTGGTTCTCAATTTCTTTTTTGCTGCCACCATGTAAGAAGTGCCTTTCGCCATCTGCCATGGTTGTGAGGCCTCCCCAGCCATGTGGAACTGTGAGTCCATTAAATCTCTTTTTCTTCCCAATCTCAGGTACATCTTTATCAGCAGTGTGGAAACAAACTAATACAGTAAATTTGTACCAGTAGAGTGGGGTGCTACTGTAAAGACACGTGAAATGTGGAAGCAACTTTGGAACTGGGTAACAGGCAGAGGTTGGAACAGTTTGGAGGGCTCAGAAGAAGATAGGAAAATGTGGGAAAGTTCGGAATTTCCTAAAGACTTGAATGGCTTTGACCCAAATGCTGATAATGATATGAACAATGAAATTCAGGCTGAGGTGGTCTCATATGGAGATGAGAAACTTTTAGGGAACTGGAGTGAAAGTGATCCTTGCTATGTTTCAGCAAAGAGACTGGTGGCATTTTGCCCCTGCCATAGAGATTTGTGGAACTTTGAACTTGAGGGAGATGATTTGGGGTATCTGGCAGAAGAAATTTCTAAGCAGCAAAGTATTCGAGAGGTGACCTGGGTGCTGTTAAGAGCATTCAGTTTTAAAAGAGAAACGGAGCATAAAAGTTCAGAGAATGTGCAGCCTGACAGTGTGATAGAAAAGCCCATTTTCTGAGGAGAAATTCAAGCCAGCTGCAGAAATTTGCATAGGTAACGAGGAGCCAAATGTTAATCACCAAAACAATGGGGAAAATGTCAACAGAGCATGTCAGAGACCTTTGTAGCAGCCCCTCCTATCACTGGCCCAGAGGCCTAGGAGGAAAACATGGTTTCATGGGCTGGACCCAGGGCTACCTTGCTGTATGCAGCCTAGGAACTTGGTGCCCTGCCTCCCAGCTGTTCTAGCCATGGCTAAAAGAGGCCAAGGTACAGCTCAGGCCATGGCTTCAGAGGGTGCAAGCCCCATGCCTTGGCAGCTTCCACACGGTATTGAGCCTATGGGTGCACAGAAGTCAAGAACTGAGGTTTGGAAACCTCCACCTAGATTTCAGAAGATGTATGGAAAGGCCTGGATGTCCAGCCAGAAGTTTGTTGCAGGGGTGGGGCTCTTATGGAGAACCTCTGCTAGGGCAGTGTGGAAGGGAAATGTGTGGTTGAAGCTCCCACACAACCCCTACTGGGGTACGGCCTAGTGGAGCTGTGAGAAGAGGGCAACCGTTCTCCAGACCCTAGAATGGTAGATCCACCAACAGCTTGCACACTGTGCCTGGAAAAGCCACAGACACTCAACACCAGCCCTTTAAAGCAGCTGGGAGGAAGGTTGTACCCTGCAAAGCCACAGGGGTGGAGCTACCCAAGACCATGGGAACCCACCTCTTACATCAGTGTGACCTGGATTTGAGACATGGAGTTGAAGGAGATCATTTTGGAGCTTTAAGATTTGACTGCCCTACTGGATTTTGGATTTGCATGGGGCCTGTAGCCCCTTTGTTTTGACCAATTTCTCCCCTTTTGAATGGCTGTATTTACCCAATGCCTGTACCCCAATTGTATCTAGGAAGTAACTAACTTGCTTTTGATTTTACAGGATCATAGAAGGGCCTGGCCTTGTCTCAGATGAGACTTTGGACTGTGGACTTTTGAGTTCATGATGAAATAAGTTAAGACTTTGGGGGACTGTTGGGAAAGCATAATTGGTTTTGAAATGTGAGGACATGAGATTTGGTAGGGGCCAGGGGCAGAATTATATGGTTTGGCTGTGTTCCCACCCAAATCTCATCTTGAATTGTAGCTCCTATAATTCCCACATGTTGTTGGAGGGACCTGGTAAGGGATAATTGAATCATGGGGGCGATTTCTCCCATACTGTTCTCCTGGTAGTGAATAAATATCATGAGATCAGATGGTTTTATAAGGGGAAACTCCTTTCACTTGGTTCTCCATTTCCCTCTGCCACCATCATGTAAGAAGTGCCTTTCACCTCCCACCATGACTGTGAGGCCTCCCCAGCCATGTGGAACTGTGAGTCCATTAAACCTCTTTTTCTTTCCAGTCTCAGGTATGTCTTTATTAGCAGCATGAAAATGGATGAATACACAAGGAAACCACAAGTCCATTCTTGAAAAAAGTCCTATTTTTGAATTCAAATACTAAAATCAGTTCTTGGATACCCACATAAAGAAAGCAGCATTTGAATGCCTCCTCCAAGAAGAACATCTCTTCAGACTGTTTAAGATGTGCTAATAACAATATTGACATGGAAGAGTCTGCAAGAAGGCAGAGCCAGTAGCCACAGAGAAAAACATGACAGGGTTATCCTCTCAGAGAATAAAATCAAGGCCTCATCTAGCAACCTCTTCCTCCCTACCCTAACCCCACCTTGGGTGTGAGACTTTCACAATGTCTGTGTAGTGATATTTCAGAATCACTAAAGAATATTGATTATTGTATATTTCCTAGTCTTCCCCTTCCCAATTCAGAATATTCATTGTAGACATCCTGTGTTTGACAGTGAGGTGGGGTGCAGATAACTTGTCATTTTGGTTCATAGGTCACCTGACCATGAGGAGTCACATATAGGCTTGATGGAGAAGATTTCTAGAGAGATCTTGCATCCTAATATAGAGTTAATGAATGGAGGAACATTGGGTTCTTTCCTTTAGGGAGAGGGTGGGTGTGAGTATGTTTGATACATGAGAAGAATGAGACAGATGTTTTGTTGACCAGAGTATGAACTACGGCTGAGACCATGCTATGTGTTTAACAAACTTTTTCTTCTTCCTGGGCACATAAGACAGGTGCATATCTTATTCTCCCTTGCATTAAGTCAGGGGCCATGTGACTTATTTCTAGTCAATGGACTGTGCAAAAATAGCGGGAATCACTTTTAGGCCCACCCCTTAAGACAATACTGCACAATCAATCCTCTTTTATTTCCTTTCAGTGTTGACCCAGTACATTTTTCAAAAGTACTACATGTTAGAAGCATCTTTGTCCCTGAGTCACCAGCTAGAAAGGGAGCTGCTCAAGAGAGCGTCTTGACCTGCCGTGGAATGTGGCTTAAGGAAAAAATAAACAGAAATTCTGAGGTCTATTTGTTACCACAGCATACCCAAGTCTACCCTTCCTCAAATATTCTAAACATACTGCAGCCCATGTTAGGCCAATTTATATTCTGTGCTATATGTCAAAAACAGTTTGCAATCATGTTAAAAGTCTAAGGCAGTCTAATCCAAAATACAGCCAGGCATAACATTCTGGTTTGACAATCCAACCAGAGCACCATCTCCCAAATTACTCTGAGTAATACCTGTTCCAGTGTATCATTTTTGGCTCACCAAAGCTAACTTTTCCTCAAAGGATTAGACAGAAGGTAAATGTTACTTCTATAGGAATCACTAGTAAATTTCAAAAGAGATTTTACTGTATAGTCATAAGAGTTTTGTATCACACACTTAAATCTATTTTATGTGTCTCTACATGTGTCTTTCCAGTTTTTGTGGGTTATCTTCACTCCCATAAGTAGGGACTAATCTCATTTGTTGTCCTGCTTTCTTCCTGGATGTTGGAATAGATATTTCAATACAGATATCGAAAAGACAGTAAAACTAAAGAAAATCATTAATCACTCCTCTTTGATGGCCCTTGATTTGATGTCCTTTTTGCTTCCTCTCCTGTGGCATTTTCTGTGATGCATGAAAGGTACAAAGAAGGAGTCAAAAATTATGCACATGTTAGGGTTGCTGAAAAGTCTAGCACTGGGCAGATAGTTCTTCACTTTCACAGTTGCTCCTTTTCCCCAGTGGTCATAGACTTAAGACATGATTTGCTCATTTTTATTTTGGAAAGTTTGCCTTTATTTTTCCAAACTGAATTATGAGACTTTTTATATATGATTAGAGGGAAGACTTTTACATACGCATTTTCTTTTTATTTTCTTAAATTTCTTTCTCTTTTATTATTTTTTTCTTGTTGCTTTTGACTTTTTTCTTAGTTTTGGTTTTTCTTTGTGTTTTCATATGAAATATCTTCTCCACTTCAAGATTATAAAAATCATCCACTGATTTTTCCATTTAACTGTTTCTTCAATTTTTATAAATTTAAATCTTTGATCCATCTTAAGTTTTGCATAAACCATGAGATAGAATTTCAGGGATTTTTTTTTCTGATAGCTATCAGGTGGTTCTGACAATATATTTTGAATAATACAGTATTGTTTGTTCCCCTGTCAATTTATTATTATTCTGTTAAATTTCTACATGTACTTATTTCTATTTCTGGAGTCCCTATCATTTTTATCTTTTTTTAAAAAAAATTCTAATATAGATTTCAATTTCTTCTGGTTTTTCTCTCAGTGATTTAATTATTCTTTATTTTTCTGATATCTCTTCATCTCTCTTAGGTGTTGATGTTCCCACTATTTTGTCCTTGGCCACTGTTTTTCTTCTTCTTCTTTTTTTGAGATGGAGTCTCACTCTGTCGCCCAGGCTGGAGTACAGTGGCACCATCTCAGCTCACTGCAACCTCCACCTCCCGGGTTCAAGCAATTCTGCCTCAGCCTCCCAAGTAGCTGGGACTACAGATGCATGCCACCGCGCCCAGCTAATTTTTGTATTTTTAGTAGAGATGGGGTTTCACCATATCAGTCAGGCTGGTCTCGAACTCCTGACCTCAGGTGATCCACCCACCTCGGCCACCCAATGTGCTGGGATTACAGGCATGAGCCACCGCACCAGGCCCACTCTTCTTTTTTACATTTTTCGTATTATTGGAAATCTACTTCCATGATTTCAATCAATAGCCACATAGAAACAACTTTCAAATTTTTATTTCCTGGTTTGGGCTCTCTCTGGAGTGCCAACACAGTCACCTATTATGTATATACCCCTCTTTATCTTTTGTTTGTCTCAAACTCAACATATCTAAAATGGAAGCTTATCACTCCTACTCTCTCCCCTCACCGTAGCCTAAATCCCTTTTTCCTTTGCATTTCATATCTTAGTCATCAGCAGTACAGCCCAGCCCATCCCATTGCCCAAACTGAGAAATTCAGATTCATAAATCATCAGTTTATACCTCCTTTTTCATAATTGTCATGTTTACTCTAGCTAAGAAACATTTCTCTAAAACATATTTTATTCCTGTCCCTTAATTTGGGACTCACATTTCATTTAGACCATGATCAAAGTCTCTACTAGTTTCACCATCTTCAATATCTGCCGTCTTAGCCACTTATCCTTCACATGGTTGCAAGAGCTATAATTTAAAGTACAAATTTGATCATGGCACTCCCCTACTTAAAAGCATTATTCGTCTCTACAAAGCCATTTTTTTTTAAAGCATTGTAAGCACTCTCAACCTTATCCTTATCTTTCTGGCCTTGTCTTGCACTACAAACCCTGTGTTACAGCTCTTTTAGGCTGGATCCCCTGTACACCGAAGATGCCCCTCCCTTTCACACTTCGAAATTTTGCCTTTAATCCACTTTCCTTCTTTATCCACTTTTCACGTGTATTTGAGCCTTCATGACTATCTAATTGCACACCTTCTCTCTCTTTTTTTTAACCTTCCCAGTAGACGTACTCCGTTTTTCCCATTCACTTTAAACAAACTTTCATAATAACATTTATCACAAAACATTATAGTTATTTATTTGAATGGCTGCCCTTGAGGACTGAATTATTTTCTTATTCATATTTGTATTCACGGCACCTAGCAAGGACTACGCCATATAGTATGGGTTCAAAAGTTGTCCTAAAATTGAATTCAAACCACAAGAAAATCTCTAGTAACATTTGGCCTTTTAATTTTTTTTAATGTAACAGCAATTCATTCAATATACCACACCCACATCTATTTTCTTTTGGATGAATTACCTCTCCATCAATGAGTACTGTCTTGGTATGGGAATAATTTCAGGTCATTCTCTCCTACAACTTGAGATAATAAATCCAATTTCTTTTGTGTTCCTTTTGGAACAGCCAGTGAAGAACATGTGAATGTATGTATGTGAATGATTGCATGTGAATGATACAAGGAACAGAATGAATGGTACAAGGAATAGAATTAATTATTCAGTGACTGAGGAGCCATCTGTAGGTCAGTCATCTCATCATCATCAACAGCAGCAGCACTGTTCGCACTCTAACTAGGTTACAAGATGAAGCTTGATTGTTTCTAACCCCTTTACTATGCAAAGCTTCCTCTGTTGTTGATTAAAAGTCACCTTTACAATGACCTCTATCGTGACCAACTTAAAATGATAGCCCCTGCACACTCCCAGTCCCTATACTCTGCTCTATTTTTTCTTTTACACAGCACTTACTATCTTCTAACATAGTATATCATTTTTTAAATTTGTCAATAATTTATCCACTCCAGACTTTTTTGTACTTACTATTTCCAATGTGTATCTTTTTCCATCCATTTCCTTTCAGTTAATCTGTATTTTTATATTTAAAGTGTATCTCTCATAGACAGCATGTAGTTGGATTGTGCATTTTTTGTTCTAAGAATTTCTGTTTTTGGATGATTTATGCTATGAAAATTTAATTGAATTATTGATGTGGTTGGATTGGGTCTACAATTTTATTATTTGTTTTCTATTTGTTTCTTCTTTTCTTTGTTTTTCAGTTATTGATTTCTGCCTCATTTTGGAATATTAGGATAACTTTAAGCCTATTTCAATTTATCTATTGGCTTTTCAGTTATGTTTCTTTGCATATTTTAAATGATTTCTCTAGGGATTAAAATATGTAATTCTTACCTATTTACAGTCTACTTAGAGTTCATATTGTGCTACTTCCCATAAAATATAGAAACCTTGGAATCATATAGGCCTATTAACCACCCATCCTTTAGGTTATAATTGTCATATATATCTATATTCAGTATAACCCCCATGAGACAATGGCATATTTTCTGCTTTAAGCAATCTAACGTACCTTAAAGAAACTGAATGTAAAATAAAAGCCTTTTATATTTATCCAGATAGTTACCATTCTTGATGCTCTTCCTTCTTTCCTAAAAATCCAAGTTTTCATCTGGTACCATGTTTCTTCACGCTGAAAGACTTCCTTTAGCAATTCTTATGGTGCAGATGGGCTAGTGACAAATTTTTTACAGTTTTACTTTATTTGAAAATGTTATTTCTTCTTTATTCTGGAAAATATTATGTTCACTGGATAATTCTAGATAACCATGCTTTATCTATTTACAATTTTTAAGATGCTCTTCTGATCTCTCATATTTTCCAATAAGTCAGAGACCAAACTGTTTTCTCTTTATATATAATATGTCATTTCTCTCTTGCTGTTTTCAACATTTTCTCTTTATTATTGGTTTTCAGAATGGTTTTCTTCATTTTGGTACTGTTTTGGGCCCAACTTTCCTGAGTCTACAAATGTATGGCTTTCACAGAATTTGGGAAGGTTTGGTCATTATTTATTCAAATATTTTGTCTCCTCTAATCTCTTTCTCCCCTCACTTTTGGACTCTAATTTTATGTACATTTAAACTTTGATATTTTCCCACAGGAGTTCTCTGATTTTTTTCAACATTTTTCTCTCCATTTATTAGATTAGGTCCCTTTGATTGACATATATTCATGTTCAAAGACTCATACATCTGTTATCTCCATTATACAGTTACAACCATCCAGTTAACTTTTTATTTCAGATATTGGTTATTTCATCCTATATAATATTTAAAAATTCTTTTTCGAGGTTTCTTAGATTTTTATTATGAGCATACTTTTCTTTACCTTATTAAGCCTAGTTATAATGGTTGCTTTAAAGTTTTTGTCTGCTACTTCAAACATATGGGATGTATTAGAGCTGGCTACCATTGACTGTATTTTTTCCTGAGAAAACTGACTCTTTACATATGGAGTGATTTTACTTCATTGTGGACATTGTGAATGATATTTTGTGCAGGCTCTAGATTCTGTTATTTTCCTCTGAACAACGTTTTATATTTTAGCTTTTTTTTTTTTTTTTTTTTTTTTTTTGAGACGGAGTCTCGCTCTGGTTCCCAGGCTGGAGTGCAGTGGCGTGAACTCCGCTCACTTCAAGCTCCGCCTCCTGGGTTCATGCCATTCTCCTGCCTCAGCCTCGTGAGTAGCTGGGACCACAGGCGCCCGCCACCCCGCCCGGTTTTTTTTTTTTTTTTTTTTTTTTTTTTTTTTTTTTTGAGTAGAGACGGGATTTCACCGTGTTAGCCAGGATGGTCTCGATCTCCTGACCTCGTGAGCCGCCTGCCTCGGCCTCCCAAAGTGCTGGAATTACAGGTGTGAGCTACCGCGCCCGGCCTTATATTTTAGCTTTAATAGGCAATTTACTCGAGACCAGCCTGGTCAACATGGTGAAACCCCATCTCTACTAAAAATACAAAAATTAGCCGGGCGTGGTGGTGAGCACTCAGCTACTCCAGAGGCTGAGGCAGGAGAATTACTTGAATCCAGGAGGTGGAGGTTGCAGTGAGCCGAGATTGCACCACTGCACTCCAGCCTGGGTGACACAGCGAGACTGTCTCAAAAGAAAAAAAAATGGCAGTTTACTTAGTGAAACCGCAAATACACACTTAAGAGCAACTCAAGCCTCCTTTAAGACATTTTTCCCTTTTGCTGGGCCACTTGCAGTAAGCCCTGCAGTCACATGACTCAAAGATCAGACAGAGATTTGGACATAGTTTTTCACCAATTTGAGTCTTCTCTCTGGCTTTTTCTCTTCCACTATTCTCTACTTTCCAGCAACTATGGTTGTCCTCAAATTCTGTCTCCTGGTTCTTCAAGCCAAAGACTCTATGTTTTCTACCAAGGTTTTATGTGCCCCACGTGGAGCCATTGGTGTCCTGTCTTGGCTTGCCCATCAGCTAAAAGATATTGAAACAGGAAACTCACTTTGTGAGCATATAATCATGTTCATGTATTCATGTTCAAAGTCCCTTTTAGAAGTTTTGAGACTCTTTAAGAACCAACATGTTTTTCTTCCCTTTCCAGAGCCTTCAGGTAGTTCAGTTCAGTTGTTGTCCAACACTCAGACAGTTATCTTTGGGAAAGCCAATCAGATAGAAACGTACTCAGCCACGCCAGAACAGAACAGCTCCATGTCTTTATCTGCTTTGTTATTATATATTTTGTATCCTCAGGACAGGCATCATTATTTTTCTACTGATGCATCCAAATAACTAAGAACTATGCTTGGCATATAATTAATACTCAAATTATGTGAAATAAATAATTGCATTATAAGGTGTCTGAGAATGCCTAAAACTAAAAACAAGACAAATTATGGAGAAAATATAAAACTTTATTTTAAGACACAAATACCTCATTAATGAGAAAACTCAATCTAAAAAAAGTGTTAATTATTTCTAAAGTAATATATAAATGCAGTGTAATTACATTTAAAATTAAAACTGGGTGTTTTTCTTGGATATTGATAAGCTGAGTACACAAATTTACTCAGAGCAAAAGGCCAAGAAAAACAAAGACAATTTCGAAAAAGGAAAAGGTGAAGTGTTCTTTCCTCACTGACTAAATAACTTATTACAAAGCCAAATAATTATTTTAATGTGTTGTTTACACAAAGATTGACAGAAATACGAACAAAATATAAGATAAAAACAAGAGGCAGCTATTTCTGTAAGTGGCCTAGGGTGATCTGTGAAAATGGCTTGCTATTCACTGAACCCAGAAAACTCCACAAAATCATGCAAATCAAGAGGTTCAAATTATCATGTTCACTTTAAGGACACCCATGAAATGGCCCAGGCCATTGAAAGTATGCACGTATGAAAAGCCATTGAGTATCTGACAAATGTCACTTTGTAGAAAGATGTCTACCATTTCCAGGTTACCATGGTATAGTTGGTAGGTAACGCCCAGGCCAAACAATGAGGTTGGACACAGGGTTGGTTATTCAAGAAGGGTGCTGAATTTTTGCTACATATGCTTACAAATGTAGAGTAATGCTGAAGTTAGGGATTTGGATGTAGATTCTGTGGTCATCAAGCATATCTAAGTTGACAAAGCACCCAAGATGCCCACAGGATTTACAGAGCTCATGACGGGATTAACCCATACATGAGTGCCCCCTGCCACATCAAAATGATCCTTACTGAAAAGAAGCAATTTGTTTCTAAACCAGAAAAGGAGGTTGCACAAAAGAAAATGGTATTCCAGAAGAAACAAAAACTATGGCAAGGGACTCAAGAATAAAATAAATATAAACAAAATTTAAAAACAACAACAACAAGAAGCAGAGCCACACAAATACAGATATTTCATTTCTGACAGGTGATATGTAAAATCAATGGATTTTTTTAAACAAATGGTGCTAGGAAAGTTAGTTATCTGGTATAAAAATAATATTTTATCACTTGTCTCACTCCAACAAAATTCCAGAGAGATGAAAAAGATTATTATAAAAAACAAAATGTTTAAATGATTAAACAAATTAGTACTTAATATTTATAGAATTTTGTGGTCAAAAATATCTAAAAGAAGAAAATAATCTCAAATAAAAAATTATATATTTTATCTTTCTAAAATTCAAATAAGCTGAATGTCAAAGAAAAATCCAAAAATATTTTCAGTGCATATATCAAAAAAGAATTTTTATCCTGACAATATAACAAACCACTAATAACCAATAAGGAATAGACAAAGAACCTAGTATAATATGAAATAAATTATATGAAAAGCAATTCATAGTTGAAAAAAATAGATGGAAAAAATACATGATAAACATTTGAAAAGATGTAAAACCTAGATAGAAAATGGGATGATACAAACTTTAGAGGCATGATACCCATTCACACTCATCAGATTGGCAAAAGTTAAATTCTGAGTGTGCCATGCATTGGCAAGCATGGAGAGAAATGGAAACTCACACACTGTTAGTAGTAGTGTGAATTAGTCATTGTTGGATAGCAATGTTTCAATATGTGTAAAGTTGAAGATGTGCATATTTTAAGTCCCAGCAATTCTACTCCTAGTACTATATCATAGAAAAACCATAGTCCTTGGTCACAAAGAGACAAATACAAAAATGTTCATGAATATTTGCAATAGTATAGATTTATAGTAACCTTCAAGCTCATAAACATAAGGCTATAAATAAAATGCAATATCTTTATACAAAAGAATATTATAAAGCAGCTGAAACGAATTAACTAGCGATACATGTATCAACATAGATAAATGTGAAAATGTAATAGTAAATAAAAAATGCAGACGGTATACACATGACACAATTTATATATGCATTTAAAGGTGAAAAAACAATATTATATATTTTTATGGTTTTAAACCCATGTCATAAATATACATAAACTTGCATGGGAATGATTAAAACAAAATTCAAGAGTAGTTAACTGTGGGGAGTGAGGTGATTGATATGAAGAAGGAGATTCACAGTGTAATATTCTTTTTCTTAAGTGGCTGGTGTGTACATGGATGTTCATTATATTATTGTCCATATATTTTTGTATGACTGAAATACTTTATATAAAAATGGAGATAGTAAAATCTATATAATAGTGTTGTTTTGAGAAATAAATGAGATAATACTTACAAATATATATAGATATAAAGGGATGCTGTAATATTCACAAAAAAAAAGCCCAATGGGAAAATGATAGAAATTGGTGAGGTGGGAATGCATTTTCTATAAAATAAGAATAACCAGTTGGAATTTGTAGTAAAAAATACATCATGAAAATATCTAGCAATATCAGTAAAGCAAAACATTAAAAATGCAATGTCAGATCTGTATTAAAATTTATATTATTGGGATGATAAATACCAACTCAAACAAATGAAAAGATAAACTGGACCCCTAGGTAAGACTGAAATGTGTAGAGATGTTATTGTTATTCCTTTAAAAAATAACTTACAAGGTAATCATATAAAATTTATATTTTATGTGTTAAGTCACTAACACAGAAGTATATTTTTAAATAATTCGGGCAAAGGGCTAATATTTTGTTAATAAAAATGTTTCTAAACCAATATAAAAAAGTTAAGACTCCAGAAAATAAAAAGGCTAAGGAAACGAGTAGGTAATTTACAAATGATGAAATGCAAATAGCAAATAACCACAAAAAGTGCTTAATCACACCAGTCATTGAAACTATAATATTAAAGGAGCAATAAACTTTACTTATCAAATTAGCAAAAATTTTAATAATCTAATAATACTCATTTGGGGAGAACTCCATAGTTGTGGCAGGAAAATGTCAGGAGTCTCCTCCACAGATATCAATGACAAAACATGGGCAAAAGTACAAAAAAGAACCATTTTAAGGTACCAGAAAACATCCAATGGCAAGCTTGAGAAATATTCATACCTGAGAGATGTTTATTCTAGAGACTGCCACTGCATTGAGCAAGAACTCCAAGTTTGTGGCTTTCTTGCCTGGGGAAGCTCTACAATTCCCCTGGTTCAGGTAGCAGGAGATGACAACCTTAGCAACTCGAAGCAGCAAATAATAAAGTTCAGAACCGTAGAAGATCTGGAAATTTAATACTCCAAAACCTGAGCATAAACTTCACTCAAATCCTCAGCTGACTGTTGAATCAGCATTTCACGATTGATAATTTAATAAGTAATATTATGTACTTATGATAGAATAATATAAAATAATTAAAATATCTTTGAAGAATACTTAATAACCTAAAATAATGCCATGTGAGAATCCTAGGATTCCAAACTATATATACATACTTTGTGCTTTCACTTTCATAGGAAAAAAAAAGAAAGAAGGAAGAAAGATTTTATATCTATATACCAGGTATTAACTGTCTTTTGTACCACTTGCTCCAAGAAAGCACAGATATTGTTTTGTTTTTGGTTTGGGTTTCTTTTTGGCAGAGTCTCACTCTGTCACCCAGGCTAGTGATCTCAGCTCACCTCAACCTCCGCCTCCCAAGTTCAAGTGATTCTCTTGCCTCAGCCTCCCAAGTAGCTGGGATTACAGGTGCACGCCAACACACTGGGCTCATTTTTGTATTTTTCGTAGAGACAGGGTTTCACCATGTTAGCTAGACTGGTCTTGAACTTCCAACCTCAAGTAATCTGCCTGCCTTAGCCTCTCAAAGTGCTGGGATTACAAACGCGAGCCACCGTGCCTAGACCTCACAGATATTCTTAGGTGAATTCATTTCTAAACCTTACCTTCCCTGTGTGTGTATTCTTCTCACACAGGTCTATCTGAAAATGTGCCAAGGTATATTTTGGATTGTCCTTTTCCACCCTCTTCATTGTTAAAGAGCTTTATGAATTTTTTTTTAAATGGATATTAGTGGCAGGTATCAAACTACTATTCTATTTAGATGCTAATAAATAAACAATGAGGCAGTAGTTCTATTTAAAAATATCAATACATATCCTTTGCCGTAAATTATATGTTTTGAAATGATTTAAACGTAGTGAAAAATGTCTGATGTGAACCAAAACTTATTTAAGGAATTAGTAGTTATTCAGAATTTATGTTAGAGTATATGAACAAACAAGTTGAAGACCATGGCCTGAAGAACACAGATAAAAACCTTAGTTGATCAATGGGGGTTTTACTGAAGATCTTGTTGGGGGACAGCTCAGGCAAAAATTTTTAAATGTTTTGCTAGATGCTTTGGTTCTTCACAGCACTTTTAGAGCACAGTGCCACAGGAGTTTCGGATTTGTTTTCCCCTGTTCTCTCATCCTTACAGAACTGCAGCTTCCCTTCTCTTCTCTAAGATACCAGCCCAGCTTCTTTTTTTTTATCATTTGTTTTGTTTTGTTTTGTTTTGTTTTGAGACGGAGTCTCGCTTTGTTGCCCAGGCTGGAGTGCAGTGGCACAATCTTGTCTCAAGGCAACCTCTGCCTCCCGGGTTCAAGTGATTCTCCTGCCTCAGCCTCCTGAGTAGCTGGGATTACAGGCACGCGCCAACCACGCCCGGCTAATTTTTGTATGTTTAGTAGAGATGCAGTTTCACCGTGTTAGCCAGGATAGTCTTGGTCTCCTGACCTCGTGATCCACCCGCCTCAGCCTCCCAAAGTGCTGGGATTACAGGTGTGAGCCACCGCGCCCAGCTTCTATCTCTAGTCTTGCATACCTAAATTTGCATCTGTGCTTCATAGTACAGAGCACTCACCTTTCTTAGAAGCCAGTCCAGAAACCATCTTCACTTACTTGACCTTGCCTTTGGGCTTTTCGTTTTGTTTTGTTTTGTTTTGTGAATATTACAGCATCCCTTTATACCTATCTCTATCTCTATCTCTATCTCTATCTCTATCTCTATCTCTATCTCTATCTATCTCTATCTCTATCTCTATCTCTATCTCTATCTCTATCTCTATCTATCTGTGTGTGTGTGTGTGTGTGTATGACTGGTAGAAAATTCTCCACAATTTTAATATTTATGAGGCATTTTTCTTTTCTTTTCATGCTGTTTTGTATTTTTTCCAAAATGTCCATGAAACTGTTTATTATGAAAAATTGATACAAAAAATTAGAAGAAATGGAATAAAGATTTATGGGAAATTAAAATGAAAAAGGCAGTTTTATAAATCAATGGGAAAGGGATGGATTATTTTTTAAATGGTGTAGGGAAAATTTAGAAAACAAAAAGTTTTAGATCGTCACTTCATACCATATTTGAAAATAAATTTCAGATAAGAATTCAATGTCACAGACTTTGTGGGATGCTCTTTTCAGTTCACAGATAAGAAAAACAGGCCTTAGAGTTGCCCACTTTCATGAAGTGGTGTCACCCTCCAGGTAGGAATTTTCTAATCTAGAAGCTCGGTGAGTCTAATTCAGTGTTCTGTGTGGTAAGACCTTTGTTGAACAGAGCGAACACTTGCCTGCTTAGTACTGTTCAATTGCCAATGGGGTGAAAATGAGGGCATTTGTGCAAAGGAGAGCCTGGGGACCTAGGGCCCCTGGGCCCTGCACTTCACCTTCAATCAGGGCAATATTCCTTTTCTCTGTTAAATATATGGGGATACCAAGTCAGATTCTATTTTACAAAAGTTTTCTGTTGCAAACACAAAAAGTGTTTGAAAAATGTGCCCTGGTATAAACATTCATATATTAGTTACAACCATTTACTCAAAAATGGTGCTACTAATGCTACTAATTAAAACAAAAAAGTTCCTGTTTTTGGAATTAGATGTGAATCAAACAACTAAAATTTCTTATGCTTGCATATGCCAGAAGGGCTTCCCAGTAAAATGCTATTTAGCTCTTGTAGAATATTGCCAAAGAGAATTGTGAATTCCATAGAGATTATTTTTTGCCAGTAATAGTTCTACTGCAATCTAACCTTGGCTTATCACATAAAGGAAACCACTGTATTCTGAGCATTTAGACAAAGAAGTAAAAGCTTTTAAAATTTGTCTGTAGTGGGTGTCAATATTTCTCTTTTAAGTGATAAGCCAACCATTACAGTATTTCATCTAAGAGTAGTTTTTTCCTGTACAAGCATTATTGATGGCAGTTCACTACTTCAATATGATCTCTTCACATTTTTTTTTTTACATTGTAACGAATAGCATAAGCAGAAATAAATCTCATTAAGGCAGAATGCTTAAAAACTGCTTCCCTGAGTTTGTCATCTTTTGGTACAGAATCTTAACTAATAGTTAGGTGGATTGCTGTTCAGGTATGTTTAAAAATTCTAGGATTCTTTTTCTTGGACAGGAGGTATGTTGATGTATGAACAAAGGTAAGTATGCAGATGTATAAAGGTAAGACTCAACCCTTACAATGTGCCAGGCACTGTTGTAAGCCACTTATATTAATAATTTATTTAGTCTTTATGTAAACCTTAGGAGGAAGGTACCAATGTTATCTCCTTTTGGAAGATAAAGACACTGGGTCACAGAGAAGGTCAGTAATTTCCCAAAGCCACATGCTTATTAAGTGCCAATGTCAAGATTTGAAACTACACAATGTAGTTCAAGATTAGTCCCTTAGCATTTTACTGTTTTTAATGGACATTGAAGACAATATGTACAGTTTGACTTACAACTGATATGTGGTTAACTCCACTCAATTATAGCACATTTCAGATGCTCAGTCATTCATGCCACAAATATTTATTGCATACCTATGATGCTGTGGGTATATATGTTTATATTCAGTGGACATCTGTTGGTTTTGCCCGTTTTCATCCATGTTCCCTTTTGCTGAGAGGAGCATTCCAGTTTTGTTTGGGCAACTACACATTATCTATCAAACAGACCTGAAGAGAATGGCATCTACTGGCCTTAGATATGCCCCAAACTAGTTCAGTAGGACTCTCACCTGAAAATTTGATTCTTAAATGGAGTGATACAAGCATAAAAAATAGCACTGATTCTTCTCTATAACATAGTCTTGATATTCTTGCATCCCAGCTTACTGTAGCTATCAGGTTATCTATCTTTTCTGTCATGTTCCTCAGTTTTTCCTTTGATGTAGGCTAATTCATGTTATTTTGATTATTTCCTTTTTTTGGTTAACTTAGCCTACCGAGTATGTTTGTTGCTTGCAGCCAAAATGCCCTAGTTGATAAAGAAATAAAACTGGACCCTTCTCTCATAGAACTTACAGTCTGGTGGGAGAGACTAACATATCAATAAAAATGTTAATTCATTGTAGAAAATTCCCCTATCACCTGCCAACTTAGCTATATGACAAGAGAAGTATGGGAGGTAAAAGGGGCACATAAGAAGGAGCACCTCCATTGGACTTGCTGGGTCAGGGAAGGTTTCCTCCAAGCATTCATGTTTAATTTGACATGAAAGATCAGTGAAAGTTTCTAGGCAAAGAAAAAGTATCTCCTGCAGAGAGAGCTACATATACAAAGGTCTGGAGGTGATGACATGATGTAGTGATAAAGTCAAAGGACTGAGAGAAGGAAGCTTACTGTGATGGGGTCAGATAGATTGAGAGAACAGACTACATTGGAAAGAATAAATCATGCGCCACTTTGTGAGCAGTGTTAAGGAATTGGGATTCAGTCTAAAAAGTAATCAGAAGCCACCTAAGGATTTTAAATAAGGAAGAGACAAAAATTAATTTTAAATTTTAGAAAAGTTGCTCCAACAATGTTGGGGATTGATTGGATTATGTTAGGCCCCAAGGCAGGATGATCAGCGAAGAGGCTGTTTTAGTAACTCAGTCCAAATCTGATTATGGATTGCCCTAAAGTGGAGGCAGCACGAAGGGAGGATAGATGTTTCGTGGATAAAATTGATAAGACTAAGAATTCTAGGAAGATGGCTACCTGAATGCTGTTCTCTTCATCTCCATATCAGCCCCATTCTTCAAAACTCTTCTAATTAAATGGTGCTAGGGTCTATGAGACATAGGTTTCTCAGTACCCAAGGTAGTCCAAACAGAGGAAACTGGAGTGGCTTTTCTCCTTCTCAGGATAGATGTCCATGGTGGGCAGATTTTAGGGCATCTTCCATGACTCCTGGGCATAGTGTTCATGCCTCTGGGTGATTTCCTTCCCTTGAATGCAGGCAGGACCTGTGACTTGTTTCTAGCTCTAGATTACGGAAAACGTGGAAGGATGTTATGTGACCACATTACATAAAATTGTAATACCCGCCTTGAGAGGAGGCCCTTTCCCTTACTCACTGGCTTTAATGAAGCAACCTACCATGTGTAAACTGCCATAGAGATAGACAGTCATATAGCTAGAAACTGAGAACCTCAGTTTGGCAGCCTGTGAGGAATGGAATGCCACCAACAAACGAGGGGGCTTGGAAGGTCTTACCGAAGTTGAACCCAGATGAAAACCCACACTTGGTGGACACCTTAATTATAATCTTGCAAAGAACCCTGTTGGATTTCTGCCCAACAGAAACTATGAGAAAATAAATGCATGTTGTTTTAAGCTGCTAAATTTGTGGTAATAGCATAATGCAGCGATAAATAACTAATCTAATGGCCAAGGATGGTAAAGCAGCGTACTCTGGAAAGAACGTGGCTGATAACAGCTTGGGCCCTTGAAGAAAACTAGACACTGGCTGTATACCTGGTCTCCTTGGCCCCCAAAAGCCAAGAAAGAGGAGAACCAGGGAACTCAGGCCCAATGAAGATAAACACAGAAGAGTATGAGAAACCCGGAGAATTGGGAGACTTTTTTCAGAAGCATAGTTTGGAAAGTAGGGCCAATCTTGTTCTAACTCCTCAGAAAATAAGAGGAAAGAACATGACAACTTTTACCTCTTGTGGGACGGTTGACATGGAGGGTAGTTCATCCACTAGATGTGAGCTCCAGTGATCCAGCAAAGAGAAATAACAATCAGTCTGAGGAGGCCCAGCAGCCAGAGCCAAAAAATTGGTAAGAATATACAAAGCCCACGTGTAGTGAAATACTATCTGGAAAGAAACCAATGGCTACTGGAACAAATAATAATAATAATAATAATAACACTCAGGTAGAGTTGAGTCTAACTAAAGAAAATGTAATATCTCAGTGTAACCACATTCGGATAAGTTTGAAGAATGGGTGATCACTGTTGACAGACAAATTAATGCCTGGAAGATCAAAAAGAAATTTAATATAAAAGAACAAAGCAAGCCAGGCACAATGGCTCACACCTGTAATCCCAGCACTTTGGGAGTTTGGGGTAAGTGGATCACTTGAGGCCAGAAGTTTGAGACCAGCCTGGCCAATATGGTGAAACTACATCTCTACTAAAACTACGAAAAAATTAGCCAGGCATGGTGGTGCTCATCTGTAATTCTAGCTACTTGGGAAGCTGAGACATCAGAATCACTTGAACCCGGGAGCCTGAGGTTGCAGTGAGGCAAGATCATGCCACTGCACTCCAGCCTGGGTGATAGAGCAAGACTCTGTCTCAAAAAAATAAAAAAAAAGATACATGCTTATCCTGGTATTTTGAAGTTCAAGAAAAAGAGAAAAATCTTGCAGATGGCAAGTTATTCATAAACAAAAAGGAATCATAGTAACATCGGACTTCTCATTTACAACCTTTGAAGCTAGAAAAATGGTAAAATAACATCTCTTAGTACTGTGAGAAAAGACTAAACCCAACCAACATATCACTTGCCAGTGAGGGTGAAAGTAGGATATTTATGAATTTTAGAGGTCCAAATATACCATTAGGTATGCTTCCCAGGGAGAATAATGAAGAAAGGACACCAACCTAAACAAACAAACAAAACACCAGAACCAAAACTTCATAACAGAAGAATTGAGAAGGTGCTGATCAAAAAACTTAGTTTATTATATAGAGTTAATCTAAATGTCTGGAAATGGGTAACATGTGTTAGTAGCTCTATACTGACATGGAATTTTTGATAATAGTCTAGAGATGAAAGTATTAGATTTTCTGAAACAAAATCTTGATGTAGGGGTGAAGGGAAAGAGAGAAGGAAGAAGTCAAAATCTTCCAGAGCTCTCATTCTGGGAGAGCATGGGAGTTAGAAAGCCAAAGGAGGAAGGAAGTGAAATTTTACAATAGCTTCACTTGAGAGCTCTGTTCAATGTCCTGGCACTTCCTGCATAATTCTATTAAATATCTGGGCATTTCAGTTGTTTTTCAGGAGGTTACTGTTGAATTACTTCGTACTCAACATTGCATGAATCACAATACTATAAACTCTGTCTCATCATTTTCTCCACTTCTGTAAAGCACCTTGGAACCTTAACAAAGCAAACAGTTGTTTCACTCAGGAAATCACTGACTGAGTGACAAAGGCTACTAATATTCGGTGGGATTTTCCTAAATACTTTGCTTCTTTTGGCAGTTACCAAAATTGCTATATTTGGTAGCACTAAATGTATGAGCTCCACGCCTAAAAGCTCCTTTCCATCTGCAGGAAGGCTGGAACTGCAGCAGTCAAGAAGTACCTCCAATTACCTTTCAGTACTTCAGAGTAGCTCTCCAGGTAGCACCTCCTCCCACCGTCCTCAGCCTTCCTGTTCTGATCTGTATTCTGGGCTAGTTCTAGTACTTCTGCACTGTATGAGTATTTCTCTCTACTGACTCTATTCAATCTATGCATCCATTATGAGGAGTCTCTGCAGTACTCTTGACAGCAGCCTCTTCTGCCTCCTCACTGTGTCCTACATACCCTCAAGGCTCAGTGCTTCCAGCTTCCTCTTGTCCCTGAAGTAAGTTCACACAAACTGTAAATATCACCAATGCCATCAACAACTATATCAAAGCTCTGTAATCATGCTTTCCCTGAGATCATTTACTTTCTCAAATCACACCTTACTTAGAACCTGGAAAGCAGTGTGATTCTCATTAGAGCCCGTCTGTGGGAACAGAAAGCCACTTACTCTTCCTTTTAATCATCTGAAGCCATTTAGTGAGACTGTTCCAAACGTAAATCCTCTGTATACATCTTTGCTTCTAGTTTGACAATTTTAAGTAAAATTATTTTTATTTTTATTGTTTTTGAGACAGAGTCTGGCTCTGTCACCCAGACTGGAGTGCAATGGCATGATCTCGGCTCGCTGTAACCTCCGCCTCCCGGGTTCAAGCAATTCTCCTGCCTCAGCCTCCCAAGTAGCTGGGATTACAGGTGCCCACCACCATGCCCAGGTAATTTTTTGTATTTTTAGTAAAGACTGGGTTTCACCATGTTGGTCATGCTGTCCTTGAACTCCTGACGTCAGGTGATCCACCCGCGTTGGCCTCCCAAAATATTGGAATTACAGGTGTGAACCACTGCACCTGGCCCATTTTTATTCTTAATGAAATTTAGTTTAAATTTTTTTTTAAAAAAAAAGGATTAAAAATAGGAAGGATTACAGCCACAGATAAAATAATTGCTCTCAGAGATAAAGGAATGAGATTTGGGATGTTGAAATTGAGTCAAGAGAAGTGGTCTGGGGCTGGCTGTCTACACTTCAAAGCTTTAAATACAAGAGGAACATGGTAAGAGAAGGAGGAAAGAAGCAGTTGGACCTCAGTTATCTGATCAACATCTGGAAGAGACAAATTAGAAAATAAAAATTACATAAATGGATAAGAAAAAGAAGAGACAAAACTGGAGGATGGTGGATCTGAGCTCAATAGAGAGATACTGAAGCCATAGCCAAGGAAGGAACTCTGAAGACTCAGAGGAGGTTGAGGCTGTGTGGACTTACAAGGGAGTAGGGGTGGGGATGGAGAAATGAGAGTGCATGGACTAAAAATCAGGCAGAATAGCTATTTGGCAAAAAAGAGAGAGTGCAAAGAAGCAGCTGAGGCCCAAGTTGAGAAACTGAGATAATTAAGGAAAGGAAGTATAACTGCCTGAGGGGTTTTTCCTGCCCACTGCACAAACAAAATCAACTCACTGAAACCATGGCATTGCAGTGAAGAAAGAGTTTATGTGAAGCCAGCCACGCTCTGCGGGAGATGAAGTTATTACTCAAATCAACCTCCCTGAAGGCTTGGAGGTTAGGGGTTTTTCAAAGATAGTTTGGTGGGCAGGGGTTTGGGGTAGGAGGCATGCTCATTGGTTGGATCTGAGATGAAATCATAGGGAATTGAAGTTATCCTCTTGTGCTGATTCAGTTTTCAGGTGAAGGCCACAGGACTGGTTGGTGGGTCCAGATGAGGGTATCCATTTGTCAGAAATGCAAAAACCTGAAAATATATCTCAAAAGCCTAATCTTAGGTTCTATGATAGTGATGTTATCTGCAAGATAAATTGGGAAAACTGCTAATCTTATGACCTCCAAAATAATGGCTGGTAATTATTTAGAATGCAATCCTCTCTCATCATCTTAACTTGGTGGCCTTTCATTAGTTTTAAGAGAACAGTTTAGTTTTTAGAAAGGGCTATTATCATTTAAACTGTAAACTAAATTTCTCCCAAAGTTAGCTTGGCTCACATCCCGGAATGAGCAAAGATAGCCAGCCTGTGAGGCTAGAAGCAAGATGGAGTCAGCCATATTGGATTTATCTTACTGTCATAATTTTGCAAAGACGATTTTAGAAGTAAATGACGGATTGCTGAAATGAGAGTTGTGGGATAGGCAGGGGCCAAAGAAGCTGCAGGGAGGTAAGCCAGAGTCGCTAAAACATTCCAAGGAAAGGAAGCAGACAGAAGAGGAGAGTCAAACAAGGTACATGCAGGCTTCAGAGACAGCCGTCTTGTGACTGAACTGTGCATGCTGAGGCTCCAATCAGCACCCAGCAAGCGAGGCCGAAGTATCATCTTGGCACTATGTAAAATATTATTATGAACCACCAGTGATAGCTGTATGGTACTTTGAAAAACCCTAATAGAGAACAAAATCCCTGCATCAAGGTGTAGCTTGTTGTAAGTATTCAGATGTATACTCTAAAATTTATGGGAGAGAGAGTTCACTATAATCCTCATATTCATGTCCTCCTGAATTTAAGCTAGTCAGTTTACAGAGAAGCACATACATTATGAGGGAAGAAGGCTACTGTTAGGAGAAGAAATAAGCATTGCATTTGATCATGTGCCTTTCCAGGTAAATAATTATGTACCACCATTGAGCAGGAATTATGGTATTTAATCATATAATACTAAATATACTGTATTCAGAAGTTTTTTGTGTTTTAGTCAGGTAAGATGCAGGGTGTAGAGGTGTTAACCTTTCCTTAAAATTTTAATGGCTAGATATCTTGAGATCTGTCTGATGTAGGAGTGGAAAGTGGGTGGTTCTTTTCTTCCCCATCATAAAGGCTCACAGCTGATACCCCTATAAAGAAAGACTGGTTAACAAGAGAAAAGCACAACAAATTTATGAATGTGAATAAGTATGAGAGCCATACAAAAATATGAAAATTCAAAGAAATGGTTAGACGATTGATGCTTAACTACCTTCTTCATTAGGGAGAGGAAAGTTGGGGCGGGAGTGGGGGAGTGGGGAATGGGGCCCCCTCCATCTCCAGGAGTGGATAATGGTTTGTAAATAATTCTGTTTGGACACTGAATGGAGCGGAATGGAAAGGACAAACAATAGGAATGTGAGGGGTGGAACTGCATGGTGAACAAAGGTTGTCTTATTACGGAGATACAGTCCCCCAGGCAATCTCTTGGAGCTGCCCCCAGAAGAATAGATGAAAATTCTGTCTGGGAGTGGTGATGAGTTTCAGCCTCTTCTCTTCTCTGGTGGTGAGTCTTTCCTGGTTGTTTGATGAGATTCCTAAGTAGGGCATTTAAGACAATAGCATTTCTTTTAAAAGTTTTCTCAGTCAGATAAAAAAAAAGTTTCAGAGAAAGACCCTTCCAAAACTTTGGAAAAGAAAGAGGATCAGAGAGACGGAGACAGGGAAAGATACCTTGAGGTTCGGCAGGTCAAAGTGCTATATTTTGGAGTATTGTTTTCTGAGCCCCAACACTGATCATTAACACATCCTGGAATCACGCAAATCTGATTTCGGAAAGCATGTGAGAAAAATAATGATCATTACCACAGGCCTATTAATGGGAACGGGTCAGTAATTAAGCAGTTGTCTCTCAGTTCTAGCACATCTTCTCTAGTTGGCTTGTAGTGCTGGGGCTGATACTCTGCAAATTGCATTTCTTTTTTGCCATCTGGTTCCCGTTAAGTTTGGCCAAGTGTTGAGCACTGGAGGGAAAATGAAAGACAGGAGGGGGAAGAAAAACTTGCTCCTTTCTATTTGCTTGCTATTATTGTAAGTGTCATGCCACAAATGGCTGTCCCCATTATTTCCAGAAATAGTTGGTTTTAGTTTTCAGATTCTTCTGCCACTCTCAGAACTAACCAACTGATAGTAAGATATGAGCACAAGCTGAGTAGTGCCCACCTCTTCAGAGATCTGAGGCCCAGCTCAGGTCAGATCCCTGAGGCCCCTCCTTCAGCGTTGTAGGTTCTGATAATCCCAGCCACCCTCTTTTTGGGATAGACAGACCTAGGGATGGCAGCTGCTTTCTGAAGTTACTATCTCTGTGTTGCTTCAGTGTTCTCATTTTGCCTTGCCAGCCCTCCAATACCTAACCAATGCTTAACATACAATTGTGTAACCAATTTCTTATATTAAATTGTCTCTGATAAAATAACTAGTGTGGTTTCCATTTTCATGAGTGAATTCTGACTAATCAGAAAGGTACAAGGTCTTCTGCAATGAATTATATAGAAAGCTTCTTAAATTCTTTTTAAATCTACCTCTTTCCAAGATATTATATTTCTTGCAGTTGTGAAAAATCAGTTCACTCACTGCTACCCAGCTGTCTCAACTCATGTTTCACTTCTGAGAGCCTTTATCCCTCTCCTAATCCACCACACCCACATGTGCATTTCAAAAACATGACTATATGACTCTCCCACCCTTGGGAAGCCACATGAGAGGCATTGCCTATCCTTCCCTCTGAAGAATTTCCACCCCTTTTCTCAAAAATTAGCCCCCATGGAATTCTGGTGGAAAAGCAAAATGGTTACTTTGTTAAATATTTTGCTTAGTTAAATTTTTGTGGTCTTCTATAAAAAGAAGCATAACAGGTACTTGTGTCGCTAGAGGTCCTTTGGATTTGTGCTGTTATTTTTCTTTCTCCTTGGACAAAAAGTGTTTCCTCTGGAAGTGCTGCATCACTTAGTCTGGTCCATTATCATCCCTCTTAGCAAATGTATGAGAACACACATCATCATTATGATTTAATTCCTGTCCCGTTAATTCTCTGCTTCCTGTGAAATACTGCCACAAAACAAGACTCTTGACCACAAGTAGGAGGCCCTATTCGCCTGACTGGAAAATCTAAAACACTTCACATTAGATACTCAAATGATCCTTGCAATTCCGCTTGAGACAGGTTCTCTACCATTAGACGCAAACTGGGTAGATATCATTCACAACCTGAGCGTTGTATTTTTCCTGAGGTTGTTTTGGGGGGTGGAGTTTATCTCTTGTTCTGTTGCATTTCTTCAGAAAATATATGCATAAGGACAGCCAACCAGCATTTTATAAGAAGGCATAATCATTTTTTGTCTTATTCATTTATTTACTTTCTCATTTGGAAAGGCATAAAGGACTTTTCTCTGTTACTCTGTTGTGAAACAAGAGAGATCTTGCCTAGTGTGAAATACAGGATATCTTCTCTCTCCTGTCAGAAACAAAGAGTAGGTAATTGTATTTCTGAATACTTAATTCTTTGACTTTCAAGGGAAGGATGGTTTTTCTCGTTTTTTAAAAAAATAAGAGCTATTGTGATACAAGACAGATTAAGGCTGAGGACGTACTTCTGGAGTGGTAGTGGGCAGTGAAAGGAGCTGCTGCATGAACTTTCTTCCTAGTGCAACAACCAAAACTGGTGAAAATTATATATATATAATTATACATAATGTTCTCCATCTAAATAAGAATATGGAGTCTCACTTAGGTAGGTGAATATCTAATGTGAATTCTCATTTAGATAAATATCTCCATCTACAATCTCTGAAATTGTCCTAAGGGCATACATAAATAGAAAAATATTTATTTCAGAAAGTCTAATAAAATAAAATTTTGGTAAGAACAGTGAGAATTTGTGGAATTTGAAGTATGACCTTCTTCTCACCCCCAATTCAGTGAAAATAAGTTTTTACTCCTGGCAGTTGTTGCAAAAAAGACAAAGCTCTCTATCTGTTCAAATTCATACCTAGAGCTTTGATTTCTCTCAAGGTGAAAGGAGGCAAGATGTTAATACTCATTACCCCCAGCTCAATGTTGTAGAAACTCTCTTCCAGGCAAGAGTGGTTGAGATGTCTGTGGTTTCCTTCACTACCCACTCCCCAGTTGGAGACTAAAAGTTGTATCCAAAGTATAGCAGGCAAAGAATACTGGGCCCCCATTACCTCCACCCAAACTGGCTTATTGGGCAGAAATTTTATGCCAGAAGACACAATCTGAGAAGACAAGTGGCTATTGCTTTTGCCGAGCACCCCACTCATAAAATAGTGGTGTCATCTCGAGAGAAGTGGGCTGCTCTCCTGATGCCCAGCTTTGGAACAGTGGCAAAGATGTTTTGTCTATGGGAGAGGGAGAACTTAAGAACACAGATCTTGGTAGCTATCTCCAAGAGAACTGATTTTATTTGGAAAATTTCAAGTCTAAAGGATGCTATCAAAAACAATGAAGATTTTGGTGATAAGAAGTTAAGAGGTTGGTTGATCTATGCTAGAAAGAGTCAGCTAACAAAAGCACTCGTGGGGCCAGAAATGGGTGCAAAAATTAGCCTCAAAGACAAACCCTACCAAAGGCTCAAATTCAATTGGATCAGACTGTGAAGAAATTCCAACCCAGAGCTTTGTCAAAAACAATAAAGCAGACAGGGTGTGGTGGCTGATGCGTGTAATTCCAGCAATTTGGGAGGCCGAGTCTGGCGGATCACTTGAGGTCAGGAGTTCAAGACCAACCTGGCCAACATGGTGAAACCCCATCTCTGCTGAAATACAAAAATTAGCCAGGCATGGTGGCAGGTATCTGTAATCCCAGCTACTCAGGAGGCTGAGGCAGGAGAATTGCTTGAACCCAGGAAGTGGAGGTTGCAGTGAGCCGAGATGGCGCCACTGCACTCCAGCCTGGGTGACACAGCGAGTTTCCCTCTCAAAAAACAAACAACAACAACAACAACAACAAAAACAAAAAACAAAGCAATCAGCCAACAATTAATAGAAGCCAACATCTGGGTGTGATAAAATAGAGACAGACTAGTTAGAAGCCTAACAGAGAGATGCCAGAAAGAGATGAACACACAAAGAGATCACTTCTACAACCACCTTCATCTTATGGCAATTATTTACATTTCCAAAGTTGTATCATTTGAAAAGCAACTGCAGAGGCTTTACACTGAAGGAAAAATAGAATTCATT
This sequence comes from Homo sapiens, assembly GCF_000001405.40. Lineage (NCBI taxonomy): Eukaryota > Metazoa > Chordata > Mammalia > Primates > Hominidae > Homo > Homo sapiens. The sequence continues at coordinate 105,271,241 of NC_000008.11, read as the reverse complement.
GAAATAGTGCAGTGAAGTCACTAAACGAATAAGCAAGCAACAAGTTGAGGGCAGGAGTGGGTCTGTATTCAGAGGTATAGTATCTAAAATGTTCAGTTTTCAATAAAAAGGTAGGAAACATATAAAGAAACAGGAAAGTGTGACCTATACACGGAGAAAAGGCAGGCAACAGAAACTGCCTCTGAGAGGGCTCAGATGTCAGACTTAGAAGACAAAGACTTTAAAGCATCTTATAAATACATTCAAAGAACTAAAGAAATAATGCCTTGAACAAATGAAGGAAAGTAAGATGACACTGTCTTATCAAATAGAGAATGTTAATACAGAGACAGAAATTATTTTAAAAAGAAACAAGTGAACATTATAGAGTTCAAAGCACAATAACTGAAATGAATTACTAGATAAGCTCAAAGATAATTAGAACTTGCAGAAGAAATAACTAGCATGCTTGAAGATAGGTTGATAGAGAGATTATGCAATTGAAAGAATAGAGAGAAAAGAGAATGAAGGGAAATTAACAGAGCCTCAGAGAAATGTGGAACACCACTAAGCATACCATCATACACATAATGAGAATACCGAATAAAGCAAAAAAAAAAAAAAAAGATGAGGAAATAATCACTGAAAAACTTCCCAAATGTAATGAAAAACATAAATTTACACATCCAAGAAGCCCAACAAACTCTAAGAAGGATAAAGTTAAGGAGAGCCACAATGAGACAAATATGCTCAAACTGAGTTGTAAAAAGAAAGAGATCATCTTGGAAAAAGCAAGATAGAAGTGATTCATGGTGTACAATGGATCCTAAGTAATACTAATAGCTAATTTCTCATTTAAAACCATGGAGGCCAGAAGATGGTGGAAAGACATATCTAAAATCTCAAAGAAAAATACTGTCAATCATAAGTCTCATATCCAAAAAAACTATCTTTCAAAAATTAACGTAAAATAAATCACTGTCAGAAATGAACAAACAAAAAACCTGATAGGATCTTTGCTAACAGACTTGCCTTACCAGAGACACCAGAGGAAATTATTTAGGCTGAAAGCAAGTGATATCACATGATTACCACACGAACAAAACAAAAGCATCAGTAAAGTTAATTACATAGGTAGTTATAAAATACATTGAATTTAACATTTCCTCAAGTTTCTTTTCTTCCCTGCCTTAAAAAGCAGTTCTATAAAATAATATGAATGTACTTCTGCTATTGGGACTATAACATATAGAAATCTAATGTATGACAATAACAGCACAAAGAAAGCAGATGAGTATAAAGTTGTATTGGAGTAGGAAAATGTCACCAGATGGTAACTTAAATTCGGAGGAAGAAATGAAGAGAATCAGAAATGGTATGTAGCATAGTAACATTAATATAACAAACTCTATAAATGTGTACTTACTCTCTTATCTCAGCTTTTTAAAAATATATGCAAATATATAATGTAATAATTATAACAATATACTTTTGGATGTGTAACACATATAGGTATACTATCTATAACAATAATAGCCCCAAAAAGGGGAAATATAGAATGATATAAAAATAACATTTCTATTTCTCTCTGGAATTAAGAGAGTGTTAAATCAAGTTTAGCCTAAAGCTGCCTCCTTACATATTTTAAGTTTGGCCTAAAGGTTTCTCTGTACATTGTGAACTATAACCTAAATGGAGTTGGATACAGACTGTAGTTTACTCTTGTGCCAATTACCGAGTTTTGGCCAATCAAAGGTGGCCAACTGTTCAAACCATGTTCAAATAAGGCAAACACCAAACTGTAACTCATCCAACTTTTTCTTTACCTCACTTTTGTTTTCTGTACATCACTTTTTTCTTCTGACCATAAAACTTCTACCATGTGGCTTCATTGGGGTTTCTGAGCCTATTCTGGCTTGGGAGGCTATCTGATTTGTGAATTTTTCTTTGATCAATTAAACTTCTTTAAATTTAATTCAGCTAAAAGTTTTTCTTTTAACAATAGTATGTAGTTTAAGTAGATTTTGATAAATTAAGATACATATTGTAATCCCTAGAGCAACAACTAAGAAAATAACTTTTAAAAAATAGGAAACAATTTAATGAAGGAATTATATTGTTATACTAGAAATTATTCACTTAATGCAAAGGAAAGCAGTAAAGGTAAAACAGAACAACAAAAATGACATGAGGCATATAGAAACCAAAGAGTAATATGACAGACTTAACTCCATCCACATCAATAATAACATTAAGTGTAAAAGTGTAAAAGGATAAACAATACAATTGAAGGTCAGATTTTCTCATACTAGATACAAAAACAAGATCCAACTATACATCATCTGTAGGAACACATTTTAGATTCAAGGACACAAAAAGTTTTAAAGTAAAGAAAGTGAAAAAATATATACCTCATCTAAATAGCAACCATAAGAAAGTTGGTGTGGCTATACTAATATACATCATAATAGAATCTGAAGTTTAAAAGTTACTAAATATAAAGGACTTTTCAAATTATAAAAGGTCTAAGTACATATGGACTTAAACAGAGCTACAAAATATATGAAGCATAAACTGACATAATTAAAGGGAGAAATGAACAATTCAGTAATAGCTGTAGATTTCAATATGCCACTTTCAACAATGAATATAATAACTAGGCAGGACATCAAGAAATAAATAGGACAGGCAGGAGCAAGATGGTGGAATAGAAGCCCACACTGTTCATCGTTCATCCTCCCACACCCCTGCTGGAACACCAAATTTTAACAACTATCTGGATGCAGAAAAGCACTGTCACAAGAACCAAAAATTAGGTGAGTAATCACAGTACCTGGTTTTAACTTCATATTGCTATAGCAGACATTAAGGAGGGCAGGAGAGACAGTCTTGAATGGCTGGCACCACCCTTTCCCTATTTCCTGGCAGCAGAAAGAGAATCTGCACTTTGGGGCGGGACAGTACAGTGGTTGAGGAACCTTACATTGAACTCAGTGCTGCCCCTTCACAGAAGGGAATAAAGCTGTGCTGGTCTCAGCCAGCACCCCTGTATGGAGGGAGCATTGGATCAGACCTAGCCAAAGGGAACTCATCCATCCCAGTGGTCAGAACTTGAGTTTCTTGGCATGCTTCACCACCATGCCATCACAGGCTGAAGTGCTCTGGGGTCCTATAGGTAAACTTGAAAGGCAGTCAAGTTGAGAACTGCAATTCCTAGGCTGCGTTTAGAGCCAGTGAAGCAGAGTGGCACATGACCTAGGGAAACACCAACCAGGGTGGCTAAGAGAGTGCTTGTACCATCCCTCCTCCAACCACAGGCAGTGCTGCTTACAGAAACAAAAGTGACTCCTTCCATCTGCTTAAGGAGAGGAGAGAGGAGAGTAAACAGGACTTTGTCTTTCATCTTGGATACTAATACAGCCACAGTAGGATAAGGCAACAGGCAGAGTCATGAGGTCCCCATTCCAGGCCCTAGTTCCTGGATGACATTTCTAAAACCCTGGGCCAAAAAGAACCTGCTGCCTTGAAGGGAAGGACCTAGTCCTGGAAGGAGGACTCATCACCTGCTGGCTACAGAGCTTTTGAGTCCCAAATAATCAGCAGTGATACCTAGGGAATATGCCATGGGCCTCGGGCTCTGAGACGTGCTGGCGTCAGGGGTGATTCTTTACATTCCCAGCTGTGGTGACTACAGTGAATGGCTCCTTCTGTTTGAGAAGAGCAAAGGGAAAAGTAAAGGGGACTTTGTCTTGCACCCTAGGTAGCAGCTTGGCTATGGTGGAGTAGAGAACCAAGCAGGCTCTTGGGGTCCCTGAGTCCAACCTAGGCTCTTGGACAGCATTTCTAGACCTACTCTGAGCCAGAGGTGAGCCACTGCTTTGAAGGGTGAATCACAAAACTGGCAGCATTCACCACAACCTGACAGAAGGGCCCTTGGGCTTTAAGTTAACATCAGTGATGAGCTGGCAGAATCCCTATGGACCAGGGATGGCGGTGGCCACAGGGAGAGGCTTCTTTGCCTGTGGAAAGAAGAGGGAAGAGGGGAAAGGACTTTGTATTGTGGTTTGAGTGCCAGCTTAGCTGCAGTAAAATAGAACATCAGGTAAACTTCTGAAGTTTTTTTTTTTTTTTTCCTTTGAGACGGAGTTTCGCTCTTGTTGCCCAAGCTGGAATGCAATGGTGCAATCTTGGCTCACTGCAACTTCTGCCTCCCGGGTTCAAGCGATTCTCCTGCCTCAGCCTCTTGAGTAGCTGGGACTGCAGGTGTGCGCCACCACACCCAGCTAATTTTTAAAATAATTTTGGTAGAGACAAGGTTTTGCCAAGTTTTCCAGGCTGGTCTTGAACTCCTGACCTCAGGTGATCTGCCCACTTTGGCCTCCCAAAGTGCTGGGACTACAGGTGTGAGCCACCATACCCGGCCAACTTCTAAGGTTTTAAACTCCAATCCCTTGCTCCCAGACAGCATCTCTGAACACACGTGGGGCCTGGGGAAATTCACTACTCTGAAGGGAAGAGCTTTGGGCAAGTTCCAGTGCTGTGCTGTCTACAGGTCTGACTCAGTGCAGTTCCAGTGGTGGTGGCCACAAGGGTGCTTGCATCACTACACCTCAAGTTCCAGAAGGCTCAGCACAAAGGGAGAGACTCTGTTTGGTTGAAAGTAAGGGAAAAAAAAGAAAAGAGGCCCTGCCTGGTAACCCAGAGAATTCTTTCAGATCTTGTCCAAGACCACCAAGGCAGTATCTCTATAAGTCTGTAAAACCACAGTATTATTGGGCTTGGGGACCAAGTCCTTCAAATTCCCGGAACGTCTTCCCAAGGACAGGTACAAACAACCCCAGACTGTGAAGACTACAATAAATACCTAATTCTTCAATGTTAAGGCACCAAAGAACATCTACAACAGGGGTGTCCAATCTTCTGGCTCCCCTGAGCCACATTGGAAAAACAATTGTCTTCAGCCACAAATAAAATACACTAACACTAACAATAGCTGATGATCTAAAAAATAAATCCCAAAAAACTTATAATGTTTTAACAAAGTTTACAAATTTGTGTTGGGCTGCATTCAAAGCCATCCTGAGCCACATGTGGCCCACAGGCCATGGGTTGAACAAGCTTGATCTACAAGCGTCAACACCATACAGCAAAATATGACCTCACCAAATGAACTAAAAGAGACCAATCCTGGAGAACAAAAATATATGACCTTTTAGACAGATAATTCAAAACAGTTATGTTGAAGAAACTCAAAGAAATTCAAGACAACACAGACAAGGATCTCAGAATTCTATCAGATAGATTTAACAAAGAAATTCAAATAATTAAAAAGAATTAAAAAGAAATTCTAGAATTCAAAATGCAAATGTCATGCTGAAGAATTCATCAGAGTCTCTTAATACCAGAAGGGATCAAGCAGAAGAAAGATTAAATGAACTTGAAGACAGACTATTTGAAAACACACAGTCAGAGGAAACAAAAGAAAAAATAATAGAAATCAATGAAGCACACCTGTGAGATCTAGAAAATAGCCTCAAAAGGGCAAAGCTAAGAGTTATTGTCCCTAACCCTTTTTCTCATTAGCCCCCAGAACACTTGCCAGCAGTGCTTGCAGCTGCAGCGTTTATCCCAAGATAACTTTGCTACAAAATACCTCACTTTTATTATTATTTTCAAATCACTGTAGTGTATCAACTTTGGAAACAAAAGATATCATTCTATTTATAGCACTCTGTTTTTAGTAGAAGTATTTCCATTTACAAAACATAGTAACTCTCAATCACTGAAAATATCAAATCCTAGAAATTGTAAAATTCCTGCACGTGATGTTACCATCGTTTTCAAATTATTGTTGGCCGAAGATTCATTTGATGAATCCGATTTTTCTGAAATAGATGATTCAGACAATTCTGATGTTCTTTTTAGAGATAATTTCAAGAACAATTATATTTTATTTTCACATTGAAAATAAGTCAAATTTGCTTCAGTCTCAAAGAGCATGTTTATATAAAATTAAATAAGAACTGGCAGCCAGCTACACTTAAAAAAAATTCTAAATGGGAAAAGGGTTAAAGAGGAGGAAGAGAAAGGGGTAGAAAGTTTATCCCATGGATAATATCAGAGAACTTCCCAAACCTAGAGAAGAATATAAACATCAAGTAAAAGAAGGTTATAGAACATTAAATAGATTTAACCCAAAGAAGTCTATATCAAGGCATTTAATAATCAAACTCCCAATGGTCAAAGATACATAAAGAATCCTAAAAGCAACAAAAGGAAGAAACTAATAACATACAATGGAGCTCCAATGTGTTTGACAGCAGACTTTTCAGTGGAAATCTTTCAGGCCAGGAGAGAGTGGCATGACATATTAAAGAGGTGAAGGAAATTTTTCTTACCCTAGAATAGTATATTTGGTGAAAATTACACTTCCAACATGGAGATATATACTTTCCCAGACAAACAAAGCTGAAGGATTTCATCAACACCAGGCCTGCCTTACAAGAAATGCTAAAGGGAGTTCTTCAATCACAACTAAAAAGGAGGTTAATGAGACAAAAAATTATCTGATGGTACAAAACTCACTGGCAATAGTAAGTGAAAAAAAGAATATTATAACACTATAACAGAAAAAAAGAATATTATAACACTATAACTGTGGTGTGTAAACTACTCATGTAGAAAGACTAAAAGATGAACCAATAAAAAATGATAACATCAACTTTTCAAGACAGACAGTAAGTAAGATATTAAGAGAAACAACAGGCCAGCAGTGAATCGGATCTCTATGGAGGCAGCAGAGGTGATATCCCTGAACAGAGAGCATCACTCTGTCCTTGAATCCTTTTTTCCTCTATTTTGTTTTTTATTATTCCCCCCCTCTTCCCTGCCTCCAGTCTATGATGACTGACTCTTGACCCTGTTCAGGCCTCGGTGAAGGCTTTTGGTTGCTCTCCTTCCCACCCCATCCCTTAATTTTATTCTTTTGAAGAGTCTGCATTTCAAGCTGCCAAGGTGAAGAGAGTGATTACAAAAGGGAGTCCTCCTCATTTCAGCTCAAACACTGGATGATACTGGGACCTTCAAAAGACTTCTGAGGAGATCTAGCACCTTAAGGACCCCACTTCAGAAAATATGCATATTGAAGAAGGGGCCAAGATGGCTGATCAGAAGCAGCTGCAGTCCACAGGTTTTGTGAAGAGGAATGAAAACAGTGAGTGAATTCAGCACCTTGAACTGAAGTATCCAGGTTCTTGCATTAGGACTGACTAGGTAGACTACTTGACCCAAGGAGAATGGAGAAAAGCAGGGTGGGGTGACAGCCCACCCAGGAGCGGCATGGAGCCAAAGGAACCCCACCCCAGCCAAGGAAAGCAGTGAGTGATTGTGCATCCTCACCCAGAAAACCATGCTTCTCCCATGGATCTTTGTAACCCACATATCAGGAGATCCCTTCATGAGCCCATGCCACCAGGCCTTGGGTCTGATACACAGAGCTGCGCAGACTATCAGCAGAACAGTCACTCAGGCTCACAGAGAGACCCAGGAGTTTTATACACTCCAGCCCTGGGAACCCCAGCAAGGCTGGAGATTCATTCCTACATTCCCATAGGAAGGAGGCTGAATCCAGGGAGCCAAGCAGCGTCATTCTGCAGGCCCACTTTCATGGCATCTCACAAGGTAAGACCCACTGGCTTGGAATTCCAGCCAACCAGAGCAACAGGCTGGAAATTGGCTGAGATAGCTGAGTTCCTGGGGGGGAGGAGCAGTCACCATTTCTGCGGTTAGGTTGATCAACTCAGTCATTCTATCCTGCTAGCTCTGGGGAGTCCAGGTGGTCCAGATGAGGAGGAGTCCCTCACAATGCAGCAGAGCTGCTGTGCCAGATTGCGGCAAGACTGCTTCTTTAAGTGGGACCGTGATCCATCCCTCCTCTCTGGGAATTTCAGTAACTCCAGCCAGGGTTATATGGACAGAACTCTGATCTCTCCCTGGGATGGAGCCCCTGGGAGGAGGGGTGGCCAATGTCTCTGCAGTTCCGTTGACTCAGCCTTTTCAGCTTGATGGCCCTGAAGAGTCCAGGCAGTCTGAATGAGGAAGGGTTCCCACCGCCCCCTCCTCACAATGCAGCACACCTGCTCTATCAAAAAGCAGCCAGACTGATTCTTTAAGTGGATCCCTGATTCCGTCCCTCCTGACTGGGTGAGATCTCCCAACAGGGTCTCCAGATACTTCCTACAGGAGTTTCCAGGCCAGCAACAGGTCAGTACCCCTCTGAGGTGGAGCTCCCAGAGAAAGCAGCAGGCTGCCATCTTTGCTGTTTCATAGCCTTCACTGGTGATACCTCTAGGTAAGAGAAAAACTAAGGCAACTAGGACATGGAAGGATCTCCCAGCAAACTGCAGCAGCCCTAGCAAAAACTGGTCTCACTGCTAAAAGAAAAACAAACAGAAAGCAACAAAAACATCAACAAAAAAGGCCCCACAAAAACCCCATTCAAAGGTCAGCAACCTCAAAAATTGAAGGTAGATAAAACCCACAAAGAGGGCCACACAGGCCTGCTTTGCAAGACCTCCTGAAGGAAGCACGAAATAAGGAAGGGAAAACCATTACCAGCCACTACAAAAACACACTGAAGTATACAGACCAGTGATGCTATGAAGCAACCACATAAACAAGACTGCAAAATAACAGCTAGCCCCATGATGACAGGATGAAATTCACACATAACAATACGAACCTTAAATGTAAATGGGCTAAATGCCCCACTTAAAAGATAAAGAATGACAAGCTGGATAAAGAGTCAAGACCAATTGCTATGCTGTCTTCAAGAGACTCATCTCACATGCAAAGACATACATAAGCTCAAAATAAAGGGATGGAGGAAAATTTACCAAGCAAATGGACAACAAAAAAAAGCAAGGATTGCAATCCTAGTTTCTGACAAAACAGACTTTAAACCAACTTATATAATATAATGATAAAGGGTTCAATTAAACAAGAAGAGTTAACTATTCTAAATATATATGCACCCAATATAGGAGCACCTGTATTCACAAAGCAAGTTCTTGGAGGCCTACAAAGAGATGTAGACTCACACACAGTAATAGTGAGAGACATTAATACCCCACTGACAATACTAGACAGATAATTGAGACAAAAATTTAATAAAGATATTCAGCAACTGAACTCAGCTCTGGATCAAGCAGACGTGATTGATATCTACAGAACTCTCCACCCCAAGACAACAGAATATACATTCTTCTCATTGCCACATAATACTTACTCTAAAATTGGTCACAAAATTGAAGAAAACACTCCTCAGCAAATGCAAAAGAACTGAAATGATAACAGTTTCTCAGACCACAGCACAATAAAATTAGAACTCAAGGCTAAGAAACTCACTAAAAACACAATTACATGGAAATTGAAACAAATTGAACAATCTGCTCCTAAATGATTCCTGGGTAAATATTGAAATTAAGGCAGAAATGAAAAAGTTCTTTGAAATTAATGAGAACACAGAGACAAGGCACTAGAATTGCTGAGACATAGCTAAAGCAATGTCAAGAGGGAAACTTATAGCACTAAATGCCCACATCAAAAAGCTAAAAAGATCTCAAGTTTAACAACCTACTATCTCAACTAAAAGAACTAGAGGCTGGGTGTGGTGGCTCATACTCCTGGCACTTTTGGAGGCTGAAGTGTGTGGATCACTTGAGGTCAGGAGTTCAAGACCAGCCTAATCAACATGGTGAAACCCTGTCTCTACTAAAAAAAATACAAAAATTAGCCAGGCATGGTGGTGCATCCCTGTAGTCCCAGCTACTCAGGTGGCTGAGGCAGGAGAATTGCTTGAACCCAGGAGGGTAGAGGTTGCAGTGAGCTGAGCTCACACCACTGTACTCCAGCCTGAACAACAGAGTGAGATTCCATTTCAAAAAATAAATAATAAAAATATGAAAATAAAAAATAAAAGAACTAGAGAACCAAGAGTAAACAAACCCCAAAGCCAGCAGAAGCAAGAAATAACCAAGATCAGAGCAGAACTGAAGGAGATAGAGACACCAAAAAACCATTCAAAAAATCAATGAATCCAGGAGCTATTTCTTTGAAAAAAAGAAAAAAAGTAAAATAGATAGACTGCTAGCTAGACTAATAAAGAAGAAAAGAGAAAAGAATAAAATAGACACAATCAGAAATGATAAGGGGGATATCGCCACTGACCCCACACAAATACAACAATTAGGGAGTACTATAAACACCTCTGATAAGGTTTGGCTCTGTCCCATCCAAAATCTCACTTTAAATTGTAATCCTAATTGTAGTCCTCATGTGTTGGGGGTGGGACCTTGTGGGAGGTGATTAGATCATGGGGGTTGTCCTCTCATCCTGTTTCATGATAGCAAGTGAGTTCTCATGAGATCTTATGGCTTTATAGGGGACATCACCCTGCTTCACTTGGCACTTCTCCTTCCTGCCATCATGTGAAGAAGGACATGTTTTTTTCCCCTTCTGCCATGATTGTTAGTTTCCTGAGGCCTTCCCAGCCATGTGGAACTGTGAGTCAATTAAACTTCTTTCCTATATAAATTACTCATTCTCGGGTATGTCCTTATAGCTGCGTAAGAATGGACTAAGAAAACCTCTATGCACATAAACTAGAAAACCTAGAAGTAATGGATAAATTCCTGGCAAATACACCCTCCCAAAACTGAAACAAGAAGAAATTGAATCCCTGAATAGATCAATAACAAGTTCTGAAATTGAGGCCATAATAAATATCCAACCACCAGAAAATTCCCAGGACTGACAGATTTATAGCTGAATTTTACCAGAAGTACAAAGAAGAGCTGGTACCATTTCTACTGAAAATATTTCTACTGAAAAAATTGAAAAGGAGAAATTCCTCCCTAACTCATCTTACGAAGCCAGCATTATCCTTATACCAAAACCTGGCAGAGATAAACAAACAAAAAACTTCAGGCCAATATTACTGATGAATATCAATGCAAAAATCTTCAATAAAATACTGGCAAACCAAATCCATCAGCACATCAAAAAGCTTATCTACCACTATCAAGTTATTTACCACTTCATCCCTGACATGCAAGCTTAGCTCAAAATATGCAAGTTAATACATGTAATTCATCACATAAACAGAACTAAAGGCAAAAACCCCATGATTATCTCAGTAGACACAGAAAAGGCCTTTGATAAAATTCAACATCTCTTCATGTTAAAAACTCTAAATAAGCTAGGTATTGGAGAAACATACATCAAAATAGTAAGATCCTTATTTGACAAACCCACAGCCAATATTATACTAAATGGGCAAAAGCTGGAAACATTCCCCTTGAAAATCAGCACAAGAAAAGGATGCCTTCTCTTACCACTCCTATTCAACATAGTATAGGAAGTTCCAGCCAGGGCAATCGGGCAAGATAAAGAAATAAAGGATATTCAAATATGAAGACAAGAAGTCAAATTATCTTTGTTTGCAGACAACATGATTCTATATCTAGAAAACCCCATCATCTAAGCCCAAAAGCTTCTTAGACTGATAAGCAACCTCGGCAAAGTCTCAGGATACAAAATCAATGTGCAAAAACTGCTAGCATTCCTATACACCCACAACAGGGCAAGCACAGAAGGAAATCATGAGTGAACTCCCATTTACGATTGCTACAAAAAGGTGAAAATATCTAGAAATACAACTAACAATGAAAGTGAAGTACCTCTTCAAGAAGAACTACAAACTACTGCTCAAGGAAATAAGAGAGGGCACAAACAAATGGAAAAACATTCCATGCTCAGAGACAGGAAGAATCAATATCATGAAAATGGCCATACTGCCCAAAGTAATTTATAGATTCAATTCTATTCCCATTAAACTACCATTGACATTCTTCACAGAATTAGAAAAAACTACTTTAAATTTTATATGGAATCAAAGAAGACCTCATATAGCCAAGACAATCCTAAGCAAAAAGAAGAAAGCTGGAGGCATCACACTACCTGAATTCAAACTATAGTACAAGGGTACAGTAACCAAGACAGGATGGTACTGATACAAAAACAGACACAGATACCAACGGAACAGAATAGAGAACTCAGAAATAAGACTGCACACCTACAGTGTGATCTTCAACACAACTGACAAAAAAAAAAAAAAAACAATGGGGAAAAGATTCCCTATTTAATAAATGATGCTGGAAAAACTGGCCAGCCATATGCAGAAAATTGAAACTGGATCCCTTCCTTACACCTTATACAAAAATTAAGTCAAGATTAATTAAAGACTTAAAAGTAAAACCCAAAACTAAAAAAAAAACCCTAGAAGAAAATCTGGCAATATCATTCAGGTCATAGGCATGGGCAAAGATTTCATTATGAAAATGTCAAAAGCAATTGCAACAAAAGCAAAAATTGAAAAATGAGATCTAATTAAACTAAAGAGCTTTTGCATGGCAAAAAATATCATCAGTCTGAACAGACAACCCATAGAATGGGAGAAAATTTTTGCAATCTACCCATCTGACAAAGGTCTAATATCCAAAGTCTACAAGGAACTTAAACAAATTTACAAGAAAAAAACAAACAGCCTCACTAAAAGATGGGCAAAGAAGGTGAACAGACACTTCTCAAGGGAAGACATTCATGTGGCTAACAAGCATATGAAGAAAACTCAACATTACTAATCATTAAAGAAATGCATATCAAAATCACAATGAGATATCATCTCAGCTCAGTCAGAATGGTGATTATTAAAAAGTCCAGAAACAACAGATGTTGTCAGGTTTGTAGAGAAAAAGGAGCACTTTTACACTGTTAGTGGGAGTGTAAATTAGTTCAACCATTGTGGAAGACAGTGTGGTGATTCCTGAAAAATCTAGAGGCAGAGATATTTAATACCATTTGACCCAGCAATCTCATTACTGAGTATATACCCAAAGGAATATAAATCATTCTATTATGTCCAGGTGCTGTGGCTCATGCCTGTAATCCCAGCACTTTGGGAGGCCAAGGTGGGTGGATCACGAGGTCAGGAGATTGAGACCATCCTGGCTACATGGTGAAAACCCGTCTCTGCTAAAAATACAAAAAAATGAGCCGTGTATGGCGGCTGGCACCTGTAGTCCCAGCTACTTGTGAGGCTGAGGCAAGAGAATGGCATAAACCCAGGAGGTGGAGCTTGCAGTGAGCTGAGATCACACCACTGCACTCCAGCCTGGGTGACAGAGTGAGACTCCATCTCAAAAAAAAAAATTGTTCTATTATAAAGATACATGCATTCATATGTTTGTGGCAGCACTATTTACAATAGCAAAGACATGGAACCAACCCAAATGCTCATCAATAATAGACAAAGAAAATGTAGTACATATATACCATGGAATACCATGCAGACATAAAAAGGAACAAGAACATGTCCTTTGCAGGGACATTGATAGAGCTGGAAGCCATTATCTTCAGCAAACTGACACAGGAACAGAAAACCAAACACCACATGTTCTCACTTGTAAGTGGGAGCTGAATGATGAGAACACAAGGACGCATCAGGGGAAACAACACACATTGGAGCCTGTCAGTGGAGTTGAGGGAGTTAGAGCATCAGAAAGAATAGCTAATGGATGCTAGACTTAATACCCAGGGGATGGGTTGATCTGTGCAGCAAACCACCATGGCACACATTTACCTATCTAACAAACCTGCACATCCTGCACATATACCCTGGAACTTAAAATAAAAGCTAAGAAAAAAAGAGAGAAACAACAAGAAGACCAAAAGCAGGGGGACAAAGTTAAAGTGTAGAGATTTTATTTGTTTTCTTTTCACTTGTTTGTTTATGAAATCAGTGTTGAGTTTTCATCAGTTAAAATAATGACTTATTAGATAGTATTGGCAAGGCTTATAGTAACCTCAAATGAAAAACCATACACAAAATAAAAAGCAAGAAATTAGATAACACCATCAGAGAGAATTACCTTCACTGAAAGGAAGAAAGGAAAAAAAAAGGAAGACAAGACCACAAAACAATCAGAACACAAGTAACAAAATGGCAGGAGTAAGTCTTTCCTTACCAATAATAACTGATACAGTTTGGCTCTGTGTTCCCACCCATATCTCATCTAGAATTGTACTCTCATAATTCCCACACGTTGTGTAAGAGACCTAATGGGAGATAATTTGAATCATGGGGGTTCTCCCATATTGTTCTTGTGGTAGTGAATAAGTCTCACAAGATCCAATGGTTTTGGCAGAAGTTTCCACTTTTGCATCTTCCTTATTTTATCTTGTCACCACCATGTAAGAAGTGCTTTTTGCCTCCTGCCATGATTCTGAGGCCTCTCCAGACATGTGGGACTGTAAGTCCAGTTATATCTCTTTTTCTTCCCAGTCTTGGGTATGTCTTAATCAACAGTGTGAAAATGGACTAACAGAGTAAATTGGTACCAGTAGAGCGGGGCATTGCTGAGAAGATACTCAACAATTTGAAAGCAACTTTCAAACTGGGTAAAAGGCAGATGTTGGAACAGTTTCGAGGGCTCAGAAGAAGAAGAAAGAAGAAAAAATGTGGGAAAGTTTGGAATTTTCTAGAAACCTGTTGAATGGCTTTGACCAAAAGCCTAAAAGTGATATGGAAAATAAGGTCCATGCTGAGGTGGTCTCAGATGGAGAAACTTGTGGAACTGGAGCAAAGGAGACTCTTGTTATGTTTTAGCAAAGAGATCAGCAGCATTTTGCCCCTGCCCTAGAGATCTGTGGAACTTTCAACTTGAGAGAGATGATTTAGGATATCTGGCAGAAGAAATTTCTAAGCAGCAAAGCATTCAAGAGGTGGCTTGGGTGCTGCTAAAGGCATTCAGTTTTATAAGGGAAACAGAGCATAAACATCTGGAAAATGTGTAGCCTGACAATGCAACAGAAAAGAAAAACCCATTTTCTGAGGAGAAATTCAACCCAGCTGCAGAAATTTGCATAAGTAATGAGGAGCTGAATACTAATCCCCAAGACAATGGATAAAATGTCTCCAAGGAATGTCAGAGGTCTTCGTGGCAGCCCCTCCCATCATAGGCCCAGAAGCCTCAGAGAAAATGGTTTTGTGTGCTGGGCCCAGGGTCCCTGTGCTGTGTGTCGCCTAGGGACTTGGTATCTTGTATCCCAGCCCCTCCAACCATAGCTGAAAGGGGCCAAAGTAGAGCTCTTGCAGTGACTTCAGAGGGTGCAGCCTCAAGCCTTGACAGCTTCCATGTGGTGTTGAGCCTGCCAGTGCACAGAAGTCAAGAACTGGGGTTTTGGGACCTCTGCCTAGATTTCAGAAGAGGTATGGAAACGCCTGGATGCCCAGGCAGAAGTTTGCTGCAGGGGCAGAGTGCTCATGCAGAACCTCTGCTAGGGCAGTACAGAAGGGAAATGTGGGGTCAGAGCCCCAACACAGAGTCCCTACTGGGGCACAACCTAGTGGAGCTGTGAGAAGAAGGTCATCATCCTCTAGATCCCAGAATGGTAGATCCACCAACAGCTTGCACCGTTTGCTTGGAAAAGCCACAGAAACTCAATGCCAGCTTGTAAAAGCAGCCAGGAGGGAGGCTGTACCATGCAAAGCCACAGAGGTGGAGCTGCCCAAGACTATGGGAACCTGCCTCTTGCATCAGTGTGACCTGGATGTGAGACCTAGCATGAAAGGAGATCATTTTGGAGCTTTATATTTTGACTGCCCCACAGGATTTCAATCTTGCATGGGCCCTGTAACCACTTTGTTTTGGTCAATTTATCCCATTTGGAATGGCTGAACTTACCCAATACCTGCACCCCCATTGTATCTAGGGGGTAACTAGTTTGCTTTTGATTTTACAGGCTTATATGCAGAAGGGACTTGCCTTGCCTCAGATGAAACTTTAGACTGTGGACTTTTGGATTAATGCTGAAGTGGGTTAAGACTTTGGGGGACTGTTGGGAAGGCATAATTAGTTTTGAAATGTGAGGACATGAGATTTGGAAGGGCTAGGGTGGAATGATATGGTTTGGCTCTGTCCCCACCCAAATCTCATCTTGAATTGTACTCCCATAATTTCCGTGTATTGTGGGAGGAATGTGGTGGGAGGAAATTTGAATCATGGGGGTGGTTTTCTCTCATACTGTTCTTGTGGTAATGAATAAGTCTCATGAGATTCGATGGTTTTATCAGAGGTTTCTGCTTTTGCATCTTCCTCCTTTTATCTTGCCACCACCATGTAAGAAGTGCCTTTTGCCTTCCACCATGATTCTGAGGCCTCCCAAGCCATGTGGAACTGTAAGTCCAATTAAATCACTTTTGCTTCCTGGTCTCAGGTATGTCTTTATCAGCAGCATGAAAATGGACTAATACAATAACACTGAATGCAAATGGACTAAACTATCCAATGAAAGACAGACTGGCTGAATTGATAAAAAATATAAGACCTAATGATATGTTGCATACAAGAAACACACTTCATCTATAAAGATACACATAAACTAAAAATAAATGAATATAAAAAGGTATTCCATGCCAGAGGAAAACAGAAAAGAGGGGGAGTAGATATACTTATATCAGATAAAGTAGATCTCCAGACAAAATCTATGAGGAGAGACACAGAACATCACTATGTAATGATAAAGAAGCCAATTCGGAAAGAGGACATAATTATAAATATATAGGCACCCAACTCTGGAGCACCCAGATATATAAAGCAAATATTATTAGAGATAAAGAGAGACATAGACCTCAATAAAATACTAACTGGAGACTTCAACATTCTATTTTCAGCATTGGACAAATATCAGAAACTCAACAAAGAAAAATCAGTCTTAATCTGTCCTACAGAACAAATGGGCCTAATACATATTTACAGGACGTTTCATCCAAAGGCTGCAGAATACACATTCTTCTCCTCAGCACATGGGTTATTCTCAAAAATAGACCATATTTTAGGTCACAATTCAAGGCTTAAACCATGCAAAAAATATGAAATAGTATCAAGCATCTTCTCTGATCACAAGAGAATAAAACTAGAAGTCAACAAGAGGAGTTTTGGAAACTGTACAAACACATGAAAATTAAACAAAATGCTCTGTGATGATCAGTGGGTCAATGAATAAATTAAGAAGTAAATTTAAATATTTCTTAAAGCAAATGACAATGGAAAACAGCATGCCAAAGCCTATAGAATATACTGAAAGCTGTATTAAGAGGGAAATTTATAGCTATAAGTGCCTACATCAAAGAAGAAGAAAATCTTCAAAGAAATAACCTAATGATACATTTTTAAGAACTAGAAATTCAAGAACAAACCAAATCCAAAATTAGTAGAACAAAATAATAAAGATTAGAACAGAAATAAATGAATTTGAAATGAAGAAAACAGTAAAAAAATCTATGAAATAAAAAAGTTGTTTTTTTTGAAAAGATAAACAAAATTGACAAGACTTTAGCCAGAGTAATGAAAAAAGAGAGAAGACCCAAATAAATAAAATCAGAGATGAAATAACTGATACTGCAGAAATTCAAAGGATCATTAGTGGATTCTATGAGCAACGATATGCCAATAAATTAGAAAATCTAGAAGAAATTGATAAATTCCTAGACATATGCAACTTACCAGGATTGAAGCATGAAGAACTAAAAAACCTAAACAGGCCAATAACAAGTAACAATATTGAAATTTTAACAAAAAGTCTCCTAGTAAATCCTAGGACCCCATGGATTCACTGCTGATTCTACTCAAACCGTTCCAAAAAAGTAGAGGAGGAGAGAGTGTTTCTGAACTCATTCTACATGGACAGTATTACCCTGATACCCAAGCCAGACAAAGACATGTCAAAAAAAAAAAAAAAAAAAAAAAGAAGAAGAAGAAAATGATGAACCAAAATCTTTGATGAAAAGATTGAAATATCTTTTGTAGAGGATATGAAAATCCTCTACAAAATACTAGCAAGCCAAATTCAACAATGCATTAAAAAGATCACTCATCATGACCAAATGTTGAAGAGGACACCAAAAAATGGAAAGATATTCCATGTTCATGGAGTGGAAGTCAATATTGTTAAAATGTCCATACTACCCAAAGCAATCTACAGATTCAATGCAATCTCTATCAAAATGCTAATGACATTCTTCACAGATATAGAAAAAATAATCCTAAAATTTATGTGGAACCACAAAAGACCCAGCACTGCCAAAGCTATCCTGAGCAAAAAGAACAAAATTGGAGAAATAACATTACCTGAATTCAAATCATCCTACAGAGCTATGGTAACCAAAACAGCATGCTACTGGCATAAAAACAAACACATACCAATGGAATGAAATAGAGAACCCAGAAACAAATTCACACACCTACAGAGAACTCATTTTCAACAAAGGTGCCAAGAATATACACTGGGGAAGAGATAGCCTCTTCAATGAATGATGGGGGGGAAACTGGATACCCACATACAGAACAATGAAACTTGACCCCTATTTCTTGCCTTATATAAAAATCTAATCAAAATGGATTAAAGACTTAAATCTAAGACCTCAAACCATGAAACTACTATAAGAAACCAACAGAAAAACTCTCCAGGATGTTGATCTGGACGAAAAAATCTTAAGTAATACCCCATAAGCACAGTCTACCACAGCAAAAGTGAACAAATGGGATCAAGTTAAAAAGCTTCTGCACAGCAAAGGAAACAGTCAACAAAGTGAAGTGACAATCCACAGAATGGAAGAAAAGATTTGCAAACTACCCATCTGACAAGGGACTAATAACCAGAATGTATAAGGAGTTCGAAAAATTCTATAGTAAAAATTCTAATAATCTGAATAAAAATGAGTAAAAGATTTCAACAGACATTTCTCAAAAGAAGATATACAAATGGCAAACAGGTGTATGAAAAGGTACTCAACATCATTGATCATCAGGTAAGGGCAAATCCAAACTACAATGAGATATTATTTCACCCCAGTTAAAATGGCTTTTTATCCGGCCGGTTGCAGTAGCTCATGCCTGTAATCCCAGCACTTTGGGAGGCCAAGGCGGGTGGATCACTTGAGGTCAGTAGTTTGAGACCAGCCTGGCCAACATGGTGAAACCTGTCGCTACTAAAAATACAAAAATTAGCTGGGCATGGTGGTGCGTGCCTGTAATCCAAGCTACTCAGGAGGCCGAGGCAGGAGAATCCCTTGAACCTGGGGGGGCAGAGGTTTCAGTGAGCCGAGATCACACCATTGCACTCCAGCCTGGGTGACAGAGTGAGACTCTGTCTAAAAAAAAAAAAGGCTTTTATCCAAAATCAGGCAAGAAAAATGCTGGTGAGAATGTGAAGAAAAGGGAACCTTTTTACACTGTCAGTTTGAATGTAAATTATTACAACCACTATGGAGAACAGCTTGTAGTTTCCTCAAAAAACTAAAAATAGAGCTACCATATAATCCAGCAATCCTCCTGCTGGGTGTATATCTAAAAGAAAGGAAATCAGTATACCAAAGAGATACCTGCACTGCCATGTTTGTTGCAGCACTGTTCACAATAGCCAAGTTTTGGAAGCACCCTAAGTGTCCATTAGCAGATGGATGGATAAAGAAAATGTGTTACTTATACACAATGGAGTAGTATTTAGCCATAAAAATAAATGATATCCTGTCATTTGTAACAACATGGATGGAACTGGAGGTCATTATGTTAAGTGAAATTAGCCAGGCACAGAAAGACAAACGTTGCATGTTCTCACTTATTGGTAGGAGCTAAAAATAAAAACAATCAAACTCATTGAGATAAAGAATAGGATGTTTATCACAGGCTGGGAAGGGTAGTGAAGTATGAGGGGAATGTGGGGATGGTTAATGGGTACAAAAAAATAGAAAGAATGAATAAGACCCAGCATTTGCTAGCACAATAGGGGGACAATAGTCAGTAATAATTTAATTGTAATTTTAAAAATAACTAGAAGAGTATAATTGGATTGTTTGTAACACAGATGAGAAATACTTGAGGAGATGGTTACCCCATTTTCTATGATGTGATTATTAAACATTGCATGCCTATATGAAAATATCTCACATACCCTATAAATACATACACCTATTATATACCCACAAAAATTAAAAATTAAAAATTTAAATAAAAGAAATGACTGGAAGAGAGATGACTGGAGCTGTATTGTTCCACAAAACCATCAGAGCGTTTATTTATTATAAACTAACTAGACCTAGCAGACATTTATAGAAATCCACCCAACAAACTATAAAATATCCATTATTTTTAAGTGCACATGGAACACTCTCCATAAGAGACCAAATGCTGGGCCATAAAACAAGTCTTAACAAATATAAGAGGACAGAAATTATACAAAGTATGTTCCTCGTTTAGAATGGAAAAAAGCTAGAAATCATTAATAGAGAGAAATTTGGAAAATTCAGAAATAGTGGAAACTAAACAATACACTCCTAAATTACCAAAGGGTCAAGAAGATATCACAAAGGAAATTAGAAAATACTTTGAAATTTACGAATGTGAAACACAACACACCAAAATTTATGAGATGTAGCTAAAGCAGTGCTAATAGGGAAATTAATAGTGATGTATGTCTATCCTAGAAAAGAATAAAGATCTAAATCAATAACTTAGCCACTTACCTTCAAATACTGGAAAAAGAAAAACAAACTAAATAAAAAAAAAACAGAAGGAAGAAAACAAAGATTAGAGCAAAAATTCATAAAGCAGGGAAAGCTACAGAGAAAATCAACCAAATCAAAATTTCATCCTTTGAAAATGATAAAATTGAGAAACCTTTAACTAGACTGACTATAAAACGATGAGAAAAGATTCAAATTAGTAAAATCAAGAATAAATGAAGGACATAATTTTAAACCTTACAGAAATAAAAAGGATTATAGAATACTATGAATAATTTTATGCCAAAAAAATTAGATGATTCAGATGAAACAAATTCCTAGAAAGGCACAAATTGCTGACACTGACTCAAAAATAATAGAAAATATAAAAATGCCTGTAACATGTAAAGAAATTGAATTAGTAATTTTAAAACTTCCTATGAAGAAAAGCTTAAGTGTAGATGGCTTCACTGGTAAATTCTACCAAACTTTTAATGAAGAATAAATTCTTCACAAACTCTTCCAAAAAATGGAAAAGGAGATAACACTTTCCAATTAATTCCACAAAGCCAATAGCACTCCAATGCCAAAGATATGAACAAAAAAGAAAGCTATAGGCCAATACCTTATGAATATAGATATAAACTCCATCAACAAGATACTCTAACTCCAAATCAAACAACATATAAAAAGTGTTATATATTATGACCTAGTGGAATTTACCCCCAGGAATGTGAGGTTGGTTTAATATCCAAAATCAATTAATATAATGTGCCATATTAATAGAATGGAAGACAAAGCCGAAATTGTCATTTCAAAAGATGCAGAAAAATCATTTGATAAAATCCGACATCCTTTTATGTAAAACAATCAACAAACCACGACGAGAAGGGGACTTCTTCAAGCTGCTAAATAGAACCTATAAAAAGCTTTTGACACTAAAAGACTGAAGTTTTCTCCTTAAGATCAAGAACCAAAACAAGGACGTCCACTCTTGCTACTTCTACTCAGCATTGCACTAGAGGATGTAGCCATTAGGGAAGAAAAAAAAAAAGGCATCCAGATTGGAAAGAAAGAAACGAAACTCTATTTGCACATGACATGATCTTCTATACAGAAAGCATGAAGGCATCTAGAAATAAATATCTATTACAGCTTAATACACAAATTTAGAAAAGCTACAGGATACAAGAACAATTATATTTCTATATGCTAGCAGTAAAGCATCTGAAAATTAAAGTCAAAAATCAATTATGTTTATATCAATTATATCAGAAAGAATATAAAATATTGCAAAGACTGGTGGAGAAGTCTTTTCAACATATGCTCCACTTATCACTGCCTGCTCCCCTCAGTATAACCAGTGTTCTTCAGTACTTTGGCAGTTTGAGAAGAAAAAGGGTGATACATTTACTTATATACATTGTACTAACAGAAAGTATAAAACTAATTATAAATTTCTCAGAAATTCAGGAATGTCTCATTATATCCTAATAGATAATAGGAACTTGAAGACTACACATACTCCAAAGTCATGGCATTTTGTATTTACCTTGGCTTACATTCTTTTAATAAAATACAATGGTAATGGCCTTATGTTATTTATTCATTATTTTTAATGTTTCTATTTATTTACTATATTAAATTAAGTGTTTTTTACATTGTATTAGTATGGTTTTGATTAACAAAAGAGAATCCACTCTAAATATTTCAAGAAGGAAGGGCTTTAACACAAGTATTAGATGCTAATAAAACCTTTGGACGTGCTAGAAGATGAGGTTTGTATTAGTTTTCTAGGACTGCCATAACAAAATACCACAGACTGGGTGGCTTAAATAATAGAAATGTATTTTTTCACTATTTTGGAGGCTGAAAGTCCAAGATCAAGGTTTTGGCATGTTTGCTTTCTTCTGAAGCCTCTCTCCTTGGCTTGCAGATCTTCTGAAGCTTCTCTCCTTGACTTGTGGATGGCTAACATCTTCCTGTGTCTTCACACGGTCTTTTCTCTGTGCATGTACGTCCCTGGTGCTCTCTGTTTTCCTTCCTCCCTTCCTCCCTTCCTCCCTTCCTCCTTTCCTTTGACAAAAATCGGACTCTGTCACCCAGGCTGGAGTGCACTGGCATGGTCTCGGTTTATGGAAACCTGCACCTCCTGGGTTCAAGCAATTCTCCTGCCTCAGCCTCCCGAGTAGCTGGGATTACAGGCACCTGCCACCATGCCTGATTAATTTTTGTATTTTTAGTACAGACAGGGTTTCACCATGTTGGTGCCAGGCTGGTCTCAAACTCCTGACCTCAAGTGATCTGCCCGCCTCGGCCTCCCAAAGGGTTTAGATTACAGGTGTGAGCCACTGCGCCTGGCCTCTCTGAGGATTTTAATTTCTCCTACTTATAAGGACATCAGTGAGGTTGTATTTGGGCTCAAACAGCCTAATTTTAACTTAGTTGCCTCTTTAAAGTTCCCATGTCCAAATACGGTCATATTCTGAGGTATTGGGGGTTAGAGTTTGGAGGTACTGGGGGGTTAAGGATTCAACAGAAGAATTTTGAGAGGGCATAATTCAGCCCTCAACAAGGTTTGAGAAACTTGTCTGTAATCAGAAAAATAGGCAGTTGCAAAAATCGCAAGACATCGCCACCAGCAACGTCAGTTCCCAAAGCACCAAAGTGGATAATATACAGGAGAAGGCCTGACAGTCACTGCAAGACCTCATGTCTGCTTTCTGATTAAGTTCACATAGCTGCCTGCCTGCCAATGTCAGGACCAATAAAGGTTTTAGTTTTTCCTTCATTTTCTATATCCCATGCAAGCACCTTTTTATTTTTATTTATTTATTTTTTTGAGACAGAGTCTCGCTCTGTCGCCAGGCTGGAGTGCAGTGGTGCGATCTCGGCTCACTGCAACCTCTGCCTCCCGGGTTCAAGTGATTCTCCTGCCTCAGTCTCCCGAGTAGCTGGGAATACAGGCTCATGTCCCCACAACCAGCTAATTTTTATATTTTTAGTAGAGACGGGGTTTCACCATGTTGGCAAGGATGGTCTCGATGTCCTGACCTCGTGATCCGCCTGCCTCAACCTCCCAAAGTGCTGGGGTTATAGGTGTGAGCCACTGTGCCGGGCCACAAGCATGTTTTTATAGAAGATCTAAACCAAAGCTTTGCTGGAAAGGGAGTCTCAGAAACGCAGGTTCAAAAATCAAGCCTATATGATATAGGAAAGAGCTTAGAATGACATCAATAGACAATATATGACAAGTCTATTCATTTGGAAAGTCAGTATCCATAAACATCTTTCTATCCAACAATGGCAACAACACTATGCTGATGATAAGAATATTCCTTATACAAATAAAGATGCACGTACTCTCTCAACGAAAAGAAGACACAAAGTTATTAACAACCACTCTATCCATCTCTGGTTAATGATTTTTTCTCTTTGCTACTCTGTATTTTTAACTACTTTTGTGTATTCATTTGAAAGCTCCATTTTACTTTTTGATATTTGTTCAGGACTATGTTATATGGCACTTACCAACATATTTTCTATAAAATAGTAAGGGAAAGAGACTAAAAAATTGTCGAGATATATATATATATATGTGCATTAATCTGTACAGACCTCTGTAACAAAATACTACATACCACGTAGCTTATGAATAACAGATATTTATTTATCACAGTTCTGGAAGCTAGGAAGTCTAAGATCAAGGCACCAGCAAATTTGGTTTCTGGTGAGGGCCTCCTTCCTGGTTTATAGACAGCCATCTTTTCACTGAGATCTCACATGGTGAATGAATTTCCTCTGGCCTCTTTTATAAGGGCACTAATTTCATTCCTCACCCTCGGCAGAGCTCTCATGACCTAATATCTCCCAAAGGCTCTATTTTCTACCCATACCACCTTGGGGGTTAGGATATTCACCTAATCTTGGGGGAAAGATTTCCACCTTCCACCTTAGGGATTATGAATTTTGGAAGGACACAAATATTTACACTATAGCAGCATGTATATATGTATGTGTATATGTATACATGTATATATGAATTATATAATTACTAGTTATATAAACATATGTTTATAATTAATAATTTAAAAATCAAGTAAATATGCATACCTTTTATAGTTCTCATTCTTGTAGCTGAAGGTGAGAACTTAGTTGGTAGCCTTAACATCCTTCCTCCACTGCATTCCATGTTCCCATTGCCTTTAGATGATACTCTAGTTGATAATGGCTCTTTGCTTTGTAGGGTGACGAAATCCTCTTTCCAGAGGGCGTTAAGTCTTTAGTGGTCTTTCTGCATTGGGTTGTGTACAGTGTTCTTCCACTGGTATATAAGATCAGAGTCCAAAGCTGAGCAGACAGAAAGCAAGACATACTTTTAGGATTGGTCAAAAGGGTTAGTACTGAGAGGAGGCATTCCCAGTTCCACTCTTTGTTTAAGGACCTATGTATCATGAGAAAAAAAATGGCATCTGATATTGGTTACTTGCTTGGAGTATATTTTGCATATTGTAGGAATGAACCCCAGATAATGTTGTACTTCACTTGGTGTCATAACTGAGTGTTCAATAATATATTCCCCCATTTTATTAAGCCAGTTGCTTATAGGTATTTGAATCCATGATAAACAAGTCAATCCTATAGATATAAACCCATTAATACACTTTTTTTCTATAAAAATAAGTTCCTTGATTAGGAGGCAATGTTGAGTGGGATGTCATGTCAATGAATAAAATTGTATGTGTGTCTATAAAGAATGACGCTGACAAAAGTTCTGTTCATGGGAAAGTCAACTTTATATAATATAGTAAAGGTCTATTTTGTAATGGGGAATAATTGCTGCAACCTCCATGTCAGACAGGATACAATGTAATTAATCTAGGTATACTGGCTGGCCAGTATACCTAGGGAATGACATCTTATTGGGGATTTAACATTGGTCTCTGAGGCTGGTAGGTTGGTTACTCATCTAATGTGATTGTTAGCTCATCCTTGGTGAAAGGACACCCATGTTACTGAGTGCATGTCACTTTGTTCATGAACTCATTAATTTAGCTCTGTGATAACTGGGGAGAAAGACTGACTGACATGGGTGAACTGCTCCACAATGAACTTTCATATGAGACACAAATATCCTCACGCTCTGGCCATTGCAAGAGATCACAAAATTTTTCCCGGACTTTCTTATTGTTTCATAATTTGATGAAACCATTAATGTGTTGATTATAATCAGAAGGTTATGATCTGTTCTTGATAGGTGCAGTATATGTATATGTGGGATCTGAGATTGAGGAATTTTTATTCCAGTTTTCACTTAAAATCTAATATGACATGTTTTGTTCATTTTTTGTAACGTACATATAAATGGTAAAAGTAGTGTTTTGCTCAGTACTGATGGAACAGCAGCTATGTATGCAATAAGAAAGTGCATCAATTGTTGCATCTGAATGCCAATTCAAACACTGCTTTATTCTAAGAAAGGTTAAATTGGCCACCAATGACATATATTATTGCCTGAATTCAAAGTTAAAAACAACAGTAAAGTAATTAACAGTGAAAGTCATTAAAATTGTTAATAACTAATATTATTAACAGGGAAATTTATTAATATGAAATGATGGGCACAAATAATCTGTCCTCTCAATTAACTTCCCATTTACGTGGGCAGTAACGCAAGGCATGGTTATTTCATATTGAATAAAATTATCTATCAAGTATAAAGATGATCAGAGGTAAAGGATAAAATATAAACATTTCATCCAAAGTCTACATTATTCCAGCAAAAAACCACTTTCATTACTTCAAGAAGCTTTGTCATCAGTGCAGTCAGTATTTTAAAAGCCTAAACCTATTATTACTTGATATTACAAAATATCATGCTTTCTAATGTTGAAAATATTCAGGCTTTATTACAAGACTAACCTGCTGTCATTTAAAGTGAACATGAACATGTACTCTACTAGTATCATGCAGTATAATATCAGGTTTACTTAAGAAAGAAAAGTAGCAGCGTTTACATGATCCCCCCAAATTCCATTATTCCACAGAGTGTCATAGTTAGGCACTTAGGTATACCTGGACTAAGAATACCAAACAATGGGCTCCAGGAGATGACCACCCTCTTGTAACAGGTTACATATTTTGAGGCACAATGGAGCAGGAAATATCTGGGCATCTATGTGTAGGAAATTTGGAGTATTTGGGGGCTGATAAAAAAAATGATGATGAGGTGACAATAGCACACACAAGCTTTAGCTGGGTGATACTTTCATAGATTTGCATGTGAGAAAAGTCCCGTAATACTTCTAGGGGATATAGCTCAAGAGAGGACTGCCATCCAGAAGGGGAGGAGGTCAAGGGAACTTCCAGGGGGGAGAGGGATCAGATAGGTGGTTCTATGTCTAGGTGATGTCACTTGGCAGCATGACAGAGTATCTCTAGGTCAGAGAATTCTGAAGGGCAGCAGCAGCTTGGGGTTTTCATAGCCCCAGAGTTTGTCTTATCTATAGCTAGCAGATGGCGAGTATGCTTCTTTGTGGGGTATTGAAGCTCTAGATGGCCATAGTTCTGCTTATTTGGGCTATGTTTAAAACAACTGCATGTATAAAAATTTAAGTTTGATGGTGTTGGCCAGTTTTTGAGCGAACTGTTCATAGCCTGCTGTGAAGAAGTAAATAACCTAGGGACCAATATACAGAGGCTGCCTTCGGCTTATTTATATAACACTGTATAATAATAAAGAGGTGGTTGACTGAGAGAACCACTTCCTTAGAAAGCAGTAGCCTCTGGAGTGCAGTACCTGGTGTCAGCATGATTTTCAATTGTCCTCCGATCTGCCAAACCAGCTCTTAGACCAAATTAAAGTCTGGGGCCCACCTAAATTAGATCTTCTCATGCTTGCTTGCCCCAGTTTGACTCTTTTCCAACACAATGTTTTCTTTATTAGTTTAAGAAAGAAATTGTTAATATACTATTGATCACATTCAAAAACCCCATTCAAATGTTACAACAAAACAAAATAAATTATTTCAAGATCATAATGTAATAGAAGAATGCAGTAAGGCCACAATAAGTATTACTTGAACAAAGAGAGTAGTAAATTATTTGTTGCTATTTCTTACACTGAAACATTCCACTATCTAGCTTTTGAAAATGACTTACATAATGGGGTTGCAGATTTACTCACATTACTACTTAGATGTGTAAATCTTTAATTACCAATATGAGTAATTATATATGAGCATATATTGAAGATATATTTATATATTAATATATGTAATGTATATTTATATACTAATATATTTAATGTATATATTTATGTTTTATATATTTTAATATTCAGTTTATTATATATGTTACATACAAATATATATCACTATAAAATACTGTATATATTTTAGTATTTAACATGTATTTTATGTATTTCCCTTTAAATTAATTATAGAGAGAAAACACATATTTTTCTGTAATTGCTCTGCTCTTGCTCCCTTTCTATTGCATAGGAAAAAAAAAGAAAAAACCCTCCAAATGTTGATATCTTATCCTTTTCCAATTCAAAGGGGCTTTTAAGTTGTAAAAATGATATAGTTCATATTTATTCAGTAAATAATATTTAAAACTTTACATATTTACTAAATGTAGAAATTATTAAATTTATTAAATATATAAATTATTAGTCACATAATAAATTTATTAGATACTCATAAAATATATATTTTATCTATACCATAATCATACATACTATATGACTATATGCTTTATATTTTATATATTTTAATATTTACTCTATTTTTATATTTAGAAAATATATATTTCTCCATAAATTACAGAGAGAAAAATATCCAAGTTATTATAGAAAAAGTAATTATAGAGCAATTATTTAATTATAATTAACTAGTTAAGAAATTATGAATTAAACTAAGAAATTAATTAATTATAGAGAAAAAATATTTTTCTATAATTGCTCTACTTGTCTCTAACTGCTCTGTTTCCTTCATATAGCACAAGGAAAGAAAAAGCATTTCAAGTGGACTCTCTTCCAGTTCAAAGGGACATTTTAAGTTTTAAAAAGTCTCTACTGAGTAACAACTTAGTAAGTTCAAAGTACAGCTCCTCTTCAGACACAAGTCTCCACTGGCCCTCCTTTTCAAGATGTGGTCTATAGTCACTGGAGATGCTGGTTCTTGTGGCTTTCAGCATGGAGAGCGTCATATCTTGTGCTTTGTCCTGCCATCATATGTGGACATCTCCATCCCATCCTCTTCCTTTTTGGGGTGGCATTGCCCAGCTCTCTTCCCTGGGTCTTCATCCCATTTAAGTACAGATAGAAATGGTCTACTCATTGGGGAGTATCCAATAATGTTCCTTTTTCATATTCTTGTAAATACTGCATCTGGCAAAGCACTGAAATAAGTTTTTTTTTTTTTCTGGATCTCCTTTCAACCCAAAACTCCAGAAATAAAATACTTGCTACAATTATTGACATTCTATATCTGATTTTCAATCTATAAGATGTAATGAGTAAGAAAACAAACTGAGTCTAGGTGGAACATATTTCAGATGGGTCAATCCTTATTCCCTGAGCCTAAAACCTCTGTTGGAGTGTCCTCCCTAGCACAGACTTCTGGTAGTGGGGAGGAGTCTTCCCTTCATGTATCTCTAGTCCCCTACTTGTCTAGATGGCTGCTGCATGTGGCATCCTCCATAGTCATCAAAGCAATTTTTCTAAAAATTTTAAAACATAAGTGGCCTCCTTTGAGAAGTATGAAAGTGCTTCTCAAATTTGTAGCTTTCATGAACAACTTCATAATCATTAGCCATATATGCATAGCACCAATTTTAAGCAAATTAAAAACAAGATTAATTACATGTTTTTATAATAAAATTAGACAATGTAAAGACAAATTAATAATAATTATTTCATATAATTAAGAAGACAGCTATTGTTTGCACTCTTTCACTGAATTATGTACTTTGGCTCTAATAGGGTCTGCTAGTTGTCCATCCAATATTCATTCTCCCTTATTCTTCACTAACACAAACCAGATTTTGTAGAGATGGCAATATATTCAGCTATAAGAGTTACATTTCGCAGTGTCCCTTGCAGCCAGGCGTAACACTGTTCTGATCAATGAGATGTTTGGTGGGTTTTTGGAAGGATCATTAAAAAGGTGGCTAGCTCAGTTAGCACGTACTCTTTTCACTCTTTGAAATTCATTCATTATGTGTGAAAGTTGACATTGTGGCAGCAGCCATCTTATAAATGCTCATGAATAAAAGGCTAAGAAAATATAAGAGAACTTAGTCCTGAAACCCTTAAGCAGGATTATACTAGCTCTGGCCAAGTTAACTTTAGATTCCTGTTCTGTGAGAGAAAATTAAGCCCCCATTTTGTTTTGTCTACTGTTATTTAGGTTTCTTGTTGTATTTGGTCAAACACAATCCTTAACTAATACAGATTCTATGAAAGATAGGTTAAGACTTTTGGGTCCCCTTTAAAATTGATTCACTGGGGACTACCTCTTTAGTTTTGAATCCTAAAGAAGGTGAAAAGACAGAAGATGGAAGGTGTTTGGAGCTCAATGGCCTCAATGGTCTCAAACCACTACTGTATTAAAATTCTTCAGTAACAAATACCTGGGATTAGGGTGGCTGTCCCTATGAAGCTTTAGCACTGAATTCCAACTTTACTTTGGTTAAACATTAAATTAATGTTTCCTAAAGAAAGGTAGTAGGGTACTCTAGGAGAGGTTCATATGTCATGACTGTGTGATTAGATCTAGGATGCATGCAAACAGTGGTGTTGACAGGGATACATTCCAGCCTATTTAAATTACTGGCCTAATTTGGTTAGCTGTGTAGAACATAGAGAACTTAAATGATCATCTCAATTTATTTCCTGTGAGCTGACATCTACAGGAGAGAGAAGCCTAACATTGATGATAGCTGATGCCTCTTACTTCTGAAGCTGTACCATCTAGATCTCCCAGACTAAGTTTAGAGCTTTAAGGTTAATTATGATTTAAAAAATTTTTTTAAAAAGATGAAAAGGCAACTCCAAGATAGGGGTACCATTTTCTTTTTCCATGAATGAGATGAGATTGCGTTTAGGATGAGCAGCGTAAAAGAAATCAAAATATTCCTTGAACTTTAAGGGAAAAGAGGTCTGGAGAAGTTCCATTGTCCCAATTCAAGGCATTCTGAGACCACATTAAATAATTTCAAATTAATGGCATAATTTCTAAGTCCTAGAACCTAGAAATTTCCCCAGAAATCAGGCAAAATGCAACTTTCCATTATTACATAGCCCTACATATACACATAAAAATTGGTTTTCTATAAACCAAATTCATATTCCTGAGATTATTTCAAAAGCCAAGAGTAGTTTTTGGATCAGATTTCAAAAAGTAGAAATTATCAAATACCTAGGCTTAATGAGAACACATTGAATAAATGTCTTCATGTGCCTAAAGATAAGGGCTGATTTTATAAGGCTGCACATATCAGGCTAGAGTACCCACTACAAATAGAGATAGATCCTGACAGGATTTCTACTCTCATCACTTGTCCTCACAATTACAGAATACAGAATACATTTTTGAAATTTAGTGGTTTCCATAGGAGCTTTATAAAGAAATATTTCCAGATTGTTAAGATACTCAGTGACCATGTTAGGTTAGGAGTTGGGCATTGCAAGTAAAATGGAGGAAGCTCACAGTATAATAGGAATTCAGTGTTCCCCCATCTCTATTCCCCTTAGCTTCTTGAGATATTCAGGAAGATGTGGAGGAAGGCCTCTAACCTGTTGGTGCTTTAGTGGATTACATAACCCCTGCCTCCCCTTGGCTGATTCTTGCTTTTCATTATCTATAAAGCTGCCACCTTTGACTGCCTGAGGGCAGTAGTCTGTCAAAACAAGGAGAGGGAGCACAGGGTGATATCTGCTGCCAGGTGGGGTGTGTCTAGGGGTGGCATTTAGTAGTCTATTTACAAAATAGATTTCCTGGCCTTAAAATGGGTAGTAACTGATAAGTTTTGGGACTATGTATATGGAGTGTTTTTTAGAAGTGTGGGTTGACAGCAATCAAATTACATATGTGCTCAGAACAGATAACATAGAACAGGCTTGAGTTGCCATAATAGCTCACCAAGATTTTGTCATTAATTACCGATAAAGTTGCAGCAACAGAGAAGCGTGTGTACTTTTCTTCTGACCCCTTCCCAAGGTCATTAATATTATCTTCAGGGATCTAGTCATAGTCATTTGAGGAGTCTCAAAAAGATAGTGCCCATTCTAAGGGAGGAATGGATGTTAGCTTGGGGATGTCTTCCAAGCTGAGCTTATTATAGCTGTCAATTGTGTCACCATGGGCAATTTGTCACCTCCTTAATTGGGAGTGAAAGTATAGAGAAAGGCACAATGACCTGACCATGGGTTAAAGGATGTTATAAAAGGAAAGAACCAAGGACTTTTGTCTGAAATCATCAGGTTTTCTTGGAGGGCATTTACATGTTGCTGCAAACATGATGAGAGCTGCTCAACTGAAGGTTACAGTGACCAGAATAAGGTTAGTAGAAACAATTAGTGTTGCCCCAGTGAGAATATTTCAGGGTGATGGTGGCTCCATTGGCAGGCAAAAGAGTCTAGAAAGGCTCCAGAAAATTATTTTTTCAAGATAGCAGAGGACATGAATTCCAAAATGTAAGACTTTTCAATGCGTTGTGAGCATATGATGTAAGGGTTCTGTACGTTGGTGTAAGTACCACAAATGAGCAGATTAAAATAGGAAGCCTCCTATAAGGTATATTGGAAATATCCTGGGAGGCAGATTAGTATCTGGTCCAGTAGTTCTCAAACTTTAATGGGCATCAAAATCATTTGGAGGGCTTGTTAAAATGCAAAATCTTGGGTACAATTTCAAAAGTTTCTGTTTCAATAGATTAGAAAGAGAGCTTGAGAATTTGCATACTTAAGAAATTCCTAGGTGATGCAACTGCTGACTCTCCATGAGCAACAACTTGATGATCACCTGTCTAGATTCTTGTGCCACAGTTAAGTGAATGGCCTAAAATATATTTTAAAATATTCTGTACTTTAAAATCCTTGTTTTTTTTTTCTTTTAAGGGGGAAAGAAGTCTTGAGTAAAACCTATTCAATCTTAGAAGTCTTGTGTATTGTATAACTGCATTCATTACGGCAATCTTATTGGCAAAAGTATGGAAAGTAACAGTTGATCTCTTAGCATGGTCTTTGCACACATTTTGTCTTCACAACAACCCTGCAAGTTGAGTACTCTTATAATAAGTGCATAGGAAAGGTAATATAAACAACTTTCAAAACCAGTTTGATCTTAAAGTTCAAGTTTTCTTCCACTGTGCTACTTTATTTCCTGGATTTAGAATGTTATATATTGAATGTGTGTCTGATCAAACTTTTCTAAGTGTGTACCATCATTTCCACCATTGATTATTTCTCTTATTTGAGAGTTTTATATTTACAAAAAAGCAACTTAGAGACTTCTAGTTGTGCCAAGATGGAGTATCCCCTTCCTCCCGTGTCCTCCCTCTTTTACCTGAAGAGGTATAACAAAACCAGAAATAACAAAAACCATATATAACGAAACAAACAAGTATAGGAAGTCTCAGAAAAGTAGAAAAAGAAGGTGGGCTTCCTAGGGACCTTTAGATTTGAAGAATGGCATGGCAATGAGTTCCCTGTTTTTCCGTATTTCCTCTCATATATCTCAGGCAGGATGCTACAGAAGATCCCAACTCAAACTTCCAACAATAAACAGCCGAACAAAAAGTACAAGGACAAATGCCAACACTGAGATGATTCTGATATTGGAATTATCTGCTAATAATTTCAAAGCAGCTATCATAAAAATGCTTTAACAGGCAATTATAAATTCTCTTCAAATAAGTGAAAAAATAAAAAAAAAAAATCCGAGTAAGGATATAGAAATTATTTAAAAATTAAAATTATAGAACTGAAAAATACAGTAACAGAAATTTAAAAAAAATTCTTACTGGATAGTGCTCAGTAGTAGAGTGGAGATGACTTGGAGTGGAGATGTACTTGAAGACAGAAAAATAAATTAACCCTACCTGAATTACAAAAAATATACTGAAAAGAAATAGAGTTTCATGAACCTGTAAGAAAGTGACAAAAGAACTAAAATTTATATTATTGAAATTCCAGTCAGAGAGAAATTAGAAAGTAGGGTTTAAAAAGTATTCATAGAAATATCAACTGAAAATCTCCCAAATTTGGTGATAGACATAAACCTAGAAACAAGTAGCTGAGCAAACCCCAAATATGATAAACACATAGAAATTTATGCCAAAATGGCATCATAATTAAACATCTCATAACTAAGAACAACAACAAAAAAAAAACAATGAAATTAGCCAGTGAGAAAAAAAGCACTGCTTACAGGGCAGAACCAATTCAATGATAGTGAGTTCTCTGAAGCCATAGAGTCCAGGAGGAGGAAGTTTCACATTTTCAGTTACAAAAAGAAAAGAACTGCTAACTATCAATACTATATCTGACAAGAATATCTTTCATAAGTGAAGGGAAAACAAAGATGAAGGAAAACTAAGATAATTTGTTCTTAGAAAACCTACCCTTAAGAAATGGCTAAAGGAACTTCTCTGAAGAAAAAGAAAATGATAAGAAGGTTTAAAATTCCAGAAAGGAAAGAAGAACCCCAGAATAAGTAAAAACAGGGTTAAATAGACTATCCTGCTTTTTGTGAGTTGCTTAAATCATATGACTGAAGCAAAAATTTTAACATCTGATGTGGTGCTTAATGTATGTAGAAGAAATACTAAAGACAATTATATTTTAAAAGTGGGGAGGGTGAAGAACCTAAATGGAAATAAGATATTGACCCTTCATTCTAAGTGGTGGTAAAACATCAACACTGGTAGTCTGTAATAAGTTACATATATATATTGTGATACCTAGAGCAACCACTAAGAAAACTATACAAAGCAATATACTCAAAAACATTATACAAAAATTATTACGGAGTCCTAAAAATACACTCAAACTATTCATAAAAAACGTAAAAAAAAGAAGCAGAGGAATAGGAAACATGTGAAATATATAGAAAATAAATAATAAAATGGCGGAATTAAGCCCTAACATATTAGTAATTACCTTAAATGTATATGGTCTAACTACATGTATTTTTTAAAATAAATTTGGATGACAAATTAAAAATTTAAGATACAATAATATGCTGTCTAAATGAAACTTGCTTCAAAGATAATTACATAAGCAAATTGAAAGTAAAAGGATAAGAATAATATACCAGGTGTACGTTAATTTAAGAAAAAAGCAAGGGGGCTATATTAATATCAGTTAAAGTAGTCTTCAGGGCAAAGAAAATTCCTAGAACAAAGAAGATTATTACATAATGATCAAATGATCAATACACCAGTAAGACATAAAAAATCTTAAATGTATACAATTCAAAGAGTAGCATCTCAAGACCCAGGAAACAAAAACTGCCAGATTTGAAGGAAGAAATAGACAAATCTACAATTATAATTACAGGTTCCACACACCATTTTTAGCAATTGACAGAAGTACTAGAGAAAATAAGCAAAGAAATAACAGAACTGAACAACACTATCAATCAACAGTACTTAGTGGAGATATATATATATATATAGATATAGATATAGATATAGATATAGATATAGATATAGATAATGATATATCTCCAGTGTGTTAGTTTGTTCTCTGTTCTCACAATGCTATAAGGACATATATGAGACTGCATAATATGTATGTATATATAACACTCTACCACCAGTAGTATAACATGCTACTGTTTTTCAAGAGTGTATTCATCAAGATAAACCAAGTCCTGGACGATAAGATAAATCTCAACAAACTTAAAAAAAAGAAAATCATACAGAATGTGTTATTTAACCATATGAAATTAAACTAGAAATCAAGAACTGAAAAATAACAAAAAAGTCTCTAGACGTTAGAAAATTGAAGATGAGTATTCCAAATAATATAAAGCTCAGAAAGGAAGTCTCAAAGGAAATAAAAAACACATATTGAATAATAATGAAAATATATCAAAATACGTGGGGGCACAGATAAAGCAATGATGTGAGAGAGACTTATAGCATTAAATGCTTACATTAGACAGGAAGAAAAGTCTCAAATCAATACACTAAGTCCCTGGCTCAAAATGCTAAGAAAAAACAAAATTATCAGAAATCAAGAAGAGAGGAAATAATAAAGATAAAAACAAACATCAATAAAATTGAAACCAAGAAAAACAATAAAGAAAATAAATGGAACAAAAAGTTTATGTTAAAAGCTAAATAAAATTCATAAATCTATAGGAAGACTAATGCAGATAAAAATAATCAATCTCAGGAATGAAACGGGATAGCACTACAGATTCTCAAACCATTAAAAAATAATGGAGTACCACAAACAACTTTACTTCATAAATTTGACAACTTAGAAGAAAGAAATCAATTTCATAAAATTGCTACCTAATGAACAATCAAAAAACAACTTGAACAATTACATAACCATTAAGGAAATTGCATTTCCAACTTAAAACCTTCTGGGAAAAAATCTCTTGGCCAAGACAGTTTCATGAGAGAATTTTACCAAATATTTAAAGGAGAATTAACACCAATATTATACAATCTCTTACAGAAAATAGAAGAAAAAGAAACCCT
The DNA here is from genome assembly GCF_000001405.40 of Homo sapiens. Lineage (NCBI taxonomy): Eukaryota > Metazoa > Chordata > Mammalia > Primates > Hominidae > Homo > Homo sapiens. Next base: position 105,234,919 of record NC_000008.11, on the reverse strand, counting down.
TCTTGCTTCATCTTACAAGGCTAGAAGTATCCTGATACCAAAACCAGAGACAATACAAAAAAGAAGAAGTAGGAGAAGAAGGAGGAGAAGGAGGAGGAGGAGAAGAGGAAGAGAGGAAGAGGAAGAGAGGAAGAAGAAGAGGAAGAGGAAGACTACAGACCAGTACATCTCAGGAATTTGGACATCAGAATTTTCAATAAGATATTACCAAATCTTGTCCAGTGTGTTAGTATGTTCTCTGTTCTCACAATGCTATAAGGACATAATGAGACTGCATAATTTATAAAGGAAAGAGGTTGAATTGACTCAAAGTTCCACATGGAGGCCCTCAGGAAACTTACAATCTGGCAGAAGGGGAAGCAAACACATCCTTCTTCACATGGTAGCAAAAGGGAGGAGTGTGCAGTGAAGGGGGAAAGGCCCCTTATAAAACCACCAGATCTCATGAGAATTCACTCATTATCATGAGAACAGTATGAAGGTAACCACCCCCATGATTCAATTACCTCCCCACCACCAGGTCCCTCCTATGACACGTCGGGATTATGGGAACTACAACTCAAGATGAGATTGGGGTGGGGACTCAGCCAAACCATATCATCCAGCAATGTATAAAAAGAATTACCTGCCACGACCAAGTAAAATTTATTTCAGGCCTGCAAGTCAATTTCAGGATTTGAAAATCAATCAATCATATGGTCATATTAATTGATAGAGAAACAGAATTTGACAACAATTCAATACTCGTTCATGATTAAAATTCTCAGCAAACTAGGAATAGAGGGGAACTTCCACAACTTGATAAAGAGCACCTACATAAAATATATAGCTTTCATTGTATCTAGTGGTGAAAGACGAAATGCTTTGTCTCTAAGATTGGGAACAAGACCAGATGTCCACTGTAACTACTCTTATTCAATATGGTACTGGAAGTCTTAGTGACTGCAAAAAGGCAAGAAAAAGGAAAAATAGTATAGAAATTAGAAAGTAATAAAACTCTCTCTATTTTCAGATGAAATAATTGTCTACATAGAACATCACAAGGAAAAAAATGAAAAAATAGAACAAATAACTGAGCTTGGCAAGATTGCCAGGTGCACATTCAACATACAAAAATCAACCACATTTCTACATACTAAAAGTAAACATGTGGAAACAAAAATTAAAATCACAATGCCATTTGTAATCCCCCAAACATCAAATACTTGGGTATAAGGTTAACAAAATATGTGTAAGATCCGTATGCTGAAAATTGCAAAAATGCTGACAAAAACAATCAAAGAACATGTAAATAAATAAGTGATATACTATGTTCATGGAATAGAGGTCTCAACATAACAAAGATGTTAATCCTTTTGAAATTTATAGGTCCAATTAAATTACTGTCAAAATCCCCATAAATATAGGCATAGACTAGCTTATTTTCAAATTAATTTGGAAAGGTTCAGTCCCCAGAATAGCTAAAATCATCTTGACAAAAAATTAAGTGGGAAGATTCACTCTATCTAGTATTAAAGCCTAATACTTAGCAACAATAGTTAAAACAGTGTGGCATTTGTCGAGGGATAGACACATAGATCAATGCAATGGAACAGAGTACAGAACCCAAAAATAGACTTACACAAATATGATCAAATTACTTTTGACAAAAGTGTAAAATAAATTTAATGAAGGAAGAAGAGTCTTTTCAACAAATTGTGTTGAAATAATTGGGCACCCGTCAGCCAAAAGTAGTCTTTGACCTAAACCTTATATCTTCTAAAAATTGACTCAAAATAGATAATGGACATAATATAAAATATAAAACCATAAAAGTTTTAGAAAACAAGATAACTCTTTGGGGATCACAGGATAGACGATGAAATATTAGACTTGACATCAGAAGCACAATCTATGAAAGGAAGACTTGCTAAATTGGATCTCTTCAATATTCAGAACTTTTGCTCTATGCAGGATCCTGCTCAGAGAATTAAAAGGTAAATTACAGACTTGGAGGAAATATTTGCAAACAATGTATCTGACAAATATATCTAAAATATATTTAAAAATTCTAAAATCTCAACAGTAAAAAATAGTTAGGAAATTGGCAAAGAACCTGAATAGACAGTTCACTGATGCAAATAAACACAGGAAAATATGTTTGATATAATTGGCTGTTTTATACATAAAAATTAAAACCACAATAATGTATTTACACACTTATAAGAATGGCTAAAATAAAAATAATATTACCACCAAATGCTGGCAATGATATGGGGAGGCTAGATCACTCATCTGTTGCTGTTGGAAATGCAAAATGGTTCCTGGGGAACTATTGTGAAGGAAACAGTTTAAATGCCCAAGATCCATGTTAGAGTCTTTTCAGTCAAATATAGTTTTAATATGAGTAGAAACTTTGCCTCTTATTCATCAAATAATCTTATTAATTCACATTTATTTGAACACTAACTATAGCCCCTTCAATAAAGTCATAATATTCTCCAGTTCCATGATATCATAAGCAGAAATGGTGTGCATCCTTTCCAGAGTTAATTTCCCTAGCAATGCTGGATCCTAACCTTTATGTCTTTTTAGGTGCTTCACTTCATCAATTATCCACTATCTCTGGTATTTTAAATTTCTCCTTCTCTAATAGCTTTTAACCTACAACTTATATATTTACTGAAACCTCTCTCTAAATTTTGTATCCTTCTCCAGTTACTCCTTCTTTCCTTCCCTTTTCAGTCAAGCCTTTAAGAGAATGGTCTACTATCACTGTCACACATATCTTACCTTAAATTAACTGTTTAACCCACTGCAGTCTGGTTTCTGCTTCCCAACACTCCATTGAAACTGATGCCTCAAAGGTCACCTATAATCTCTTAGTTGCTAAATCCAACTCTCCATTCTTATCTTACTTAACATTTAACACTTACTTAACAGCAGAATTTGACCCATCGACCAATGTCTCTTTCTTTAAACTCTCTTCCCTTAGCCTTTGGGATATCTCCTTTTCCCTTTTTCTCCTTTTTTTCTGCCCTCTTTGGCCCATTCCTTCTCTGTCTCCTTCAAAGGCTCTCTTCATTTTATTCTGTTAAATATTGGTGTTTCCCAGAATTATTTAATTACTTATGAGAATTATTTACTTATGAGAATTATTTAATTACTTATGATATACTTTCTTGCTCTCCAAATTCTACTTCCTTGTCTCACTTACCCCACAACCTTTGTCTCACTTACCCCTCAACCTTAGACTGTCATTTCTGCTGGTGGTTCCCAAATTATCTCTCCAGACCAGCTGTCTTTTGAGCCATAAACCCAAGTACAATTTTGATGTTCCTTGAGGATTTCAAATTCAAAATCCCCAAAGTGAATTCAGGCTTTCAACTACTCTTCCTCCTGTATTCCCCATTTTGCCATTCACTCCCTGACTCCTTCCAAATATCTTGGAAATGACATATGATTTCTTTTCCTCTTATTATAAAATCCTGTTGATATAAATTTCTTAGTGTCTTTTGGACTTCATCCCTTTATCTCAAAAATTAGTCTTTTAAGTTAAACTACCATTTATTTCCCTTAGTTTAGTTCTTTCTTCCTTAGTTTAGCCCTACCATTTTCTGAAGCTTATATGTCACAGTGTCCAGTGTTAGTTTTCTACAATAAAACTATGACCAAATCATTTTCTTGTTTTGAAACCTAAAATAATATCATTTAATATAAAATTCAAACTACTTAGTAAGTGAGGTATACCGAAAATAGTAAGTAAAGCATACTTTGTGATCCTCTGCTGCTTACTTCCTATGCCATTTGGGAACACTTTTAAGTGATGGAAAGTCTGATTTAATAAAAATCAAATATATAGGCATATTTTATTCATCTAATAAGAACTCTGGAAGTAGGCAATGCTGATGCCACTCAAGAACGTCATCTACTATGCATGATCTTTTTATCATTCTCCAGCTATAGTATGTTGCTTTATTGTCTCATGGACACAAGAAGACTACTTTAATTTCAGGCATAATATCTGTATTAAAGGCTGAAAGATAAATGGAGAGGGATGTGCTAGCTACATTTGCTCACTTTATCAGAAAAAGTAATTGCCTTTCTAGAGGTCCTTAAAATACTTCTACTTGTTTTGTATTGACTATAACTGGGTCACATGGCAACTCTTAGTTGAAAGAAATCCTTGGGAGAAATCATCTCTTTAGGTTTTCTAGCCTCGAGGTGGAGGCAAGCTAGGAAACAGGGAATCAAAAATTGTGCAGGCAATCAATTTCTTGTTTACCAAGTAATGTTTCCCCAGCACTCACCTTTCTCCTACATGCATATCCTTACATTCTAGTCATATTTAAATATTTGAGGTTCTTGGAAGCATTTTTTTTTCACTCTGTCTGCTTAGAAAACACTGCCATTTTTTCTGCCCCTTACTTGGCTAACTCATGCTCAACCCAGTTGTCATTTCCATATATCAAATAATTTCCCTGGTACTTCCAGTTGGCTTATGTCTCCTATAGTTTCTGAGAGTAGCATTGTGCTTTCTTGTAGCATTGTAATCATGTAGGTAATTATTTTTTTCCCCTTGGTAAGTCCAAATTCCTTGAAGGTAAAGACGATTTATTTTAAAAAATGAGTATATATATACACACACACATATATATATAATTTGTGATTTTAACCATTTTAAGAGTACAATTCAATAGCATTAATTACATTAAAAATTTTGTGCATTACCACTCCCTATTCTGAAGATTTTTCATCACCCCAAACAGAAACTGTACTGATTATGCAATAATTCTCCATTTCCTCCTTTCCCTAGTCCCTGATCACCTCTAATTACTTTCTGTCTCTATGAATTTGCCAATTCTAGATATTTCATGTAAATGGATCCAGAAACCATCTGTTGGTTGGCATCTAACTTTCTAACTCATTGCACTTCACATAATGGATTCAAGGTTCATCCATGTTGTAGGATATATTGGAAATTTATTCATATTTATGACTAAATGGTACTATAAATCACATTTTGTTTTCCCCATTCATCTCTATTTCTTTTCTAAATCTTCTATATCTTAATATCTTAGCACATTGCCTAGTGCCTAGTAGGTACTCCTTAATGTTTGTTGAATTAGTGAATGAATGCCAGATATTATGCACCTTTTATTTATTGTCATAAAAATATGTTGAAAATCAATATTATGTATAAGTTTGCAGTTACAATTTTATAGTGAGAAAACAGGGAGTGAAGTAACTGGTCATCTACACCATTTCTTTCCCTAAAGAGAGACAGGGAAAGGAGCAATTGACTAGAACATGCACAGTTGCCTGAGGCTTGCTTTTATGATACAGCTTTGATCTATTGCACAGGTAAGAGGATAGTGCTTAAAGGGCAAGATTTAAGATAAACACAGGTTATAGAAGCTTTTGATACTGTTGTTAAAGAGTTCAGACTGTTTTATGGAAAACAGGTCAATTTTAAGTATTTTGAGGAAGTGCGTTATATGATATGGTGTGTATTCTAGGAAATTATGGATCATATATACAAGGAATTAGAGCTGTAATTCATATTAATATGTGCATCAGTCTGTGCATGGTGATTTTCTACCTGAAGAGTTTTACAGGAGCAGTAGTTAATAGAGAAGTTCTTAGAGACCCACTAGTAGAATTCCAAGTGATTTTGATAAATTCTGTGTTTTCATTTTCTTTATTATTAAGCCAAATCAGTCTTCTGAAACCATGCTCGAACTGAGTATGAGACTCATCGGCAGGACCAAAGTGTTCTGTCAAAAAAAAAGCAAATAAGTACTTCTGGTGCTCCTTTCTGTTATTTAATCAAATAGTAGAAATATATATGCATTCTATTGATACAGGAAATATTTATGTTATATGTGTGTTGCTTAATTGCTTGAATACTCTGAGTGTGTTTTAGTATGATGGCTTATATAAGAACTAATTTTTCTGAATAATAAATAGTAGGCCTATAGTAACTTAGAAAAAAATATAGCTTGTACATCTGAGATTTTGCCAAAGAAAAATGAAAATTTCCAGGGCTTTCCCTAATTTCAAAGTGTGTTGACATTTGTAGCCAGGAGAATGGTGTGTAACACAATGGAACACTTGACTATTTAGATTAGAAATGACTTTCAGATATCATTCCCTGCTCTAGATATTTCCAAAATATGTTCTTCAGAGTAATAACTCTGAGCAATACATCCCGTAAAAATGTCCTACTGTCAATTATATGAGAAAGTGTAGGTTAAGATTTATGTGAAGACAAACCACCGCCAAATCTCTTACAACAAATGTTTACTTTTAATTCACATTCCATGTTTATGGGGGGTTAACTGTTACTTTGCTCAAAGTCATCTTCACTGCATGGCACACACTGAAAGCAGTCCCTATTTGGAACACGGTTGGACTCATGATGAGCTACATAAGTGGTTCTTCAAGTTTAAGCTAATAAGTGACAAGGATTTTTAGCTGTTAACTTACGATTGAAGCTCTTTTCCACAAGGAAGAGTTGTCACTGAGAAATGCTTCTATAGTCAAGAACTATAATAATACATTTCTGACTGCATTTTTCAATAAGATGCAGTTATTTTACTCAGGTCTAGGTGAATGATGGAATATGAATGGTAGTGATGTGTATCAATACATCACCTATAAAATCTCTCATGAAGTAATCTCCGTGACCACTCTCCTCCCACTTGGACATCAACTGGGTTTGATGTCCAAATTGGAGAAGGAGAGAGGTCATGGAGATTACTTCATGGAAAAACCGCAGATTGAAGATGCCGAAACCTCCACCTGCACAGATATTAGAACAACTCCCATCCTTGACTGATGCCAGACTTGTTTCTTGACTTGCTCTGACCAGAAGTGATGTGTGTCACTTAAAGACAAAACCTTAAAGAACCAGTGACTACAATGCTATACCACCTTTTAATTGGATGGCTGACTCCTTTTCTGGTAACATTAAGGACACCATGATCAAGAACTACATTTTTATTTTGTTAAACTATTGCAGAAATGACTCTAAATGAATTTCCTTCCTCTAGCCTGACCTCCTGTACATTATGACATTGCTACTGGGGTTTCGTCATGTGGATACCCAACTCAAAAACGTATTTTCCATTTCCTGTACAATTAAGAAGAAAATCACATGTCCATTATTACAAATGCCCTCTATTTGGCCACACTAATGAGTACCTTTCATTATTTATGCTGAAGAATACTTCACAGTGGTTATTATTCTCTACATCCTTTCAGCATGGCCTTTTAACTGAAGCAAGCCCCCAATTCTCTATTCTCATAATCTCATAGCTTGATGATGATACCAGAAGCTTGGCCTTTATATTGTCCAGGCTATGAATCTTAACTCCCTGATGAGACCATAGGCTCTTAAACAACAGGAAATGTAGCATGTAGATCACCTAAAATCTGGCAGGCTTATATCTCAGAAAATGAGCAATAGAAAATTTTCTTTGAGACATCCATTCTTTATTCAAACATAGTATCATGTAATATCAATAAAATGGCTTATCAAATATAGAAGAGTTGAAAATAAAATGAAAAATTAATATTATAAAATATTTTATAGTTTTATTAAATATCTTATAAATTCATTTATATGTATATTTGAATGTGAATCTAGCTTGTCTCCTTGTTCCTACATTGTCACACATACTACAATTTGAAAGTGCAGAGGAAATGTAATTCCTTTAATTTTTCTGCAACTAATCTGGCCTTTCACTTACAGTCCACCTTTCTGCAGATTAATGGGAAACAAAAATTAACTAAAACTTTCATCAAGTAACTAAAACAGACTTTTCAATCAATACTTACCATTTTATTGAATAAGAATACCCAAGTTCTCAGATAAACCTCTGTATGCCACTTCTTTCCCCAAGATGATGTCCTGTGTAGGTGCTGGAACTTGTGACCTGGCCACTTGGTATTTGTTTGGACCTAATAGCCTTCCTGTCTGACTTGAACTGTCTCAGTCTTTGCTGACAATGTAGACCTCTCTAGAATGTGGCTGAGATTAAATTGCTTCCTAACTCTTCAACTTTGGTATTAGGTGCCTTATTCTCACTCTCACAAACCTCTCTGGCAAGCTTTTCATAGTTAATTCTGGAAAAAAGGGTGGCTCGGGAAGGCAACATTTCAGGATCTCCTTTTGACTGACCATACTGTCCAGGCAAGTTGACCTTAGATTGGTCTAAGGCAGTCTTCAAAGGGACTTCTTCCCAGACTCTCGAATAAGAAGCAGAAGTTGAGAGGTGAAGGGTTCCCTTTTACCCTATGCATTCCTTTTACTTATGTATACAGCCCAGAGAAGGGAAACATCCATGTACCTTAACTATACTTCTTTGCATTCCTATATCTCTATTCTTTCTCCTTCCACTAGTCTCCAAAATTGAAAGAGGTGGGCTTTTCTTCTATTATCCTTCCTTTTCCAAACTTCAGCTAAGCCATAATGGTGGCCAGGAATATCTCCTTGACCATGGGAGACTTCTATAAGCATGGGTTGTACAGGTCTGGCTGTTAATGATAAAGTGAGAAATAAATCTCGGAAGTTGTCTTTCAAGATAATAGTCTTTCTGTTTAATTCTATTCTGACTATCACAAGCTGGGTGTGTCATAAACTTTTGTCTTTCTCTTTGAGTGCTTCTGCAACATTTCTAACATCTTCTGTCTATCTGGATCATTCCTCACATGCAAACCCAGAGAGATGAATGCCTAAGGCCAAGAAAGTGAAGGTCATGTAGCCAGCAACGGGAGGAAATTACATTAAAATTTACAATTATTTTCCTTGTTTGAAAGGACTTAAACACATAGTATATAGTTTCATTTTCCCACTTTTAAGATTGAAATTTTCCATACTGTACTTAACTCTGAAAACACTCTCCTATTTCATGCCCATTATTCAAAATCATCTCCTCTCTCAAATTTCCCCTTAAAACTTCTCTGAATCCTTTAAAAAAAGCCTGAAGGTTCTCTCTAAAGACAAGAAAGCAGGTTGAATTTAAATAAAAGACATAATAAGATAGACCAGGCGTATGGGAAGAAAAAAATTAATAAGTTCACCTCTTTCAAGTAGCTTTCTCCATCAAGTTTTTACATTTTAACTCCTTGTTTTATTTTTATCTCTAGTGTAGAAATATTCTTCATGGATTGTAATGCTTTTCATTTTGAAATACATCAAATTCATTTCAACTTCTACTAATAATAGTAGTAAATTTAAAACAAAATGCCAGTAAATGTCACATTGAATTTCCTTCTTACTCAAAGGGAGATAATAAAGCCTTTTCCAAGACCTTCTCAAGGAATCTATGAGGATAAAATGGATAAAGTTTTAGGATGATTTAAGCTTATTAGGCAAACAATATAAAATATAATAATTCACTTCTCCTCAGAGTTCACACTTCCCTGGACTCATTTCTAATTCACTACACTTTTAGACTTTTGGGGTCTCTCCTGTTATATCTGTATGCAAAATAAAACCACATAAATTGTTTGGGTTGTAAATAGGTTTATTAAATAGTTAATAACACTTAAGCAGAAAGTAAAGCAAAGAAATACAAAATTAAGGATTGTATGATCTTTGAAACATTTATTTTTATTGCAGACAAACATGTATTTGCTACGAATGTAATTTATGTGATATTCAGATTTTTCTCCTTTTAAGTTTTAATAAAATTTTTAGTCCAGAAATAAATTTCTACATTACTGACATGGTTTATGGTACTATTTTTAAGTAAGTCCTTGGCTTTCACAGCAGGTTGTACTGGCTCTGAAGGCTACTAATATCAGGTTATAAAAAGGCAAAGGTGTTTTTCAATTTCAAGTTTGTTAAATCATGGGACTGAACATGAATTACATCTTACTTTTTTATAATAGAGAAATATAGGCAGTTAGCATGGTGTATTTTATGATACACCTATTATGCTGTATCCCAGGGAGTTTTAAATAACTTAAAAATAAATAATGTTCTTTTTACATTTTGAAAAATTAAAAAGCATTATAATCATCACTAAAAATGATGCAAGATGCTACACTCAAATGATACTCCAAGGAACACTTTGTTTATAGCAGATTCTAAACCAGAGCTCTAAAAATTACACATCTTTTAAAGTCCCAAAATATACATCATATGAAAGTTTTCTTTTTGTTTTTGTCTTCTTGGGATCTATTTAACACTTGTTTTAGATCGAAGTCAGTGAGGTAAATGTAGATCTGCCATTTATCCCCCATGTTAGAGAAACAAGGTGTTAAAAATCTCCCTCTCTTTCCCTGAATGGTCACACTTTCAGATAAAATAACTGACTCTAATGTAAAAATATTGGCAGCTCCCAGGGTTGTGCTTCAAGCCGAGTCTGCTGGGCGTGGAAAGAAGTATGCAAACCTTTCCAAGTGAGCCTGGAGGGGCTTGTTTGGCAGGATTCAAATCTCTGGCAAATGACTGGCTGCAGCTCTGATCAAAATAAATGTTAAGCAAATCCTAACTTATTTAGAAATATGTGTCTGACTTTTCTAACACCAGTGTCTCTGTACCTCCAACTGCTATGAAAATGTCCCTACTGCTAAAATATCAGACAACACTGTATTCACTATTACCTTCCTTTCCAGCAAAACCTTATGATCTAATACATGCAAACTGTGTGCTCACAGTCCTCACAATGTATATTTTGGCAGCAAAACCAAATAGCCATTATTTATGTGTTAATTACCTCCTTCCAAAAAATTCTACAAAAGCAGGGGTTCTTTATTTTATTTATTTATTTATTTATTTATTTATTTATTTATTTATTTATTATTTATTCATTTAGAGACAGAGTCTTGCTCTGTCGCCCAGGCTGGAGTGCAGTGGGGCGATCTCAGCTCACTGGAGCCTCTGCCTCCTGGGTTCAAGCAACTCTTCTGCCTCAGCCTCCCGAGTAGCTGGGATTACAGGTGCATGCCACCACGCTGGCTGTTTGTATTTTAGTAGAGACAGGGTTTCTCCATGTTGGTCAGGCTGGTCTTGAACTCCTGACCTCAAGTGATCTGCCTGCCTTGGCCTCCTAAAGTGTTGGGATTACAAGCGTGAGCCACCATGCCTGGCCAGTTCTTTGTTTCTTAATTTGCTTGGGTTTTCCACATAAAGCATTAAAGAGTCATATTTAAAGTATAATAATACCTAAATACCCCTCTCACTTGCATACTCTCTGTTCTTTTCCTTTTCTCCATCTCTTTTGCTCTGCTACAGACGCCCTAGTCTACTTCTCACCTCAGAGCTCTTGTACTTAGCTATTCTTTCTGTCTAAAATGTGCTTCCCCCATATTAATTCATTCAGATCTCTGTTCAAATGTCACCAACTCAGAGACATATTGCCTTCTGATACTGTGTTGCTTTTCTGATCACCGTGTTGCTTTTCTCCGTCCCTGACACTGTTTATTTTCCTTTACAGCATGTGTAGCTGACACTGTATTTATATAACTTTTAGTATACTTTAAATTGAACTCCCACTTTCATTGAAATGTAAGTTCCCTGAGGCCAGGGACTTTGTCTATTTTATCCATTACTGCATCCACTGTGCACACTGTAGATGCTTCATAAATTACAGTCTAATAAAGGAATGCTCATTATTAAAGTAGAGATAAACTGGATATGAAAAATACAAAAACTGGAACTATATAAATGTATAAACAATAAAGAATATTGTATATGCTTTTAAAATACTTATTAAATACCACAAAAAACCCACAGACTTGCCCTGTAATGCTAGTTGTAAATCCATTCTAGTTTTTCTTTCTTTCTTTTTAAATGAGTTGTATGAGTACAAGATGAATCTGTACTCATCTTGTACTCAAGATACAAGATGTACCTTGTGTTGGATTCTACTTAGAAAAGAATATTAAAGCAAATATCTAATGCATCCAGCAAGGAACTTGTAGTTTTGGAATAACATCATTTAAAAATATTTCTGTGAATTGAAGTTCAAAATTCTTTCGAAAGCCTTGAAGTGTTTTCCCGTTTAAGATGGTATAGAGGTAACTAGTGCTATGTTCCTGGGCGAATCTTACCCCTACTGGTCTGTGGATAGCATAGGATCATCAGTGATGCATATGAAGGCAGATGTTATTACTAGTGACATGGCTGGCCTGGCAAACACAGCAATGTTTATAATATGCCTTGAGAAGGATCAGAAGACTTTTTGTTACCGTCGTTGTTCCCCTCCTCCCTATTCTCACTTCTTTGGGGACATAAACTTAAATCATCTTCAGTTTAACATTTTAGGGACACAGTCAAGGGTCTGTTTTCACTGAAAAGCACACCAATACTCAAAATATTTCCATCAATTCCCAGTGCTTACTCACAGAATGTTTTCTTCATTTCTGTGGCAATGCATATACATGCTGCTACAATATTGTCTTTATGGGACATTTACTGTGTAGTTCTGCTTTTCAGAGGCACTTAGAAAATGCCTTTTTGATGATCATTAAACTGTGATTACTTGGCATGCTAAGATTTATGAGATTCGCTCAAGTAGGTTATCATCAAGCATTCTCTATTTTTTAAGTGTTCTTATATTTGTCAGTTCAAGGTTATTCAGAAAATGCAAATGACTCAATGAGATTTATTGGTTAAACTTGCAAGAAAATATTCTGTGTGGAGTACTACTCAGACAAGTGCATGCATATAGTGTACAAAGACTTAGATAATTGATTATAGATATCAGCAATACCATTTTATTTATATATTTGAAGAGTGAAGGTCATATAAACTTAATAATGAAATTATTGAAAAATGGAAAAGTTGCCCAGAATGTCACTCTATTTAAATATTATTGTTAGCATGTTGGTGTTTTTCTTCCAGTAATTGTGTGATCATTCTATCTGTTGACAGCATATATATAATTTCATACCTGATCTTACTTATCACAACATGAGTGTTGTGATACATACGTGTTGTTTCTACATGTTAGTGTTTTAACCTTTGCTTTTAGTTAGTGTATTCACTTTGCTTTTGGAATAATATCACATCAAGGTGATGTACTTTACCATTCCCATCATTGAATATCCAGATAGATTCTTATATCGTGCTATTAGTACATGATAATAATCACTGCATATTTAAGCAATAATTAATATCTTTATTCTTGAAGATATTTCTCTGCAGTTTGCATTGCTATTTCCTTTGGATAGATCCCCAAATAGGGTATTATTTGGTCATTAGTTAGAGATATTTTTATGAAACATTATACAATGCTTTTAAATAATTTTATGATAGCAGCAACGTTTACATGCTGATTTTATCATGCTTTTGCCATACTGATTATTATCATTATGGCTTATTGATATATTAATTTGAATTTTTTTAGGTAGAAGGAAAATTGATAAGACTGAACATCTTACATATGCTTGGTTTCTAGTACTTTTTATGTGTTATTTATGTGTTACATGTGTGACATGTCCTTTGCTTATGTTATTATGATTGTTGTACTGACTATATTATACATATATTGCAAATTTTTGAATTTCTACATTAAAATCTCTTGATAAACACATTATCAGAAAGTAATTTCTAATCAATTTCTATAATCTCTTCATATTGATAAAAAGGTAAAACATTTGTCCAATAACTTCCCAGATAATTTTTCACTTTTTGTTTCTATTATTTTACCTAGAGAAATTTAAAATGTTTACATATTAAAAGATTTTCATGAGTAATTTGCTATCACCTTAATTTAGAAAATGTCAATGCTTCCAATAAGTGTTTATCTTCTGTTTCATTGCATTTGAAAGAGAATTATTTAAAATGTACCTAAATTTTTTTCTAGCATACGTTATAAAGTGAGAGCTTTTAAACATTTAAATATTTCGAATCAGTTCTTCCAACATAATTCGTTTCCCATCAGTTTGCCTTGCCTTCATTATCAGCTATTAAAAACTTATGAGCCAAAGAATCTTTTTAGCCAAAGAATCTTTTTCTTGCCTGTATATCCTATTCTACCGGTTTCATTTCATATTCCTGTGCTAGACCCCCAGTTCTTTAACTCTTGCAGTTTATAATAGTCAATATCCTCTATTCTCACTTTTTTCAGGTTTTTCTCTTATAATCTCTCAAATTATCTCTCAAGTAAAACTTAGAACCTTTTAAAATTGTTGTACTTTACAAGAATAGAATACTGTTTTGTGTGTGGAGATAAATTAGATGTCTTCAACAACAGTGTATCCTATTCTTTGTGAATTTAAACATTTTGAGATACATTATTCTTGTACAAGAGAATACAATATATATATGTATATATATATAGGTGTGTGTGTGTGTATATATATATGTATGTATATGTGTGTGTGTATATTCCCAACTCTTTTTAACCTGAGCCCTTTTTTTCTTTTTCTTTTTTTCTTTCTTTTTCCTTTTTTTTTTTTTTTTTTTTGAGATGGAGTTTCGCTCTTGTTGCCCAGGCTGGAGTGCAATGGCATGATCTCAGCTCACCCCAACCTTGGCCTCCCGGATTCAAGCAATTCTCCTGCCTCAGTCTCCTGAGTAACTGGAATTACAGGCATATACCACAATGCTCAGCTAATTTTGTATTTTTAGTAGAGATGGGGTTTCTCCATGTTGGTCAGGCTGGTCTCAAACTCCTGACCTCAGGTGATCTGCATGCCTCGGCCTCCCAAAGTGCTGGGATAACAGGCGTGAGCCCCTGCGCCTGGCCTCTGAGCCCTTTTTTTCTTTCTCCAACCAAATATAAACATATTTTGACTTTTGTTACACCAATTTCTTTGCTTTTCCTTATAGGTTTATCATCTAGGTTTGAAATATTAAAAATATGTTTTAACTTTTACTGTTTTAAAACTATATATACATTTTCTTAAGTCTTTTTTAACTTAATCTTAGGTTTGAGAATTCCATTCGTGTGTCTGCAACCTATGTGGCTCACTCATTTTCAGTGCTTTATACTATTCCATTTAAATAAATAATTTATTTATCAAGTCTATTTTTGGTACAATTTGGGTTGTTTTTTCATTGTAGCAATTATAAACAGGGCTTCTCTGAACATTCTTTTGCATGCCTTCTGGGGCACATATGAAAGTATTTCTCAGGAAGGTACAACTAATAAAGAAATTGCTGGGTCACAGAATATGATTAATGGTTATTGACAAATTGTTCTCTAAAGCATTTGTACAAATTTACATCTCCACTGGCAAATTTGTTGTTTCTCTTTTCCTCAATAATGTTGGTATTCTTAGACTCTTTATTTCTCTATCTTCTATATGAAAAACAAAATGATAGCTCATTGTGGTTTTAGTTTTTATTTCACTGATATGAAGTTACGAATAGTTTCATGTTTTTATTGGCCCTTTGTATTTTTTATGCAAAGTATTTATTCAAATCTTTTTTTTTAAAAAATTGATTCTTATGAATTCTTTATATATTCTAAATGTTGGTCTTTGCTAGGTACGTGTAACTGGTGACATTTGATGAACAGATCTTCATTTTAGTGTAGATACTTTATCAACCTTTTATATTAAGGTTATTGCTTTTTAAAATTGCTAGTTAAGAAATTATTTCTCACTCCTAAGGCTAGAACATTAATCTACCTGAAATTAATTTTTGTTTAATTAAAAATGATTTTTTTTCCCTAGAGCCATTTAATGCAAATACTTTCCTTTAATCAATACTCTTCATGCTATCTTCATCAATTATCAATTGGTCTGTTTCTGGGCTCATTTTTTTCTGTTTGATTAAATTTTCTCTCTTTGGGTTAACATTAAATTTTTCATAATTTATATTGACTTAGGGTAACTTTTGATATCTTCTTCCTATTTCTGAATTCTTTCTTTCCAAAGTATCTATCCTATAATTGGCCCTTTGCCTTTCCATATAAATTTTAGAACCTGCTTGCAATTTTCAAAATAATTCCACAAACCCCTCAAAAAGTAGAAGTTTGATTGAGATTATATAGAATCAATATGTGTGGTATAGATTTTCATTTTATGATACTGAGTCTTCGAATCTAAGAGCAAGCATATTGCTCCATTTATTTACGTCATCTTTAAGGACTCTTGAATCTAGTTTTATAATTTTTTCACAAGAGTCATGTACATCTTGGCAAGGAAATTGCTAGTGAAAGAAGTGAGAAATGAGCAGATTCTGCATATACTTTGAGGATACTCCGATAGTATCTCTACTGGGTTGAATGTGGAGATTAAAAGAGATTTGAGCCTAAACAACTGCATGGATTGAGTTGACACTAACTAACATTGGGAAGGCTATGTAGAGATGGTTTTTGAGGAAATTCCACCAGTTCAGTTATCTGCATGCTAATTTGATAATGTTTCCAAAAGAACTTCCAAAAGGAAATATCAAGTGAGTGGTTTTGTATACAAATCTGAGGTTTATGAGAAAGGTCATAGCTAGAGATACAAATGCATGAGATGATTTCAAGACAGAGTAAAACTACTATTTTTATTTTTTAATTTACATTTTTATTTTAGATTTGGGGGTACATGTGCAGGTTTGTTACAAGGGAATATTGTGTGATGTGAGGTTTGGGCTTCTATTGATCCCATCGTGCAGCTAGTATCTAATAGCAAGTTTTTCCGCCCTTGCTTCCCTCTCTCTCTTCTTCCCTCCCTCCTTTTCATGTCCCTGGTGTCTGTTGTTCCCATCTTTGTGTTTATGTGTAGCCAAGGTTTAGCTTCCACATGTAAGTGAGAACACGTAATATTAGGTTTTCTGTTTCTGTGTTAAGCTACTTAGGATAATGGCCTCCAGCTACACCCATGTTTTTGCAAAGAAAATGATTTTGTTCTTTTTTATGACTGCATAGCATCTCACAGTGTATATGTACCACATTTTCCTTATGCAGTCCAGCAATAATGGGCACTTAGATCGATCTCATGACTTTGCTATTATGCATAGTGCTGCAATAAACATAAAAGTTCATGCATCTTTTAGGTAGAATAATTTATTTTCTTTTGGATATACACCCAGTAAAGGAATTGCTGGGCTCAACAATAGGTCTGTTTTTAGCTGTTTGAGAAATCTTCAAACTGCTCTCTACAGTGGCTGAACTAATTTACATTACCACCAGCAAAAATAGACACATAGACCAATGTGACATAATAGAGAACCCAGAAATAAAGCTGCAAAACTACAACCAACTTATCTCCAATAGAGTTGGAAAAAATAAGAAATGGGGAAAGGTCTGCCTATTCAATCAATAGTTCTAGGAAAACTGGCTAGCCATACACAGAAGAATGAAACTGGGTACCTACCTATCACCAGATAGAAAAAATTAACACAAGATGGATTGAAGACCTAAATGCAAGACCTGAAGCTATAAACATCCTGGAAGAAAACCTGGGAAATACCTTTCTGACAAAGAATTTATAACTAAGTCCTCAAAAGCAATTGCAACAAAATAAAAATTGACAAGTGGGACCTAATTAAACTAAAGAGCTTCCACACAACAAAATAAATGATCAACAGAGTAAACAGACAACCCACACAATGGGAGAAAATATTTGCAAACTACGCATCTGACAAAGGGCTAATATCTAGAATCTATAGGGAAACTAAACAAATCAAGAAAGAAAAATCCAAATAACTTCATTAAAAAGTGGGCAAAGGAGATGAACAGACAGTTCTCAAAAGAAGACAAAGTAAAAGTACTAATTTTAAAAGTTATAGTGTTTAGGGAAACTAAAGGGGACAATTAGCATCCAGGGGATGGCCACCGTGGACCCTTGGAGGGGGCCTAAAGAGGCAAGAGAGGGAGTAGTTGCTTGAATCCTGATGAGAAACATATCTAACATCTACCTATCTATCATCAATCATCTATCGCATATCTATAATCTATCATCTACCTACTTATCTCATGGTTTTAGTGTTATTGATTGCTGATTGCAATTATAGGTTGGTTGTATCTCCTTTGCACTCCCTTCAATGGGAACCAGTATTTATTGAATATTGGGGTTGAAATAACCCCAGTATTTTAACGTAGGTTCTTTTCTGTTTTCCCTAAGTGTCGGCTGGTCTGAGAAATAAAGAGAAAGAGTACAAAGAGAGAAATTTTACAGCTGGGCCTCTGGGGGTGACATCACATGTTGGTAGGTTCCATGATGCCCCTTGAGCCACAAAACCAGCAAGTTTTTATTAGGGATTTCAAAAGGGGAGGGGGGTACGAACAGGAAGTAAGTCACAAATATCACATGCTTCAAAGGGCAATAAAAGATCAAAAGAGCAGTAGGGCAGAGCAAGATCACAAGGCCAGGGAGAAATCAGAATTACTGATGAGGTTCCATGTCTCGCTGGGCACGCATTGTCTTGATAAACATCTTAACAGGAAACAGGGTTAGAGAGCAGACAACCGGTCTGACTAGAATTTGCCAGGCTGGAATTTCCTAATCCTAGCAAGCGTGAGGGCACTGCAGGAGACAAGGGCATATTTCATCCCTTATATTCAACTGCATAAGACAGACACTCCCAGAGTTGCCGTCAACAGACCTACCCCTGAGAATGCATTCCTTCCCCAGGGTTATTCCTTGCTGGTAAAGGAATTCAGCGATATTTCTTCTATTCACTTTCTGCAAGAAGAGAAATATGAGTCTGTTCTGCCCGGACCCGCAGGCAGTCAGACCTTATGGTTATCTCCCTTGTTTCCTGAAAATCGCTGCTAACCTGTTCTTTTTTAGGATGCCCAGATTTCATATTGTTCAAACACACATGTTTTACAAACAATGTGTGCAGTTAAGGCAATCATCACAGGGTCCTGAGGCAACATACATCCTCAGTTGACAAAGATGACAGGATTAAGAGATTAAAGACAGGCATAGGAAATTATAAGACTGTTGATTGGGGAAGTGATAAATGTCCATGAAATCTTCACAATTTATGTTCAGAGATTGCAGTAAAGACAGGCATAAGAAATTATAAAAGTATTAATTTGGGGAACTAATAAATGTCCATGAAATCTTCAAAATTTATGTTCTTCTGCCACGGCTTCAGCCAGTCCCTCCATTTGGGGTCCCTGACTTCCCTCAACACTTTGTATGTATCTCTTCCTAAACCCTTTTCTTCTCTTTACTTTTGCTTCATTTTTTCATCTTTATTTATATTATTCTCTGTCACCTGCTGATCTTTCCATGATTTTTCTTTGTGCTCTTTTTAATATACTTCTTATTTCCTAAATGATTTAGCCTGTTACTTCTTTTTTTTTTTTTTTAACTGAATTCTGTTAGCCTTTTTTCACATTTTCCTGTTATGTGGTCATCTTTTCTCAGAAACTTTGTATTTTTGTATTTCATGTTCCTGTTTAGCAGTGGTTATTTCACGTTTTTATTTTCTTTTGTTTTTAACTCAGATTGGAATGTTTCATCTTGCTTTTTACCTCCTTAGTAGAAACATTTTACCGATGAGTTTTTATCACATATAAGAAATATATATTGCTATTTTCCTTTGTTTAATTTTTTTTTTTTAGTTTAGAGGCAGATTAAATTTATTTTCTGTAACTTATATTTGAATAAGATGCATTTTTGTAGATTACCAAAGAGTAATAAGGAATAAGTACGGATATTTCTTCAAGATATAAAATTGTGCTAGTTGTCTCCCCCTACTCAGGACATTTTCCATCATTCTCCATTCCGCTCTCACCCCCAGCATGTTCACCTGCATTGACTTTATCAGTAACCTCCCTTGAATTTGGTTACTAGTTGGATTTAGCCAATACAGAGCTCCAGTAGGAGACTGGAATGAGGAAGAACAAAGAGGCCAATGAATTATTCCCCTGACTGCTTCCTGTGGAAGTCACATTTCATCTCAAGGCAGCTCTTTCTACATGTCTCTCTCTTTCAAATTCTGGAAACTCCTACCATTAGTTGCCCCTTCAGGCCAAGGATGATAACAGCTGTTGTAAATAGTCCACACCCTTGAAAATAGTTCCTTGATTAAACTCTCCTCATGTTACCCATTTTGAATAGGAACCTTGCTGACCCTTATATTTGAATAGGATGCATTTTTCTAGACTACCAAAGAGTAATAAGGAATAAGTATGGATATTGCTGATACAACTCTAGTTCTCATTCCTACAGCAAATAACTTAAAATATGTCCCTTTCCTTCATCTACTCATTCCACGTAGATACTTTATGCCCATTTATGATTTTCTCAGTTTCTTTAACTATATATTTAGTTCCCACTATATATATACACTATATATAGTACCCTATATATATATTCTATATATATATATTCTATATATGTATTCTGTATATATATTCTATATATATTCTATATATATATTCTGTATATATATATTCTGTATATATATTCTGTATATATATATTCTGTATATATATTCTGTATATATATATATATATATAGTACCCTAATAGCATCTCTAGTTCATCACCTGCTTTCTTCCATTTTGCTTAAATTCCATTTTGCTTGAAATAGTCATACTCAACTTTCTTTGCTTGCAACAAATGAATATTAACTTTTGCAGTCAATGATAGTACATTTTCTTTTTGCATCTAATAACGAGGTAGAACAGTAAGTGAGATTTACAATTCCATAGTCTCAGGAAACAATGACTGCTATGTCACAGAACTTAATACTGAAATTTTTAACCAGTGCAATATGGTTAAAAGAGAAAAATATTAATTATACTCCTTAGGATAACGCTGCAGAGATTTTTTTTTTAATGGGGTTATTGCATTCACTATGACCACATACTTGGTGTAACTCCACTTTTTTTGAAATGCTGGATGGTAACATTGATAATAATAGTAAAAACTCAATTTTTATCAGACACATCAAAACTTTTATAATGTTATTGTACTTGAGTTCACTATATATCATTAGACGTATAAGACGTGGTCCATTAACATTTGCTAGATTTTGAATGTCCCATCTTGTTTGCAATCTTTCAAATATAGCCTTACTCACATGTGGTGAGAAACATTTTCAAAGTTTCACTCATTTTATTCTCAATATATTTTCCAGTCTTAGACTAGTTTTTTTTCAGGAGAATAAGAGATTCCCTTTAGGAAAAAATGTGCTGGTTAAAATTAACTGGTTCAATATTTTAGAGGATAGTATTATATTCACATTAATTCTTTAAATTCAGACTCAGGCAAAAGCGGCTAATATTGCCTTCCATGTAATTAGTTATTAAGGCATGATAGAGTGCATCAAAAATACCAATCTGAAAATTATCAATGTAATTAAAATGGTATGGATGTAGGGTATAAGTAATTTTATTTTAAAATGGTGAGTTTTGAAATTTTTAAAGGAAATATTCTCTGAAACTTTAGAAAGTATTACTAAGTATAGTTCTAAGTGTTCTTTTCTTTGTGCCACGAACTATAAATTTCAATTTAAAAATTTTTAAAAATTTAATATATATGGTATTTATATACAATAGAATTGTAGTCAGTAATAAAAAGGAATAAAATATTTACACATACATATAACATAGATGAATCTTAAAATAATTATGCTGAATGAAAGAAGCCAGGTTAATAAAAAGAGTACTTATTGTGTGATTCTATAGATGTAAAATTCTATAGAATGTAAATTAATATATATTGACAGCAGATCAGTGATTGTCTTGAAGAAGGAGAAACTACAAAGGGACACAAGAAAACTTATAAATAATTGTTTTATTTATTATATTGATTTTGGTGATTGCTTCCTGGAATATTCAAATATTAAAATTCATCAAATTGTACAGCTTAAATATGTATGTTTAGTGTTTGTCAATCATGCCTCAATAAAGGTGTTACAAAGAAAAAATACAAAAGAAGGAATTCCATTAGTAAACACAATGGTATCGCTGATATAAGACTAAATCTCTTGCTGTAATAATTTCTATCAGAGTTGGATAAAATATATAAAACAAGTGTTTGCAGGTACTGAGAAACATCATTGGGAGAAGGTCAGCATACACACTAAGCTTCACATTCACCCCACTTGTCTCCTTGAGGGAATTGCCAAAATATGACCAAAGAAATAGAATACAGCAGCTTTACTGAGTGGATGATACACATACTGGATTTTGGGGCTGCTAAAGCAGTTGTAATTTTAAGGGCAGAATACGGAGAGGATGAAGCCAAACTATGCAAAAAGTTTCTCCTTGCATCATTGGTAACTCTTAAACTGCACATACCAAAGATGAGACCCATGTGAGACCTAGGAGCAATGTTTGCTATGAAGTTGAGAGCTAAGCAGAGACTTCAGAAATCACATGTTTTGGAGAGACATTGAAGATCAGCTCCAGCGAGTATAGAGACCTTGATGAAGAGCCTAAACATTGAGGTGAGATCCCAGAAAGGTCATTCCCTATGATTAAGGGCTACACAGTAGGAGTAAGGGAAATAGAACCACTATTTCAAATCCCCAAACCAAACTTTGACAGCATCAATGTGATCTACTAGTAATTGATCTACCACCCAGAATAAAAATAAACACTCTTTAGTGGAAAATAACATAATCCAGAATTCTAACATGTAACATTAACAATGCCTAGCACACAATTTAAAAAGGATCAAGTGAATAGTCTATAACTGCTAAATACATCTGACATTGAGATGTTTTTGAAAAGGATTAAAAGCATAATAGAGGAGAAGACAGAATTAATGGTCAAGGACAGATACAGAAAATACCTAAAAAAAAAAAAAACACACATATAACTGAATGTAAAAATGAGGTAAAACTTAGGTAAAAGGTCTAACATATGTGTACGCTTACTTTCAAGAGGTGAAAAGAAAAGAAATGGAACAGAAACAATATTTGGCAAAATAACTGCCCCCACTGCATCCCCGCAATTTCCAATTCTGATGAAGGCATTAACTCATAAAATGCTCTGCAAATCCTAATCGTCATAAGTAAATATCAAATTAAATTACTAAAAAATAAAACTTAAGTAAAAATATTTAAAATGACCATAGAACAGAGTCATATTTTCTTTAGAGGAAAAAAAAACTAGAAAGAAATAATTTTCTTAACAGAACCTTTGGGAGCCAGAAGATGATGGAATTGCCTCTTTGAAATGCTGAAGAACCAAAAGGAAAGCAAAACAAAACCAGAAACCTTAACTTAAATTTCAATATGTAGTGAAAAAATTCTTTACAAATAAAAGCAAAATAAAGATTCCCTCAGACAAAAACTGAGGAAATGAAATATTAGCAAATTTGCACTAGAAAATCTACTGAAGAAAGTTCTTCAGTTGAGTAAAATGATTCCAGAGAACAGAATCTACGTGAAAAAAAAATAATAGCACCAGAAAGGGTAGATATGTGGAAAAATATATAAGATTTCTTACTGTCTAAAGCAATGGTAACCACAATCTCTAAGGGACCTAAAAAGTATGAAAGTAAAATACATGGCAATAGCCTAAGTGTTTAAAAAAAAAAAAAAGGTATGTTTAAAAAACAAAGGTAAATAGATCTAAACAACAATTTAGTAAGATTCTTTCTTAGAAATATGATAAAAATATAAATTTATAGAAGTTTTTTAAATAAAGTAAGGAAACATTAGCAATTTCTAAAGAAACAATAAAAATACAATAATAAGACAAAAGACATAAAAAAGCTAATTTAAGAAATAAAATGGCTTTGGGAGGCTGAGGCGGGTGGATCACGTGGTCAGGAGTTCAAGACTAGACTGGCCAATATGGTGAAACCCCATCTCTACTAAAAACACAAAAATTAGCCAGGCATGGTGGCATGCCTGTAATACCAGCTACTCAGGAGGCTGAGGTAGGAGAATCACTTGAATCTGAAAGGCAGAGGTTGCAGTGAGCTGAGATTGCACCACTGCACTCCAGCCTGGGCAACAGAGTGAGACACCATCTCAAAAAAAAGAAAAAAAAAGAAAAAACAAATAAAAATGGAATACAAATAAATCACTGATTTTAAAAGGAAAGAAATAAAGAAGAACAAATAATAGATGGTATAAATTAAAACAAAATTATTAAGATAGTAGACTAAAATTCAACTATATCAATAATTGCATCAAACATATTGATGGAATATGTCAATAAAAAGACAAAGATTGCCACATTAGCCTTTTTTTTAAAAAAAGATCCATCTATATGCCATTTACAAAGCATGCTCTTTTTTTTTCCTTCAACTTTTAAGTTCAGGGGTACATGTGCAGGATGAGTGGGTTTATTACATAGGTAAATATGTGCCATGGTGGTTTGCTGTACAGATCATCCCATCACCTCTGTATTAAACCCAGCATCCATTAGCTATTCTTCCTGAGGCTCTACCTCCCCCAGCTTCCACAAGCTCCAGTGTGTTATTTACCCTCAATTGTCCATGTGTTCCCATCATTCAGCTCCTACTTATAAGTGAGAACATGTGGTGTTTTGTTTTCTGTTCCTGTGTTAGTTTGCTGAGGATAATGGCTTCCAATTCCATCCATGTCCCTGAAAAGAACATGATCTCATTCCTTTTTATAGCTGCATAGTGTTCCATAATGTAGATATACCACGTTTTCTTATCCATTCTATCACTGATGGGCATTTAGGTTGATTCCGTATCTTTGCTATTGTGGATACTACTGCAATGAATATATGCATGCATGTATCTTTATTATAAAATAATTTATATTTTGGGGGGTATACACTCAGCAATGGGATTGCTGCGTCAAATGGTATCTCTGCCTCTAGGTCTTTGAGGAATTACCACACTGTCTTTTACAATAGTTGAACTAATTTACACTCCCACCAACAGTTTAAAAACATTTCTTTTGCTCTACAAGTACTCCAGCATCTGTCATTTTTTAAGTTTTTAATAATAGCCATTCTGACTGGTGTGAGATGGTACCTCATTGTGGTTCTGATTTGCATTTCTCTAATGATCAGTGATGTTGAGGCTTTTTCCATATGTTTGTTAGCCACATTTGTGTCTTCTTTTGAGAGGTGTCTGTTCATGTCTTTCGCTTAGTTTTTAATGGGGTTGGTTTATTTTCTTGTAAATTTGCTTAAGTTCCTTGTAGATTCTGGATATTAGACCTTTGTCAGATAGATAGATTGTAAAAATTTTCTCCCATTCTGAAGGTTGTCTGCAAAACATACTCTCTAAATATAAATACAGACAGTTTGAAACATAACTGATGGAAAAGTTGTGCCATAAATACATTATTCAAAAGAAAGCTAGTGTGAATATATTATCAGTCAACATAGACTTTAAAGCAAAACATATTAAGAGAAATAAAGATATTTTATAATTATAAAATATTTTATAATTATAAAACATTTGAATCAATAGGAATATTTAACAATTTTAAATTTGCAGGCACTTGAAAACTGCTTTAAAATATGTAAACCAAAAGTTAAGATTTAAAATGATAGACAATCCAAAATCTTAGTTGAAGAATTTAACACACCTCTCTTAATAACTGATAGAATAGGCAAACAAAAAAAGAGCAATAAGGATGTCAAAGTTTTGAATAATACCATTAACCAACTTGATCTAATTGGCATATTCGAATATGCCAATTAATTACAGAATATACATGTTTTTCAAGTACATTTGAAACATTTATCAAAATGGATCATAGAGCACTTATGCAAGGCTTATACATTTCAAAGGCTTGATATAGTGCATTTTTTTTTTCTGCCACAGTGCAGATTAATTAGAACTTAAATTATAGGAAAAAACTTGGAAAATTCATATTATGGGACAGCAAATATTTCAAAAGCAAAATAGAGTTCAGGACAAATGGAACAACATCTTCACAGTGCTGCTAATGAAAAGCTGTCAAACTAGAATTCTGTAATTTATACTCATTCAAGAATGAATAAATAAAATAAAAACATTTTTGCCGAGAAAAATATCAGGATTTTCAAAGGACATATGTTAAGAGTTATAAAAATTCCCCTTGAAGGAAGAATTTTATGCCAAATTTAAAAAAAAATCATGAACATTCTTCTAGCCTTCCACATAGGAAAGGGGAAATACACAACTCCAGCCCACTCCAGCCATCCTGCTCCACCTAAGTGGCAAACAAAGCAGCAATAGAAAACAAAAAAACCTGAGAAATAACAGTGAAGTTTACAGACCAGGGGCACAGGCTCACCAAAAGATGGAGAATTAATCATAAGATAGACTGATAAGATTCATGCCAGAGTCAGATATGGCAGGAATGTTGGAATTATCAGGCCAGAAATTTTTTTTTACACTATGACTAATGTGCTAAGGGAGTTACTGGAAAAAGTAGATAGCCTATGCAACAACAGAATGAAAGCAGAAGATAGAAATTCTAAGAAAAAAAAAAAGAAGTGCTAGAGATTAAAAAAAATGTAATTGAACTGAAAAATGCTTTTGATGGGCTCATTAGTAGACTGGACACACCTGAGGAAAGAGTCTTTATGCTTGATGATATGATAACGGAAACTTCCAAAACTGAAAGGCAAAGAGAAAGAAGAATAGAAACAGAAGTACAGAATATCCAAGAACTATGGAACATGTACAAAAAGTGTAATGCATATTTAATGTTGATACCAAAAGAAGAAAGAGAAAAAGGAACAGAAGCAATATTTGAAACAATAATGACTGAGAATTTTCCCCAAATCAAGTGGATGATTGGATAAAGAAAATGTGATATATAAATGTGGTGTGTGTGTGTGTGTGTGTGTGTGTATATACACACACATACATATATGTTAAAAAATAACAGATGTTAACGAGGATGTTGAGAAAAGGGAATGCTTATACACTGTTTGTGGAAATGTCAATCAGTGCAACCTCTATAGAAAACAATTTGGAGATTTCTCAAAGAATTAAAAATAGAACTACCAATGGATCTGTAAGTTTCTTCATCCAATCATCCAATAATGGACACTTAGGTTGATTTCATGTCTTTGCTATTTTGAATAGTGCTGTGATAAACATATGAGCACAGGTATCTTTTTGATTTAATGATTTCTTTTCCTTTTGTTATATACCCAGTAGTGAGATTACTGGATCAAATGATAGTTCCATTTTTAGTTCTTTGAGAAGTCTCCATATTGTTTTCCACAGAGGTTGTACTAATTGACATTCCCACCAACAGCATATAAGCCTCCCCTTTTCTCCATATCCTTGCCAACATCTATTAATGTTGACTTTTTAGTAATAGGCATTCTGATTGTTATAAGATGCTATCTCATTGTGGTTTTAATTTGTACTTCTCTGATGATTAGCGATGTAAAGAATTTTTCATATGTTTATTAGCCATTTGTATGTCTTCTTTTGAAAAATGTCTACTTCTGTCCTTTGCTCACTTTTTAATGGAGGTATTTGAATCTCTTTTGTAAAGTTGCTTGAGTTTCTTTTAAATTCTGGATACTAGTCCCCTGTCAAATGCATAATTGGCAAATATTTTCTCTCAGTCTGCAGGTTGTCTGTTCATTCTATTTTTGCTGTGCAGAAACTTTTTAGTTTAAGTCAGTCTCATTTGTCTGTGTTTTGTTGTTGTTGCATTTGATTTTGAAGTCTTAATTATGAATTCTTTGTCTAGACCAATGTCCAAAAAAGTTTCCCCTAGGTTTTCTTCTAGTATTTTTATAGTTTCATGTCTTATATTTAAGTCTTTGATCTATATTGAATTGATTTTTGCATATGGTGAGAGATAGGAGTTCAGTTTCATTCTTCTCCACATGGCAATCCAATTTTCCCAGCACTATTTATTGAAAAGGGTGTCCTTCCTCATTACATATTTCTATTTACTTTTTCAAAGATGAGTTGGCTGTGGATATGTGGCCTTAGGAAAAAATCATGAAATTCATATGGAACAAAAAAAGGAGCCTGAATAGCCAATATACTATGCAAAAACAACAAAGCTAGAGGTATCACATTACTTAGTTTCAAATTATACTGCAAGCCTATAGTAACCAAAACAGCATGGTATTGATATAAAAATAGACTGATATAAAAATATTCTGTTCCACATCAATGGAACAGAATAGAGAAGGCAGAGGTTAAAAAATAAAAGAAAACAACCTTAGCTGCAGATAGGCAAAGATAAAAATTACATCTTACTTCTTAGAAATTATGAAAGCAAGAAAAGAGTGGAGTGAAATATTTGGCATTAACAGAGAAAAACCACCAACCTAGAATTCTGTACACTGCAAAATTATCCATCAGAAGTGAAAGAGAAATGCTTTCTTAGATAAACAAAAATTGATAGAACTATTGCCAGTAGACCTGCCTTGTGAGAAATGTTAAAAAGAAGTTCTACAGAAATAACCAAAGTAATATAGATCAGAACTTCAGGCCCACATAAAGAAAAGAAAAACATTGGAGAATGAATAAGTGAAGGTAAATAAAAACTTTTACTTTATTTGTCTTATTATTGGTTGATATAACAGATAACAATTTTTGCAAAAAATAGCAACAATATGTACAATTATGTACGCTTATGTACATGTATACAGGCATACGTCTTTTTATTGCTTCCCTTTATTGTGCTTTAAAGATATTGTGCTTTTTACAAACTGAATGTTTGTGGCAACTATGTATTGACAAAGTCTATTGGCACCATTTTTCCAAGAGTATATACTTATTTTGTGTCTCTGTGTCACATTTTGGCAATTCTTGCAATGTTTCAAACTTTTTCATTATTATTTTATCTGTTCTTGTGATCTGTGATCGGTGAACATTTATGTTACCATTGTAATTGTTTTGGGGTGCCACAAACTGCACCATATAAGAGAGTGAAATTTATTGATAAATGTTGTGTGTGCTCTAATTGTTCCACCAACTGATCGTTCCCTTGTCTTGTCTCTCTCCCTTTTCTTCAGCCTCTCTATTCTCTGAGACACAATATTGAAATTAGGCAAATTGTTACCTTACATGACCTCTAAGTATTCAAGTGAAAGGAGGCATTTCACATCTCCCACTTTAAGTCAAAACTTAGAAATGATTAAGCTTAGGAAGGAAGGCATGTCAGAAGCAAAGACAGGCTGAAAGCTAGGCCTCTTGCACCAGCTAGTCAAGTAGTGAACACAAAGGAAAAGTTTTTGAAGAAAATTAAAAGCACTACTCCAGTGATCCCAGGAATAATAAGAAAGCAAAACAGCCTAATTGCTGATATGAAGAATGTTTGAGTGATCTGGATTGAAGGTCAAATCAGCATCAACATTCCCTTACATGAAAGCCTAGTCCACACCAATGCCCCAACTCTCTTCAATTATATAAAGACTGAAAGAGGAGAGGAAGTTACAGCAGGAAAGTTGGAAGCTATTATTGATCGATTCATGAGGTTTAAGGAAAGAAGCCATCTCCGTAACAAGAAAGAGCAAACTGAAAAAATGATAAAGTATAAGAGGCAAGTTATCCAGAAGATCTAAACAAAATCATTGGTGAAAATCTAAACAATAGATTTTCAATGCAGACAAAACAGTCTTCTACTGGAAAAAGATGCCATCTAGGACTTTCATAGCTAAAGAGAAATCAATCTGGCTTCAATGCTTCAAAGGACAGGATGACTCTCTCATTAGGGGTTAATGCAGATGGTGACTTTAAGTTGAAGCCAATGTCCATTTACTGTTCCAAAATTCTTAAGGGTCTTAAGAATTGTGTGAAATATACTCTGTTTGTGTAACATAAATGGAATGACAAAGACTATATGAGAGAACATTTATTTGGAGCATGGCTTATCCAATATTTTAAGCCCACTGTTGAGACCTACCGCTCAGAAAAAAAGATTCTTTTCAAAATATTATTGCTCATTGACAATTCAGCTGGTCATCTAAAAGCTTGGATGTAGATGTGCAAAAAGATTAATGTTTTCATGCCTCCGTAAGAGTGTTTTCATGCCTGCTAACATAACATCCATTCAGTAGCCCAGGGATCAAGTAGCTTTCAAGTCTTATCATTTAAGAAACACATTTTGTAAGATTATAGTTGCCATAGACAGTTATTCCTCTGATGGATCTGGACAAGGTAAATTAAAAAATTTCTGGAGTTTACCATTCTAGATGCTACTAGGAACATGATTCATATAAGGAGGTCAAAATGTCAACATTAACAGGAGCTTGGACTAAGCTGATTCCAATCCTCATGGATGACTTTGAGGGGTTCAAGATTTTAGTGGAGGAAGTAATTGCAGATGTGGTGGAAACAGCAACAGAACTAGAATTAGAAGTGGAGCCTAAAGATGTGACTGAATTGCTGCACTCTTATGACCAAACTTGAATGGATGAGGAGTTGCTTCTTAAGGATGAGCAAAGAAAGTGGTTTCTTAAGATTGAATCAACTGCTGGTGAAGATGCTGTAAACATTACTGAAATGACAACAGAGGACTTAGAATATTACATCACATATTTGATAAAGTAGCAGCAGGGTTTGAGAGGATTGATTTCAATTTTGAAAGAGGTTCTACTATGGGTAAAATGCTTTCAAATGGCATTGCATGCTACAGAGAAATCTTTCATGAAGGAAAAATTAATTAATGTAGCAATTTTCATTATCACCTTATTTTTAAAAATTGCCACAGCCCACCCCAACCTACAACAACCATTACCCTGATCAGTCAGCAGCCATCAACACTGAGACAGGAACTTCCACTAGCAAAATTATTATGACTCACTGAAGGCTCAGATAATTACAAGCATTTTTAAGCAATAAACTTTTTTTTTTTTTTTTTTTTTTTAGACAGAGTCTTGCTCTGTCGCCCAGGCTGGAGGGCAGTGGCGTGATCTCAGCTCACTGCAAGCTCCACCTCCCAGGTTCACGCTGTTCTTCTGCCTCAGCGTCCTGAGTAGCTGGGACTACAGGCACCCGCCACCATGCCCGGCTAATTTTTTTTTTTTTGTATTTTTTAGTAGAGATGGGGTTTCACCGTGTTAGCCAGAATGGTCTCGATCTCCTGACCTCGTGATCCGCTCGCCTTGGCCTCCCAAAGTGCTGGGATTACAGGCGTGAGCCACCGCACCTGGCCTCAATAAACTATTTTAATTAAGATTTGTACATCATTTTAGATATAATGCTATTGCATACTTAATATACTACAGTATAGTGTAGACATGACTTTTAAATGCGCTCAGAAACCAAAAAATTCACGACTTGCTTTATGTGACATTTACGTTGTTGCAGTGGCATGGAACTGAACCTACAATATCACCAAGGTATGCCTGTATATATGCTTTTGTATGTTCATGTATAAGTAAAATAAATTACAGCAATGATACAAGGGACAGAAGGGAGAAATTTGAGATTTTTTTTAAATTACAAGGCACTTGCATAACCCATGAAGTGGTATAATGTTATTCAAAAGTGGACCCGGCCAGGCACGGTGGCTCACGCCTGTAATCCCAGCACTTTGGGAGGCCTAGGTGGGCAGATCACGAGGTCAAGAGATTGAGATCATCCGGGCCAACATGGTGAAACCCCATCTCTACTAAAAATACAAAAAATTAGCTGGGCATGGTGGCACGCTCCTGTAGTCCCAGCTACTTGGGAGGCTGAGGCAGAATTGCTTGAACCTGGAAGGCAGAGGTTGCAGTGAGCCGAGATCATGCCACTGCACTCCAGCCTGGGGACAGAGTGGGACTCCATCTCAAAAAAAACAAACAAACAACAAAAAAGTGGACCTGTATTAGTTGTTGCAAAAGTATATTGCAAACTCTAGTGCAATGACTAAAAAAATATAAAAAAGTATAATGAATATTTCAAGA
Source organism: Homo sapiens (assembly GCF_000001405.40). Classification (NCBI taxonomy): domain Eukaryota; kingdom Metazoa; phylum Chordata; class Mammalia; order Primates; family Hominidae; genus Homo; species Homo sapiens. The sequence continues at coordinate 105,203,274 of NC_000008.11, read as the reverse complement.
AAGGGGAGAAAAGGGAATAATTTAAAATGCACTTAAAACCACAAAAAGAAAAAAAATGTGGAAGACAAAAATAAGAACCAAGAACAAGTACAACAAATATTAAAGTGCAAAAAGTACAATAGATATTAATACAAATATATCAATAATTATCTTAAGTATCAGTGGCCTAAATACATCAAAGAAAACACAGAGATTGCCAAATTGGATCAAAAACAAGACTCAACTATATGTTGTCTGTAGGAAACCCACTTTAATTATAAAGACACATATAGATAAAAAGTAAACAAAGATATGCCATGCTAACAGTGACCAAAAGAAAGAGTAGTTTCAGACAGAGCTGACTTCACTGCAAGGAAAGTTGTCAGGGACAGTGGAGCATTACCTAATGATAGTTGGGCAAATACTTAAAAAAGACATAATGATCCTTAATGTGTATATGTATGCACTTAACAATAGAACATCAAAATACATGAGGCAAAATCTGATATAACTGTGTAGAGAAATAGATGAATTCACTATTATAGTTGGTGACTTTCACACCCCTTTGTCAGAAATGGACAGATCCAGCAGGCAGAAAATAAGGATGGTCTAACTGAACATCATTGTTAATAAACTGTATTTAACTGAGGTCTATAGGCCACTTTATCACAAACAGGAGATTATCTTCTTCTCAAGTTTACGCAGAACATTCACCAAGACAGACCACATGCTGGATAAGAAAATAACACCTTAACAAGTTTAAATGAATATAAATCATACAATATTCTGTTCTACCACAGTAGAATTAAACTATAATTAATAACAGAGTAGCATGGAATCTATGAATTGCTTTTGGCAGTATGGCCATTTTCACAAATTGACTCTTCTTATCCATGAGCATGGAATGTTTTTCCATCTGCTTGTATCCTCTCTGATTTCCTTAAGCAGTGGTTTATAGTTTTCCTTGAAGAGGCTCTTCACTTCCTTTGTTAGCTGTATTCCTAGGTATTTTATTCTCTTTGTGGCAATTATGCATGGGAGTTCATTTATGATTTGGTTTGTCTGTTGTTGATGTATAGGAATGCTTCTGATTTCTGCACAATGATTTTGTATCCTGAGACTTTGCTGAAGTTTCTTATCAGCTTAAGAAACTTTTGGGCTGAGTCGATGGGGTTTTCTAGATATAGGATTATGTCATCTGCAAAGAAAGATAATTCAACTTCCTCTCTTCCTATTTGACTACGCTTTATTTCTTTCTCTTGCCTGATTGCCCTGGCCAGAACTTCCAACATTATGTTGAATAAGAGTGGTGAGAGAGGGCATCCTTGTCTTGTGCCAGTTTTCAAGGGGAAAGCTTCCAGCTTTTGCCCATTCAATATAATATTGGCTGTGGGTTTATCATAAATGGCCATTATTTTGAGGTATGTTCCTTCAATATATAGTTTATTGAGAGTTTTTAACATGAAGGGATGTTGAATTTTATTGAAGGTCTTTTCTGCATCTTTTGAGATAATTATGTGGTTTTTGTCTTTAGTTCTGTTTATGTGATGAATTACATTTACTGATTTGCATATGTTGAAACAGCCTTGCATCCCAGGGATGAAGCTGACTTGATGGTAGCGTATAAGCTTTTTGATGTACAGCTGGAATCAGTTTGCAAGTATTTTATTGAGGATTTTTCCATCAACGTTCATCAGAAATATTGGCCTGAAGTTTTATTTTTGTTGTTTTTGTTGTAGTATATCTGCCAGGTTCTGTTATCAGGGTGATGCTGGCCTCATAAAATGAGTTAGGGAGGAGTCCCTCCTTTTCATTTCAGAAGAAACAGTACCAGCTCCTCTTTGTACCTCTGGTAGAATTCAGGTGTAAATGCATCTGAACCTGGGCTTTTTTTTGGGGGGTTGGTAGGCTATTTATTACTGCCTCAATTTCAGAACTTGGTTTTGGTCTATTCAGGGATTCAACTTCTTCCTGGTTCAGTCTTGGGAGAGTCTATGTGTCCAGGAATTTATCCATTTCTTCTCGATTTTCCAGTTTACTTGCAAAGAGGTATTTCTGCAATCTATCCATCTGACAAAGGCCTAATATCCAGAATCTACAAGGAACTTAAGCAAATTTACAATTTTCTTGTAAATTTTATTGAGGATTCAATAAACAACTCCATTAAAAAGTAGGCAAAGGACATGAACAGACATTTCTCAAAAAAAGACATATATGCAGCCAACAAACATGAAAAAAAGCTCAGCATCACTGTTCATTAGATAAATGCAAATCAAAACCACAATGAGATACCCTCTCACGCAAGTCAGAATGGGGATTAAAAAGTCAAGACACAGCAGATGCTGGCAAGATTGCAAAGAAATAGGAATGCTTTTACACTGTTGGTGGGAATGTAAATTAGCTTAACCATTGCTGAAGACAGTGTGGTGACTCCTTAAAGATTTAGAACCAGAAATACCATTTGACCCAGCAATCCCATTATTGGGTATATACCCAAAGGAATATAAATCAGCCTATTATGAGATACATGCACGCATATGTTCAGCGCAGCACTATTCACAATAGCAAAGACATGGAATCAACCCAAATGCCCATCAATTATAGATTGGATACATGTGGTACATATCCACCATGGAATACTATGCAGCTATAAAAAGAAATGAGATCATTTCCTTTGCAGGCACATGGATGGAGTTGGAAGCCATTATCCTCAGCAAACTAACACAGGCACAGAAAAACAAACACCACATGTTCTCATTTATAAGTAGGAGCTGAACAATGACAACATATGAACATAGGGAGAGAAACAACACTCACTGGGCCTGTCAGGAGAGGGTGGGTGGCAGGGAGAGCATTAGGGCAGAGAGTTAACGCATGCTAGGCTTAATACCTAGGTGACGGGTTGATAGGTGCAGCAAACTTCCATGGCACACGTTTGCCTATGCAACAAACCTGCACATCTTGCACATGTATCCCAGAACTTAAAAATAATAATAATATCGAAAAAAACAGAAAGTTATCTGAAAAATCTCCAAATATTTGGAGATTAAACAACACACCTCTATGTAACCCATGGATCAAAGAAGAAATCTTAAGAGAAATTTTAAGATATGTTGAACTAAATGAGAATGAAAATACAATTTATCAAAATGTGTGGAATACAATGAAATGAATGTTCAGAGGAATATTTATAGTATTGAATACATGTTTACAGAAAAAGAAAAATGTAAGATTAATCACTTAAGCCTCCACCTTAAGAAACTAGGGGAAAAGGTTTAAATTAAATCCAAAGTAAGGAGAAGAAGATAAATAATAAAAATTAGAGCAGAAATCAACGAAATTGAAAAAATAAAACCAATAGAAAAAAATCAACAAAACTGAAAGCTGGTTCTTTGGAAGCATCATTAAAATTGATAAGTCTTGGGTGGGCATGGTGGCTCACACCTGTAATTCCAGCACTTTGGGAGGCCGAGGTGGGCAGATCACAAGGTCAAGAGTTTGAGACCAGTCTGGCCAAGGAGTTCGAGACCAGTCTGGCCAACATGGTGAAATCCAGTCTCTACTAAAAATACAAAAATTATCCGGGCACGGTGGCACATGCCTGTAGTCCTAGCTACTCAGGAGGTTGAGGCAGGAAAATTGCTCAAACCCGGGAGGCAGAGGTTGCAGTGAGCTGGGATTGTGCCACTGTACTGCAGCCTGGGCAACAGAGAAAGACTCTGCCTCAAAACAAAAGAAAAAATAAAAAAAATCGATAAGTCTCTAGCCAGGCTAACAGAGAGAAGGGAAGAGGGAGTGGGAGAAGAGGGAGGCAGAGGGAGAAAGTAAGAGAGAGAGAGAGAGAGAGAGAGAGAGAGAGAAGACACAAATTACTAGTATTGTAAGATCACCACAGATCCTATTGAAACTTAAAGGATAATAAAGAATTATGAACAACTCTATACCCACAGATTTTATAACCTAGATGAAATGAGCCAATTGCTGAAACATATAATATTACAAAATTTAATCAAGAAAAAGTTGACAATATGAGCATGGCTAATCTAGTAAATAATTTGAATCAATAATTTATTGCCTCCCAAAATAGAAATCACCAGGTCCAAACTGTTTTATTCATGAAGTCTACCCAACATGTAAGGAAGAATTATGCCAATTTTCTATAATCTATTCCAGAAGATGATGCAGAAAAAGTATTTTTGAACACATCCTGTGACACCAGCATTACTCAAACACCAAAACAAGACAAAAGGCATCACGAGGAAAAAACAAACACACAACCAAGCTAAAGACCAATATTGCTCATGAACATATATGCAAAAATTCTCAACAAAATATTAACAAATCATATCCAGCAATGTCTAAAAAAATTGTACACCATGACCAAGTGGGTTTTATACCAGGTATGCAAAGCTGATTTAACATTTAAAATAAAATAATGCAATGTATCATATCAACGAACTAAAGAAGAAAAGCCACATGATTATATCAACAAATGCAGAAAATGTATTTGACAAAATCCAACACCTATGCGTGGTAAAAACTCACAGCAAACTAAGAAAAGAATATTTACAAAAAATCTACAGCTAACATCATATTTATTGGTAAGAAACTTGCAGATTTTCCACTAAGATCAGGGAGAAAGCAAGGATGTCTCCTCTCAGCACTGCTTTCTACTATCATACTGGATATCTGGCTAATGCAATAAGACAAGAAAAGGAAATAAAATTGGAAGGAAGAAATAAAACTATGGTCACAGATGAATTGATCATCTATGTAGAAAATCCAAATAATCAACAAAACTCCTGAAACTAATAAATAACTAAAGTAAGATTGCAGGATACTAGGTTAACATACAAAAGTTAATCACTTTTCTACATATAAACACAGATGCAAAAATGTACAAGTGAAACTTGAAATTAAAGACACTTTACCATTTACATTAACACCTCCCAAAGTGAAATACTTAGGTATAAATCTAACAAAATATGTATAAGATCTATGTGAGAAACACTGTGAAATTCTGATAACACATATAAAGAATAACTAAATAAATAAAAAGATATACCATGCTCATGCATAGGAAGGCTTAATATTGTCAGTTCTTTTCAAGTTGATCTATAGATTTGATGCAATCTCAATTTTAAAACTCAGCAAGTTATTGTGTAGATAACAAACTGATTGTAAGGTTCATATGGAGAGGCAGAACACCCAGAATAGCCAACACAATGTTAAAGCAGAAGAACAAAATCAGATGGCTGACACTACATAACTTCAAGATTTACTATAAAGCTACAGTAGTCAAGACAATGTGTTGTTGGCAAAAGAATGAACAAGTAGATCAATGGAACAGAATACAGGGCCAAGAAATAGGCCCACATAAATATGGTCAACTGATCTTTTGCAAAAGAGTGAAGGCAATACAATAGAACAAGGATGGTCTCTTCAACAAATGATGCTGGAACAACTGAACATCTACATGCAAAATATAAATCTTAGATACACACTTAACATCTTTCACAGAAATTAACTCAAAATGGATGATCAACATAAATTTAAAATACAAACTATAAAACTGTAGAAGATAAGCTAAAATAAAATTTAAATGATCCCGGAAATAGTAATGACTTTTTAGATAAAACACCAAAGGCATGATCCATACGAGAAATAATTGATAAGTTGGACTTCATTAAAATTAAAAACTCCTGCCTTATGAAAGACAATGGCAAAAGAATTAGGATAAGTCACAAGCAGTGGTGACTGAGGTGGTTGGGGCAAGATGCATGAGGAGGTTGCTTGGAAGGGATCAACCAGGGGACATGGCATCAGTGGCTGGAGGCAGCACTTGAGCTTGAAAGATGGTGCTTGTGAAGACTCTGGCTGCTTCTCCCCTCCCCACCAGTAGTAATTTCTGGAGAAAACACATTCACAGTTAGTACTTTCTACAGATGCTAACATTTGGTGAACAGTTGCTCTTGGTCACAAGATTTAGAAGACACAATATCCATCCTCCTAGATTGGTTCTCTTTTCATATGGATCTTCTGTTTCTATGATTTTTTAAGAGAACTTTTTGGGAAACATTTTGGATTACAATTGTTCATCCTTATCTATGCAAAGAAAGTAAAGCTATTGTTGGGATTTTTAGGAGCTTTTCCTAAAATGATTCTCATATACCTTAGAAGTGCTTGAGGAAGAGTAATGAAGGCGGCATGAACCCTTAATCTCATGGCTGCATGCACAGTCATTGTTGAAGCAAATGCCTACATAATTTAACACTCTTGGTGTGTTAAAGAAAATAAGTTTGCAAATAAGCATATTAAGTCTACTGATGGAGCCTGTGGGCAGTGAATACATGAGGACTCTGATCCTAGAGGCAAACAACAAGATGCAGAGGCTGGAAAGCATATAGAATCAGGAAAAAAGTTGTCTAAAATGACCCACAATGTTATGAAAAACGTTAATGTGATTGGCTAAGGCCTGAAGGATCTCTTCCAGCACCAGCACAGGAGGACATCAGTGTCTCCATACCATGTGCAGCAAATTCAGGCCAATCCAGAACCTGAAATGGATCTGGAAAGCCAGAATGCATGTGCTGAGACTGATGGTGTCTCCACCCACTCCACAGCTCTGAATCATGTCCTACAGAAGATTAAAATGCCACCTTAGATGAAGAGAGGAACAAGCCTGCGTAGTAGGTAGGACAAGCCAGAAGCCCCAAGGGAAGTTCCCAAATCAGGAAATATGGCTAGGAGATGACAGCTGTTATGCAGTCAGGTCAACCCAGGTCTTCATCCACAGCTGATGCCCCTATCAGCTTCACTATAATGGAAATAACATGTGCTGCTGCTGCTGCATGTCTGCCAAGAGAGGAGGGAACTGCAGAGTGGATTAAGTGGTTGGAAGTAAGCAGCCTCACTCAGACATCCAGTGCAGTGGTCTCCAGTACTAATGACAGCATTCACACAGACTCCATGGATGGAACAGCAGACCCTCAGTGAAAAAAAAAATCCTGCTATTTTTCACCTGCAGCAGAAGATCCTGATGCTCACATAACAGATCAAGATTGCACAGCCTGGGATGACAGCATTGCTGAGTACTTGAAGCTTGCCAACAGCTCGGACAAGTAGTAGGCTGGCTGAATCAAGCAGGACTTCGAGAAGAAGAACCAGAAATCTGCCCAAATCATCCTCCAGGTACAAAAGAAGCTTGAGCACTACCACAGGATGCTGTAAGAGGTGGAGTAGAATGGGATCCCCCAGCAACCAAAGGATGTCTTTAGGAACATGCAGCAGGGTCTGAAGGATGTGGGAGTGAAGGTGACTGGCTTCAGTGAAGGTGTGGCAGGTGGTGTCAAAGGTAGATTTTCCAGTTTCTCTCAGGCCAGCTATTCAGCAATAGGGACCATGGTCTCAAAACCCAGAGATTTTGCCTCAATGATTTGGAACAGATTTGGCAGTACAGACGACATCTGTAACCTAAAGTACTGTTTAGAGGTAGGGCAAGTGGATGATGAGGGGAAGGCTTTGGGAGTGATTTTGAACTTTCAGTGATGCCCACAATATGGCAGTCAGGAAGATTGTCCTAGGACTATTTTAGGCTCAGTGGGAGTCAACAGCACCACTGGTGGCATAACTGTAGGAACATCCAGCTCCAAAAAGAATACCCTGCACATACAAAGCCTGGGGTTTGATGCACTATTACATGAGATCCAGGAGATCTGGGAAACCCAGGCCAGGCTAGAGAAATCCTTTGACACTCTCAAGGAACATTACCAGAGGGACAATTTGTTAATAATGAAGACCTTATGGGAGGAGTGAAATAGATGTGAATGATTAGAAGAAGAACGAAATGACCTAAAGGAGCTTCGCCAGAATGAAATCTTGAACTTGAAGAAGGAATGACCTAAAGGAGCTTCACCAGAATGAAATCTTGAACTTGAAGCAGGAACTGGTCAGCAGGGAAAAAATTTGCATATCAGGATGGGCCTGGGAAATCCAGGAGGCATGCCAGACCTGCGTTTCTAAGATGGAGCTGGATATTCATGATGCAGCACTAGCAGGTGGTGGAGCTAGAAGGGCTGGAGAATGCCACTGCCTGGAATCTTCTGGACAAAGTCATCGACATCCTCCTTGCTGTCATGGCAGTCCTTTTGGTCTTTTTCTCCATGGTAGCCAACAGTGTGGCCCCCCTCATGCAAACTTGCAATGCGGTGTTCAGTACTTTATTCCCTGTGGTTTTCATTGCCTTTCTCTGGAAGCACCAGGCTGCCCCCTTCAGCTATGTGAAATGATTCTTTTCATCCCCAAATGATGCTGGCACAGAAGGCATTGTTCACTTTTCTCTGGCAAGTGCATGCAACAGGAAGTTAGACAGCAACTTACCGACTCTGAAGTTTTCTACAACCAAAGGGTTGAGTGAATCTGTTTACATATAGAATGATGTTTTATTCACAAGAGACACAATTACAATAGTACTTTTTATATTTTATCCAATAATTTTTTAGGGCGAAAATCTTGGATAATTTTTGTGTAGCATGATTTTCTTTGGAATGTGAATCTTAAACAGTTACTTAACATGAACCAAAAATCTGAAGTATACAGCTGTGTCTACGTCCATACCACCCTGAACACACCAATCTCATCTGAAGTATACTGCTGAAAGAAAAGAATGTTAATGAGCAATAAGTAATTATCTGAAGTTTCAGAGTTCACTGGTAATAGTAAATACACAGAAAAACAGAATATTATAACATCATAAACTAGTCATATCTTGACTAGAAAGATAAAAGGGGAACCAATCAAAAATAATAACTACAACAACTTTTTAAGACATAGACAGTACAATAAGATATAAATAGAAACAACAGAAAGTTTAAAAGTGGGAAGATAAAGTGTGAAGTTTTTATTAGTTTTTCTTTTGCTTCTTTGTTGGTTTCTTTGTTTATACAATTAAAGTTCAGTTGTTATTAGTTTAAAATAACGGGTTATAAGGTATTATTTGCAAACCTCATGGTAACCTCAAACCAAAAAACATACAACGTATACACAAAAAATAAAACAAGCAATTAAAACATACTATCTGACAAACTCACCTTCACCAAAAATAAGACAGGAAGGAAGGAATGAAGGAAGATAAAACTACAAAAGAAAACCCAGAAAACAAATAAAATGCAGAAGTTAGTCATTACTTATCAATAATAACATTGAACACAAATAGATTAAACTCTCCAATCAGAAGACATAGACTGGCTGAATGGATTAAATAAAAATGATAAGACTCAACGGTTTGTTGCCTACCAGAAACACACTTCACTTACAAAGACACACATAGACTGAAAATAAAGGGATAGAAAAATATATTCCATGACAATGGAAAACAGAAAAGAGCAGGAGTAGCTATATTTAGACAAAATAGATTTCAAGACAAAGACAATAAGAGAAGACAAAGAAGGTCATTATGTAATGATAAAGAGGTAAATTCAGCAAGACGATACAATGGTTATAAATATATATGCTCCCAACACTACAGCATCCCAACATGTAGAGCAAATATTATTAGAGACACACAGAGAGATAGACCCCAATATAATAAGAGCTGGAGACTTTAACAACCCACTTTCATCTTTGGAGAGATCTTCCGGACAGAAAATCAATAAGGAAATATTGGGCTTACTCTGCACTGTAGGATAAATGAACCTAATACCAATTTACAGAACATTTCATCCAGTGGCTATGGAATACATATTCTTCTCCTCAGCATAAGGGTCAGTCTCAAGGATAGACCATATATCAGGTGACAAAACAAGACTTAAAACATTCAAAATTTTGAAATAATATCAAACATCTTCTCTGACCATAATGGAATAAAACTAGAAATCAATATCAAGAGGAATTTTTGAAACTATACAAGCACATGCAGATTAAACAATATGCTTCTTAATGACCAGTGGTCAATGAAGAAATTAAGAAGGAAAGTGAAAAAATTTTTGAAACAAATTTTAGTGGAAACAGAACTACTGAAATCTATGAGATATAGCAAAAGCAGCACTCGGAGGAAAATTTATAGCTATAAGTGCCTACATCAAAAAAGAAGAAAAACTTCAAATAAACAACCTAACAATGCATCTTAAGGAACAAGAAAAGCAAGAACAAACCAAATCCCAAATTAGGAGAAGAGAAGAAATAAGAATCAGAGCAGAAATAAGTGAATTTGAAATGCAAACAATATAAAAGATCAATAAAACAAAAAGTTGGTTTTTTGAAAATATAAACTTGACAAACATTAGACAGAATAAGAAAAAAGAAAGCACCTAAGTAAATAAAATCTGAGATGAAAAAGGAGATATTACAATTGATACTGTAGAAATTCAAAGGGTCATTAGTGGCTACTATGAAAAACTATATGCCAACAAATTAAGAAATCTAGAAGAAATGGACAAATTCCTAGACACATAAAATCTAGCAAGGTTGAACCATGAGGAAATCCAAAATTTGAACAGATGAATGACAAGCAATGAGATTGAAGCTGCAATAAAAAGTCTCTCAGTAAATAAGATCCCAGAACCCAATGGACTGCTTAATTCTGCCACACTTTTACAGAGGAACGAATACCAATTCTACTCAAATTGTTCCAAAAAATAGAGGAGGACAGAATATCTCCAAACTCATTCTATAAGGCTTGTATTACCCTGATACCAAAACCAATGACACATAAAAAAATGACAGGCCAATATCTCTGATAAATATTGATGCAAAAATACTCAAAAAATTACTAGCAAACTGAATTCCACAATACATTAAAAAGGTCATTCATCATGATCAAGCAGAATTTATCCCAGGGATGCAAAGATGGCTCATCATATGCAAATCAATGTGATAGATCATATCAACAGAATGAAGGATAAAAACCATATGATCATTTCAATTGATGTCGAAAAAGCATTTGATAAAGTTCAACATCACTTATTGAAAAAAACCATCAAAAACCTGGGTATGGAAGGAACATAACATGATAAATGCCATATGTGACATACCCACAGTTAGTATCATACTGAATAGAGAAACTGAAAGCCTTTTCTCTAAAATCTGGAAAATGACACAGATGCTCACGTTCAACAGCATTCCACATAGCACTGGAAGTCCTAGCTAGAGCAATCAGACAAGACAAAGAAAGAAAGAGCATATAAGTTAGAAAGGAAGAAGTCAAATTATCCCTCTTTGCAGATATGATCTTGTATTTGGAAAATCCAAAAGGCTCCACCAAAAAACTATTAGAACTGATACATTCAGTAAAGTTGCAGGATACAGTATCAATATACAAAAATCAGTAGTATTTCTATATGTCAAGAGTATAGAATATGTAAAAGAGATCAAGAAAGTAACTCCATTTGCAGTAGCCACAAATACAATTAAATTTCTAGGAATTAACCAAAGAAGTGAAAGTTCTCTACAATGAAAACTATAAACACTGACAAAAGAAATTAAAGAGGACAAAAACATTGAAAGATATTCCATGTTCATGGAATGGAAGAATAAATATTGTTAAAATCCCCATACCACCCAAAGCAATCTATAGATTGAATGCAATCCCTGTCAAAATGCCAATGATATTTTTCACAGATATAGAAAAAACAACCTTAAAATTTATATGGAATCACAAAGGATCTAGCATAGCCAAAGCTATCCTGAGCAAAAATAACAAAACTGGAGGAATCACATTACCTTACTTTAAATTACACTACAGAGCTATAGTAACCAAAACAGCATGACACTGGCATGAAAACAGACACATAGACCAATGGAACAGAATACAGAACCCAGAAATAAAACCACACACCTACAGTGAGCTCATTTTTAACAAGGTGCCAAGACATACATTGGGGAAAAGACAGTCTCTTCAATAAATGGTGCTGGGAAAACAAAATACCTATATGCACAAGAATGAAACTACACCTCTATCTCTCACTGTATACAAAAATTAAATCAAAATGACTTAAAGACTTAAATATAAAATCTCAAACTATGTAACTACTAAAAAAAAAAAACCTTGGGGAAACTCTTCAGGACATTGTACTGGGCAAAGATTCCTTGAGTAATACTCCACAAGCACAGGCAACCAAAGCAAATGCGGACAAATGGGATCACATCAAGTTAAAAAGCTTCTGCACAGCAAAGGAAACCATCAACAAAGTGAAGAGACAATTTTCAGAATGGGAGAAAATATTTGCAACTATTGATAAGACAATGGATTAATAACCAGAATATATAAGGAACTGAAATAACTCTAAGAAAATATCTAATAATACAATTAAACAATGGTCAAAATATCTGAAAAGACATTTCTCAAATAAAGACATATAAATGGCAAATAGATGTATGAAGAGGTGCTCCGCATCAATGATCATCAGAGAAATGCAAATAAAAACTACAGTGAGATATTGCCTCACCCCAATTAAAATAGCTTGTATCCAAAATATAGTCAATAACAAATGCTGGCAAGGATATGGAGAAAAAGGAACCTTTGTACACTGTTGGTGGAAATGTATATTAGTATGACTACTATGGAGTACAGTTTGGAGGTTTCTCAAAAAACTAAAAATAGAACTACCATAGAATCCAGCAGTCCCACTACTAGGTATATACTCAAAAGAAAGGAAATTAGTATATCAAAGATATAAGATGTATCTGCACTCCCATTTATTGCAGCAGTATTCCAATACCCAAGATTTGGAAGCAATGTAACTGTCTATCAACAGATAAGTGGATAAAGAAAATGTGGTACATATACACAATGAAGTACTATTCAGACGCAAAAAAAAAAAAGACTGTTATTTCTGTCATTTTTAACAACATGGATGGAACTGGATGTCATTATGTTAAGTGAAATAAGCCAGACACAGAAAGACAAACTTTGCCTGTTCTCACTTATTTGTGGAGGCTAAAAATGAAAACAATTGAATTTATGTAGATAGAAAGTAGAAGGATGATTATGAGAGGCTGGGAAGGGTTTTGGGTAGGGGTGAAGCATAAAGGATGATTAACGTGTACAAAAAATAGAATAAATATGATCTAGTATTTGATAAAACAACAGGATGACTACAGTTAGCAATAATCTATTGTACATTTAAAAATAACTAAAAGAGCATAATTGGGTTGTTTGTAACACGAATAAAGTATAAATATTTGAGGTAATGAATATGCCACTTATTCTGATGTGATTACTATGCATTGTATGCCTGTATCAAAATATCTCATGTGCCCCATAAATATATACACATGCTACGTACCCACAAAAATTTAAAAGGAAACAAAACAGAAAAAGACAAATCACAGACTATTTTGAATTGATTTCTGTGTTTGGTGTGAGATAAAGGTCCAATTTCTATCTTTTGCATGTGAATGGCCACCTTTCCCAACACCATTTGCTGAAGGGACTATCCTTTTCCCATAGTGCCATCTTGACATCCTTGTTGAAGGATGTCAACAATGATGACATCTTGACATCCTTGTTGAAGGATGTCATGCTTGTTAATCATATATATGTAGATTTATTTGTGGCCATTCTAATCTGTTACACTGGTCTATATGTCTGTAATGCCAGTCCCATATACAAATTTTTAATCACTATAACTTCGTAATACGTTTTGAAGTCACAAAGTGTGAGGCTTTTTTTTTTTGTTATTTTTTCTCAATTTTACTTTGGTTAGTTCGGCTCTCTTATGGTTCCATATGAGGTTAAGGATGCTTTTTTATTTGTGCAACAAATGCCACTGAGATTTTGATAGGGATTCCATTGAACCTATAGATCTCTTTGGGCAATATGGGCATTTTTACAATCTTGTCTTTTAATCTATGAACATGGGATGTCTTTCCATTTATTTGTGTCTTCTTTAATTTCTTTCAGTAATGTTTTATAGTTTTTCAGTGTAGAAGACTTTCACTTCTTTGGTTAAGTTTATTCCTAAGTATTTTATATTTATTGATGCTATTGTAAGTATTGTAAGTATTGTAAGGATTGTTTTCTTAATTTTCTTTTTGGATATTTCATTGTTAGTGTATAGCCACATAAGTAATTTTTGTGATAATTTTGGATCCTGCAATGTTGCTGAATTTATTAGTTCTAACAGGTTTTTTTTTGTGGAATCTTGAGAATTTTTTGTGTACCCATGTAATCTACTAATAGAGATCATTTTACATCTTCCTTTCTGACTTGAATGCCTTTTATTTCTTTGTCTTGCTTATTTGCTCTAGCTAGGACTTCAAGAACTATGTTAAATAGAAGTGACAAGATTGGGCATTCTTGCCTTGTTCCTGATTTGAGAGGAAAATTTTTCAGTTTTTAACTGTTGAGCAAGATGTTAGCTATGGGCTTGTCATATATGGCTCTGAGATAGCAAGATAAAAACTAGTCCTCTCAGATAGGCTGCCAAAAGCCAGAAATTTGGTTGCTGGTTTTATTTCTTTTCCTCTCCAGGAGGAAGCAAGGAGTTAGAGGTTTTCTTCTACTCTTTATTTACTGAGCCAGAGGAAGCGACCATGGCCAGTGAAGGGTCCAAATTTTTGCCTTTGTTCTCAGCAGCTCTCAACTTGGCACCCCTTCCTGTCAGTGTTCTTCTAGTCAGGACATAAACCAGTCCCTTGGGCAGCTCCTGAAAAAGTCTCAACATTGGACATATGTTTCAGTCTTCTCTTTCCATTCCAAGGGAGAAACTGAGATCTGGGAGTTTTCTCTCAATTGCATTGCACTGAGGAAGAGGGCCTATGGTAAGTGTTTGCCATGAATCTTCCTACTGGCATTGGTGCAGCTGGGTTTGTGTTTGCCTGGGATGCTGGAACCTTTTAGTTGGTTTCTGGATTTCTCACAAAGGGAAATGGTCTGTATTGTTGTTGAATTGCTTTCTCCTTAGAGGAAAGAGAGGCTAGGGCTCCCTATTCAATCATCTTGCTGATGTCCATTTAATTCCTCCAAAGATGTTTGTCTTGTAGCCCACTAAATTCCTATTCTAAGACTGCCAATTATTTTCTGTGTTTACCAAACGCTGTCATTCTAGAGTCTGTTTTCTTTAGCTTCCAGGGTGAATTTCCTCGCTTCTTATATTGCACAATTTGTCTTTCTTAGTTTCTGTTTCTGTTTTCTGATTCATTATCACGAATGATATCATTAAGAACCATCCTCAGAAAAGGAACATGAGAGGTAAATTCAAGATTTGAAAGCCTTAAAATATTTTATTTTGTTTTTACTCCTGATTAGTATCGGGCAGGGTTTAGAATTTTATATTCTGAATTTTGAAGTCTTTTTTTATTGTGTGATATCAACAAATGGTGCTGATAAGTCAAATTATAGATGGAAAATAATTCTAAAGGAAGTTTTAGATTTATCTATTTGTTGTACTGAAATTTCATGTCTCTAGAAGTACTTCTTTTTACATCTATTTTCTTATTTTCCTATGGACCTTCTCTTTAGCTTTGGGGCATCGACATTAAGTTATAGGTTAGTTATGAGTTGATTACTCGTGACTGTATGAAAAATAAAATTTTAAGCAGAATATGCTTTCTAAAATATTTGTCTATAATCTGCCAAACATCCTTTTTGTTATTCAATATTGGTAATCCAGAATAGATTCATATATGTTCTATCACGTATAAGCAAACATAAACTAAATACAAGAAATACTCTTGGAAATAAATAAAATAACCTAAGTGTCCTTTGATAAAATAATTCAAGATTAAATCGTTGTAGTCTATTATTCAATAATACTAAATTTACCATTCAGAAAAGGGAACAAAATTGCTCAGAAAAAAATTGAGCTCTTTGCCATCCTTATACGCAAAGAAGAGGTTTATGGTTCTTTAGTCCTCGTAAGAAACATATGAAATTGTATTTTTAATTTCCTAACAGGGAGCCATTGGTTAACTTATTTTTAGCTTGCAATTAGTAGAAGAAAATATCTCATATAGCAAATATTACAGTGTAATCTGATTTTACCTCTTGCAGAGTTTAGTAAACAAATAAACCCCACAACAATGACAACACAACATAAAAAAGTTTGGCTTTAAGCAAAAATACATCTATATTATTATCCTACAACATGGTATTCAAAACTTACATAATTTTGCTTCCATTTTTTCCAAAGATGCTAGATTATATGCTTTTACCATGCCTCAGCCATTTGGAAATAGACAGATAGTGCATAAAGATAAACTCAGTGTTAATTCAAGAAGGAAAACAGGAATCTACTGAAATAATGAAAAGCATCCAAGATCTCAGAGAGAATGCTGGCAAAAATCCCAATGATGGCATCTGCCTGACAAAAGTAAGTGAAGCCTCAGTAAGTGAGAGATGCAGAGAGCTGCCCTATATGACTCACCTTTCCACTAGGGATCTGAGCAACCCAAGGGAGAGCACTTTGTTTCTCTCAAACCCTGAAACTAACTTGAGGAGAGGCTTGGAGATGCCATGAGGGAAAGACAGTGGGAAAAGCTTCAGACATTTTCCTAGACCTGGGATTGAGAGGAGGACAACATTTTTAATCTGGTTGCATGATCTGGTCAGCCATTCTTTGGTAACCTGGCAGCATGGTCACACAGACATTTGAGTCTCAGGCCAGACATTGGAGTGCCTGCTCTGGGGCCGGGTTGTGGCCTCCACAGCCAGAACTGTGGAAAGCACCTCAACAGTAGGCGCTGGAATTGTGCTCTTCCTTGTGACAAGTCTAGGGTGGGGAGAGCTTCTAAAGCTGCAGTTTATCCTAGGCAGTGAGACTTGCAGGTAGAGCCAGTTCAGTGACCTGGAACCAGTCTGTGGATGCCATTGCTGGGTGCCCCAGCCTGCTTCCCTGAAATCACGGTGAAATGGGGCCATCTCCACTCCACCCCCAGGCATATATCCAGGCATTTAGAGCACCTGATTGCCTGAATCATCAGCATGAGCTGTCTCACCCTTCATGAACATAGATCAAGGTGCAGTGGGGCCCTCTCCACTCCGTGCCCAGGAAGATATCCAGGCATTTAGAGCACCCATTCACCTAGTTTAGCAGCTTGAGCTGCCCTGCCCTTCCTGGACCTAGATTGTGGTGCAGCAAGTCTTTCTTTGCTCCATGTGCATGCAAATTTCTAGGTATCTGGAGTACCACCTCACCTAACTGAGCAGCCCGAGACAAACTGCCTTTTTTGAGCAAAGAACTGGGTGCAGGGTGTCCTCTATGCTGTAGACTGAGGCAGATCTTTAGGCATGGAGGGCAGCCACTTGTCTGGAACAGCAGCCTGTACTGCCCCACCCTTCCTGTGCAGAGATTCTGGTGAAAGGGGGCCCTCTCTGCTACACACCCAGGCATATCTCCAGGTATCTGGTTCACCCATTCTCATGGATTAAAAGTTGGGATGCCCCTCATCCCCAAGTGGAGAACTTGGGGCTTAGGTTTACCAGCTCCATGCCTAGGCACACCTCTGGGCACTTGGTAGCCACCCATTGGCTTCTCCCTTAGTGCTGGTGCTTCTCCCTGCCACTGGAGAAGCACAGGGAGGCAGACCTACCTGCTAATCTTGGCCCCTGCTCCTCCAGAACTGAGCAAGGAGCTAAGATCACTGTGAACTCCACAAATAAGCCCATTGCCTGAGGTAACAGAGAGCTTCTCCTGGTAAACCAGGAAAAGTACATAGCCAGCCACATTGACTGAAGCCAGCTCCTCCCTATAAGTGCCATCTGCTAGCTTATAGGTCAAACTGAACGGCCCAGTATAAAAGTTGCCATCAGAAGTGCACAGGGCTATAGAAGCAAAGCCAAAAGACCCTACCCAGCATCTTCTAAGTTCACACCCTCTAGGGAGGGAAGAAAGGGAAAAGGAAAGAATAAACAAATAATAATATTGTATGGAAAGAAAGAAAAATAAAAATCTATCATGCCAAAAAATGCATACAAAAATTAGAAGTGCCAGCATCTCCAGATGAGAGGGAATCTCCACAAGAATTCTGGCACCATGAAAAACCTGAATATTGTGTCACCACCAAAGGATCACACTTGCTCTCCAGCAGTGGTCCCTAAGGAAGATGGAAACTCAGAACTGATAGATAGAGAATTCAAAGTATGGATTGCAATGAAGCTCAAAGAGATCCAAGACAAAGTTGAAAATCAACACAAAGAAACTTCTAAAGCGATCCAGGAAATAAAGGAGGAGCTAAACATCCTAAAAAGCAATCAATTTCAGTTTCTAGAATTAAAAAACTCACTTAAGGAATATCAAAATATACTTGAAAGCAGACTGGGCCAAGCAGAGGAGAGAATTTCAGAGCTTGAAGACCACTCCTTTGAACTAACTCTGTCAGACAAAAATTTAAGAAAAGGAATTTTTAAAGTGAAAAAAACTCTTCAAGAAATATGAGATTATGTAAAGTTACCTAATCTATGAATCATTGGCATTTCAGAGAGAAAAGGAAAAAAAGGAAACAAGCTGGAAAACATATGGCAGTAATTCAAGAAAATTTTCCTCATCTTGCTAGAGAGATTAACATCCAGATAAAAGAATTCCTGAGAAAATTGGCAAGATACTACACAAAACAAACATCATTAAGAAATAAAATCTTTTTCATACAATCATGTGCTAAGGGAATTTGTTACCACTAGATCAGCCTTATAAGAGATACTTAAGAGAATTCTAAACTTGGAAACAAAACCAAAAAATACCTGCTACCACAAAAACACACTTAAGTACCTAACCCACAGATCCTATAAAGCAACCACACAGTAAAAACTGTAAATAACCATCTAACAACTTAGCAACAGGATCAAAACTTCACATATCAATATTAATCTTCAATGTAAATGTTTTAAATGCCTCACTTAAAAGGCACAGACTGGCAAGTTGGATTAAAAAAAAAGACTCATCCACTTACTGTCTTCAGTAGACCAGTCTCACATGTAATGATACCCACAGGTTCAAAGTAAAGCATTAGAGAAAGATCTACCATGCAAACAGAAAATAAACAAAGAGCAAGGTTTATAATTCCTACATAAGATAAAACAGACTTTGAACCAACTACAGTAAAAAAGACAAAGATGGGTGTTACATAATGATAAAGTATTCAATTCAACAAGAAGGCTTAACTATCCCAAATATATATGTACCCAACATTGGAGCATCCAGATTGATAAAATCAGTATTTCTAGACCTACAAAAAGGCTTAGACAGCTACAAAATAATAGTGGAGGGCTTCAACACCCCCCTGACAGTATTAGTTAGATCATCAAGGCAGAAAACAAACAAATTCTGGATTTAAATTGGACACTTGACCAACTGGTCCTAATAAACATCCAAAGAATACTGCACCCATCAACCACAGTATTATATTCTTCTAATTTGCACACACAATAAACTCCAAGATCAAACACATGCTTGGTCATAAAGCAAATCTCAATAAATTCAAAAAAACTGAAATAATGCCAACCATATTCTTGGACCACAGTGGAATAAAATGGAAACCAATACTAAGAAGATCTCTCAAAATTATACAACTACCTAGAAGTTAAACGATTTGCTCCTGAATGGCTTTTGAGTAAACAATGAAATTAGGTCAGGAATTATCAAATTCATTAAAATAAATGAATAGGGAGACGCAATGTACCAAAATCTCTGGGACGTAGCAAAAGCAGTGTTAAGAGGAAAGCTTATACCACTAAATATATACCTTAGAAAGTCAGAAAGATCTCAAATTAACAATTTAACATCACACCTAGAGGCAGCAAAAATACAAGAACAGACTAAACCCAAAGTTAGCAGAAGAAAAGAAATAATATTGGAGTAGAACTGAATGAAATTGAGATCCAAAAATCCATATAAGGAATTAACAAAACCAAAAGTTTGTTATTTGAAGGGATAAACAAGATCAGTAGACCAGTAGATAAATTAACAGAGGGAAAAAGAGAAGAACCAAAAAAGCACAATTGAAAACAACAAAGATGACATTACAACCAATCTTATAAAAATTAAAAAAAGACCCTCAAGATTATTATGAACATCTCTATGCAAGAAACTAGAAAACCTAGAGGAAGTGGATAAATTCCTGGAAACACACAATCTCCCAAGATTGAATGAAGAAAAAATGGAAACACTAAACAGAATGTGTTAGGCTGTTTTTGTATTGCTATAAAGAAATACCTGAGACTGTGTAATTTATAAAGAAAAGAGGTTTAATTGGCTCATGGTTCTGCAGGCTTTACAGGAAGCATGGTGCTGGCATCTGCTCAGCTTCTGGAGAAGCCTCAAGAAGCTTACAATCATGGCAGAAGGCAAATGGGAAGCAAGCATGTCACATGGCCAGAGTGGGATCAAAAGAGAGAGAGTGGGAGGTGCCACACACTTTTAAATTATCAGATCTTATATGGATTTAGAACAATAGCTCACTTTTCACCAAGGGGATGGCCTAAGCCATTAATAAAAGATGTATCTCCATAATCCACACATCTCCCATCAGGCCCCACTTCCAACATTAGGGATTAGAATTCAACAGGAAATTTAGGCTAGGACAAATATTTAAACTATATCACATACCAATATCAAGTTCGAAAATGGAAGTAGTAATAAAAAAATCCACCAATCAAAAACACCCTTCATCAAATAGATTCACAGCCGAATTCTACCAGATGTACAAAGAAGAGCTGGTACCAATTCTACTGAAACTATTCCAAAAACTGAGGAGGAAGGACTCTTCCATAACTCATTCTACAAAGCTACCATCAACCTGATAACAAAACCTGGCAAAACACAACAAAAAAATAAAACTGCAGGCCAATATCCCTGATGAACATTGCCACAAAAATCCTAAACAAAATACTAGCAAATTGAATCCAACAACACATTAAAAAGTTAATTCACCATGATCAAGTGGGCTACATTCATGGGATACTAGGTTGATTCAATATTTGCAAATCAATAAATGTGATTCACCACATTAAAAAATTAAAAACAAAAACCATATGATCATCTCAATAGACATGGAAAAGGCTTTTGATAAAATCCAACATCCCTTCATGATAAAAACCCACAAGAAACTAGGCATCAAAAGGATATAATAAGATAATAAGAGCCCTCTTACTATCTTATTAAAATAATAAGAACCATCTATCACAAACCTACAGCCAACATCATACTGAATGGGCAAAAACTGGAGGGATTTCTCCTGAGAACTATAACAAGACAAAGATGCCCACTCCTACCATTTCTATTTAACATGTACTGAAAGTGCAAGCCAGAGTAATCACCCAGGAGAAAGAAACAAAATGCATCTGCATAGGAAAAGAAGAATTCAAATGATTTCTCTTTGCAGACAATATGATTCTATGCATAGAAAACACCAAAGACTCCACCAAAAGGCTCCTAGAACTGATAAATGATTTCAGCAAAGTTTCAAGATACAAAATCAACTTACAAAAATTAGTAGCATTTCTATACACCAAAAACCAAGCTGAGAGCCAAATCAACAATGCAACCCCATTTACAATAGCCACAAAATAATAAAATACCTAGAAATACAGTCAACCAAGGAGGCAAAAGAGATTTACAAGGAGAACTACATGACACTGCTAAAAGGAATCATAGATAACAGAAACAAATGGAAAACCATTCAATAGTCATGTATGGGAAGAGTCAATATCATTAAAATGGTCATACTCTCCAAAGAAATCTAGAGATTCAACATTATTCCTACAAAACTATCAATGTTATTTTTCTTTAAGTAGAAACAACTATTCTAAATAGCCAAAGCAATCCTAAGCAAAAAGAAAAAAAAAAAAAAACAGAAGGCATCACATTACCTGACTTCAAACTATACTATATGCCTATGGTAACCAAAACAGCGTGGTACTGGTATGAAAACATACATGTAGACCAATGAAAAAGAATAGAGAACTCAGAAGTAAAGCCACACACCTATGACCATCTGATCTCTGACATATTTGACAAAAATAAGCAATGGGAAAAGGACTCTCTTTTCAATAAAGAGTCCTGAGATAGTTGGCTAACCACATGCAGAAGTATGAAACTGGACCCTTACCTGTCACTATATACAAAAATTAACTTCAGATCGATTAGAGTCCTAAATGTAAGACCTCGAACTATAAGAATCCTAGAAGAAAACCTAGTAAACACCATTCTGGACATCGACCTTGGGAAAGAATGTATGACTAAGTTGTCAAAGTCAATTTCAACAAAACAAAAAATGGACAAGTGGTACCTAATTAAACTAAGGAGCTTCTGCACAGCAAAATAAACTATCAACAGAGTAAACAGATAATTTACAGGATAGAAGAAAATATTCATAAGCTATGCATCCAACAAAGGTCTAACAACCAGAATCTATAAGGAACTTAAACAACTCAACAAACAAAAAACAAATAATCCCATTGAAAAATGAGAGAGATATGAACAGATACTTCTCAAAAGAAGACATACTAGTGGCCAAAAAACATGAAAAAATGCCCCACATCACTAATCACCAGATAATTGCTAATCAAAACCACAAATGAGATTCCATCTCACACCAGTCAGAATGGTTATTAAAAAGGCAGAAAATAACAGGTGCTGGCAAGGGTGTGGAAAAGGAGGAATACTTATACACTGTTTATGAGAATGTAAATTAGTTCAACCACTGTGGAAACCAGTTGGAGAGTTCTTTTTTTCTCAAAGAAATAAGTTTGGAGATTTCTCAGAAAGCAGAACTACCATTCAAACCAGCAATCCCACAATTGAGTATATATCCAAAGGAAAACAAATTGTTTTACCAAAAAGACACATGCACTTGTATGTTCATCGCAGCACTATTCATAATAGCAAAGACATGGAATCAATCTAGGTGCCCATTAACAGTGGATTGGACAAAGAAAATGTGATACATATATAACACTGCATACTATGCAGCCATAAAAAAAATAATAAAATCACGTTTGTAGTAACACGGATGCAGCTGGCGGCCATTATCCTAAGCAAATTAAAGTAGGACCAGAAAAACAAATACTGCACATTATCATTTATAAGTTGGAGCTAAACCTTGGGCACTCAGGGACACAAAGATATAAATATTAGACACTGAAAATTGCTCAAGGCAGGAGGAAGAGAGGGGGACAAAGTTTGAAAAACGAACTTTTCAGTAGCATGCTCAGTATATGGGGGATGGAATGAATTGTCTTCCAAACCTCTGCATCACGCAATATACCCTTTTAACAAACTTGCACATGTACCCCCTGAATCTAAAATAAAAGTTGAAAAAAATTTGCTCCTAAGCATATATGATTAAAAAAGAATAATTGATCATGTTAATTAATGTGGTCATCTAAGCAACTGATTTACTTTATAAATGAAATTTATCACAGTGTCAAGACAGAGTTATAGAGTGAGTCTTTGCCATAATCCAAAGTTAAAAAAATAATAAAAAAAACCACTTTTTCTCTACATGTATATCCCTAGACTGTATAGACTCCACAACTGTAGAATAGCTTCTAAAACACCTTTTACTATGTTTATACAATAGAATGCATAAAATGATTAGACAGTAATTTAGGGAACTTCAGCATTCCTTTCAGGCAAAACTCTTCTTAAATAAATTGTATGACCCACCACTCCCAGAAAGCTGTGCTGATCTTGATCCCAATGACTAAAACTTCCTTGGTCAGAGTTGGAAATTTTACCCAAATTCGGTCAATCAAGTTTTCTCTATGAGAAATTTTAAACTGAGGTCTTTTACTTGCAATTACCAAATGTGCACTGAGCACTGGAGCTTGATAAAATATAGAGTGAATGCCTGGGTGAGTGCCACGGCAGCCAGGTGGGTAAAGAAATGCATGGAGGCGCATGCCTATAATCCCAGCTATTTGGGAGGCTAAGGTAGGAGAATCGCTCGAACCTGGGAGGCGGAGGTTGCAGTGAGCGACGATCGCTCCTTCGCACTCCAGCCTGGGCAATAAGAGTGAAACTCCATCTCAAAAGAAAAAAAAAAAAAAGAAATGTACAGAAAAGACTGGTGATCAGAAAATAGAAAGGGGAAGAGATGGGATATTTTCACCAACCCCCAGCCCACTGGAATCATATATGCATATGCCCTTCCTGTAGTAACCTGCTAATATGTTGTACATTCCCATATAACAGGAAACAGGGCCATGAGGGTATATCCTTCCATTGCCACTCATGGAAATTCTCCTCACTTTGACAAGAAGCTCCCATTCGCTAGTCGTGCTGACCATTTCCTCACTCTTCTTCCTCAGAATCTGCTTTTTCAAATGACTCCCAAGCATTCAGAGAACTGAGTAGTGGGGACTTCGTCTTCTCATAGACCTATTTTTTTTTTTTTTTTTAGATGGAGTTTCACTCTTGTCACACAGGCTGGAGTGCAGTGGCGCGATCTTGGCTCACTGCAACCTCTGCCTCCCAGGTTCAAGCAATTCTCCTGCCTCAGCCTCCTGAGTAGCTGGGATTACAGGTGCCTATGACCACGCCCGGCCAATTTTTATACTTTTAGTAAGGACAGGGTTTCACCATGTTGCCAGGCTGGTCTCAAACTCCTGACCTCAGGTGATCCAACGGCCTCAGCCTCCCAAAGTGCTGGGATTACAGGCATGAGCCACCATGCCCAGCCCTCATTGACATATTTTTTTTTTTTCCACAGCTCTATTCCTAGCTTTCACTAGTGAGGCTTGGGTTAAGTAGCCAGTTCACTTTCGAGTAGGAGACTGTTTGGATGCGTAACATTGGTAGGACCCAACTTCTCTCTGCCCACAGACTGGAAATGATTCCCAGTTGGAGTGGTAAGATATAGAGAGGTTGTATAGAAGGAGAAAGGTCAACAGGCCTGAGATAAGATGACTAGACCAGAAGACAGAAGCCAAGTTAAAATCTAGAAAAATCCACCTCTACTCAAGCACCCACTAGAGCAAGATTCATAATTCAACAGCATCTAGGAGCATATGGACCACAGACTATGTAGTTTCTATTGAGTGGATGACTTACATTATCTTCACTGAGGTGCCATTAGCTATTCTTCTTATCCAGTCAGTTCTGTTCCCTCAGTCTATTCTCAACACAGCAGCCACTGTGATCCTTTTGGATTATGTCATTCTTCTGCCCAAACCATCCTGTGGCTTCCCATTACACTTAGAATAAATCCAAAGTCTTTTATTACCTTCTCTGACCTCATCTTCAATTACTCTTCTGCTCATTTATCTCTCCAGCTACCTTGGTCAGCTTACTGTTCTACGTACCCTCTTCCCTCAGGCTTTGCGCAAGCTGGTCCCTTTGCCTGGAAGACTTTTCTATCATGTCTTACTGTGATTTACTCCTTCATTATGTTCAGGTCATTATTCAAATGTCACATTCTCATTAAAGACTTCTTAGCCACCCTGTCTAAAACTTCAAACTCCACCCATATACACAAGTTTTGATCTTCTATTTAAAACCTTTTAAATTTCATACTTCTTTATGCTGTTTATTTTCTCTCTCCTCTAACAGAATGTAAGTCTCATGAAAACAACTATTTTTGTCCACTTTATTTACTATATATACTCAGCTCCTTATAAGCAGGAAGAGCTATATAATTTATGGGGCACAGTGCAAGACGAAAATGCAGGGAACCATGTTCAAAATTATTAAGAATCTCAAGACAGTAGCAGCTCAGCATTAAATTAAATGCAGAGGTGGCAAGTTCATGAAACTCACCCTGTCTAGAACCTCTCAGAGAGAAGCAACCCATTTCACATTGATCATCCAGCAGACAAGACTGTATTCCATTGTCTTTCAACTGAGCCTCTGAGGAAAGTACCCAAGCTGCCAACAGCCCAAGATTCTCATAAGTCCCTTTGATAGAGGGCAGGACAGCGACTGTCCAGAGATGTGGCAGTAGAATAAGGAGCCTCCTACACAACCTCCTCACATTTTTAAGGGCAGAGAAATCATCAGGCAATTCCTTCCACTTGCAAAACTAATAATAGATACAAAAAAAAAAAAGTCTCCCTTACATTGTAAAAGACAACCAAAAGGGTCTCAGGTGAAATAATTTCTGTAAGAAATAGAAATTATTTGTATGTCTTCAAAATTTTATAATGGAACTAAAGTGCCTTTAAAGATACTAAACTATTTTTAAAAATTAAGAACAAAAGGAATTAAAATATCTACATTAAGTAAACCATATTTATACATTTTTATAATGTAACATGGCATTAAATTATGCATCCTTTGTAACAGAACAGCGTTTCTATGTCTTTTCTCATGCAGTTACTACATAGTAAGAATATTTCTGAGTCAGATCTTCATTTTCAGCACAGCATCAAATATATTCCAATATTTTGTCTAACTTCCAGGATATTCCAAAATTCTCATTTTTCAAAAGTAAATTGTAGCAAAGAGAATAACACAAATTTAATGTTTTAACGCTTAAAAATGGCAGTTTCCAAAATACGTAATTATTTCTTCTTAAAAAGTTTACCTCACAATTTTTAGGGTGAGTTTATAGTTGCCATTAATCACATTCACTTAGAATAATTCTGGTTTTCTTTATTGTTTTATTTGAGAACAATTAGGTTTTTTTTTATTCAAAACTTCCCTTTGACAGCCACATAGCCACATGTGGTATAAACCTCTAACAGCAATACATAGAATAAGATCCCCAGAACAAGTTGGATGCACAAACTTAAGTCCTCAAATAAAGATATAAAAATTATAAATCAGTACATTGTTGTGTTACTTTGTTCTTAAGCTGCAGAATCCTCAGGAGACTTACAATCAAGGTGGAAGGCACCTCTTCACAGGGTGGCAGGAGAAAGAATGAGTGCTGAACAAAGGGGGCAGCCCCTTATGAAACCATCAGAGCTCATGAGAACTCACTCACTATCATGAGAACAGCATGGGGGAAACCGCCCCCATGATTCATTATCCGCACCTGGTCCAGTCTTGACACATGGGAATTATTACAATTCAAAGTGAGATTTGGGTGGGGACACAGAGCCAAACCATATCAACTGTGTATTTTGAAAACACTGCCTGTGCACCAATGTATAATTTTTAGCCATCCATAATTCATTCTGCGGGTGATGTCTCATCAGACCCTTTGATTCACTTAAGACATATGAAACAAAAACATCAATACATAAATATGCTTGATATTTTCTTCTAAATTAAGGGTTTCTAAGACAAAAATAGAATTGTTCCCCACATAACATTTATTAACATCTCAAAGAACACCAGTATTCCCTGAAACACAGTTTTGGAAATGCTGGCCTGGAGAAAAGCCCAAACCGATAGCACAGTGTTAGGTAAAAGGAATAGAATTTGGAATTAGGCAGACCTTTGGATTGAGATCGGTTCTGTCATTTAGTTTGCTGGAATATTGTGAACTTTACTGAAAAACAAAAAGTAGCAGTACTTAGCTTTACATGGTGGGGACAAAATAGTTGCTTAATAAATATTAGCATGTTCTCTTCCATTCCCCACCCTACTGTTTCCTCTTTGGGGGCTGCGTCAATTGGATTCTTAGTTACAAGTGAAAGAAAATACAACTCAACTCAGGCAAAAAAGGGAACTTATTGGCTCACATAAAATGAAAGACTGGATTCAGGGCCCAGAAAATATAATTAGGAGTTGGTTTCTCTCCATCTCTTTACTATGCCTTCTGTCATACTGGCTTCAGTTTAAAGTGCCACGTGATAGCAAGGGGTTGCTTGGAGCTCCAGCCCCAGTATTCTCCAGGCTTCAGGCCTAACAGAAAAAAGTGAATACCTCATCCCTGGAAATTTACCAAATAAGTTCTGCTTTAGTTCTGATTAAGTCACATGCCCATGTCTTGACCAATTACAACCGCTGAAGGCATGAACAGTAGTGGTTGGTCCAAGATCCTGTGCTCCCCTCAGGAATGCTGAGAGTGTGAGTGTGCATGTATGTGTCTTTGTACATGTGTGTACAAGATATGTGTCAGATTCTACAAAGCCAAAGGGACCAGAAGTGGGGAAGGAGCTAATTCCCCAAATGGAATGGGGTTCAGGTTAATGTTCCCTGAAAGAAGGTTAATAGACACTGGACAGTAAAAACAGCTGATGGCCACTACAGCTCCCCTCTCATCAACCCAGAATCACACATGCTGCAAGCAAAACTCTGTCCTACCCACTAGAAATAATGATATTCCTAAAGTACTCTGCCTCATTGCCCCAGAATCTCCCAGAGATCATATCCTATCAATTAACGTTACTTAAAATCTCTTTACTTTTTCTACTGGAGTTTTTATCCTTTAGACTCCATTCGCTTATTTCTTGATCCTAACATGTTCCTTTACCAAATCTTCACTCCCATCTAGTAATTGTCTTCTTTCTGAGCCCCCAAAGCTTTCTGGACATCCTAGCACAGATCACATTGTCCTATATTGGTTCCCTGGCTTCTTGTGTGTCTCTCCTCATCCTGTGTTCGATTCACTCTGGTCCTTATTGTCTAGTATAAAAACTACCACACGGCTGGGCATGGTGGCTCACGCCTGTAATCCCAGCACTTTGGGAGGCTGAGGCGGGTGGATCATGAGGTCAGGAGATCGAGATCTTCCTGGCTAACATGGTGAAATCCTGTCTCTACTAAAAATACAAAAAAAAAAAAATCAGCCGGGCGTGGAGGCACATACCTGTGCCTGTAGTCCCAACTACTTGGCAGGCTGAGGCAGGAGAAATGCTTGAACCCAGGAGGCGGAGGTTGGAGTGAGCCGAGGTCACGCCACTGCACTCCAGCCTGGGTGACAGAGTGAGACTTTGTCTCAAAAAAACCCACACAAACAAACAAACAAACAAAAAACCAAAAAACTGCCACACAAGAGACACTTAATGGAGGTTTGCTAAAGGGATAAATAAATGAATCAAATACCAGTGAATGGATCCACAAGTATCACAGAAAGAAACCTCCAAAATGTGACTCTCTTGATTTATGTCATAGACAATTAACTTCAGTTACAGTGTTAGATAAGTATTATTAGTAAAGGTACATATTTCAGTCCATTTTATACTCCAGATTGTTTTTCCTGGAATACAAATAGCTACATTGGCCTTACAGAGTTGAAGTGAGTCAGTCTGTTTGTCTTTGTCTCTTTGTCTGTTTCTCTCTCTCTCCCTGCTCCTTCTTTCTCAGATATAGACACAGACAACACCCCTACACACCTATAAAACTAAATTTCCATAGAAATATGATAATTCGAACATGACATAATTTTTTTGTCATTTTGACAGCTTTTATTTTACATGGGTTTTCATATATAATCCCAAATGGTGAGCTACTTTGAGAAGGCAGTGGCCACATTTTTACTACAGCAAAATCTCCAGATTCAGCAATTTTTCTGATAATTTGTTTGACTACAAAGTATCTAGCTGGCTTCAGAGGGAGGAAAAAATCATCTAGAGTTTTTAACAGAAGGAACTTCTAAAGGTAGATGAAGCCAGTGCATTTCAAGGAAAAAAAAAAAAAAAGTAGATTAGCCAACGGTGAAATTTCTACAGTCCCAGGAAGATTTCTCCTTCGTTGAATTTTGCTGAAGCAGGATTTTCATCAATTATTCCCGTGAAAATTTAAAAGTGCTGTGAGTAGATACTTCCAACTCTTAAAGGCAAATGTTCTTTTTTAAATATAATTTTAGGACATATTTTTAAAGAATACACAAGCCATGCATGAGTGCAATTTTATCATAAAATATGTAAAAACCTACATAAATATATAGAATTTTAAAAATTCTGATTGGTCTATCTTTTTCCTTCTACATTAGTAATTGCTTCTAATTCTCATCTCTTTCCAGACACTTTTAAAAATTCTCATATATTATTCTATGTAAAGTCTCCCTAGTTTCTTTTTGGTGAATTTCTGCTTTCCACTATTGATGATGTTGGCTAGAGACCAATTCCTACTGCCTGCCTCCACCATATAATCTGTGCCTTCCTACAAGGCCCTCATACCATGCTTCCGAGACTCTGAACTGTACGTGAGAGAAACAAGAAATCTAGAAATTTTGAAGGCCAGAACCCTCACAGTAGCAGCAGTAACAGAGGTGATGACAGCAGCAGCAGCTGTGGCAACATACTGACCAGGCTATTCCTGCCTAAGTGTGTTGCAATGTTTCCTGCTTCCTGAATTCCTTCTGAGCTTCCTTTTTTCCTGGTGTTCCCAGTCGTCTTCTTCCTGCTGTCATTGACTCTGGGAGCTGCATCCTTCCAATGTCAGGTAGACTAAAATTCCATAAAGCCCATTGTGCCTGTTATTAAAATTGTAGAACAACTTTCTTTCCGTTATTTTCCTAGTATTTTTTTCATCTATTTAACTCACATTTTCTCAATATATTCCAGATGTCCCCTTCGTAATTATATACTATTCAGTTACATTCTATTGATTTTTTAAAAGGCAAATCTTAGAATTTCTCTTTGTAAAAATTCCTTTGATCCGAGTAATCACATTTGTTTATTTTCTATTTCCTGCGTTTTCCTCCTTATTTATATAAACTGTGATAAGTCAAGTGAGCATGTTAAACACTTAAATTAAGCACTAAAAGAATACATAATAAAGTCTACAAGTGTTGACCAATTGTCTATCTCCTTCAGAAAAATCTGAGGATATTAGAATGCTTTAATTTCAATCTCCTTTGAAATAACTGAGTTTTCTGACCTTTTCTTCTGTTTTTAAAAATACCCAAATAGTGTTACATTTTTATAAGCCAGTGCACCAACATAATAAAGGGCATTTATGAAAACCCTGCAGCTAACGTAATGAAAGATTCAATGATGAAAGACTGAAAACTTTCTTCCTAAGATCAAGAACAAGATAAGGATGGCTTCTTGAACACTGCTATTCACCATTACACTGGAAGTTCTAGCCAGAGCAATTTGACAAGAAAAAGAAGTAAATGGCATCCAAATCTTTTAAAAAACAAGTAAAACTATTTCTATTTACAGATAGCATAAGCCTACAAAAAGAATATCCCAAATAATCCACCAGAAAGCTACTAGAGCTAATAAACAAATGCAGGAAAATTATAGGGTACAAGATCAATAGACACAAATCAGTTGTATTTTTATATACTTGCAATGAGCACTCAACAAAGAAAACAAAAAAATTTATTTACAGTAGTATCTAAAAGAATAAAATACCAGGGAATAAGTTTAGCTAAGGAGGTGAAAGACTCGTATAACGAAAACCATAACACGTAGCTGAAATAAATTGAAGAAGACCTAAAATAATGGAAAGATATCCTGTGTCCAGGAACTGAAAGACTTAATGTTGTTAAGATGTTAATATCTACCTCAAGTGACTACAAATTTAGGGCAATCTTTATTGAAATTGCAATAGCCATTTTGCAGAAATGGAAAAATTGACTCTCAAATTCATATGGAATTGCGAGGAGCCCTCGATAGCAAAAACAATATTAAAAAATGAAAAACAAAGTTGGAGAACTCATACTTCCCAATTTTAAAACTTACTACAAAGTTACAGTAATCAAACCAGTATGATACTGGCATAAGAACAGACATGTAAAACAATGGAATAGAATTGAGAGTCCACCACAAAGACATAAGAATGAGGCATTGGACTTTGGGGACTTAGGGGGAAAGAGTGGGAGGCGGGTGAGAGATAAAAGACTACATGTTGGATACAGTGTACATTGCCTGGGTGATGGGTGCACCAAAATCTTAGAAATCGTCATTAAAGAACTTATCCGTATAGTAAACACCACCTACTCCCTAAAAACCTATTGAAATAAAAAATAAATTTAAAAAAAGAATTGAAAGTCCAGGAATCAATCTATAAATCCATGGCCTATTGATATTTGACAAGGTTGCCACATCCATTCAAAGGAGAAAGAATAGTCTTCAACTAATGGTGCTGGTACAACAACCTAAATGCAAGGGCTAAAAATTGTAACTCCTAGAAGAAGTTATAGGGGAAATCATGACCTTAGATTTAGCGGTGGAATCATAGATACAGTTGCTGATTTGAACTCTGCTATTGTTTTGGGTTTTTTTTTTTTTCTCTCTTGGTAAGTAATTTCCTTTCTGTTCCTGACTTGGATGTCCTGTAGTTGTTGTTGTTTTTAGAGGAAGATTTCTTATTATAGCCATTAGCTCACTGGAGAAATGGAAAATTTGCTAAAGGTGGGAATCATTTAAAACAACAATTAGGCCTGCCTTGGTGGCTCACACCTGTAATCCCAGCACTTTGGGAGGCCGAGGCCAGTGGATTGCCTGAGGTCAGGAGTTCAAGACCAGCCTGACCAACATGGTGAAACCCTGTCTCTACTAAAAAATACAAAAAGTTAGCCGAACGTGGTGGTACATGCCTGTAATCTCAGCTACTTGGGAGGCTGAGGCACAATAATCACTTGAACCCGTGAGGCAGAGGTTGCAGTGAGCGGAGATCATACCATTGCACTCCAGCTATCTTAAGCATTTAATTTATACTGTTAGGAAATGTTTTAAAATAGACGAGTCCCTTCGAGACAGGCCTACTGGTCTTATTTTTATCTTATCTTTCCTTCATGAACTACACACATTATGCATCATTATGCATTCTCTACAATTTCCAATTCCAGTGTCTCTACAGTGAATGCAAGAACCTAAAAGACATTATAGGAAGCAGTTGTGTTCACCATATTCCAGATATTTATGACTTTTGACTTCCTTCCAAAACCTAATTTTATAGCTGCTTTATTTAAGTGGCATACCTTTATGGAATTCTCCCAAAACATTCAATTTAGTTTTTCTTGACACAATTTTTTCTTTTATGTTGATATTTTATTGGTCTGGATAATAAAAATAACATGTGCAACTCTCCTTAACAGTTACAGACAAAACAGAACTGAATTTTTAAAAATAGAATTCAAGGCTGGGCGCAGTGGCTCACGCCTGTAATCCCAGCACTTTGGGAGGCCGAGGTGGGCGGATCACGAGGTCAGGAGATCGAGACCGTCCTGGCTAACACAGTGAAACCCCATCTCTACTAAAAATACAAAAAAAAAAAAATTAGCTGGGCATGGTGGGGGGCTCCTGCAGTCCCAGCTACTCGGGAGGCTGAGGCAGGAGAATGGCATGAACCCGGGAGCTGGAGGTTGCAGTGAGACGAGATTGCGCCACTGCACCCTAGCCCCCAGCCTGGGCAACAGAGTGAGACTCCGTCTCAAAAAACTAAATAAATAAATAAATAAATAAATAAATAAAAATAGAATTCAACTGGTAGGAGCAAGAGTGCACTGATGTACTATATAGTGACTTCCTAGTTTTAAGTGTGAAGTACACTATAAGAACTGGCAAGAGAGAATGGAAAAAACCCACTGATTGGCTGAGTCTCTGAGTAAGTCAAGAGAACTCACTCAGTGAGGAAGATTTCTGCTCTATTTCTCTTACTCAGAACTCAATCTGAATAACCATGTCTTTTTCAGTTCTGGATATTTGCTGCTATTTTTTCCCAAAGATATTTCTTCCCTCTCTATTCTCACACACACAAACTTAGATGAATGCTTAATATTTTCATTTTATTGTCCACGTCACTTAACTGTTTTTCATGTGTCCAACCTCTTATTGCTCTTGGTTGCATTTTAGGACTTTTTCTGAGATCTGTCTCCCCATTTTCTCACCCCCTGTTTAGCTGTGCCTGGCTATCACTTAAGCAGTCCATTGCATTTTCTATTTTAATTTTATATATATATATATATATATATATATATATATATATATATATATATATATATATATATATTTTACTTTCAGATGTTCTACCTTATTTGTTTGAAGTCTGTCTAGTATTTTTTGTGGTATCATATTCTTTTTTTTTTTTTTTTTTTTTTTTTTTGAGACGGAGTCTCGCTCTGTCACCCAGGCCGGACTGCGGACTGCAGTGGCGCAATCTCGGCTCACTTGCAAGCTCCACTTCCCGGGTTCACGCCATTCTCCTGCCTCAGCCTCCCGAGTAGCTGGGACTACAGGCACCCGCCACCGCGCCCGGCTAATTTTTTGTATTTTTAGTAGAGACGGGGTTTCACCTTGTTAGCCAGGATGGTCTCGATCTCCTGACCTCATGATCCACCCGCCTCGGCCTCCCAAAGTGCTGGGATTACAGGCGTGAGCCACCGCGCCCGGCCGGTATCATATTCTTTCGTTAAGATTTCTATTCCCTCTTATGTATCTTCAATCATTTAAAAATATTTAAAATAATAATTTATTTTAAATTGTTTAGTTTTCTCCTGGTTTTGAGAGTACTATAATTTTTGTTGCATCTGCTAACTCATTTCAGCCTGGGTTGTTTTCATAAATGATTTAGGTAAAAGTCTCTGGAGCCAGACTTGTTAGATTTTTAACCTGGTCATGAAATTCTATACAACTGTTATAATTTAGTGGAAAAGTTATCTCTCGGCTTCATTTTTATTTCTCCCCCAAAATAAGAGATATAGTTGGTTATATGGCTATAAATTTTATAAGAAAAAAAGCAAATTTATGAATTAAGGATAAGTGAAACTTGAAAACACTTTTAGGTTTTTAAATCCTGCCTCCACCACTTAAAATATAGATGGCTAATGCTGTAGATTTTGCCTCCAAGCCCTTACATTAGAGTTTTTTTCTGTTCTTTTCTTTCTTTCTTTCTTTTTCTGACTACACTGAAAAGACAGAGTTCTTTGGATACTTTGAAAGGACAAAATGGATAGAGTTTTTCTTATCCACTTTTCCTAGGGCTCCCCTTTTCAGTTGGAAGTGTTATATCAGAATCTTTGTTCCAGCCCATTGTCTCATTTAACCAGAAGTTAAGTCTCCTGTGCATTAGAGGGAATAAAAACCTCAGTGCTCCCAGATCAAAATTCATATGAGCTATTATCTACTTTTCATGCTGGATTTTCAGTTCTCTTTTTAATTTTGGAAACTGAGGCTATCTTATTTCACTTACGTGCATGCGTATGTCTGTGCGTTTGTGTATGTCTTTCTTTTTGAACTTGATTATTATGCATTTGTTATTTTGTACTAGCACGGTTTTTTATCATGTTTTTCTGAGGGGTTTGAGAGGTTAAGGGGACATCCACATTTGTTCCACATGGGGCTAAAAATCACCTTAGAATAGATTTCTAAAAGTAAAATTTCTAGGTCAAAAAGCCTACACTTTTAAATTTACAGTTTTGAGGTGCTTTTAAATTTCTCTCCCTCAAAAGATGAGTCATTACTCCTGCCTTCTCATGGTGTCTGAGGGTGCCTACTGCCTCATACTTTTGGCTATACCATATACTACAATCTGCGGAGAAAAATT
This sequence comes from Homo sapiens, assembly GCF_000001405.40. NCBI lineage: Eukaryota > Metazoa > Chordata > Mammalia > Primates > Hominidae > Homo > Homo sapiens. Next base: position 105,168,031 of record NC_000008.11, on the reverse strand, counting down.
ATCCTGTGTTCTCTAATTTTACTTTTGCTTACTACTAATGACTTTGGGAAACTGCATCTATATTTGCATTAATATTTATTCTGTGATTGCCCATTCACACACTTTTTAAAAGGCCAATATCCTTTTTAATCTTCTAATTTATGTACCTCAATGGATGAGCAATAAATAATAATTAATGATGTCACGATATCTATCTCACTCTATAGCATATACTTAGTGAGAGGTAAGCAGCCCCATTTCCATTGTATAAGGATGACTATATGTTACTATATGTTAGAGATAGAAGTTAAGTAATTTGAAAATTATATCTAAGGTCACACAATTATGAAACTGAAAAATCAATTTTTGAATCAAATCACCCAGGAGTATGGTACCTGTGTTCTAAAAACGCTACACTGTTTAGTGAAGCCACCCTTAAAGCTCATCCCAAAATAATGTCTAAAGAAACATACATATAAGATACAGCTTTAAACAATAAACGACAATTCTGAGTCAGCGCTAAATACTCATAGTGGAATGTCAATATCATCCCCTCTCCACAGAGAATTTTACTATCTGAGAAGCTGGTGGAGCCTAAAGACCTGAGGATTTCTTCCTAGCTGCAGCAGAACACGGTAAACTAAGGGAGTTTGATTTGCATTGCTCAGTGTTATTTAATGAAAAGTTTGGATTAATTGGTTACTATCTCCCAAGAGACTCCCTAAATGAAAAGTCTACTGGTTGTCCATATGTTTTCTAGCAATAATGATTACCAGCCATACCTTAAGTCCTCTGAGGCTCTGAAGACTACGCCTTGGTTAGTATGAGAATTTTGGCAGCGTGAGGTACTAAACTGTCTAAATAAGTGAACTACGGGGATGACTTGTACTGACAGCTAAGAAAAGCCTCTTTGCTCACCATTCCCTTCTCCAGAATATTTCATTAATTTTTTCAATAAATATTTATTGAAGCCAGAACATAAAGTGGATATAAAAAGACCATACCAGGTGGCAGGTTACGGCAGTTTAAAAGGACGGATGAAAGGGGGTCCCTTGGTGCTTGGAGCAGCATCCGTTGTCATAATTAGCAAAATGTTAGCTTGAGAGCTCAAAATTTAAATAGAAAATGATCTTTCTTATGATGACCTCTGCCCCTATCTTTTGAAGGTACTCTTTGAGTCTGACCACTGCCAGGCATTAGTTACACCAATTGTCTCAACCTTTTCAACAATCTTTTCACTACAAGGAATTCACAATATGCCTTTCAGGTGTGGAAAGAAAATTCATACGCAACCTGTAAAAACCTAGCAGATGGTACAGTAATTTGTATATACATACATGCATACAGGATATATTCCTGGAGAATGAATCAGATTCATGTTACACCTATTTAAATGTTTCATTATATTTAATTTTAATTCATTTATTCATAATTTTAACCTCTGTAAGGACACGCATTATTTAAATTAATAGACAGGTAAACTGCATCAACAAAACTGTAGCATTTAATGTTGAAGATAACTGACATGCATGAAGTCATTGTATTAAAATATTGGTTTATCTATGGTTTTGCACAGATGGAGCTAGTAATTAATATTAAGCTATTTTTTTCATCAGGGGATTCCCTGTTAACAAAATTCACCTAGTATACAATAAATTGCTACATTATACCATCTGAGTAGGTGATGAATTGTTTATAAACTTATTAATACTAATACATTTTTCTCAGATGCAAAATATGTAATACTCCTACTGGCCAATGTATTATTGAAATTAATAAATTTAATAAGTTGGACAATATGGTCTACTCTGAAAAAAAATTCTTAACTGCATATTTGATCATAGATGTACAGAAAATATGTTCCATGCCATCTGGATTCTGAGAACAACATCAATTTCAAGATATAGAAGTTATTTGAATAATTAAAGGTAGCCAGGAGCAACACAGCCTACCACTTTAAAAAGGGCCTTCTGAAGGGAAGTATTTTTCCTGAGTGGCCAATAGATACATTCTTGGCCATACCAGAAATGTCAGGGAACCTAAGCAGCATGGTTGCATATAAGCAGGAAAGTTTAAAAAGAGTTTAAAATGCTCTCTTTCTAATCAAGGGCTCTATTTAGCATAAATCCTCAATAAGCTCACTTGTCACATGATGAGGAAGGACAGTTCTATCACTTCCATCTGAGTAAGTCATTCAGCAGGACACTCAAATTGAGGCCTTGGGAACATATCTGAATTTTACTAGCACCTCCTACAGAGGGCATCAAAAGTGGAAAATTGATGTTAATAAATCTCTCCTTATGCCTCTTTCAGAGGGATCAAAATATAACAAGCTAGTTTCATTTCTAAAGGATTTAAAATTATCATTCCTTATTTTTAAAGTGCCATGAAAATGCTGTTGAAATTACATTCAACTCTCAAACAGTAATTTACTGACCAAAGAATGATCTATTAGGAAACAAGATTTTCAAAGTAAGGAAACACTAAGGTAAATAAAAGGTATCATTTATTCCTATGTTTGACCCTCTAAAATTAGGATTGGGTTAGATCCGCTATGAAACCCTTCCAATCTTTTAATGACACATCCCTGGTTCCTCTCTGCCAACAGTCCTGGTTCTTAATACAAAAGCTTGTCCATTTAGTAGACTAGAATACAATGACATCCTCAAAATCATCTCTTTGGAAGGGAACCTGAGAGATACTAATATTTCATATTAGTCACCGGGTGTCACCATTCCAAGTTCATCATTTTTGTTTTATGAGGAATCAGACCCATATAGTTTAATGTGAGGGAACTTAACACATGAGTTTCTCTTCTTGCGTGAGAGGCAACCCTGGCAAATGACTATAGCCTAGAATATGTCTGGATGCAGAGTTACAGCACAGGCCTCAGTGGCCGGGAAGACACAGAGTTGGAAATAAATTGAAAAAACTGGAACACTGTTAAAAAAAAATCAAGGAGTCACCAATAACTGTAACCTCACTTTTGAGTTCTAAACATTGATGTTGATTTTTATAACTCCTTGCAGAAATGCAGCTCAATCATTACTCCTGGCAGAAAAGTGATGCTCATTCATAGATGGACCCAGATCCTTACTGGTCTCAGAAATCCTGAAGAATCTCCTTTTTTTTTTCTTTAAAATCTTTTTTCTATCCTCATCATGAAAAGAATCTCAATTCATTTTCATTTGCAAACTAAATACATGCTATACCATATGATGCTACTTAACAAAAATCAATATTGTGAAACATAATTACAAATATCCATGTCCTGGCTTTCTGGTCTCTTTCATTATTAATAAACTGAGATCTTGGCATTGTTTGCTTTGGCAAAAAAGCAAACGTGATTGATCCCTTAAAAATCCCCTGATTTGAGAGTTGGCTAACAATGTATGAAATTTCAGGTGAGGACATTAAAATTCAAGTTGTATATAAACCTTAAAACACACTGTGAAAAAATAAGCTATGTCAAAACTAATAAAAATACCTTGTGCATTATAAATGTTTTCTTGACTGGTAAAAATACGTTTTAGGTTTATCATTTAGAGTTCATCATTAAATGATTAAAACATATTCCTAACTTTTTATATTATGTATATGTGGAATACAAGTCTCACTTATAAATGAATATATAGAATGCGAGTGCCACTTATAAAACATCTTGTATTTGTCAATGATATTTGGTAATACAAAAAAGTCTATATTTCACTTGATATGCTTTATGGGAAGAACGTAGCAATACATTCTACAATCAATGTAAACTTTGTTCTGATAGTAAAGCAGTTATAATTACATAATAAGATATATGTTTCTAAATTAACTTTCATATGGAAAAATATTTACAATAATAGTTATAGAGTAAGGTGCTTCAAAGATGTTTGAAAACGTTTCTGCAAGCTATAATATTATAAATAATCTATGGATGTCTTTCGTTTTTTGTGTTAGAATAATATGGCAAAAGGACAAGCTAAGAGTAGGGTTGACTTACATGTGAAATTGGACGTGTGGGAAATTAGGATAGAGTTTCTAATAATCCAGGAATTAGAGCTCAAAGAAATATATTTCAGGCAAATCTCCATTGTCCATTCTTAATACATCCACCTTTATATATTCACTATGGGTCTTCATTTCAAATTTCCTGATAGTGCCTATTGATTGCATTTGGCTTATTCTCTTACATTAATAGGAAAACTAGTTTATTAACCATTTTATTAATCATGGCTTTTGCTTACATACTTACTTTGCTGACATTTCTCATTCTCTGTTTATTCTTACTTAGATTATGAAACTATAAATTATTCTTAAAATTTTTGTTTTCAAAACTTCAGGGGACTTTAGAAGCCATCCAAACACTTCAGTTTCCAAAAGAGAAAACAAAAGTGCTTTGCCCCAGTTTCACACAAATCAGTTGCAACCAGCAACCATTCAAAGCCCAAACACCTAAGGCCCTCCAAGTGTTAGGCTGTATATTCCTTAGGGGCCTGGAATATAATTCACATGCCTTGGTTTTACACGTATTTGTAGAGCATGAGCTCATTAAGTGGCGAAGAAGGAAGGAAAAAAGAAGAGAGGGAGAGAGGAAGGAAGGAAGAGAGGAAAGGAAGAAGGAAGGAAAGAAGGAAAGAAAAGGGATGGATGGATTGTTACAATATAGTTTAAAATATGACACCAAAAGACATCTAATACATTAAAGGAAACTGTTGAGCTGAGGTCAGGATGGGGTAAATGAACCATTTCCCACTTCATCCCAGCTCAGATATTCCACTAAGCCTTCATTGTTTACTTGTAATTGCCTACACATACATACATAATTATGTGTGTGTATGTGCACATGTGTTGTTTTTAAGGAAGAGCAGATGTAGGATCTAGGAACTATTTGGGAAACATAAGAAAGAATAAGGGTACATTTTATAATCAAACTATTAAAAATTGATGCTCTGATAACTTTTTATAAACTATAGAAAATTATAAAAACAAAAATACAGAGCAATGGAATTTGAATTATAAACATATAAGATTAAATATATTTACATAATAAAATCATTCATTTTTTTATAACCACCATGTATCTTGTCCTTGTCTAGTTATTATCTTATTGATTCTCTAAGTTTTGTTTTTGTCAACTGTATTATTGATTTTCTCTAAATATTTAATTTGTAAAATCTACAAACAGGGAGTCAAAACAACACATGGTAAAAATGAACACCAGAATTTATGAATATCAATAACCTGTATTTCAGTATTTTTTAATACTCAGTGCAGGGCCCTAGAACCATGCTGCCTGAGTTCAAATATTGACTCCTTCACCCACCAACCATATGACACTGGGCAAGTTATTGAATCTGCCTCAGTTTCTTCATCTGTAGAAGACAAATGATAATAGTACCCATTCTCCATGATTGTTATAAAGATCAAATAAATTATGACAGATGCAGCACTTCGAATATCACCTGCCACATCCTGCTATCAATATGTGTTAAAAATTGATGTTGTGATATAATTATACTACAATGGTTGTTTGAATGAAGTAGTTTAAAACGTTAATTTATCATGAATTCAAGTTAAAGTAATGGGACTTGGTTAGGTGCCTTAAATAAATATGAATAATTGTCTTAAAGAAGGTTGGTCATATTAATTTTTTGTCTATTAAAAATACCTAGCGATAATGGCTAAGGTGTATGCACAGAATATATTTAAAGTGAAGAATAATACATTTTCATTCAAACTTACCATGTAATTTCACCCTATTGAGCCAAAATTGCCTTTTCATTAAAGACATAGCCTTGAATCTCATAATTTGCTTTGCATTTGAACTCTTCTTTGCCTAAGTTAGAAGAGAAAGTCATAAAATTGGGTATTTTCCTTCAACAAATACTTATTCATTGTAATCTAGTTGAGTTGTGTTTCAAAAAGTCTTTCTAAGAAATAACAAATTTTAATGATCAGTTTATCTATACTGAAAATACCAGGTAAAGCTAGAGTAAATGTATTTATTCAAACAAAGGGCAATATAACAATACTGCCATTTTCCTTGACCTTTTGAATTTTATTCTAGGACATCTCCCTTTGTCTTCTCTTTGGTTGTCTTATACATCTCCATTAACTACTAACATGGTGAAAAGCAGAGTAGTATTATTGTAGTCAGCTCTGTTGATGCCCCCATTCACTCTGAGGTGGCAGTGAGTTACTGCATCCCCCAATCCACTCTCTGTAGGGCAACCAATGGCCAGTGACTGAGTGGTACGGGGCACAAAGATTCAGCTCCTTGTGTAAAGGGCCAGCAAACTCTATGGTGTAACCTACACTGTAGTGCTCCCTTTGGGCTCAGGCTGAGTCTAGGTTTCTCCAGACACCACCTCCTTGTTGAACTTCTTCCCCTTTTCTGTTTTGCTTCCCTCATTCCAGTACAGATTTCTCCCAGGAGCACAACTTAATTCTCCAGCACATGAGTCCAATTCTCAGGTTATTCCTCTAGGACACTGGTCCCCAGCCTTTTTGGCATCAGTGACCGGTTTTGTAGAAGACAATTTTTCTATGGACCTGGGGGTGTCGGGATGGTTTTAGGATGATTCAAGTGCACTATATTTACTGTGCACTTTGTTTTTATTATTACATTGTAATATATAATGAAATAATTATAGAACTCACCATAATGTAGAATCAGTGGGAGCCCTGAGCTTGTTTTTCTGCAACTAGACAGTCCTATCTGGGAGTGATGGGAGACAGTGACAGATCATCAGGCATTTAGATTCCCATAAGGAGTGCGCAACCTAGATTTCTTTGCATGCACAGTTCACAACGGGGTTAACCCTTCTATGAGAATCTAATGCCAGACTCAGGCAGTAATGCCAGCAATGGGAAGCAGCTGTAAATACAGATGAAACTTCACTCTTTTGCTGGCTGCTCTCCTCCTGCTGTGTGGCCCGGTTCCTAACAGGCCACTGTCCATGGCCTAGGGGTTGGGGGCCCATGCTCTAGGAAACCCTTCTAAGCTAAGTACATAAAGATTGAGCAATGCATTGAGTCAAATATCCAGTGCTGGATAAAGAAAATGTGGCACATATACACCATGGAATACTATGCAGCCATAAAAAAGAATGAGTTCATGTCCTTTGCAGGGACATGGATGAAGCTGGAAACCATCATTCTCAGCAAACTAACACAGGAACAGAAAACCAAACACTGCATGTTCTCACTCATAAGTGGGAGTTGAACAATGAGAACACATGGACACATGGAGGGGTACATCACACATTGGGACCTGTCAGTGGCGGGGGCAAGGGGAAGGAGAGCATTAGGACAAATACTTAATGCATGTGGGGCTTAAAACCTAGATGATGGGTTGATGGGTGCAGCAAACCACCATGGCACATGTATACCTATGTAACCTGTACATTCTGCACATGTATCCCAGAACTTAAAGTATAATAAAACATACACACACACACACAAATATCCAGCACTGCCAGTTTAAGAGTGAGACTTTAGAAAAATTGTTTACCAGTATAAGCCTCAGTGGTCTCATCTGTAAAATGTTGATAATGATACTTCATCTCCAATGCATAATTGTTGCGATTCAAAAATGTAAATTAAGATACTTAAGAGGGATGTATTATTACCCATGTGAGCACTTTTACTTAGCACTTCTGGAATAATTTTTTATTTTCTTTAAAACATAAAATATTTCTTGATGAAAAAAAATTACACCCACTCCCACTCTCAATTACTTTTTCTATGTCTTAATATATTGTTGAATCTTGTTTTTTTTCTCCTCTGATGAAATTGTGGTTGCTCCAAAGCTGAATTGCCCCAAAGTTGAATACAGGAGAATTTAAGTCACACATATTTTAAAAACTATTACTAAGCTACTGAAAGCTGGAGCCAGAACCTTCCTCACAACTCACAGAAGATGCAAAAGAACCAGCCCACTAACACAATCATAATTCCCTCCCACCTACCACCTTCCAGACACAGAGAGAGTTCTCAGAGTGACGAGCCAGGGGAGTGAGCGCAGAGTTTAGCTGAGAAGCTTTTTCCTGCCCTCTTCTCCTCCTCTTTAATGGTACATTATCTCCCACAAAGAGCAAGTGAAGTAGAAAATTCTAGAAGGTGGTACTGTGCCTTGGTCCTTGTCTGAATGTTTGTCTTTCTGGGTCTTGACTCCATTAGAAGGGAGCTGAGCATGGGGAGAGATAACTGAGAAAGTGACATATGTTCCCTGTCTGGATAGTCCTAAAAGTAGGAGAGATGCTGATAGTGTTGCCATAGGAGGAGGGGGAACTGCAACGCAGTATAGGAAGGTAGAAGGCCCTTGATGCATGTGGAGGGGCCCAGAGAGCAACAGGAGTTGTCCTCTCACCGTTACGGGAGTAAACCACATGGAATTGCTGGCAGAGACCAAAAGGAGAAAATGGCTTTTAGAGGGAGATTTCAGTGATGAAAGGTGCTGGATGATCTAAAGAAATTATACAACACATTAGCCCTAAGCAGAACCTGAGGGAGGCAGAGCCAGGCAGAGGAAACCTCCATATTGATGATGTAGCTTTCAGCTACCAACTGTGTAGGAGCTGGGCCCAAAAAAAGACTTTGTGGGCCGGTTGGGGGAGGAGGCGGAGAAATAGTAAAACAGAACTGCCCCTCCAGAATCCTATCCTCTAATGACAAACTTGATCAGCATGGGGGAGAGGAAAACTCTGGATTGAACAGGAAATGTATAAAGTAGACTGGATTAAATTTTAATAACCAAGAATGACCAGAAAGTTAGGAAATCTGCCCAAGAATTCATTAAAAACACAGGACAGGGCAATTCCACGGAGTACAAGTGAAAGCAATGATGAAAAGGAAGCAAATCATTTATACCCTACTGAGTTCAAACTCCTCAATCAGCTAGCTACACATCAGTAGGTAATTTGACCTGCAAATTATCCAAACTGAGTAAGACTGCAAAAATATTAAAACCAAAGCACATGGGTTGGTACTAAAGAATTTCAATGCAGTAAGGGAGTCCATTGAGAAGCTAAGAGCATGGGTTTTGGTGTTAGACCAAACTGAGTTGTAATCCCAGTTCTCCACTTATCAGCTGAGTGACCCTGGGCAAGTTTCTTAGACTCACTAAGCTGTGGTTTGCTGATCTGAAATTGGAAATTATCTATAAGTTTGTTGTAAAAATTAAATGAAATAACAAATGTAATGTGTAATGTGCAGCTCGTGGTAAACATTGAAATAGTAGCTACTATGATTTATTTACTATTATTTGTAAATCTAAAATAAAGTTATAGGTCTTTTTTATTTTCAAACTACATTATGCAACATTTAATTCTTCAGTGGCTGGCATTGCACAAAAGCCACCATAAAAAGACAGAAATGAGGTCATTAGTAGAGAATTCGACCTTTTATAAATTAATAAGAGATAATTTCCCAAATTGAATTTTATTGGCAAAATAGCTCATCCCTCACCCCCTTTCCAAATACATCAAATATTACATTCTGCAGTTTGGTGAGGGGCTTCAGTTGTACCATCTTGTATATTTATTTATTTATTAAATTAGGAGTTTGTCTACAGTGACATACTTGTCCCTGTTTGTCTACAGTGACATACAATAAACAACCTGCTTATTAGTTTTCCCTTAAGCTTCTGAGAATTGCACCCCCCTTTTTGATTTGCCCAATTGTCAGTACTTTTTCTTCTCTCCTTTCTGGCCCATTATCTGCTTAGTAATGGATCCCTTTAACCCAAACAGCAGGTTTATGTGTTCCCCGTTCCAAAGAGACAAGCTGACCCATCAGAATTCACCAACATCTGGCACCCAAAGGCTGCACTCTGGCTCCGTCCTCTATTGATGTGAGGGGATTTTTGTTTGGTTTGGTTTGGTTTGGTTTTCTTAATAAACATAGTTTCAAAAATAAGATTTCCCTTCAGCTGATTGTTTTGCATATTGTGCTGGCTCAGGGTTTAGAGAGAAAGACATAAATGATTTCCTAAAACACATTCTTTAGAACAAAGACTATAGCTGTCCTTGCCTACAGACTGAATCTGGCATACTTCATAGCTCTGAAATGCTCACTGGGTTCTAGCCCTGCAGGAGTCACCAGAGATGCAGGGCTGCCCCTTCTAGCTGGTCTGACAAGGGTAGTGAGGGCTGAAATTCAGTCTGTGTGCACCTCTCCATGCCTTTACCTTTGCAAGGCTGTGTCTGACCAGAGGGGGTAGCTTTAAAGGGCTGAATGGGGGTGACCTTGATAATTGTACTAAATTATGTATAAAATTACAGACTGCTGAGTATGAAGATGTGTTCAGTGACCCTCCTGTGACCCTTGAAGGAAGAAGTAGAAGTATAGAGATAAGTGGGATTTTGAAGATGCAGCATAACAGGTGGGAGAAAAATCTGGAAAAGAGGCTTCCAAGAAAGAGCTGCATATGGCTCTGTGAAGCATCCCACCCTGTGCCATCAAATAAACCAAGCCTTTAAAAAATAATTTTTCACCATATCTATTAAAAATCTGACATATATGAAAATGTTTCTGGTATCATCAGGATATTGTATATCTTTTTGATAGAGTATGGCACCTGCCACAGTGACAATCTTTATTTTTGAGTCAACATAATTGGTCACTCAGGCCTCTGAAGTTCTCAATATGGAGAAAACAGAGAAAGCAGAGTTGTTCATTATTAATACTTTAGCTTAACCAGCATAGGAACAGGATGATGTTGACAAATGTAGATAAATGTTGTTTCTTAAGAAAGACATATTTACAGAAGAGATGAATTTGTAGAGCAAAAATGGCAATGTTTACAGATGAGAAAATAAGGAAGACTGAGTGACTTATTTATCTAGAAGAATTTCGACTTGAAGAGTGATTTGAATAAAAGTATGAATTTCTATGCCATAGACAACACATATGATAGAGAGAAAAATGTAGTAAAGAAGTATTTCCTTAGGGAAAAAAGTAGAAAAGGAATTTTGAAACAAGTCATTTGTATTTATGCACTTAAATTTCAATCCATAGGATACAATAAATAAAGAAATATAAAATGCTATCTTTAAGAAGGCAAAAATATGGTCTTCATTCTAATGATGATATTATAATTAGAAGAAATTTCTCATTGAATACCTCTTCCTCTGATATAGGAGGTCCGGCATAGGTAAACTCTCTGAAGTTAGCTATTCAGTCTTTCTCATATTTGTATTTTCCTTGTGTTTTACAACAGTAAATACATGTTTCATATTTATTGGAGAAAAATTAGATCATGATGCAGAAGGTCGCACAGAGAGTGATAAATAGTCCTTGGAAGAAGATAAAGGACAAAGAAGCACAAGCAAGTTACATTATCATTCTTAGGGGTATCAGTGCAGCAGATTGCATTTTCTGAAAATGGCCACAGAAATATGTCCAGTTTCACATGATCTTTCTCAAATGCTCTTCCAGAACCTTATAATCCTCTCAGCAAAGAATTGGATTCTATCTCTCTTCCCCTTCTAATTGAATGACTCTTTGTAGGTGTTTTAATTATAAAATGTAGCAGAAGTGATCCTGAGTGACTTCCAAGGCTAAGTTATGAAAATTAACATAGCTTTCACCTGGCTCTTTCTCTTGGATGCTCACCATTGGAGCCCAGCCACCATAGTGTGAGGAAGCCCAGACCACATGGAGAGGTCACATGCAAATATTCCAGGCAACAGCCACAACTAAAGTCTTATACAATGACTAGTATCAACCACTAGACATGTGAGTGAGAAATAAGCCTTAGGATGATTATATTACCCATCCTTCAAACTGCCCAAGATGTTGACAAATGGAGCAGAGGTAAGGTACTGTCACAGACTCCTACACAATTTGCAGATTTGTGAGCTAAATAACCCATTATGTTTTAAGAGAGTTTGTTACACAGCAATAAATAAGACACTCATAAGAAGTATTTGGCTAAGCAGGAGAGTAATGATACTTTCTAATATAGATTATAATACTCGAACTGTTTAAAAACAGTGTGTAGGATACAGGAAACTTGTATTTTGGATAAACCATTGTTTTAGCACAATGCTTACCTCACAGTAGGAATTGGAAACAACTTAATTTACTTGGAAACCACATTCTGATAAAGCAAGGCACCTGAACTTGCTGTGCTATACTCTCAACCAGAAGATTAAAGAGTCAGCGTGAGTAAAGGAGATATCTCTTATCTTAGCATGCGACGGCATTGTTTCTCCTTTCTTTTGGTGGTAGCACCCTATTGTTCTTTATATGCAATTAATGAATTTCTATATCATGTTCTTTGAGTTGGGCTGTCACTAATGGTGCTTTAATCCCTGGCTACATGGGTAAGGTGATGATTCAGTCTAGCAAAGAAGAGTGCTGCATCCCCCCATAGTACAAAAACTGGCTCAAGGACGGGCAAGTCACCTAGGCAGAACTAACCAATATCTTCTCTGACTTGGAAAAAGAGGGTGGGTCGGTCGGTCTCTCTCTCTCTCTCTCTCTCTCTCTCTCTCTCTCATCTTAAGCTGTAAGAGTACCAGGAGCCATCTTCCATGCCACCTGAGAAAGCCTGACTGAAAATGGAGCCTGGGTAGGGGAGTGGAGCCAGGTCATGAAAAGAGAGAATGAGCCCTTGATGCTGACATCAGAGCCAAGCATGCCTGATACTAACCTCACCCCTCCTCTTTCCAGTTAGGGAGCCAAATATTTCCTTTGTTTGCTAAGATTTTGGTTACTTGTCATGAACAAGTCCTAATTCATATTGATGGAGACTGTTCAACCAACATGAATCACTTTGAGAAGTACTCATGATAGAAACATGAAGAGACTTTACCATGATGTTTTCTTAAAGGTCAAAATACTGAGAAAAATACTGGGTAAAGTTACATTGTTCGGATCAAACTATAGCAATAGTTTCATAGCCAGCATTTATTTAGAGAAACATAATTCAATAATGCTAGAAAATTCTAAATCAAATAAATTCTAACTATAAAATCACAAATACAAATAATCTCAGTATTAGAGAAATGGAGAAGTATCCCCCCAAAATCTGATTCTGTTCCCTGATAATACATTAGTTACCATCTGTTTTGCTACAACACAATGGTTTCATTTCCCCTAAACTCTTAGCTATCAAAAATTGTATTGCAAAAATAATTGTTTTAGAGACAATAGAAGAGGTTAGGCCCTAGACAGTGACAGATTCATCATAACAAACTTTTTTCCTTGCAGATATTTCAATGATAAATGGATTATCTAGCTAGAAGTATATTTTGTACTAAAAGCTAAAATAATAAATTGGTTGATCAAAAATGACAAAACAAACCCAAACACTGAGAAAATCCAAAAGCGCATTGACCAATATGAAAGTATTTCTAGATCACTAAAATACATTTCAACATAGGTCTCAACTGTAAATAATATAATGAAGTATTAACTGAGAAGTGGCCAAAGTAGCTAGATTTTTGATTGAGCAAAGCAATAGTTTCTTTCCTGTGTGAATACTGTAACATCTGCAAAGGATAATGCAAACCATCTTTCCTAAACAATTAGATATGTTCATTGAGTTTTAAAATAGAGGAAAGCTCTTAAAAATGGACATTTGTTTGCCTGATTCATTATGGCTATCTCTGACACACTGGGACTTCAAATGATAGCAATAAAAGATGGAATAAGAGGCATGTACACACACACAAAAAATGCATTCCAAAAACGTTGTATGAACAACTAAGGATTGCCTCAAGAAAATATAAAACCAGAAGTAGAGAGACTTTCAAAAATGCCCATTCTAATAATAATAGTGCAATGCTAACAATAATAGAGACGTCCTTTTTACATACATCTGGGGCAAGAACAAGAAGGAATCGGTCTGTCTCATGCAATAGACAATGTAAAGTTAATGAATGAAAGAAAATGAATGCACTTCTATTTTACTCCTATTTTCCATCAAAGAGAATGACTTTTAAACTGAGAAAGGTATAACAAACACGGTTGAAGGAACTGAAACCTAAGATAGGTGACTAGATAGCCAAGTGCCAAAATGCTGTAAAAAGGAGTTCCAGTCTCTCAGCCTAGAAAGACACAATTAGGAGGCTGAGGCACTTTGAGCAGAGGATTGCTTAAGTGGAGGAGCTACAGATCAGCCTGGGCAACAGAGTGAGACCCTATCTCTACAAAAAACAAAAACAAAACAAAATTAGCTGGATGTGGTGGCACACGCCTACACTCTTAGCTACTCGGGAGGTTGAGGTAGGAGGATTGCTGGAGCCCAAGAGCTTGAGGTTACAGTGAGCTGTGATTGCGCCACTGCACTTCAGCCTGCATGACAGAGTGAGACCCTGTCTCAAAACAAATAGATAAAATAAAATAAAATAAAACATTTAGAAAAGAAAGCAATGATCATTAGGAGTCAGCAGAGGTTCATCATGAATAAGCTGTGCACCACTAATGGAATTTCTGTTAGCACGTAAATACTGTAGAAAAAGGACAACAGTATATTTCAGTTCTTTCAATTCCTAATTGTGTGACTGTGTGCACAAATCCAACAGACCAACTTGTAGTAGATGGCCACATAATGTGAAAACTTTGAAAAAACTTGTATAAAACAATTAAAAGCCTCATGGAGGATTAAGGGAATAGAAGATGATGAATTCAAAGAATAGATTCTGGAGCTAGACTGTCTGGTTTTGCCATTTACTGCGTGACTTTGGGCAAATCACCTAATTTCTCTGTACCTTTTAATATAAAAATGAAAAAATAATAGAACCTATATCATGGGTTTGCTGGGAAGATTAGATGAATCTTCCTATAAAGAACTTAGAATAGTGTCCGGAGCAAAGTTAGGAGAATAAATGTTAACTTTTATTATCGCCGTTAACATGTCTCAAATTAGGACAAAGTGGAGAAACAAATTTTAGGAAACTACAAATATGTATACAGATGTTCCCCGATTTATTATGCAGTCCCAATAAACTCATCATTAATTTAAGATATCCTAAATCAACTTACAATGGGCTTATCTGAACCATCATAGGATTAGGTGCATACTGAATGCATATTGCTTTTACACCATCTTAACGTTGAAAAATCGTAAGTTAAACCATCTGTATTTGTGTGGATTGAATGAACACAAATAAATAAGTAGTACTGATTAATGAATTACTATCAGCAATATCCATTCATTTATTTAAATAAATGTTAACTGAGTACATAGCATGTACCAAGCCCTGAAGTGGGGCACAGAGATGGAAAGATAAAAGGTCTCAGTATAATGACAGAGGCCCTGCTCCTTTCAATGTTTTTATCACTGACTTACATGCAATATATGGCACACTTTGAGTACTCCAGATAGAACAAAGCTAGAAGGAAATACAAATATGTGGGATGGTAAGTCGAAAGAGAAAAATATTTTGACAAATGGAACAAATGACCTAAATTAAAATGATACAATTTGAGAGCTCAAGCTAAATACTATTTATATTTACAAGTATAATTTTATTTTAGAATAATATATACTTATGTTGACAGATCAGAAATTGGAAAAGCAAAAATAAAAAATGAAATATCATCTTTAATTCTACTATAACAATATAGTCTTTGTATCATATGTATAGGTCTGAATATCTTCATAATACATACACATATGTATACATGCTTCATGTACAATTAGTACATATACATGTGAACATATTTTTAAATGAAATTGAATTATGATGTTAATCTGTTTTGTAACATGCTTATTTAATCTAAAAATGAATATAGTTTCATGTCATTAAATTTCCATCAACATAGCATTTAGTACTACCTAGCATAAATTCAGTTATACTCTCACAAACAGCTTATGTATGACAGAGACTGACTGAGACTGACTGCTGCATAATACCTCCATTTCCTTTTCTTCCTGGGCACACAGCTAGCTACATTTCTTTGCAGCTAAAGGCAGCTCTGTGACTAAGTTATAGCCATTGGAAAATGAATGAAAGAGATGAGAGTGTCCCATGTGTGATTTTCCATGCACTTTCCTCTCTCACCTTGGAGTAATTTTGAAAATCTCAAGTTAAAAATGATAAAGCTACAAGACTGAAAGATCCTGAGACCTGAATCATCAGTTAGAGAAGGGACCTTACATGAATAAGAAATAAATTTTTTTCATCTTCTCATCATTGCATGTTTTTTTGGTTGTTTATTACAGCAACTGGTGTTACTTTAAGTAATACAGAATTAGTGTACCACCATTTCACTTTTCATATTCAAAAATTAGACATTATGCCTTTTAAAATGTTACCAACTTATAACAGCTGTTAAATTGTTTCTTCCATTTGAATTCTTTACATTAGAAAAGATGAACTAGGGATGGGTGGCATGTCATAATTGGCCAACAGTTTCAATGTGACGAAAGACCCAAGGGATTTAGTTAATTAATAGTGAAACATAAACCAAAAACATAATCAACATGCAAGTGGCATGGGATACTGGTGCTTAGAACAGGGGACAAAATAGCCTCATGAAGTTGTCCAGTGGTCAGACCAGACCTGAACTTCAGTTCTGGACAGCATCCCTCAGAAGTGAGATGAATGAACTACAGTTCTCAGTGAAAAGGACTGGGATATTTTTCCTGGAATATAGATACCAAAAAGAGGTGGGGCTGGCATGACAATAACATTAATGAGGATAACACAAATAGGCACTTCTTTTGGGGTGGGTATACTAATAATTACCCCATCACGAAAACCAGCCAAGTTACTTTTATTTGGGACATTATTATTTAAAACTGAAGAAACACAGAAAGCACAGCTTATTGAATAGATCTTATCACTCTCTAAATGTTTGCAGTTTGCATGGGTCCCCCTATCCAATATATCACAACACACACCAAAAAATGCATGTACACACACGTGCAAACACACACACAATCACACCTATTAGCATTTATTGGAAGAAGTTGACATTTTAAGGGCAAAGGCTAATAATAAAAGCTAATTTTATTAAGTGCATAGTGTATGTCAGGCCCCATTCTAATTGCTTCATATGTATGAAATGATTCACAGCAATTCCTCACAATTCTTTAAGGTGCATTCCATTATTATCTCTATTGCATAGATGAGAAAACAAGCCCAAAGAGAGGTAAGTAATCTGCCTGGCATCACACAGCTAGTGCGTGGTACAGCTGGGATTTAAACCAAGCAGTCTGGCACCAGAGACCATATAGTTAAATCACAACTTTAAGACTGAGAATTGAAAGCATAGAAGTAAACTAACAAAAGAAATAACACATTTTCAGGGAAAAAAATTGGGGGAAAATTGCTAATGAGATCTCAAATTTTGCAAAGTGAATTTTCATATTAAGTATTTCAATAGGTATATTGAATTACTTGTAGGAATGAATTTTTTAAAATAAAACATGCACATTTATTTATCTTTAGTTAAAGCAACATACTGTAAGTCTAGAAGCTAGGAATATTTTCCTAATACTTGGACTTTTTTTTCAACTATGCAACAAATAAATACATTGTAATGACAAGAATACTTTTTCATCTGTAAAATGGGGTTATGTGTGTTTACTTTCCTCATTTAATGTTAGAAAATTATGTGGTTTTATTTTCAGTCTTCAAATTAAATCTGTTAAATTAGCCTGTCACTTAAGTAAAATAAAAGTCTATGCCCATATATTCTTTGTCTGCTGTGGAATCTTTCATTCAATTATCTATCTCAGAAGCATTACCTTGTGGTTGCAGTGCGGAACGACCTTCGAATCCCGATATTGGTACTGACAGTCTGACAGTGCCCCTGCTGCCGGCCTCCAATCTCTACTCCTTCCTATATCCAAAGTGAAAATAATTTCTTCAAATCTCTCGCTCCCTTTCAATTTTTCCCAGGCATCAACTTACATATATTCTATTGTTTCCTTTACCCAAATGTCTAATATTGGTTTAAGGTTCTAGCTAAGAACCACATTCCCCCAGTCTTTCTCCCTCTATGCATTCTTACTTATGCTCCTGTGTATCCATGCCATGGCTCTTTCTTCTTTACAAAAATTCAAATCAAAATGTACCTTTCTGGAAAGACTTACTTTTATAATTCCTGTTAGCCATTGTATTAGTCTGTTCTCACGCTGCTAATAAAGACATATCCAAGACTGGGTAATTTATAAAGGAAAAAGGTTTAATGAACTCACAGCTCAGCATGGCTGGGAAGGCTTCACAATGACAGTGGAAGGCAAAGGAGAAGCAAAGACGCGTCTTATATGGCGGCAGGCTAGAGGGCTTTTGCAGGGGGACTCGCATTTCTAAAACCATCAGATCTCGTGAGACTTGTTCATTATCAGGAGGACAGTATGCAGGAAACTGCCCCCATGATTTAATTTTCTCCACCTGGCCCCGCTCCTTGACACATGGGGAATATTACAATTCAAGGTGAGATTTGGGTGTGGACACAGCCATACCCTGTCAGCCATGACCCTGTCTTTACTTTGTATTACCTCAACATGGACTAGGTATTTTTGTTTATATTGATCAAGTTTTATTGTCACAATGTCATTGTGATGATGATTGTGGATGGACCAAAGAGACTCAAATGTTGGTGAGTGGTCCACCTCTTTCAAGTAAGACTCAATAAAACCCAGAGACAAATATAGAGTGAGGTGGAAATGGGATGCAAATTCCACAATATTTCAGAGCAACACATGTCATTAAAGTTGGAATTAATTTGTGTTGTCATGGAACTTGGAAATCATCATATTCTCCCTATGGTATAATTAGATTATAATTATTTATCTTCAGAGATTTCCACATGGTAGTTGCTCATTAAATAAGTTATTAATTAATATTTTAATTGTTTTATCATAAACATTTAAAATAAAAAATCTATTATGTTGTAGTTACATATTTTTAAGAAAATAGTGGTTTCTGATGTGGGTCCTAATAACAAGAGGTTTCTATGAATGTAACCAATCTTTATAATAATCTGGGCCAATAAGTATGTAATAATAATATATGATATAATCAGTTATAAAAATAATAATACAAACCAAGAACTAGAGGAATCTTAATTGATCATTTCCTTAATAAGCCCTTCGTTGCATGTGAATCAAGTATTTACAAATAAAAGCATGCATTTGTTGTCTTTTGCAGCAACATGGACAGAGATAGATAGCGGAACTGACAGGAACAGAAAACCAAATGCCGCATGTTCTAGCTTATAAGTGGGAGCTAAACATTGAGTACACAGGGACACAAAGAAGAAAATGACAGACACTGAGGCCTACTTGATAGTGGACAGTGGGAAGGAGGGTAAGGACTGAAAAACTACCTGTCAGGTACTATGCTTATTATGTGGGTAATGAAATAATCTGTACACCAAACCCCTGTGACATGCAGTTTACCCATATAACAAACCTGCATGTATACCCCTGAACCTAAAATAAAAATAAAAGTTAAAACAACAACAAAAAGATGCATCTGAAATTAGATCAAGAAAATGTGGTATGTATATATATACAATGAAATACTATTCAGACCTAAAAAACAAAGGAGATCCTGTCATTTGTGACAACATGGATACACCTGGAGGACGTTATGTTAAGTGATATAACCCAGGCATTGAAAGGTAAATATCACATGATCTCACTTACATGCAGAATCTAAAAAAATTTTAACTCATAGAAGCAGAGAATAGAATGGTGGCTACCTGGGGCTAGGGTTAGGAACCTTGGGATTGGGAGAGACTGGGCAAAGGGTACAAAATTTCAGTTAAACAGGAGGGATAAGTTCAAGAGATCTACTTTATATCCTGGTGACTATAGTTAACAACAACATACTATGTATTTGAAAATTGCTAAAAGAGTAGATTTTAAGTGTTCTCACCACAAAAAATAAACATATGAAGTGATGTATATGTTAATTAGCTTGATGTAGCCATTCCACAGTGTATGCATATTTCATAACATCATGTTGTACACCATAAATATATACAATTTTAATTTTTCAACTGAAGTATTTTTAAAAACAAAAACCATGCATTAGTTTTGCTTTTATTTTTACACAAGATAAGTATTTATTTAAATGTGTACTTTTCTAAAATATAAATGAACATTTTAGAAAATAAAAATGATTTAGCTTATATTTTAATTCTGGACTTCTTACAATGACACATCTTTTTAAACACTAGTTTTTCCTTAATAATTCCTTCTCGTATCTTTCAAAATTATATTCGTAAAATATATATGATTCAAATTAACTATTTACCTGTACTCCAAAATCACAGTTTTGATCCCGAATTCCAGCCTACTGCTATAGAGGTTACAAATTAAGAACCAGAAGTTCTGATGACAATAAGTCGTTTTATATGAAAGCAGTAGTGTCAACAAATTATTATTTCTTCTCTAATTTTTAAATATTTTATGAGATTTGCATTAAATATAGAGAGACTATTTTAGAAGATTACACTGGTTATTTAAGTACCTGAAAAAAACAAAAAAAAATTAAATTTTATTTCTACCAAGTGTTTGAATAGAAATACCTAATATATGTAAGACAGAATACAAACACACACACACACACACACACACACACACATATTTTTTTCAGCCCCTTCTTTTCTTCCAGTAGTAGGTCTCTTATAAAATAATGACCAAATGTCAACACATAAGGATACTAACTTCATGACAATGCTTCAGGAAATATACTATTATTGTCACTCCTGGATGTTGGTATTATTTTTGTAATTATAAAAGTGAGGAAATCAAGCCCTATTATTAACATCTTAAAGATGATATATGATCAGTCACAATTAGAAACAACAGCTGTTTTTCTTTAGTTATTTCCTTAGTAGAGAAAAGAAAACACCTAAACTTCTTTTGATTAATAAAGACTGCAGTTATTACATAAAAGGCTGTGGAAGATTTTCCAGGGAGATTTTGAAGATAGGGGAATGTTATTTGGTTTAAGTATCATTCTCCAGCCCAGGTATCTGGGAAGGCCTTTCTGTTCCAGTTGCCCTTTTTTTTCAAGCACAACTTGATGTTCCCTGAGTGACTCTAATTCGACTATTTTTAAATATAGATGTCTATACTATACGTGTAAAATTTTGGGTACGTGATATCAATCAAAGATATGGTTAAGCTGTTTATACTTGAGAATTACCAATTTGGAAAATGTCTTCAAGTATCTTCAAAGAAGTGAACTCTAGATTCATATGAAAGAATAATTGGATACGAATAGAATGTATCTTGTTAGAGTTAACCAAAATGTGGACATTTTACAGCAAACTGTTGCCCAGGAAAGACCACTTAATGCATTTAGGCAAGTAACAAAATTATGATCCCTCTTTGGTGCCCAGAGCAGTGTAAGGATAAATAGAAGATTCTCAATGGCTACTTTAGATTGATGAATGCCAATATTCAGTGACCCATGGTGATAGCTTTTGAGAAGCTGGTGTGAGGAACAATATATTAGAGAGTTTGGCACAAAATATGAACAATTAAAAGCACTTTGAACCTTTTTTCCTTATCAAAAGAACTACCTGATCTGAGAGGAATTAACAGAAAGGGGAAAAGTGTTCAAGTATGTTTTCTCCAGGACTGAGTAAGTTTAAACCTCTTGGAGTTAGAGCAAGAAAAGGCAATGGATAAAGAAAGAATCATTAAATATTTCATTTTTGAAGATGTACATGATAACTCTACATCTGTGAGAAACATGTAATTGACACATCTGGCTCTTTGATTGCAAGTGTAGGAGAGGTTTAAGTTTTAGAATAGGTGGCATCTGATGAGAAAAAAGCCAATTTAGAGGTGGTAAATAGTTTAATTCCATCCAATTACAAAGAAAAGAGGAAGGAGAATGGGAGTGATGAAGGAATCCATCCATCATGCACAATACAAATAAAGGCCTGTCACTCATTTTCCTAATGTCGAAAAAAGAACTATTTAGTAATTTTTGACACCAAGGAAACCATTTGTAATAGCCTTCTTCACTTTTCAATTCATCCTTAAATTTAAAAGAAAGAGAAAACCCCATTTAATTGTTTCTATCATGTCAGTTCATCATTTATGAATCCGTGTCAGTGTCTTAGTTTTTTCAGTGAAATAGCTAATTCATATCGTATTTGTAGTCACCACTTCATAGTGAATCACTGCTGTTGATTTAGCCTGTCATCCAACACAGAACATCTCAAAACCATTTGCATCACTCTTCTTGCTATGATCTGCACATATGGTCATAATTAGGAATGTGATACCTTATATTTATTTCAAATACTCAGTGAATTTAGAATATAATAGTGAAAACAGCATAACTCATATGTCATAAGAAAAAATTTGTGTTAAACTACATGAACTAAGTTACAACTATTAATTATGTATAGATAAAACACCAATGATTGTGGATCAGAGCATAAGTATAAAATATACTTTGTATGAGAACAAATTTACAATTGATATATTTATAACTACCTTATATAGAAAGTTCAAAATATGAACTAAATGCATACTGTAGCATATTTGAGTTTTATATCAAAATTTTCCTTTTCAAGACAGAATACCCGGGAGAAGTTTCCTTTCCCTAAATATACCTGCAATTTTCAAGTCCTTTTAATTCACGCCTTTAAATGAAAGGGTTGAGTATACAAGGTCAGTGAAATTGTTATTTATGGTTGAAATGTTTTTGCTACATCTATTTTAAGAAGGGTCATATTTTTCATCTCATTTTTAAAATTGGTTTAAACTGTTTAGCTGACTATACAAAATTACTCAATGTGAAACTAGCAGTTTACTCCATTTACAAGCCTAGGTAGCATAGGAATTATTTAAGATTTTACAGTTAAGATGATTAAGTTAAAATTATATAATTTGATTGTTCTTATGTTTATAGTAATCGTCATTTTTTAAATTATTTTACTATTACTATAAAATATTTTCCTCTTAAATGTGTTTCTTACCTCTTTGTTTTGGTTTGTTTCTGAGGAAAAACTACAATGTCAATATTTAAATTGCTCACTAATAGACAGACCTTTGCACATCAATGCCAATATTTTATGTTAAGATGACCTGTAGTTATGGAGATCCTTGTTTTGTAACCGAAACAAATATCTTCAAAGAATATCACTGCTTACTGCTTCATTTTCCCTAGGAAATGCATCACCCAACTTAGTTGGTATTTAAAAAATTAGTATTATTTTCTCTTTTGAAGTTCTACTGAATTCAAAATGAATAAAAACTACTTAATGGTGAATATTTTTAGATATTCAAATGCACATTTTCTATCCTGGTCAATATTAGCAACTCTTCTCTAAGCTAAGAAAGCACGTCAGCCTTGTCATGCAGACCAGCATAAACTGCAGATTTGTGAGCATCTAACCGCAGGAAGAATGCATTGCTGAAGCTAAACTAGACTATTAAGAACACTTTCAGTGCTGGCCAGTGTTCTAGTCCAGGAGTTAGAGAATTAACATACAATATATTTATTTCAAAATTTTAAAAGAAGGCATTAACAACTAAGCAAGATTTAATTCTATCTGGAAATTGCAAGAATCCTGGAAGTGAAAGTTCCTATATTTGTGATTTTTTGAACTGCACACTTGGTGGAATGACTCCCACTACTGACCCTTTTCTAAGTCAAAGGGGATTTCAAAGTGTAACTATTTACAAGTTAAAATGAGAAGGAAGCAAGTCTCTAAAAAATAAAAGTTTATCGTAAGACTGAGGAAAATAGTCAAAACAATGACTACTGAGAAAATATTATGATTATTATATTGTTATTATTTTTGCCCAAGGTCTCTAGGCATTTGAAGAAGAAAGATTAAACAAAAACAAACATTTCATTTGTAGGTAGACTCAAAAAAATAACTGAGTAACCTTGACCTCCATCAGCACACAAAATCCTACATAGCCAATGACAGACTTCATTGTTTAAAGACTACTTGGGAATGATTAAGAAAAAGATGATGTAATCTAATATGTGATAAAGAGAGATATAATATTCTCTACTGGAAGGCATTCCTATCATGTCATATCAAAGTCTAGCAAAACGTTGAAAGTTAGAAATGTTATCAAGCATTAGCAGGCATTTAAAGAACGTCTCTTGAATATTTCTAGCATAAAAAAGTATTTCATGTGATGTAAATGAATGGTAATTTTCTGACTTTAAAAGAGAGCTGTGCCAGTACATTTCAGCGTTCTGGACCCAATTCTGCAAACATGGAGACGCTTTCAATTTGCTCTGCCTGCCTTCCCGCCTTAGATGGCTGCGATTGCAGCGAAATTAATCCATTTAAAAATCTGCGGCTTAAACTTAAGGATTTTCAGTTTTTTCCCCCTTCTCTCTTTTTTTTTTTCTTAGAATATCAATAAGTTCCAATTGAAGAGCGGATTCTTTTGCAATTCAGGCATGTGCCGGCGATAACGGGCGAGTTGGCATGAAGAGAGGCAGAGATGGATTAATTATGCAGAGAACATGGAAATTCTGCTTATCATCGGCTAGCAAAGGAGCCCGGCTCACATAATCAGCAAACGAAGGGAGAGGAAAAAATAACAATGCAATGGCACCTTCCAGCCCATCATCAGGATTTTTTCTACCCCCTTGTAATTAAAAAATAACATACACTTATAGCCCTATCTCCTGTGCAGGCAAGGAGTGGATGTCCACAAAATAATTGCACTGGGATATTAGAGCTGGCGACACGGGCTGTCCATTCCGGCTTGCTCTCCTGCTCACCCTCTCTTTCTCTTTTGGCCTCTCAGGCACTTTGCTTCTGAACCCAGTCCAAATCAGAGAGACGTCTCAGGTGACATTCAAGCTCGGTTTCCAAAAATCCCAAATTGGTACCTTATCATGATCCAAGCAAACATACATACATATATGATAAATATTTGGAGGGCTGACTCTAGAGGAGGCTTTGGAACTGATCACCTGTGGACTATCTGGTCAGTTTCATTTTTTATGAAACATGTCCAAATAGCCTTCATTTTGCAAAGTGGCTGGATTAAAATGGTGGCTGTGCAACGGCTGTGCTATCTTCTCAAATCATTTAACTTACCTACAAGTTTTTGTTTCTATTCCCTTTGCCAACTCATTTTATAAATGTTAAGTTAATGATTGCAATGTCTGCACCTCAAAATCAGAATTCGCAATTCTGTATTGTCATTGTAAAATCTGACAGCTCAATGCCTTGTATTTCTCTAAATGCCAAAAGACTACAATAAACCTAGTTTATTGCTTTAAAGAAAATCGAATTCAATCTTACATTTGTATCCATGTGATTTCTAATTCTGAAAATTAAAATGTAAACACATATGTTAAATAATGATACTCCTGACTGGATGCCATGGAAGTTGGTTTTGCTGTTTTAATTGTCACTCAAATAATTTGACCTAATTACAGACATAAGCCCGAACAAGCTCTCCGGCCATGAGAGAGGCCATTTCTTACTGAAGAGTTATTGGTGAGCTAGAGAAACAGAAAGATAAATATAAACCTGGAAAGACAAAAATTATACAACACATAAAGGAAAGATGTTCCAAAGTGCAGTAAACTGAATTAGAAAGCTGGCAGACTCTAGAAATGTAATTTATTCATAGAGTTCCACCAAAGCAGGGAACCAGTGTGGGGCGCAGTTTACACGCTTGTGGGAATGTTTTAAGTGACAGTGACTATAATAGACTGATTTTTTAAAACTAATTATTTCCATGTCTATGCATATGGACGCACATACACTAGTATATATGAATATTATCAAAAACAAACACTGAGTAAAGGATCGAGCAAATGTTTAGAGATATTTGTGATTAGGGACTTTGTTAGTTTCTGAGAGTGGAGGAAAAATAAAATCAGAAAAAAAAATACTCGAATGGGGGCTGGGTTAAGGGTGAAGAAAGGGAAAGAAAAGAGAGAAAATCCCACTAAAGAGAACAAGAGAATAAAAATATGAGGAAGAGAAAATTGTAATTGTGACAGTAGAAATTATAATTATGTCTTGTTATTGTATAAATGTATACATGTAAGATATTAAATATATATATATATAGGAACCTACAGAAAATAATTCAAGTGTATGTCCCTACACCAACAGTTCTCCAAATGCATAAGGAAACCACAGATTTCTCAGAGCAGAATATAATTTACTAGGGATTTTGGAGTACAGCCACATGAAATAGGGGAATACAGTTGGGATAATTTGGCCATCCAATACTATTTAATTTCTA
This sequence comes from Homo sapiens, assembly GCF_000001405.40. Taxonomy (NCBI): domain Eukaryota; kingdom Metazoa; phylum Chordata; class Mammalia; order Primates; family Hominidae; genus Homo; species Homo sapiens. The sequence goes on along the minus strand of NC_000008.11, from coordinate 105,141,885 downwards.
CCACCTTCCTACCATTTAGTCCCCAGAAAACGTATTTAGCTTCTCTTTGACCTAGCTTCTTAAATGCACTCCTACTATGATAAAACCTACCCCTTTGAAGTTCCTAGATAAAAGATACTGAGGAGCTGGATGCCCTGGCTTATGCCTATAATGCCAGCACTTTGGGAGGCTGAGGCAGGACAATCACTTGAAGCCAGAATTTCCAAACCAGCCTAGGCAACATACAAGACCTATGTCCACAAAAAGTGAATAATAAAAAAAAAAAAATAGCCAGGGGTGGTGGCATGTCTCTGTAGTCTGAGCTACTTGGGAGCCTGAGGCAAGAAGACTGCTTGAAGCCAAGAAGTTCGAGGTTACAGTGAGCTATGATTCCACCACTGCACTCCAGCCTAGGCAACAGAGCAAGACCCCGTGTCAAAAAAATAAAAATTAAATTAAAATGAATAAATGATATTGAATAATCCATGAGCAGTGATGAATAATTCTTGCTAGGACAAATTATCAGACCAAATCTGGTGATTTTTTTATATTAGAAGGAGAGAGATATCAGAGCTAGCTTCCCAAGATGACCCTAAACTATTATATAAAGTTTCATTTTCTTAGCAAAATAAATTACTGAGAACTCTTGGATTCCTGAGAAACTGATATTCTTCTAGGATCAAAATATTAAGAGCTAGTTCAATTCAGTTAGACACTAGAAAACAATTTATTCCAGGCTTACAAGATGAGCAGAGGGTCATCTCAGTTAATATCCAGAGCGACAGGTGGTTCTTTAGATGTGGTTCTCGCTGGGTGGTCCAGTGTTTTTTAACCCTGGCTGCACAATAGAATCCTCTGGGAAGCTTTTTAAAAATACTTATGCCTGAGCCACACCCCAGATATATAATTTTTTTAACTTCCCAGGAAATTCTAATGTTCAGCCAGAGTTGATGAACAGTCTGGCTAGGTTCATTCATTGCCCTCCATCGAAGTCCATTGAAAGCCCCAAATATCTTCAAGACTAGGGCAGTCATCAAAGCAAACTAGGCTATGAGCAACGTGGGGCAGGAACCATGCTGCTTTTGGTCTCCTGCCTCCCCAGCACCTAGCCCAGTGCCTGTTACGTAGAGGGTTCTCAAAAATAATTTTTCATTGAAAGAATAAAGCAAACAGGAGCCAGAAAGACAGAAAGCTTTACATCCACCTGTCATCACAGCTGTCTTCTCTGCCCTATATCATGCCCCATAAGTCTTGATAATTTGGGAGCTCTCTCAAGGTTTTCTGAAAGCCTGTGCTGAAACTTTATAGATGCAGCATACTTCTGTCATCTTTTATACTTTCCTGAAAACATGTCTTAACATCTTTTACAAGAGAAGGTAGATAATAGAATTCTCAGTAACCATAACTGTAAATGGATTTGTAATCTACCCATGATTAAAATTATTTTCATCATGAAGTAGAATTCTCATTATTGTTGCAATTTTAATATTATCAACTCCAAAGTGTCTTGGTGATTGATAATATAGACAGCGAAACCCTATATTATAGTAATTAAATTTAAAATGAATCAGCCATCCTTATATGTCTCAGTATAGTACCTGATTATTTGAAAACAATTATCTTTGCATGTCACCTAATGCCAGACAGCACTTGGAGCTGCTCCCAGGGATTGTTCTGGGTCACAATGCTGCTGCCTAGTCTAAATACACAGATACTGTGTCTTATGTGCCACGATGAATATTTTCTCCATTAAAATACGTGACCACCACAAAAGTGAGCTCTAACCCAGAAGGAATGCAGGCCTGAATTAGGAAACTTTTGAACAAAACCTTCAGGCTGAAATGAGCATTCATCGTAGGTAAGTCTCACGGACTTTAAAGCAAGCCCGTTCTCTAGGAAACCCCAGAAACCATGGGCCTAAGAGCATGTCTGACTTTGTGGATGAGGTTTTTCTTTTCTGATCAGAGCCAGGATGTAATCCATAATGCTTTGATTGGACTAATTGCCTTTCAAAGGAAATGTCTTTCTTCATACATTCAATTAAATAAACTATTACTATATTTCCCAATGTTGTCCCTTATTTCCCTAGTTAAGATGTTACAGGAACATTCATTTCTCCACTGCAGGAAGAGATTCCTCTGCTTCTCTTAATCTTACGCTTTTTTGCAATCCTTTTTAATGACAAAACCCCCCTTTACTGAATGCTCCATCCCACCACCCTCCCCACACACATTTTGGAGAAAAAAATTAATACAAAAAATTCTTCCATACTTGGTTCATTTGCAGATTTCACCAGGCTTGCAAAAAGCACACCTGTTGTGCTGTCTGGATTTCCTTTTCTGATCATAGGCTTCTGACAAAGAGGGGGGGAAAAGAAAGATTTTTATCAAACGCTCTTCACCGGACAATGAATTTTCTTCACCATTTGAATGTATCTGTGGAATGCCTGAGTGATTCATTACAGCAGATTCTGAAGTATGACAATGGGCCGCAGAAATGACTGATGGTATCTTTTTCCTGATTTCATTTCCCTGATCCTCTTCATCCCTTGGCCTGTGTACCTCGATTAATTAGAAACCAGGGATTTTCACTCATCAGCTGATGGGTTTCATGCTCCACTCTGTCACAAATCTGCTGCCTGCACTATCTCTCTTACAGCCGGTGGCTGCTTTAAAAACTTTCCCTTCTTTTTCTTTCTTTTTTTTTTTTTTTTTTTTCCTTTTTTGAAGCAGTGCTTTGTGACTACAGGTTTAGGTCTTTTAAAGATTCAGACATATTTTTAAAAAAGAGATTAAAATTAAAGTAGAGAAGATTCAAAATCTCTGATTAAGTTAATCCCTATCCAAATGATACTTGTCCAAAAATGAACTTTTTGAAGAGATAATAATATAAATGTTTCATAGCTCTCAGCAAGTTCTTTTCTCAAGATATAATAATTGAAGTATTATAAAAAGACTGAAAAATATATAATTTTTATGTGTGAGCCCCAAAGCACTTGTGTTTATTTCTCATGCGTTTGGGGGTACTCATGCTATATTTTAAAACTCAATTTCATTCAAATTCTAGTTGAATAAACCATTTAATAACAGATATCCTGAAATAAATCATTGAATCACTATTGTTTCTGGAGGAAATATTTTATAATTGAAATATGCTCTCCCTTAGGGTAGATACCAAATTAAATCACATGATGATATAATCCCCAAGGAAGCAAATCATAATTAAATAGTATTTCAAATGCAGGATACTTGATAACAAAACTCTCTAAAATCTAAAATAATGTGTTATTCAAAGGTAAAAACATAAATTATTTTTACCCAAGAAAAGTAATAGCTACCTGATACTACAGGATTATTTACTGGAGTATTTTTCTCCATATTAACTTATTATTTTATTTTTTGAGATGGAGTCTCACTCTGTCCCTAGGCTGGAGTGCAGTGGCACGATCTCAGCTCACTGCAACCTCCGCCTCCCGGGTTCAAGTGATTCTCCTGCCTCACCTCCAGAGTAACAGGGACTACAGGCATGCGCCACCACACCCAGCTAATTTTTGTATTTTTAGTAGAGACGGGGTTTCACCATGTTTGCCAGGATGGTCTCGATCTCTTGACCTCCTGATCTGCGAGCCTCAGCCACCCGAAGTGTTGGGACTACAGGCGTGAGCCACCGCGCCCGGCCCCCATATTAATTTATTTAAACATCAGTTTTGAAAGGAGTCACAGAATTAAAAGACAATTTCTCCATTTTAAAATGCCAGACCCATCAGACATAAAGAGATAAAGTATATGTTTGATATATATCAAATGTATGTATGATATATATGTATACTTTGTCTACTTATCATGAGGAGAAGTAATATACATTTCCATAGTTTTGCCCACAGTAAAAGATTTAGCATCAGAGATTTCATTCTGCATGTCAGTTTTTCATCAATTTTGAAAGTCATAATAATAAGAAAAAAATAGGAGCTTGTAGAGAATACCTAACCCTTGCCATCTGAAGATCAATGTCCTTCTGTCCACACTTGCCAAGAAAAGACTGTACTCTTGATAACTATTGAATGACCAACGAGAGCCCTGATCAGTTTTGAGGGTAAGATTTATCTGTCATGACTACTCCAAAGGAAACCAGCATTCAACTTAGAAATTCTTTTATTCGGGGTTGATGGCAAAACAAAACGGACAGCAGGAAGAGCTACCATGTTTACGTTTCAGAGATATAAGAAGGGATACACCCAACTATGCTATTAAATCTTTGCAGCACATTTATTTACATATATAGGAATCCAAATTACCACTGCCGTGGGTTACACAGCTCTAGTCAATAGTGCACCACAAAATTGATTTTTTTTCCAGGTGCAAGACTAAATTTTTCTTGTTGTTGAACTGGTCTACCATAAAGACTTATAGATTTGAAGTAAAGGGGATTTCATAGGATTCAGATCAATTTCTCTTCCTGTTGTATTTTTTAAAGCCTTAGTAAGATTGAAGAGAGACATGAGAGCGGTTGGGAAAATATGTCTTCAGCTTACCTAGATGTGAAGGGAAACCCAGCACATCTTTGAAGTTATTAATATCTTTTTTTAAATCATACCTGGCTGTGAGCATTCTTTGAAGAAGAAGAAAAACAAAATTTTAACAAATTTCAAGTAAACCTCATTAGAAATTGGGAAATGGGTAAAGAAAGTTGCTTAATTTTAAATAATTTCTGTTTTATGAATTAATATTTTCAGTATAGTGTCATCTGTCACTTTTACCTGGCCTTTAAAATAGAATAAACCACTGTCATTATAATAGCTGGGCTTAAAATGGAGCCTATAGAATACCCTTTTCTTCAACAGTAATGCAAAAGAGCTATGGAAACAGTTGGAGAGTATTTTATTTAACAACAACACAAGTGTGCTGATAATCTGGAGTATCAGGCCCATCTGTAAATTTTCCTAATTTGCTATTTCTTTCCCTAACACCACCAATATTGTGATAATGCCACTTGCTCTTGAGTACTTGCTAATGCCAGGCACAGGGACTACCAATCATGAATAGACAGGATGAGCTACATAGGCCTATAAGTCTGTGGACTATAGCATTGCTCCAATTCTAACTTTGGCCATCCCAAGATTTACATGTGACTATCAAGGAGAGGCACCAATTTAGATGGTGTGTGTATAATCTATTATATTAATTACATCTGTTAATTCCTTTCCATGGAATATTGCTTCTATCTATATTGTTTCAAAATAATTTTCATAGAATAAAACTTGCCATTTTATGCATAACCCTGAGAACCTGGAAGGTTTTCTTCTTTTCTTTTAATGTAGCCATTTAGAGATGAAGAAACTGAAGCATTCTTATTACAGCAAGTGATTTCACCGAGCTTTGTTGCCTAACAAGCAAGTGTAAAGTAAAACCAGAGATTGCTTCAAATTATGATTTCTGATCAGAATAAGAAGGCTTTGCATTCATGGAATACCAACGTAACATCCATCCAAAGTGCTTTAATGAGCATTTGTCTTATTCTTGCAATGCCTATTAAGGTGACTGAGTAGCAACATAATGGGTTCAGGTGCTGTATGAAACTACTCAGATATTAATCCACATGGAGCAGTGTGCCAATGGAAGACAGTCTACATTTCCCGTTTGAAATATTCATTGCTTTCCTGGATTACACAGTTCACACAGGAAGTATGTACTGAATAGACACAGTGAGTGCCATATATGTTGCAGTGTTTGTAATATGACCCAAGTATGTTAACCAAAATTAGACACAATGTGTAAGAATATTAACTGTATATCTAAGGTAGGGATGGCAGTAATCATTCTCTCCTTATTTTTCTTACTCTAATATTTTAGAAATTATATTTATAATCTTTCATTATGTTTCTATCATGCTGACAAAATATTTCCATTGTTAAAAAGATCGGATTAAATGGAACATCAACTCTTGGTCTGGAATTTGAAGATTCTTTCATTTAACTATGCCTTTTCAACCTTATTTTCAAAGCTCCTCTCTAAGTATCCACTGGTGTGGGTGTAGCAGGGGTATCTTAACCTGAGCAGAACTTTCTTCAGTTATTTCTATACTGTCAGCACATAGAAAATATAATCCACAGTATTACATTTTGTTGAAACAAAAATAAGCACAATTCCATTTGAATCAGGCTGGTCTGTGCTCTACCTATGAATCCCTGTCTGGATTATTTACCAGGAATATGTTTCTCTCTTCATCCTGCTTACTTATTCATTCCTTTTTTAACAGTTCACTTCCAGTTAATTCCCCAATCTTCATTATTTTCCATGCTATCATAATTCATTCTTTTAGACCTATATTTGTCAAACATTTATCCAATGGCAGTCCAAGTTCTGTTAGATGAATTGCGGGCCCAAGACTTGAGGAATTTATGTTCATTCCACCCAACTTAGGGCTTTACTTGCATGGTATCATCTTGACCAATAACATTCAATACATATGTATAGGTTTTCATCCCCTATATAGATTATAAGCAACCTGAGATTAGGGAACAGGGATCTCTTCTTACCCAGCATCTCTGTGCATCTACCTCACTGCCAAGTAGAGAAAACAAATGTTCTATAAGCTTGTCTATTGATTGAATTCTCTTCTAAATTCTAAGAACATATTTAGAAGTTTATCACCTTTAAAAAATAAATTCAAACTTGGACACTGAGTATGACCTTTCTATTAATTATCATATTTACTCTCATATTTCTCTGCTATTCTCACTATAACTTAGACAATGGGAATCTGCCTAGCATCTGGATTTTCCACCTTTGCTAACCCTCATTAATCTTTGTGATTATGTTCCTCATTTACTAGAAGCATCCAAAATTATAAACCACAATTACTACGAATATTAATTGGAAATTGAATTTTTTACTTTGTCTTCCTTTATTTGCAAGGCCTTAATAGTTTAAACACAGAATTACTTTCAGAGTGGCAACCACTTCTCAGAAAATGACTAAAAAATAGTAGAAAATAATGTTCAAGTAATCAAAAGGAACTTTCATTTTACATTTACGGATTTGTTTTTATTTCTAGTCTCAGGCTCAGATGTTAGACAAAGCTTTGTCCAAAAAAAAAAAGAGAAATATGCTACCATTCCAGATTGTGGTACCCCAAAAGTTGAAGTTTCTCTGGAGACCACCTTGTCCTGACTCAGGCAACCCAAGGATGTAATAGAGGTATAAGAAAGAGGGTGATGTTTAAAACAGCTTAGCTGTTATGAAGGACAGATGCACACTTGCTTTCATTTTTCTTTACCCCAGCCAGTGGCAAGCCATTGCTACAGCTTTTATTTCCCTTTTGTTGGGCCTGAGGAGGATATTATGTTTTTCTTAAGAGATCTCTTAAGGCTGTTTCAAGGGAGAAAAAGAGTAGTGACTGAGAGATAAGCATTATAATAGAAAAAGCATTTTCCTTTATCTTTTATATTTTCAGTATGTTTTTGAAAAATGTAAAAGAGAAGAGAATACACAAAAATTTCCCCTAGAATATAATTTTGGATCATTGTTGCATTTGATTACATATTTCTTTAACCTCTGCGTTCTTGATTGAAGAAAAAACATTCTTATATTTGTATTTTTAAAAAATGGAAGCATATGCCAAAATTTGACTCAGGTTTGATAGCAGGAGTGAAAGTATGAGTCAATTCTAAAACTGTGAGCTTCGTACATGCCGTCCACTTGCAAAATTTGTCTAAATTTGAGACATTAAGCACATTTTTTTCTTGATGTTATATTAAATTCTTCTTAGTTTCCTTTTCTGACCTGGATGCCACATGTTTAGATTCAGCCAGGAATGGCTGGATATGAGTAGCAGGAACTTAAGGTTGGTGTGGATAGAGGCAGAGAGTTAAATCAAGACCATTGCAGTGGGCCAGGAACCCAGAAGAGGCCCTACAGGAATGGAAACTGAGTCTGGCAGAAAACACGTAAGATCCAGGGAAGATTAACTCAGGGATCCCTAGAGTGCTACAGGACAGGTTTGAAATTGAGGAGGAACAGAGTAGACTCACAATCTGACTCTAGCCTTTACTTTTATTTGGAGTTCTGTTAGACTGCATATGAAAAAATATAATTCTGTTGCAACAGAAAGAGGAAGAAGGAGGAGGAGAAAGAGGAACAGGGGGTAGAAAGGGAAAAGTGGGAAGGGGAAGGGGAAAGGGAAGGAAAATAAGTTATTGTTCTTGATGATCAATATGACAAAAAATTAGTTTCCTTGACAACAGGAGCGTCTGGTTCACAATACATTCCCCTGTGTTACATAGTGCTTGGCACGTGGTGAGCATTCAATACATATTTATTAAACAAATAAATGAATGAATAAATAAATGAAAGAGTGTCACAGATCAGTTGGTAGCAGATGGGTAAAGACCATGCATTAAATATCTCAATCGATAAGCAGAGTACAACAGTTAATTAATGGATGGCTCAAAAGACAGGAGGCAGACATGCAGTGTCTGGAAACTTGTTGACGGGAAATAAGTCCCTAGTCATTGGTGCCTAGAAATCTGGTGCCTGGGGATTGGGTAGAGGAAGGCACGACCTCAGTCCTAAAGGAAACCTGGATACCTGGGTGGGCATTAGAAAGGAATCTACATGACAGCAACCAAAGCAGAAATCTGGCCTGGGGCTTTGGAGCAAGATGGGAACGTTGTTTTCAAAGGTAACAACGGGTTAGGGACAGTTTCAGAAGGAGGACTCAAGTAAAGTCTGTTCCTCCTGGTTCAGATCAAGGTCAGTTCTGGGATCTGGGGGCAACTGGCAAGTAACCGCAACATGATTCAAATTTGGGGGCAGAAGCAAAAATCCAGATTGTGTTCACAATCCTTTCCCCCCAAGTTAGCAGGTTTTTCCGTTTGTTTAGCAATTTCTTTGATCTTTAAAAAGGTTTGATTAGGGAAAAATCACATCTGGGTAAGGGAGAAGGTGACTTACAGGTAAGAGAAAGGACTGGGGGAATTCTAAGAGGCATCCCAGATAGATGATGCAAAAGTAATTGTGGGCCATTAAAAAAATAGCAAAAACCGCAATTACTTTTTCACCAGCCTAGCTTCTATTATGTAACCTCTCCACGTTCACATTTATCACAAGTGAATGAAATAAATTAACTTACTCAACCAGAGGTATATCATACAAAACAAAATGTTCTTCTCCAGAGTGCCTTGAAATAGGGAGATTTCCCAGTGTTTTACTACAGCATTTACTGAATTCAGATTATGTTTTTTATTTAATTAATGTTTATTATTAAATTGTACAAGCCCATAATAAAGTATTTAAGCAGTGTAGAAATAAAAGTAAATGTGGTCTTCCCCATTTATCCAGTACCATCCATAAGAATGTTAGAACACATCTTATATACATATAGTTTTAGAAATATTCTACATATATGGAAATGTATTTGTGTTCATACTTTTCTTACACAAATGGAATCATGACACACTAAAAGTTTTGCAATTTGTTTTTTGCAAATAATATTTCTTAAACTTCTTTCTATGAAAGCACCTATACATCTATAGAGCTACCCTGTATTATCCATTAGGCTGCATATTTCATTTTTATGCATACGATATCGCAATGAGAATTTTTTAACATATTATTTATGTCCACTTATGTGAATATGCCTGTAAGACAGATTTCTAAAAGTGAAATTGCTGGGCCAAAAGGACATAGACTCCTATTCATGGGTACCATAAAAAATGAATAGCATTTTTGCTTCTATTTACTCAATAAAATGACAAAATATATTATTTTGTAATATGTATAAATGTGTTAATGCTTTTTAAAGTAGTCACTCTACTTATAGTATTAAAACAGACAGTACCATAGCTAATTAATAAATTTGACTTCTTTACTAAGGTAACATACAGTATGATATATACTTTGAATTCCACCTCACAACTGCAGAAAATAACAGAGGAAAAAATAGACACTAGTAAAGTAACATCTACTCTTGAGAAAAAGATTTATTTACAGTTGAAAGTGGTAATCAACTTTGAAGGTTAATGCTCTTAGAGGAAAACAATTGCCTTCACTCTTTTTAAGTCTATAAAAGTCTCTCCTTCTCTCTGTCTTTCTTAAAGGGTGGATGTGAGGCCAAATCCAAGATACAAGATGGGAGAAATCTTGTTCCAGAATGGAGGAGGGACAAAGGGAGTGGAAAATAACTTGAGAGACTAAATCCAATTCCTTTGCAAATGTGGGGTCTCTAAGCTCTTACACTTGGCTTCAGTCAAGCCAAGGAGAGGTAGCCCCAGCTCTGTTTCAATACAGTCCTGTCCCTGAATGAGTCACATAAATAATGATGCTTGGTTAAAAAAGAGACTTCCCTATTTATCCCCAGCATGGAAAAGATGGTGCCATCATCTTGGGAGTTCAGGAAGTTTCTGAATTCAAGGAACAACAAAAATTTCCTTGATAGTGTACAGCAGCAATCTCGAACGTGGTGACAGTAACTCAAAGCAGCCATAGAAAACAAGTAGAAGTGAAGAACTGTCCCATGGAACCCCAGTGTTGAGATCCTAAGCTGGGCCTGGTGCTGCACAGTTCACAGTGCTGACAAAAGCAGGAAGTTGGAGGGATGGATTTCAAAGACCTGCTAGGAGCACACTGCCCTGGGATACTGGGAGCAGGCCAAGGGGAGAGAGAGGATTTAGGCTTCTAGCACTCGCACTGGTAGTGAGAAACTATTGGCTTTGTTGTGATTCGTGAAAAATGTACCTATAACTTTCTCTAACTAGGCTGGGGGTTGGGGAAACGAGCCTTAGATGCACTATGCATAAATATTATATTTTCATCACACATGCATATACTGCAAAATCTTTGACAACCATGGTTTTGAGAATTCACATATGAAAAATCCAAACTTTTAATATATAATGATTCAGGGGTGTGTTCTTAAGTAAGTGAATATAACGATATTGCCCCTCCCTCTTCTCTCCCCAGTATACCACATGGTGGACATGAGTGCCAGGGCAGATAAAAGAGAATCTATTTCAATGATCAGAGGCCTAGGGTCCAAAATACTGTGTTCTTAAATACTATATTCATGTATTAAAAAATATTGAATTTTGTGAAAGAAGAGAAAATGGGATACGAAAAGAAAATTACTATTATCCAAAATCAAATCCATCATTAAGAGACAAAACCTGCCACCAGTGAACATGATCAGTATGGTTCAAATAAGAGATTGATTACTAATAATTAAAAATATATCTCCATAACAGATTTTCACTTTGGTTTCTCTGAAGCATTAGTTTTGTTTCCAATCATGAATATTTCATTATGACATCTTACACCAGGGCTTCCCTGATTCTATTCCTTAGGATTTATTCTTTGTCATATAGGCTTTAGAAACTAGAACCTTAGTGAAACTGAGGTCCCCTTGATCTTTTGTAGTCCCCACCTTACCTTTTCTTTCCACCTTGGGTTTCACCATCTGAGTAGTTTCAGACAACCCACCAATCAACCAGAAACAAGTTCAAATATAATTGTGACAAATGCAAGGTTTGGAAACCCTGCCTGGTAATTGACATTGAAAGAGACTTAAAGCTTCTTACAGAATCAAGACTATTGTAATGCAACATGTATTGGAATACCAACTCCATAACTGTCCACTCTAATTCAGAATTGAGGAGTCCACTGCACATTCTGAATTACTTTTAATACAAATGTGTTTTTACCTACTATGACAAAACTTACTTGATAATAAGTTCTCCAGCTTGCACAATATGGTGAAGAAATCCCAGAACTTGCTCAACAGTTTTCAACTCATCTGGATAAAACATAGCTTTCTGCATTTCAGCATGTGACTCTCTATAAAAGGAAATGGTGCTTTATCTCTAGTGTGACTGCTGCATGAACATTCTCCTGCACCCAAGTAGAGCTCATCATCCTTTACTGTGAATAGACAAGGCTCCCTCCTATTCTCACATTTTCAAAAGCATGTAAAATCTGTTTCAAGTGTTCATTTTAATGACATCCCAGTTAAAAATGATAGACAAATCATCCCATGTTATTCCAGTGGTTCCTTTTATTTATTAACTCCTGTTTGTTCAGAGGCTACAAAGCACTATTTTTGTATACAGAAATGTTCTTTTTCTCTACATACCGATATGTAGTTTGCTCCTGATTTTTCGTTTTAAATTAGCCATTAGTAGAACATTTCCAGAATCTGAAATTTCATGAACTCTATATCTTGGCCTTTTTTCTTTGAAGATACAGATAAGCTTATTAAGGGAGGCTTTGTGGGGACAGCGCAAATTTTGCAGACAGAAAGGGGTCCTGTTCTGTATCTCTCTAGTAGAGTGAACCTCAATGGGAAATGTGATTTGTACTTAAGATAAGTTTTACCATCCCCCCACCCCCCATTCTTTAGGTGCTTGTTCATAAAAAGTGAAACACCCAGAATTCTTCCAGTAAAGTATCTGTCTTGTTTGAAGCCTGTCTGAGAAGGTGCATCACTAGGAATGCTTCACAGGCTTTGTTATGATACAATTGCATTTTTAACACACCCCTGTGCGTAAAGGTCTCTGCTTCATTGAGTGTCTGGGCTCCATACTGGGACAGGTCAACAACATCCCTGAAGTCCTGAAACAGGTATAGTTTGATATACTAATACTACAGAGAAACAGGACATTTCCTTTGCTGGCACTGGGTAGAAAACATCAGCTTGTTTTCTTTAACCGTTGTCTTATTTATTTCACAGCCAGTCTCAGAAAATGGGCCAGCTCCTTAGTACTCCCACACAATGTAAGAGCTTGTTTCCAAAGAGCAGAGAAAATGGACTAAGATCCACAGGAGGGATGACAGATGGATTCTGTCGCATTGCCAGAGACATGAAATTGCAGGTGACACCTGATATATGATAATAAAGAGCACCCAGCCAGTAATCAGCCCTTGGCCTTTATTTTTGTGATGTCATCAGCATGCAGGTGGCTTACCTGAGATTCTGAACAAAATACTGAGCATTGTCAAGGGGCTCACGTGGGCAACTTTTATCTCCCCATCTGTGTGATCTCCAGTGTGATGAGTTTGGACTACTGCCATTTCCAACTCTATTTTGGTTTACAAAAAGTTATCAGAAGGTTGTCTGTTTATTCTGCTCTATTCTTTGTCTTAAAAAAATCTAAAGCCAATAAGAAAGTTCAACTGTGCAGTTAATTATAATATTGATACCTTTAGGACTAAATTTGCATGATTTGTAATGTAGTCAAAAAGAAATATGGAATGTAAAGGATATCCATTTAACATTAATCTGAATTTAGATGATACTCAGGTTATAAATGTCTGACTGTGTGTATTGTATTTTATAAATAAAATATACACATTATATAATCAGTGGCATATTAAAAATATGTCTGAGGAAGTGGTGCTCTTCCTGCTATATTTGGGAAGTAGGATTATTTATTTCTACTTGGTTCAGCTACCTTTTTTTAAAAAATACATGAAGTTCATTTAACTTGAGTCCTCATAATATAACAACCATACAAATGGAAAAAAATAGATTTAGAAATAAAATCAACCTCATGCAATAGAATTATGCCATGAATTATAAACAGTTTGCTGAAGAGCTAGATCTCCTAAGATGACTAGGATGACCAGGGGCACTTAAAGAGCCAGGCACAGGTGCTGTGTATCTGAGGACCTTTTGCTGGTTTGAGATTCATGAACCCTAGCTGGGTGGTTTATTTTACTATTGATAATTCATCCAATAAGGAAAGGAGGGTGTAGAGGCAATAAGTAGTCTAGTTTGCATAACTGTAAATATTAGGACCAAAATTAAACGCAGGACTCACTGATTTCAAAACAGTATTTAAGCAGTACATCATATTGCCCATAAATAATGTATACATAGAACAAGAGTGGTTTTCAAATGTTGTTATAATTCCTCCTCTCTAAAATATGAGTGATCCCCTAGTCAGGGGCATTAAAGGGAACGTGTGGTCGTTGTCCTTTCCTTCCATTATCACCCCGCACTTTCATCACCCACTGCTTGTTTTCTGTGCCCAGGCCAGTCCATATCCTACATTGATCTGGTCAGTTCCTTCCATCAGTGATGATTCACTGGTAGTCAAGAAATCTTAACTCTCTACTAGCAATTGCTCCAGGTCCCATAGGTATTATAAAGATTTATCATGAAATTATTGTTTAGCGGTAATTACACTGTTTGTTGTTTTAGTGTTTTATTTCATTTTGAGGGGATGCTACTGAATAGACTGGTAGAAAGATTGGAACATGAGGTGTTCCACAATTTCCAAGTGTGACATTTACAAAGCTGCTGGCCCACTGTATGTCTCTGTGTGTGTGCATGTGTTTCTGTGTGTGGAGGGTTTTGTAAAATGTATGTGTAGTACAGATGACTTTAATTTTTAGCAATAAAAGAATGACTTCTAGGCTGAGAACTGCATGAGAAAATGTTCACTAACTTAAACAAAATCTCTAGTTACTTTTTGTTTTATAGGATTAAACTTCTTAATTGATTAAAACAACTTATTTTTTAAAGAATTTAACTATTTTATGCACCCCCCATACACACATAAAACAAAAAGGAAATACAATTTTAAATATGAATTTTCTATATTAAGTTTAATAACTTTATAGCTGTCTTGGACATTATACGCTAATATTTAACGTGAGATAATTTCAACAATTTTTTAGATGCTAAAATTGTGTCATATTACAGATAATATGTAATACTTGAAATAGTTTTTGTCAGTTTGTTTTACTTTGGCCAATCATTACATGGGGTCCAGCACTCTGATATATTTTTGTTGTTTTTATTTGTTTATATGTTTATATAAATAACAACAAATTTGGAAATTTCAGTAGTGAGAAAAATTCAACAGATTTTTTTTTCAGAAGATGGTAAACAGAAATGTCTAATACAATAAGAGCAATGAGAAAAATTCACTAGTAATATACAAATAGCGTTTTAGTTATTGCTTTTTTCCTTCAGTAGAAGCAATATTCTCTACTGCATTTAATTTATATTCCCTATTAATTCTTTTTTGTTAAAAAGTATGGCATAGAGATATTGAATACAATGTGAAACTTGTAGGATTCCATAATTGCCCCCATGGTGCATTTGGAGATATAAACCAATAGCAAATTTTCAGATGAATTTTTAATGTCTACACATACCACAGTGGCTCATTATCCTCCATGTTAGAAATGATGCTTTTTGCATATCTCAATGTTCTTTTTTCCCAAAGTCTAACTTTAACCCATAAAAAACACAGTCATGAGAAACAATGCATGAAACGTGTGCATCAAATGATACATTATTAAACAAATCACAGATGATCCATGCTGTGTATTGTGAAGAAATCCAAATTTCCTAAAATTCACGTAAGTACTATTCAGCCTAGAAATTACCAAATATATAGAGTAGGAGTTAGTTCACCTACAGAAATAATTATTGTGGTGTATGGTTGGGCAAAGAGAATACAGATTTTCAAGCAGATTAAAGGAGTTAAATTTTGAGAACTTCTAAATGTCTAATTGTAAACAGTTCATTCTGCCCAGAGTGACATGATTATATCTACAAATATGACTAGCAGATTTTCATCAAAGTCCCAGAAATTCTTCCATAATGCCTGTTGGAATACAGCATGATGTAATGTTGGCTAAGCATGAGATATGATTTTCTATCTATGGAACTTTCACAAGTGGACTCTTAAGAGCATATTATATCACTTCCTAATGATATTTCTTATCAGTTTGGTAAGTCATGCAATAGTCTCTAAAATAAAAATCAATACTCTTCATGCAGACTGCCTTGATTCTGATTTAGCACAGTCCCAAATGAGTGAGAACTAAGCTCATAGGTGAGATTGTGTTTGGCTTAACTACAAATACGTTCTCTACTCTAGCTTTCATCACATATGTCTCCTATTAAGTTTCACAACTGTTGCCCAGTGTGAAGTTTGTGAAACTACACACTGATCAGATCCTCTATTGAGTGCTTATTAGTATATGCCTAAATTATTTCAAACATTTTAGTGATTATATTTTAAATCAATCATTGAAATCAGTGAATAAAATAGAAATAGATGAGAGTATATTTACTTAATTTGGACATTTGACTGCTCTAAACAACAGAGCCCCAACTTTCCAAAAGATAATACATAAACTAAAAATTAAAATACAGATAGAATAAAAAACTTTAGAAAAATCTTTGAGAAAAACAAATGGGCATACTTTTGATTTAAAAATTGAAGCTTGATTTATAACTTTTTTATTTTTATTTTTTTTGAGACGGAGTCTCGCTGTGTTGCCCAGGCTGGAGTGCAGTGGCGCGATCTCGGCGCACTGCAAGCTCCGCCTCCCGGGTTCACGCCATTCTCCTGCCTCTGCCTCCCGAGTAGCTGGGACTGCAGGCGCCTGCCACCACGCCCAGCCAATTTTTTTTTTTTTTTTTTTTAATTTTTGGTAGAGACGTGGTTTCACCGTGTTAGCCAGGATGGTCTCGATCTCCTGACCTCGTGTGCTGGGATTACTGGCGTGAGCCACCACGCCTGGCTTATAACTTTATTTTTAAATTAATATTTGGTAATACATTTCTGCTGGAGTACTGAACCTAGAAAATAAGCGGTGAAATACTTCTAGAAAAAGATAAAAAATATATTACATGATCTTATTTTACCTTATTCATTTTACATTTGTGTGTAATACCAAAATTATGTAAAATATCTTATTTCCCACATTAAAACTATGTGAATCTTTCTGCCTCTTATTAACATAACCATATATCTCTTTGTTCTGCAGATGACCCCTAAAAATCCACATCCTCTATAAATCCATCTAGATTGATCAGAAAGAGATTAATGATTTTTACTGGACCCAATTTATCTCAACCTCGAAGTTTAAGCTCTACTCCTCTTATTCTTCAACCCCCAGCAAAAAATTTACAATTGACTTCTTTCCAACTTGCAGATGACCAGAATATCCTGTGAATAATTCTATTGCCCCTGGATGCATCTGTGCAACATTCTTATTCTGTTTTATACAGTAGTCCCCTTATCCACAGCTTCTCTGTCCATGGTTTCAGCTACCTGTGGTAGACTGTGATCTGAAAATACTAAATAAAAATGTTCAGAAAGGAATAATTTATAAGTTTTAAATTGGGTGCCATTCTGATATTATTATAGTTGTTTTGGCTTATTATTATTATTATTATTATTAATCTCTCACTGTGCCTGATTTATAAACTAAACTTTATCATAGGTATGTATGTACAGGAAAAAACACAGTACATATAGGATTCAATACTATCTGTGGTTTCAGGCATCTACTGGGGGTCTTGGAATGTATCCTTCATAAACAATGAGAGACCACTGCAAATCTTTTGTTTTTCTGTATCACTGTAAATTTATTCAGATTGTAAACCATTGGAAGATATGAATCCTCAGACATTACAGCTACAGCATCATGTAATAAGACTCCATCCATTTATTCATAAAACATTGAGCACCTCTTATGTATCAGAAATTGAACAAGAAGTTTGAAATACAAAAAATAAATGAGACATAGTGCCTGCCCTTAAGATGTTTACTTTAATAGTACCAGAGGGAAATATGTGCACACCTATGTATTATCTTTCATTAGATAATGCTGCAGTTATAAAAAATCCTCAAATCTCAGGATCCTACTTTATCTCTCACATTAAATATTGACTGTATTGGCTATGAATTGGCCATGGCTTTACCCAACATAGCTTTTTCATTCCAGGATTGAGACTGAAGGACAAGGCTCCACTTGAGACATGTCATTTTTGTAACATAACTGGAGGGGGAAAAAAGGCTTTTAATGCTTCTTTGTGACACATGTAACCTCCACACAAATTTCATTAACCAAAGCAAGCCATGTGGCCAAAGCTGATAACAACAGAGTAAGAAACCCACCCCATAGAAAGGCACTGAAGGTTGTGGGGCAAGAGGTAAGCATGAAGAATTAATTCTCTCACAGGGAGGAGATTAAAAAAATGGAAATAAAAACATAACTAATTATAAATAGAAAACAAGGTGAGCAAATATAAACTGTGGTCTGAATAACCGCAATGGGGTCATCCAAATACAGCGTTTGGTGGTAATGAAGGCGGGGGTAAGTGGTACTTGAGCTGGGTCTTGCAAGTTCAGTAGGAGTTTGTCAGGGTGATAAAATGGGAATGGTATTCTAGATAGAAGATAAAGATAAGCATTTGCAAAGACATAAAGAAAGGAGAGAGTCCATTTTGTTCAGGCAATGGTGGGCTGTTTAGCGCAGTTGTGACATTAGATTGTGATAATAGTGGTCTGAGGTTAAATGCAATCTAAGAAACTTTGACCTTATATGCTAAGAATAGAGTCCTTATGGAGGTTGATTTTTGGCAGCAGACTGTCCCTATATAACCAATTTTGGCCAAGTCAATTAATTAATGGCCTAGGATCTCTGATTCTTAATTTATAAAGTGGAATTTAGGGGCCAAATTACATGTCAGTTTTTTTCCAGCCCTTATGTTTTATAACTCTATAGTCTTTATTATCCAATAGAGATGATTTTCATACTTAATGAAAATATTTCAAGATTTCATTTCAAGATTTGCATTTCCTAAAATTTCAAACTTAAAGGAAAAATTTTCTCCTTTCTCATATAAGGGAGATATAATAATTACTCGATAACTACTGACATGTCCTGATGTATGGTTAGAAGTGCAAAATATAAAAAACAGATTTCAGAATAATTATATTTAGAACCCTACTAAGTCATTTTTAAACAAAATATAGCAGTGAAAAAAATTTATTTAACCCACATTTTCTCAGATTAATGACTTGGGTTTTTCAGTGTTTATTTTCTACATTGTAAAATCTTCTATTTTTTAAATTCTAAATGGTGAGCATATTTACTAGATATTTATTTACTATAAGTGAGATATAAGTGAAAACATTGAATTAGGTAAGATAATTCAAGATTGACTAGACTATATTGAAGTAACAATCTTCAAAATAGAAGTGTGTTTTTTTTGTTTTTGTTTGTTTGTTTGTTTTGAGACGGAGTCTCGCTCTGTCACCCAGGCTGGAGTGCAGTGGTGTAATCTCGGCTCACTGCAAGCTCTGCCTCCCGGGTTCAAGCCATTCTCCTGCCTCAGCCTCCCTAGTAGCTGGGACCACAGGCACGCACCACCACGCCCGGCTAATTTTTTTGTATTTTTAGTAGAGATGGGGTTTCACTGTGTTAGCCAGGATGGTCTCGATCTCCTGACCTTATGATCTGCCCACCTCAGCCTCCCAAAGTGCTAGGATTACAGGCATGAGCCACCGCGCCTGGCCATAGGTGGTTTATATACCAAATACTTATTTTTAGCTTACCCAAAGACTATTTCTAGTCCAGGTAGTATTCAACAGCAGACATACACATGGGTTGGTTCAGCATTTTAGGTGGCTTTAAATTTCCAACACCTCTTATCAACACACATTTCACTATCATATTCACAGAGTGAAGCATAAACTAGAGTGTGGAATATTAGCAATTTAATGCTTCTATCCAGAAGTGATATATGGCATTTCCACCAACCATCACATCTACCCACATTTCATTGCCAAAAGAAGTCATAAGGCCTCCCCTTGCTTCAAGAAGAGGGGGATGTGCTGTGTTTCCACCTTGCCTAAATTTAGGGAAAAAAAATCAGATTTCTGCTAGAGAATAGCACCCATACCTACCATCTAATATAAAGTAATCAAAAAATTAACATTTGTTTACTATCTACCATGGGCCAGAACTATGTTAGAATCATTCTCGTTTGTTAACTTAGTAGACGCTCACAAAATATTTTTGACATATTATAGTATCTCCATCTTTCAAAAGCAAGCAAATAAACAAACAAGCAGCAAAAAATGAAACCGATACCCCAAACCCGTCCCAAAGAGACAGGAGGAATTTAACTTAGGGATTTTTATTACAAGACCTGTGTTATTTGTATAGAATCATGTTGCCTTTTTATAAATAATAAATGACCAACTATTATTCTTGTTTATCACCTAAAAAGTCAAGTAGCAATTGTGTCTTGCAGTTATAATTTTCTTCTCTTGAGACCGTGGTTAAGAAAAGCATTTTATTAAAGTAATTAAATACCACAGATCATCTGATTCACATGTAATTGAGGAAATCTCCATATGTCATTCTAACTTTTTGAGTGTTCTGAATCTGCTTTTTCAGAAGTTATAAATATGAGACTCACCGGCTACAGATTTATCCTTTTTTGTGTGTTTCATCCATCAATGGCCATAGGAATTAAAAATGGAGTCCAGTTCAGCATAAAATGTGAATCTAGTTACATGAACCTTTTAAAAAACTCAATGATAAGTAAAGTGTATTCATACCCATTGAATATCTTATCACAGTGTTTCAATGAGGTAGGATGATGGTCTTGCAAGAGAGATTATTCAACATGGTCTATAGATTTTATTTTTAAGTTGAAAAAGTAACCTGCAATATGGCAAGGATAATGGTTTCTATACACTCTTAAAGGCAGTCAATAGTTCTATAAAAAGGCCATGGAATACATGCCCCTTTCTTCCCAAAGTGACTATTATAATTGTTTTTTAAAAACCTGAAGTGACAATGGATTTAGTTTGCATATATTAATGTTCAACCAAATTGTCTATTTTGGATATTAAAAAATCAGGATAGGATTTGTGCATATGAAACAAGTTCTTTCTGTGTTGTTGAAATTATTGAATAAGTTCTGCTGACTATACCTACTTTTCTCTGCATCAGCATACGTCTAGGAGATGTAAAGAAGCAAAGATGATACAAAATTCTTCTCACAGAGTAAAAATACAATTTAATTTAAAACTTTAGAAGATAACCTCTCTCAAATTAAAAAATTACTAAAATTTAGGATTTGTAATTGTGTTTCATCAGCATTGATCTTATAGATATGTTGTCAATAAATATCTTGTAAACAAAATATACTCTTGTGAGGCATAATTATTGATATCCAAAATCATGAAAGAGATCAAAACAGACAAATAATTTTTAGGATAGCAAATATTCATAAGGAAATTTAATAATTTTTTAAATTGTTAAATTTAATAATTTTTTAAACTGTTAAATTTAAAAAATTTGTTAAATTAAAAAAAGTAATTGTTAAATTGACTGACCAGGTTTAGATAACGTTAGCAATTCACAAGTTCAATATTTGATGGAATGCACAGTATGTAGACTATTTCCACAATTAAATCAAGATATTAAGCTTCTCATCAAAGGCTATGAAAGATTAATTCATTACAATAACACAAAATTAAAAGATTTAATCATGTCATTTCAATAGAAAACATTATTCAAAAGAAACTAACATATGCTAAAAGTTTCTTAATTGTTTTCTTTGAATCACTGGATTGTCTATATTTGTATAACTTATTGTGTGCTGAATAGTTACCAGGCATGATTTCTAATCTTTCCAAAAACTCTGGAAGATAATCATTATTATCCTCACTTATAGATACTATTTAACTGAGACTGAGAAACATAAACTATTATGCCCAAGATTGACGGTGGTACAGAGATCCAAACCTTCTTCTGAGTGATTCTAATTCAGGGTTTTTCTGAAACATCAGATAATGGCTTCCTGATCACCCAAGACATGTAGCCAATCACTTGAGACATAGTATAGAGCAATTCTTTTTAGTTCTGTTTTTCTCTCTAGAAATCTCTTGCATATATGTATCCTCTTTTATCTATTGACACTAATTCTGACCTAATTTAGACACTTGTCATATTTTGCTTCAACTTAATTTATTGTCATCATACATATATCAAATGTTTAACAATTTATACTGTGTTGTGTACTGAGGGTAAAATATAATAAGGCGTTTTTTCAAAAATGGCCTAAAATTCTTTGATACTCCTTCAATTAAGAAGTGGAGTCTGTGTCCCTTCTCCTTGAATTCAGGCTCTGTAACTGCTTGGCCAACAGGATATGATAGAAGTGACTCTGTGCCTGTGTAACCCCAGGATGTATGGAACTGAGAGCTTCTACTTCCTGTCTGATGTGAGAAAGCCAAGGTCACATGGAGAGGCCATGACAGTTCTAGCTGAGGCTCAAGTCAACAGCCAGCACCAACCACCAGACTGTGATTGGGAAAACCTTTGAAATGATGCCAGCCCCAGGTTCCAACTGAGAATTGTCCAGGTGAACACAGTCAACCCCCAGAACTGTGAACGATAATAATAAAGTAATTGTTACTATTTTGTCACTAAAATTTAGAATGACCTGTTTGCAGCAATAAGTAATGAACTGACACCTAAAAACCAAAAAGGCTTAGCAACAGTCTAGTAGAAAATAAAGATATAAAATAATGAAAATGACATGGGAAATTTTTCACTCATCAAAATGACCTCATGAGAAAGCCTGACATTTGTCTGGAAGAAATGAACTTGTTAGCTGATGGGTGGACATTCGAGATTGGCATATTGTGAGGATAGGGATGTTATGATCACATGGTTGGGGGCGGGATGGTGCAGTTTTACTAATTATCACTGTTGGGAAAATCCTAATGTATTTTGGTAGGGAGGAGCACTTCTTAGGTTCCATCCATAGCTACTAATACCAGTTTAACTTACTTTAAATTATTTTTGCCTGATTCTTTTGTTTTTCAAAGAATCTCTATTCAGAGGAGACTTAAAGTTTCTGTTTTCTCTAGGCATTTTATTCCTCTTAGGCTAATGATATGATGGGCAGGAGAAAAAGGTGGAGAATTCTAGGAATGAAACCAGGTGTCACCACAGGAGAGGACAATGCCAAAGGAATTTCTTTGGGCTGAGTTGTACCTGTCAGTGGGGGATATGGCACATTCTTTTAGACAACTTCAAAATATCCCAACATTGATTTCAAACAAGTTTGGGGAAGTATTTGGCCTCCTAAATAAAACCGTGTCTTCTGTGACATTGCTGTTTTCAGAGAAAGGAGATTTGTGCCAATGCAGAACATAGAAAAAGTAGTGTATTAAATATCTTGACTAAAACTCTGAATCAAAACTTCAGCATCTTACTTTAGTCTAATTTCTGTCTCATCCCGATTGCTTTACTGATCCAAAAAATAAAACATAACAACCCCCCGTCCCCCAAACCTGCATATATCAGATTAACTACTCATTGCCCCAGCATATCAAACAACAGAAAATGTGCTTTTCTAGCAAGCTCTAGGATCTGAGAAATAACTGGTTACTATTGTCACAGAAAAGAAAAACCGCATAAAATAGATTAAACAATAAACGTGTAATTGCATTTTAAATTAAATGTGAATCTTGAAAATATAAACAAATTGGTAAGTGCAGTTTGTTTCACATTTTGCTGAAAGCATCCAGATACATGCCATATTCCCACATTCATAAGAAAGTCACATACTCTGAAGAAATAAAACTATATAAAAATTCAAAGTAATCGTTTATGTAATTATATGGCATCGGAGAGGTCCTGTTACTTTGTACATGGCTGGGAAAGAGACCTTATGTAGTACTGAAATGAAACATTATTGCCATCTCACTTACTCATTCTTGGAATTGGTTTAGTGATTACTTCAACATTGACATCAGTGAAAAACATTTGACATCTGGCCTAGAAAATCAGACAGTCGACCACAGAGACTTTGATTAAAAAACTTCATGTAATTTTCTCCAATCAGTAGCTTGGCCTGTTCTTTTATCAGAGTGAAGGTTGCTCTCATCACCTGCAAATTTATACTAAGGCTTTAAACAAACAAGTATGAAACTTCTATGTGAAAATCCCCTCCTGAAGGAATACTTACAGAGGAACTTGATGATTAGCTGTACTGATTTGATTCCTTCAGTGTGAAATAAGCCTGGAATCTTTTGTATATATATTTTTATCCCAGTTGCATATATGCATGTATATGTGTACTTTTAGCTTTCATCTCATAAAGGACTTTTGAGAAAACTCTACATTAGGTGGTATTGCTTGCCAGGCCAGGGGAAAACAAAAACCAAAAAAAAAAAAAAAAAAACAAAAACCAAAAAAAACAGCTTCTTTCACATCATCTGTGTGCCAGGGACTATTCTGAAGTCAGTAATCATGCAAGCCACTAGGGTTCTGTATGTTTAACCTCCTATAGAGCAGAGCCATTCCCATTACTGAGAAGAATGAACCCTCAGGGACACAACAATAGAGATCCTGAAATGAACTGTATTGCAGTATCACCATGAATTAAAGTCTCCATCAGAGGCTGTGGCTCTTGGCATTAGAGAGCAAGGGCTTCAGTGAAGTCGAGCAAGGGATTCTGCAGTAATGAGCCATCCTACTGCCTTTTCTCTGTGAAGACAATTTATATAATGAAACTTGATAATTAACTTATGTCCAACAAACTAAATCCAATATATCTGTTTTCAGGTCAGAGGCAGTGGCTGTAGTCTCTTGGAATATGCTACCCCATCTACCAGTTCCTTGACAAGGACACAGTCCCTGCTAATACAGTGTCACAGTAAATTTGCTTATCTCTTAAGAACAACGAGGTGTGCTGTAAAATATGTATGTACTATCAAAACATTCATAATAAAATCCTAATAAAATTAGAAAGTTGGAATAAAAGGAAATAATTGTCTTCAATTGTATGTCTTGAAATTACCTTCAATAATGGCTGATGCATTATATATGGGGTGACTATTACATACATACATACATATATTATATATATGTGTGTGTGTGTTTATATATATATATATATATGTGTATATATATATATATATATATATATATATATATGTATGAGAGAGAGAGAGCTTCCGCCCATGAGCACAGAATTAGTTTTTCAGGTTCAGTTTTTAAGGAAAGAAGACAATATGATGAAATAAAAACCAACTTCTCCCAATTCTACAACTTTATCTTTCACGGTTTACAAATTGCCATTGCACTATTATACTCTGGAGAATATGAAATCTACTCAATGATTAGAGATTGGAGACACAGTAAAAAAACAAACAAAACACACACACACACACACACACACACACACACACTGTTTGATACTACCTGAAATAGCAAAGTGAAAAAAAAAAAAAAACACAGAAGGTGAGAAAAGGAAACACTTGGATCATTTTTCAAAATGTCAATGTTTTATTTAAACCTGCCTGGGGCTGATCTCTGCACTCAATCCATGTACATGGCATGGTGTTGGAATTACAACTCTCAGATGGAAAGAAAGAAGTACGAGGCAGATTTTGCATCATAAGTTGTGACCATTTTTGATACATACTACAACAGTCATTTACTGGTCCATTGGCCTATATCCTCATGAAATCAGACTGTATTTTTGGAAATCAGGCAGAGAAATAAAATCTGATCTCAAAGATGGATATCTATTGGGAAACACTTTCATTAAGCATCAAGAAGTATTCT
This sequence comes from Homo sapiens, assembly GCF_000001405.40. Lineage (NCBI taxonomy): Eukaryota > Metazoa > Chordata > Mammalia > Primates > Hominidae > Homo > Homo sapiens. The sequence goes on along the minus strand of NC_000008.11, from coordinate 105,116,503 downwards.
GCCGGAAAAAAAGTGATTTGTTCCATGGAAAAATGTTTCTAGAGGACATTGATATTTAGTTACTCATATCAACGACCATGCTTATAAAAAAATTTCCACATCTTTGTCATTTAAAAACATTACATTATTAATCTTTCTAGATGTATTTATTTGTAAAATACCAGAGGAAGCTTAAAATTGCCTATCATTTATTTCTTTAAAAATACAGAATTTTTTGCTGATAAATTATTTTACCTCTGTTTCAAAATTTCAGGTTAACCCATTAATGTGTTAGCAGTAGCTAAATTATGCTAAAATAGCTTAATTTATGCAATTTTCTTGAAATTATTTTTAAATGTAATTTATAGTTATTTTATAAGAATAATAAAGTGAATAATGGTTGGCCTTGTTTGGCATATTAGAAGGGGACTTAAACCATATTCTTAAAGGAGAGTAGATATTAGGACAAACTAGAAGTTACACATATGTCTTCATTCTAAATCCACATTCATGGGATTTTTTTTTTTGTAATTAACCAACTGAAATACACCTTTTCCAGGTGATGGGGCCCAAAGTGAGAAGTACTCTTACTGTGTTTGCCAGTCTGTCATCTATTTTTAATTGATGTTCCTTGTCAACTCATACATTTAATCGTTTACAAGATGAGCCCTTAGGGCTAGACAAAGCTTTACATTTTACATCATGCTTTCCTACTGCTTATAAACCAAATGTAGAATTTATGAAATTGATAGCGTGCAAAGATACTGAATCCTATTGCCTGGTGTTTAAAATTGTTCATTTGAAAAGTGTCTGTTTTTAATAAAAGAAGTTGAGTTTAAAAAGCTGTTTCTGTCTAGGGGAAAAAGTTCCATGACAGCAAAGTTTCATTTTGTTCTCAAATGAATCCTAAGCACCTAGAACAGTGCCTAGTATATAATAGTGCTCAATAAATAAATTCACAATTTCTTCAGTGAGTGAATGCATTGTAACAAAGACAACCAATGCTACATATAAAGCAGGCTTTTAAAATGAAATTGTTTTCCATTTTATGGTGACTGTGAAATAGAGATTTATGGAGAACAATCCTTAATTGTGGTCTTTCGAGGCAAGATGGCCCATGACTGCTGGTTGCCTGTTACTGAAAACTCTGGGGTATATAAATAAACAACCAAAACTTTTGAAAAGTCTTAAAACATGGAAATTAATCAAGTGCTAAATTTTGTGGTAGATAAAATTGGAATAAATGAAAATTTAAGGAAAAATAAGTTCATGGTGGCTTGGAGAAATCATTTATTTAATAAGAGTTCATGTTTAACTAGTGCCTACCAGGGGCCAGATGCTTGCACACAGTGAATGCAGGGGTAGCGATACCCATGCAAAGCTAGAATTACAATCTCACCCCTACTCTCATGGTTATGTGGTACATTTACCACACTCTTCCTGGGAGCCAGGGAAAGCCTTGCTGAGAAGCTGACATCTAAGAAGCATGTGACCATAAAGAAGGGACGGGCCAAAATAGGCAAGGCAATTGGAATGACAACTGACCAACATGGAGAAACTGCGTCTCTACTAAAAATATAAAAAATTAGCTGGGTGTGGTGGCACATGCCTGTAATCCCAGCTACTTGGGAGGCTGAGGCAGGAGAATCAATTGAACCCAGAAGGTGGAGGTTGAGGTGAGCCAAGATCGTGCCATTGCACTCCAGCCTGGGCAACAAGAGTGAAACTCTGTCTCAAATAAAAAAAAAAAAAAAAAAAAAAAGTGGGACAAAAATACATGTTTCAGAGAAGCAGAATTGGGACCTCAAAAAATGATTGTCTGCCAGGAATAGATTTTATATTACTTAGGACAATTAAGTTTCTGTTACAAAGGAACCCCCAAATAGCCTGATTTAAACAAGATTAGGTTAATTCCTCTTTCATGCAATAAGCTGAGCATAATCAGTTGAGGGCTGATACGTTTGTGCAAAAACAGGCTTCTGTCTCTTGTTGCTTAGCCATTGTCAGCACATGGCTTTCGCCTTGTGTTTTAAGATGGCTGCTGCAGTCCCTGCCATTACATCTACATTTCAGTTGGTGGAAAGGAGAGGGGGAGAAGCAGAAAGCATGCACTAACATCCTCCACAGAATACACCCATTCTTTCTTTTCATCCCAATTCCTTTTTGCTTCCAAGCAAAACTTCTCTGCCACCCTTCCTCCAGTTTCTAACCCATGTTTTTCACATTTTTCCTTCAGGACCAGGAAAAAACCTTGGAAATGTAAATGCCTCTAAGGGCTCAATTAGGAACCTCAACTCTTGAATCACTATCAGATTTTCATATGCTTGACTCTTTCACATCGCCTTCCTCAGAGAAATGTGATGAGAACTGTGCATAATGTGAAGATCTTTGACTGAAAGATGCTAACTAAATGGGGACACTATGATCATTTATAGGGAAAGGTCTTCAATTTATAGCCCATTGTCGCCAACTTGCTCCAGCTTCATTAGGGCTAGAAACAAAACTCCCAATGAACTACACTCTTCCTCCTCTTTAAGTATTACCACAGTCGGGGGGTGTAATTAGAAATGGCAGATTGAAATCCCTCCTGTGGCACATGCAATGCTAGCAGGATGCAGCTGATTGACAAAATCACCTTGGTGGGGCCAGTATAGCTCAGCTGAGGAAGGGCTCTCTTCTTGCCTACCTTGCACCTTTGAAGAAAATTGGCAGCTAAAGTCTTACTCCAGGATCTTTATTATTCGAGATGATGTGTTAGTCAGCAAGATGCAGTGTGACTTATACACACCAGATGGGACTTTCAATGGGGAGAAGTTCGAACTAGAATTAATTTGTTTTCTACCTGGAATGTATGTCAGGGATTGAAAGGATATAGGAAATGTCTCATGACATCAGTCACCTTTGTTCCTTCAGGCCTTGCCTTTGCATGTTCTGAAGTTAAGAACTGGGCCTCTAGAAAGGCTGCTTTGTTCCAGTAGGTAGAACTTACGGGAACTGTTTCTAAGACCAGGCACATGGTAGAACAACTCTTTTTACCCTGTAGTTTCTTTCTTTTAATAAGATATCACCCCAAAGAAAAAGTGGAGTGAAACATTTTCTAGCTTTCAAACTAAGTAGAAAATGTCATTACTTTTCTTTTTTTAAAACAAAAGAACAGTTTTATTTTATATATTTTTGTCTCCTCCCAAAATCAGGCCGTCTCACAGAAATATTGAAAAGCAGATAAATTAGACATCAGAAAGAAATGATTTCTTTCCTTTGACTTCAGCTAAGGGGTATTTATAAGTGCGTAGAGTCGACAACACTAACAGAATTCAGCTTATGTTCTAGTAAAGAACAGAAATATCATTTGAAACAGAATTATGTAAATTGGTGACAGAAAAATAATTAAATTAATTTCAAGTATTAATTTAGTAAATATAGCCTTCCAGAGCCCTCCTCTATAGTTTGGTGTCTGTCATTCACATCACTTACTCTGTTTTCTATATTGTTAGGCTCCAGTTCTTTTTATCCTTATTTCTTCCAATTCTTTGTCCACTATTTTTCCTAAGGTCTGTTTTGCTTCTTTCTATTGCTTTTTATTGTTTTGCTTTATCATTTGTTGAGGATCTGCTGTATACTATCAAAGGCTCTTCTCCTCTCTTTCCTCCTCCCAGTCTTTTTCTGACTGTCTCTCAAATGGTATCTTCTACTATGCCACTCCTCTCCCTCACTTATCTCAAGCCTCCATTCTCCCTCCCTAAACACGTATGCACCTTCATACATAGACACAGTCATACCCATTCTCCCTTTTCTTAGTATCATGGCTTAATTGGCATTGAAACAAGAAAGGGATGGCTGAGACCAGAAAAATAGGCAGATCTGCTACAACTGACCAATAGAAGGTAATAGAAGCCCATCTGCAGCAGCAGCTGGATGGAGAAGACTATTTGGGAAACCCCAAGAACAGAGAGGAGTAATCAGAGACTCTTGTGGATTAGAATTTCAGAGAAACATGGCCTTAGGAGAGTCAGCTGGGCCTAGAAAGGCAAAATGGCAGCCCATGAAGATCCCACAGGCGGAAAGTATGTGGGATCCAGCCACAGAGGTTATACTATTCTCCCTGTTATCCTCTGGAAAAAGTGTCAGTAAAGAACCCCAGTTTAGAGAAATCAGGTTCTTATACAGAAACTAAATCAAGCATAAGGAATAAATGAGGGAAGCACAGGTGCATGAATTGGATGATTAGAGCCAGGTGGATGGATCCAACCAGCCCAGTGATGTTTAGTCACAAAACTCTGTTTTCTTCTGTCTCTAACCTTGAGCACAGTAAAAATCTGAGTCATAGGTGGGGGGTAAGTGGTCACTTTACAGAAATCAAAGGGGTGCTTTCTCAGTACACAGTCATCAACATATCTCTCATCTCCTCTTCCATCCTTGCTGCTTTCTATTCCCAGGGCATATCAGCCTTGTTTCTAGAGTAGCCATCCAGAAGTTGGATTTTGTAATTAATATATGACAAAGTAGAGGAATTGCTGACAAAAGGAGATTCTTAACAAGAATAAGGAATATCTCCTGAAACCTAGAATTGCCAAATTCTTAAAAACCACTGTGACCCAAATTTCTTATAGGAACCATTTTTTCATAAAGCATCAGGCTTTATCTCTATGAGATTTATAGGTTGACAGTGATGAATAAGAAATGCCTGATTTGTGTAGATATAGGGATTTAGGTGGTTGGTTAGACTCAATTGTGAGCTAAATTAATACATATAATATACCTTTGAGTGGGAAATATGCTCTTATGTCTTTAAATGTTGGAAATACCTATTGTCTTCAAGTGTCCACCTGCCCTCTTTGAATCACCTAGACTTACCATCACATGCATGCAAAGAATGCATAGAAACTGAACTGAGGGTGTCAGCCTCTTTTATTTCCAGAATTTGCCCAGCCTTTGCCATTCTATGCACCCACTCCCAATACTCCTTGTCATCATTGCCCTCTGGCTCTTTAACTCCTGCTTCACCTTAAAAGCTGGTTTCTAATTTTCAATTAAGGCCTTTTTTTTCTTTTTTTTTGGAGACAAGATCTCACTCTGTCACCAAAGCTGGAGTGCACTGGCACGATCTCAGCTCACTGCAACCTCCGTCTCCTGGGTTTAAGCAATTCTCATGACTCAGCTTCCTGAGTAGCTGGGACTACAGGCGCGCACCACCACCACACCTAGGTAATTTTTGTATTTTTAGTAGAGACAGGGTTTCACCATGTTGGCCAGGCCAGTCTTGAAATCCTGACCTCAAATGATCTGCCTGCCTTGGCTTCCCAAAGTGCTGGGATTACAGGCGTGAGCCACTGCTCCCAGCCCACTTCAGTCCTCTAGTTCTGATGACTCATTAATGTAGAGGACTCTGGCCCAACCTTGGCCAGGACACTGTGCTCTCCACATCACACACTTTGTGACTTTAGGAAAGAGACATTCCCATTCTTCTTTCTACTGGCTGTTTGGTATAAACTTCCTTGGTCCACTCTTTTTCTGCCATCCTTGACATAGAAAACATTTTTTCAATCATACTTTACCTTTAGCTCATTGTGGTAGCAAGATATTTTGTTACTACAAACATGTACTCTGGTTGTGAGGGCAGAGTGATAATTAGAAAAAAATACCTCTACAGGTAGGCAAAGGAAAGGACAACTAAAAATGAATCACAACATTTTGCATAAAGTAAATAATATAGAATATATTCCTATGGTTTGATAATATGATGAATGCTATCTATTGATATTCAATATGATTAAATATCTGATAAATATATATGATTATATGAATAGAAATACAATGTGATAACATCAAATAGTGTTCCTTATTCTTATCTCTCATCTATTGCTGGTGGGAATACAAATGATACAGCTACTTCAGAAAAATCCCTTTTAAAGTTAAACATTTACTTACCATATGACCCAATAATTCTACTCCTAGATGTTTACTACTGACAAAAGAAAACGTATGTCCACACAAAGATGTCTATGCAAATATTCATAGAAGCATTTTCACAATAGTCTCAAACTGGAAACAACCCATATGTCCATCATATTTAGACAAAATATGATGAATATTTGGGCACATATAAAATATTCCATATTTGGATAAAATATGGTGAATATTATGAACAGCCATACAATAGAATACTACTCAGCAATAAAAAGCAACAAATTACTAATACTGCAACAATATGAATGAATATCAAAATTATTTTGCTAAGTAAAAGAAGCCAGACATGAAAGGTATCATACCATGTGACAGTTTATATGACATTCTCAAAATAAGAGCTCCATACTGGAATTTTAGTGCTATGGAGATTGTGGTATCAATTCCTTTGAAAATAATTTTCTAAAAAGAAAAATTATGAAATACAAAGCTTATAATAAATATGAACATTTACTGAGGTCAAAATATGTGGCAAACCAACACAATACATATTTATTTCCTAAATATTTTAGAATCCCAGAACGAAATATTAGAAATGTAAGGAATCTCAGCGATTAGCAAGCCCAGTGCCAACATTTTAAAATTCAAGAAATAACTGCATATAAATATCAGAAGACTCACTTTTTTGTTTGTTTGTGTTTGTTTTTGTTTTGAGATAGGGTCTCACTCTGTTGCACAGGCTGGAATGCAGTGCCAAGAGCTAGGCTCACTGCAACCTCTGCCTCCCAGGCTTAAGCGATCCTCCCACCTCAGCCTCCCAAGTAGTTGGGATCTCAGGCTGAGGCCACTGTGCTAGGATAATTTTTGTATCTTTGTAGAGAAGGGTTTTCACCATGTTGCCCAGGCTGGTCTTGAACTCCTGGACGCAAGTGATTTGCCCATCTCAGCCTCCTAAAGTGCTGGGATTACAGGCATGAGCCACCATACCTGGCCTGGAAGACTCACTTTAAGTCTTAAATTTGCAAATATTCTTACTTTAGGGTATAGGCTTTGATGAAATAAACATTCAGTTTATTTTCAGGAAGGGTCATACAATAGATTTCGAAGTAGGGTTTTCAGTAGATTTTATTTTTGGAGGTGATTCTAGTTTCAGTTATGGTTGCAAAATTTAACTTGGAAGCACAGTTTATACGTGATACATATTATGTGTGTTAGGATTCTCCAGAAAAACGGAACCAATGAGACAGACATATAGATAAATTAATAGATAGTAGATATAGATATATGAAAGGGAATTTATTAGGGGAAATGGCTCGTGTGATTAGGGAGAAGGAGAAGTTCCAGGACAGGCCATCTGCAAGCTGGAAACTCTGGGATTCTGGCAGCATGATTCAGTCCAATGATTGAGTCTAAAGGCCTCAGAACCAGGGGAGCAAATGGTATAATTGTAAGTCCCAGGCAGAAGGCCTCAGAACTCAGAGGGCCACTAGTGCAATCCCCAGAATACAAAGGCTGGAGAACCTGGAGTTGAGATATTCAAGGGCAGGAGAAGAAGGGCATCCCAGTAGTTCCAAGAGACAGAGAAACAGGGAGAGGGAGAGAGGGAGAGAGAAAGAGAGAGAGAAGAGAGAGAGGGGAGAGAGAGACAGACAGAAAGCGAGTACAAATTTGAAAACAAAATTGCCTTTCCTCTGCTTTTGCGGGGTTCTATCTGGGACCTCAGGCAAATGGATGGTGCCTGCCCACACTGGGTGAGGATGGATTTTCCCTACTCCGTTCACTGATTCAAATGCCAGTCTCTTCTGGAAATAATATCTCACAGATATACCCAGCAATAATGCTTTACCAGCTATCTGAGTATCCCTTAATCCAGCCAAGTTGACACCTAAAATCAACCATTACACAAATAACTAATGAAAAATGAAAATGACTCGCTTGAAGAAATAATTCTTGATTTCAAACCAATGGGATGCCAGCATTGCATAAAATCAACCATTACACAAATAACTAGTGAAAAATAAAAATGACTTGCTTGAATAAATAATTCTTGATGTCACATGAATGGGATGCTAGCATTACATCTGATGCCTGTGCTGGCACATAGTGGGGCACTCGGTGAAAATGGTGGGTAAGTGACTGAACGAATAGTTTGATACACAAGAAATAATAATTCTAGTGGAAAATTTGCTTGGATTTAAGAAATTTTGGTTTCACTTCTATCTTTTGCTCTAATTATTTGTATCATCTGACACAACATTTACATTATACCTCAGTGGCCTCACCTGCAAAATGGGGATGAAAATGCTTGTTCTCATTAAAATGGATTTGGTAATGGAAAATAAGACATGTTTTAGTTACAAGCACTTTGGTAAAAGCATCTGTGTTTTTATGAGGCATGCGACTTATTCAGAGTTTATATTAGAAAATCAATCAATAAGATTTCTTCTGTCAATCAAAAAATAAAGATTTCTTCTAGTCCCACAAGTTTATTTTAGAATGACACAGAAATTTTGATTATTCATGCTAATGAAGAGTTTCGATGTTATTGAGAAAAAATTACTGGTATAAATTAATATCAATACTACTACAATAGTGTATATATATGAACACTCATTATTTTTATATTTTCAAATTTGCAACTAATATAATTTACTGAGTGAATCTGAAGATGGTTTGGATTTAATAAACACACATTAATTCATGTCTAGAGATTTCCAAAACCAAGCAGCAGAGTAAAATCAACATAAAATCTAATATTGGGTATGGAAAAAAAATCCTGGGATGGGATTCCAGTGGCAAGGATACAAAACAACTACTTTTTGAGCCACATGTTCTCAAAGGAATAACTTGTTTTAACTCTTGGAGAGTCTATTTTTATATATTCTTGCATTACTTGTCTGTGCTTTCTCTCCCTCCCTTAGATCGCAGTAGAATGTAATATAGAAATACAGAAATGGCCCACATTGCATTCTGTTTCCTAAACAGATCAAGAGCAAGATGCTGACGTTTATTGAATAGCTATTTTTGTCAGGCACTGGGCTTAGCATTTTGCATGCATCATCTTATTTAATCTCACCACAACCCTATGAGTTGGGTATTACCTTCATTTTACAGCTGAGCAAACTGAGGTTTTGAGAGGTTAATAACTTTCCCAAGGTCACACAGCTGTTAAGGGACAGAGCCAGGACTAAAGGACAGGTAAATCCAGCTCCATCCTCCAAGCTCTACATAATCACTAGCGGTTCTCAATGTGTGGTCCTGGAACCAGTAGCATCAGCATTCCCTGGTAACTTGTTACAAATACAAATTATTGGGCTGCATAATAGAACTACTGAATCAGAAACTCTGGGGATAGGACCCAACATTCTGTGTTTTAACAAACATTTTGGGTGCTTTTAGCGCTGAAGTTTGAGAACTACACTTCCTCCATAATAACAACATGTTTGACATTCATGATTTAACTGGTGGACTTTTTGGCTAAGGAAACTCAATAAAAAAACATCAATAGCATATCCTTCTGAGAATGGAAGGCAAGAAGATGTTTGGAATCCAAGTAAAGCTGAGAGTCTTTTGCACAACATTTTGTTGATTTATTTCATAGGACCCAAAACAGTTTTCCAATAGAAAACAGATTTGTTCTCTGGAACTATAGGAAAGCGAAGTCTGTATTACCTGATTGATTTGGCTTCAGCCAGTCAGGTCAAGAATGAAAACAGTAACAACCAGTAAAAAGGGTGCAGAAAGTAAATGTACTATTGACCTGGTTGCTCAGATACTCAAAATTTTGATAATTCCATATGGTAAGAGACTGGGATGGGAGTGCCAGGAAGAATTAAACTATTAGAAAAGCTGGCAAGATGAGATAACAGATAGTTCCTTCCACACAAAATTAAAATGTTAAATTCCTTATTAGGCACATATGCCTCTATGCTACCCATCACCCAGCATCTGAATATAGCATCTCATCAATACACTCAAAATGACCTGTATGAATCTTGGGAATTTCATGCTATGGAAATGGGTTTGGAGCTGCCAGCATAGTGTTACACATTTTAGAAAATAAGAGAGAAAGGTAGAACACAGCTTTAGTGAAAACATGCTTCTTAATTCATATTAACTGTCTATTAGGATTGTGTTTACTGATGTGAAAGCTTTGGAAAAACTATGTGAGATATCACATTAAAACAGGAAACAGATGGTGCTTAACTGGGTATGCAGGTGAGGAAGCAGGAGCTTCCTCATTTGGCTGTGGGATGCACAACAAGAATGGCAGCGACCTGTTTGTTCTTTAGTCCGAGTCTGAGGAAAATATCAGTATGTTTGTGAATTACTGTGCATCATGTTTAATATGTACTAATTTACTTACGTAGAATCTAACATGATAACAAAAATATAATCTGACCATGAATTCAGTGAATTGTGGTTTATTCCTGCTAGTACAATTATTTCTGATTATCAAAACCATTTCTTCTGATGTTAATATAGAGCATACCAGGATTTAGAGCATGAAAGACTCAGTGCACATTTAACCATTTGCAAGTCAGGTTAACGCTGGAATAAATGAAAATAATTTATAGTATGTACCAAAACTGGATTACAAGAAAATTTATGACACATAGTCACACAATAATTAAAAAAAGATTAATTAACATAAAAATTCTAGCTGTCATATTTCTTAAGTAGAAATAATTGTAATGTAATTTTATTTCACTGATTGAACCTGCAGCTAGGTCTGCAGTAGAGTCAATATGGAAATGAAAGGCTATGAAAGGCACCTCTAGGCCAGGAGAAAAACAGGACATGATCTCACTCACTTTGGAATTACAACCACTGAATTATATGCTACAAACATACACACACACACATACGCATACACGCACACACATGCACATACACACACACACACCCTTAATGATATTTGTTATTGTTTTCAAAGAACTAGAAAATTTGGAAAAAAAAGGAATAAAACTTTAAAAATACCTGTCCAAAAAAATCTCAGGAAATTGTCAAACAGCTAATGTGTTTTCCTTTTAAAAACTAAAAAAAAAAAAATTGTCCATTTCATTAATTATTAAAATATTGAAGTGTTAGAGGTAAAAAGAATTCTTTTGTAGAAAGTGTAACCAAGATTTTAATATTAAATCATTGAAGTCAGCTGAGGGTGGTGGCTCACACCTGTAATCCCAGCACTTTGGGAGGCCGAGGCAGGTGGATCACCTGAGGACAGGAGTTTGAGGCCAGCCTGGCCAACATAATGAAACCCCGTCTCTACTAAAAATACAAAATTTAGCTAGGCGTGGTGGCAGGCATCTGTAATCCTAGCTACCTGGCAGGCTGAGGCAGGAGAATCACTTGAACCTGGGAGGCAGAGGTTGCAATGAGCTGAGATCGTCGCACCATTGCACTCCAGCCTAGGTGACAAGAGTGAAACTCCATCTCAAAAAAAAAAAAAAAAAATCATTGAAGTCATATCAATAATCGGTGACATTTTTCTACACCCAATATTGGGAAATCACACTATACACAAAAGTTTGAATAACAACAAAAATTAGCTTTTTTAGCATAGGGCTTTGAGGTACTAAACAAATGTTTAGATCTGTTTTCTACTTCATCTTTGAGCCTCTGGGACACAATGTCCACTGTACTATAGTTGCTCACTAAGTGTTAGTGGAACTGAGTGAATTACCTTTCTACCAACATCTTGGCCAGTGTAATATTTCTGAATAAAAAGAAAAGCTCCTCCTTTGAGTTATTATAAGCATTCATTTGGGGCTCCTAAACATTCTATCAGGACCTGGTTGTTGTTTCATTTCCTCTAATGATGCAAAATTATGCTGATATATTTTTCTTTTCTTTTCTTTTCTTTTCTTTTTTTTTTTTTTTGAGACAGAGTCTCACTGTTGCCCAGGTTGTAGTGCAGCGGCACGATCTCGGCTCACTGCAACCTCCGCCTCCCAGGTCAAGCGATTCTCCTGCCTCAACCTTCCGAGTAACTGGAACTACAGGCGTGAGCCACCACACCCAGCCTAATTATGCTGATTTTTGACTGCTGACTGATGGAAGATACAATTGTATTTTCTGTATTTAGGAAGACTTGTGATAGAGTTGTGTGGTTTAAACACATTGTGAACAGTTGGCTGGTATTGCAGAAAGCTTCCTGAAGTGACCTACAAAATAATCCAGAATCTTATAAATGTAAAAATAAGGTATTTCTGTGCTCTTATTGCATTAAATAATAGCTCATTGCTTATTATCTATTTATTCCTATAGTAGATAAAATGTTTAGGAGAGTTTTTGTATACATTCCTAAAAGAAGGCCTTCATAAAAATTTTAACCTTGGAGAAATTTGGTAAAAAAAAAATTACGTAAAGTGACATTTGCTCTTGTGTGGTAACTGCAACAAATGTGATCTCCCGCTCACCCCCAAAGTCATGAAAAATCAGCAGACTTGGATTCCAGTTCTAGTTCTTAAGACATTGGCAAGCCCACTAATATTCCTGGGCTTTTGTTGATTCCATCTGTAAAACAGTACTAACAAAACCTATATCGTAAGGTAATTGTAATTATGAGATTTAAATAGAGTTAGATGATATGTGTGAAAATGCTTAGACTCTTAAATTTTACATAAATGTACTGCATATTTTGATAATAAGATATTAAACCTTGAACATCCAGAACATCAGAGAATAAAAGTTCTAGGTTACATTAATATCCTAGTTAATGGCAGATGAAGGGAAAAATCCTGCATTCCTGCTCTACTCAAAAACTAATTAAATCTTAAGATTAATTGGGATTTAACTACCTGTTAAGTAGCAATTCTAACTGTAACGATGGAATTCATGCTGCAGCAGTTGAGTCTGAAACTCTCCCGATCTTTGGGTCCTTAGGAATTTTATTTTGTCCTTAATGCCTGAAACCAGCTGATTTTTAAAATATATTTTTTTCATAACAGGACAGTGTAATGAAAAAAATTATTAATGGTTAATGTTGTTTTATCTTTGGTTAACACAAGTTTTGTAGTAAAATCCTGTTCTGCAAATACATGTGATTTATTGTCAAAGTATTAGAAATAGCAGATATCTTGGACACTTTACATTTAGTTTGAGTACCAAAAATATCGAGAACGAATCTTTATATATCACTGCTGTCCAAGGACTTAACAATTTATAAGCTAATTCAATTCAGTAATTTGGGCAGCATCTTCCAAAGATGGAGAATGGGCTCCTTAAGAAAGCTAAAATGAATGAACCTGTGTCTGAGCTCAAGGTGCCTTCATTTTGTAATATCTAGCATGTACCAATTTGAGAAGACATAATTTAATTGTGAATATATGTTACCTGAATGTAAGTAGATAGGCTAAAACTGTGTTTTACTGTATTGAAAAAGAGCTGAGTGATATTTTATTATTTATTTTAAAAATATCCATGTGGTGTTGTTGAGAACATCTATTTTTAATTATGCCTATAGATAGAAACAAAACAGTGTCATTTATCATTAACTTTCTAAGATGGTTATATGTTTTAAATGTAATTTTTCTCGTCTTTTTCTCATTCTCTTCAGATAGATGATTGACTGATAGATGCATAGACAGATAGATAGATAATAGAACTGTACAAATATTTAAAGCACATCGTTTGGCAATTGTATATTTGTTTCCCCTCCAAGAATATTGGCAATTAAAGGTCAGAGAGCATGTTCCATCTGTTTGTGTGCCCAGGGAGACATTGGCTTGGGCGTGGGCCCACTGGAGCTGAGGGCTGGCCTAGGCCTAGTTGCTGTAGGGGTGGGACCTGGAGTCCTACTGCTGTGAGCCCCTTATTAGCCCTTTAGTTGCTGGACCATGGGGAAGTCTACATTCCAGGAGTGAGTTACAAGGTGGCTAAATAGTGGCTGGAGTGGATGAAATCCCCAGGGCGAACGGGTAAGACATTAACTATCAGTATAGATAATAGATAATTCCCACCCTGGCTGAAAACTATCTTTGTGTCTCTCTTTAAGTCTTTGCAGAGTTCCTGGCACATAGTAACCTTCAATAACGCTATGCTGAATTACAAATAGTAAATTTATTCCACACTTTCCTATTAAAACTGAGAGAAGCTGCTCTGGGAGTGAGTATTCTGGGTGAGAGGGATAGTCAGGTTTCAAAATATTGGTGTAGATAATCCACAAAGGGAATAGTACAAAGTACATATATACAGAGAGACAAACACTCTATTGAAATTGGGTTGTACATAGAAAGAAAAAGGATGATTATGTGTCAATGACACCAACATCCTTTATACTTAAGAGTGGAGGCTCTGGTTAAAATTATTCAGCCAGAAAACCATTCATAATGCTGGGTGAGTTGTAGCCAAAATGGCACCTATTATCCTGTACCCAAAATTACCTGATGGCTAAGACCCAGGAGGAAGAAGCAAGGAGTCCAATTTAATAGCCAAAATTGATCTCCCCAAAGTAAAAGCTCCTAATACCTTAAGTTGAAGGCAGAGAATAAGTGACATATGGTAGAAATAATGAATAACTTAACCATAGGCAAATAATCAATGGAAATTTTCTTTTAAAATAAGAATAAGGGAGTAATGTAACTTGTCCTAAATCAACTGCCCTGCTTTGGCTAAAAAAAAAAAAGACTCAAATCTCACTAAGGCTTATTAAGGAAAGAAGGCTTTTTAAGCACAAACCTCCATTTTGCATAAAATCATTTGGACAACACCTAAGAATTAAAGAATATTTTGTAAAGGAATTATGAGAGTCAATACTGATTATGCTGTATTCATGAACATATGCGCTAGCTTACTTTCCTGAATCCTGCCTATTTTCAGGGCAGACTCAATGATTTCTATGTTTTCTGTGTCTTCTGAGGAAACAGTTTAACAGACACCAATCCACTCCCTCTAAGCCTTAGAGACAGGCACAGTTGCATAAACTGTACCTGGCTATCAGAGCCTTGCCAGGAAGTTTGGGATGCACACATCCAGTCCATTACACCCTCCTCACACACTTAAGCTTTTAGCTCAACCAACTCCCTACTCCTTCCTGAGCAAACACCATCCTTTTAACATCTCTACTTAGTAGCTTCTTTCTGTCTAGGACCTCCTTCCCTATTGTTTGTTTCCACGCTTTAATCCTCAGATTATTCACACTTTTGCTAAGAAAACTTTCCTGATCTCCCCAGGTAAAATTCATCCCTACAGCCCTTTTTATACATCTAGGATATGGCATATACTAATTACACTCCACTTTTGTTGTTTCTGTCTGATCTCCTTAAGTTATAATGGCCATGAGGCCAGAGCCTCCTTATTCTTTGGATCCTTCATTTCATCTAGGAGAAGACTCATGAATAGAATATTTTTCTTTTTTTACCAATTTGAGCATTTCTATTGTGCAGAGTTAAAGAAAAACAACATGAAGTTCAGTATTTCTTAAGATTTCTGTCACATTAGAAATATATGACTTAGAAATCTTGTATTTCTAA
The DNA here is from genome assembly GCF_000001405.40 of Homo sapiens. NCBI lineage: Eukaryota > Metazoa > Chordata > Mammalia > Primates > Hominidae > Homo > Homo sapiens. The sequence goes on along the minus strand of NC_000008.11, from coordinate 105,101,144 downwards.
GTCATGTTAGACATCTATGGGATTTTGAAGTCCTTGTTTTATACTGTATAAATCAAGGACTTCAAAACCCCATGTATTTCTGCTCCCATGGGCAGGTGGCTAAGATTTCTTAAAGAATTTTTGTTGTAATGAATGGTGCACAGGAAGTTGGATGACTCCATGACTCATAGTCAGGAACTGGACTCATTTTGCAGCCCTGTTGCCAATATCAGACTATGACATTCAATAAATCACCTACTGGCTCTACAGTTATGTATTTTTTTAGAATAATGTCGCAGCAATCTCTCTGGAATGATTAATAAGTTATCATTAATTATCACTGTCCATGTTTTTTAAAAGCACTTCCATAAGAGTCTTTGATCCAAAAATGAATAAATTCAGGGCTGCTTTCCACAGTTGACCCACTTTTCAGTGGCTCATCCAGCTCTTGAATAGACTATCCAAAGGCCTGTTTTCTACATTAGACAATAACATAGAAATTAAAACAGAAAATAGATATTTAAAAAATTACTGTTAAATATATATATATGCACATACACGTATGTGAAAATCATGATTCTCAATATTTACTAATCAGATTTGCTACCTTGTTTGCCTTCTTTGAAATTTTGTATATGCTTTTTTCAAAATTAAATTACAACAAAAACTTAGTAATGGACTAAAAATATTCAAATAGACCATATCTCAAATATATAATTTTTTTATACTTCCATATGATATGACCTGACTAATTAACAGCAGGTTTGATGTCTGAAAAGTACTAGTCAATGAATGCTAATCTTTTAAGTCACAGATCTGTAGACGAATAAACGGAGTTAAGATATCCAAATAAGCCTATCTGGTTGTAGCATTAAATAAGCCCTTATAAACACGAAAAATAGGGCACAAGCAACAGTAAATTGCAGGCAAATGACCACATATTAAAATAATAACATAGATTTCTACATTTCTACATGAATGTGCCATCAAGGCTAATATAAACACAATATACACTACCTAGCAATTCTCTCTATACAAAAATATGTTGTACTTTAAAATCTAGATATTCAGCAATGATGAATGTCATCCAAAGCAGCCATGAGAATGACCCTCATGTCTATACTTCAAAACCTTGCCAAGAAATATATTCCGCATGTTGTCATAAACAATCTATTTGGCTTCATTGTCGCCTGATAAACATTTCCCGTCAGTTCTTTTGAAGCACATACTATTGACATACTTTCAGATAATAACAGATAGCATAAATAACATTTTCTTAGCCCTCTTCTTCAAGGTCTCCCTGTATAATAAAATGTAACTTTTAACATTTATATAGAATCCTCCTATTATTGGGAATTTTATTTTAGCTGCAAGCTTCTAGTAAATAAAGCTGTGTATTAAGCAAATTCAGGTATTTCAAATGTTTTCATAGTAACCGTTGCATTTTTTGTCTTCTGCCATGAAAAGCCGCTGAACAGATTAGTAAATCTGTCTGAAAGCCAGTTCAGAAGTAATATTTTATCAAGTAGAATTTGTAGAGATTGACTTAACTGGTCAAGTTCACATTAGTGCCCCCAGCCCCACCTCACCAGTAGTTATCAGCAAACTACTGATCTATATACTCATAGAATCCTGGATCTCCAGACTCTGTCAATCAATTTACCTGCTTTGTATTAACTACAGGCTTTGTGGCCAGTGTTGACTATGCCAGGAATTATTTACTGAATTAAGAAAAGTTGTCAACATGATAATAACCTCGTTGTCATCAATATTAATGTTGACTCATCATACCTCCAAAACATATTTTAATAAATTACCTTTGCATTGTTGAACATGAAACATACTATAAAGTTAATGTAACATAAAATCAAGAAAATGCTAATACCGTTTATTATATGAATACATCAGTGGAGCTAGTCTCTAGAAAAAAAGAGAAAGATATGCACACTGTATCCTCTTCTGCAGAGGGTTACTGTCAACTAGACCAGAGGTTTGCTGTTCATGGCTGAATAGCTAAGAGGGAAACCTAACTCCTAAGCCACCTCCTGTGTTCCTCACTGGGACTGTGCTGCTAGTTTTAAGTGCACATCTGTATACATACTAATGTCCTTAGTGAGAAATCCCATAACATGGCTTAGGTTGGACTATAGAAAATTAGCTGGTAGGGAATGAAAATTGTCAGGGAAACAATTGTAGCAGAGAGGGGAAGTTCACTCTAGGCAGGATCTACATCAACTTCATTTTCCCAGTGGAATTGCTAGAATCTAAGTCATTTGGTCAAGCACGGTGCCACTAAAGCCCAGGGTTCTTGTTCTGCACACCTTCTGGCATGTCAAAAGTAGAGAGACTCTAGTTTTCTCAAGGTAGTGACAGCCCAGTAGCTAAGGCTATGCATTTTGGGATCAGACAGGTCTTGGTACAAGTACTAACTCTACTACTTACTAGCTGTGTGACCCTCAGAAATTTACTAAAATTCTGAGATTTAGTTTCAACATTTGTAAAAGGGGGATAAAAACAGCACCCACTTCATAGGATCACTATGGATCTGTTCTTGAAATCTAGGACATAATCAAAGTTTATTACTATTATTATGCTCCTATTCAGCATGCCATCTAAGAAACCATTCAGTGGCAAATGCGCAATATGTTTGTTATGATCTCATAAGACTCAGCACAGGACACTGAAAGTCACAGCACAGGGTAAGACCAAGAAAACTGGGCAGAGACTGGGATTACAGTGGTGAGCAGGTCATTCAGACTCATTCAGAGCTTCCAATTCTATTGGGAGAAACAGAAAAGTCAATTTCAATACACTGTAAAAATGATAAGCACTGTAACCTATGAATACATATAGAAGGAACAGATAACCCAAGCTTGGGGTCAGTGGAGTGTCTAGAAGGCTTGCTGTGAGGTAAGACGAAAGAGGTGACTAAAACTAAGAATGCGTAGGAGTTAGATACACTGTGTGTGTGTGTGTGTGTGTGTGTGTGTGTGTGTGTGTGCGCGCGTACGTGCATGTGTATGGAAGATAGTGGTGATAAGAGAGGATGTATATGGCAGGAAGTCACCAGCACAGACAACAAGGATAATACAGGCAAAGGCCTGGAGAGAAAAGCCTGCTGACGGTGTGTGTAGAAGTGGGGACGGATGTAACCACAGTTTGTTGTTTTTGTGTTTGTTGGTGGCAGACTGGCACCATGGTTAGGGAAAAAGCTCTGGTGCCACGTTGCTTGGGAGTGGGTATGAGGAGGGGAAGTGAGAGCCAATGCTTGGGTTCCATCCCCAGAGAGCCTTATTCAATTGATTTCAGACAGAGTCTAAGTGCTGATATTGTGTAAAGGCTTTCTAAGTAAGTATATGCAACTAGTATTTAGATTTAAATTAAATGTAGATCATCCTATCAAAAGAGAGCAGGGGTGTCTGGGAACGGACTTTCATTATGAATGAAAGCAAATGGGGCTGTGATGTCAGATAGCTCTTTCATGACATCGCTGGTAGAACATCAGCAACTGCTCACAGGTACTTTCGGGCCCTCTTAGGAAAGGGTGCCAGTGATGAATACTCTGAGCCACAGAACAGGTATTCACAGCTCCAGGCTAGGGTTACATCCTTACTTTTAAAACCAGCTGAGTTGTGTCCAATGTACCCATTATCATTTATATTCCAAGATGCTTCTTTTGGAAATAAAATGGAAATGTTTGAAAATGACCTTTCTAGATAATTCTAATCCCATCATTAGCCTAAGAAAAATAGTTGTTCAGTACACCAATACACTCAAGAAAAACTAACATAAAAGAGATGCAGAGCCTGAGATTTACTCTATTTTTAAAAATATGATCTGTTTACTCTGTTTTTCTATCCCCTAGGATACATGAGTATGAGCTGCTGTAGGCATAATTTATTCTCAACCAGCTCTCATGAGTTGGCTATAGTTGATAGCATATTGCATTTATGTGAAAGGATTCATGCTTTTGGTTAGGTGGGAAAAGTACCTCTAAATTTATTTCCTCAGGGTGCTCACTACACTGGAGTTCTCAGTAATGAATATTCGCTTATGGGGATAGTAACATTCCTTTCTTTTACAAGTTATCACCAGACTCCTGCCTATATGCCCCATTTGGTTTAGAAGCATTTCAATGTGAGGTTCAGCTTCCATCTGGAAAAAAGTTATTTTAGTTCTATTTTATATTCACTTTTCTTTTTCCTGGAAGTAAGAAAGGGGCCCTTGAGCTGTCATCTATGATACTCCTACCATTCATTCTCAGCCTCAAATCTCCCAGGTACCTTGGTCCTCTAAACCTTATATCCAGAGGTGGTGGGTTCATGACTGCCCTTCAGAGAGTTGAAAATAGAGAGCCTGTCATTCTTCAGAAAGTCATATTTGTTCACAATGGGGGCCTGGGTCGTGATGTAAGTGAGGACATATTCCCAAACAATATGCAATCAAATTATTAGTGAAGTTGAATTACACTTGTTTCTGGAATTTTTATAAATAAAGTATGATGAAATATTTTAGCTAATCATTCAAGCAAAAGAAAACAAGTACAGTTTGTAGTATTTCTGTAAAAGAAGGGAGAAAAGCTGTGTAGGACACATTTCTGATGTTTAAATAAAATTCACTCAAAAGGAGTTATTTTGCTAAGATCATAGCTTTAGTTATCAATCAATAAATAATAACACAAGTCTCCAGAACAGAATAAAAGCTCCAGCACCCACTGCTCAAAACCTGCCAGGAAACAAATCCTCCAAGGAAGAAAGGTAAAAATATCAGAGAGAGACTGGCAATATCTCCCAGGGATCTAAAAGATGTCTAGAAGTGAATGTCATTTCTCACCAATAATCTACACTTTACTCTTACATGAAACAATTTTTCACAAAAAATTCTCTGTTCCCTTGTATTTGATAAAGAAAAAGAATTAGAAATAGGCTCAATTTCTTTTAGGAAAGTAGGTTTCCTCAGCTTTCGATTGGCCTTTCTTATGACCCCCTATACAAGAAGACAGATAATAAATATAATGATTTATACTGAAAAAAGAGCAGTGAGTATAATGGCCCAAACAGTGCTGTCTTTTATTACGTTACCATAGTAAAAAATAGCAGAGCCATTCACACCGTTATATTTAAGGTTGTAGCAGCAATTCCATTATCATTCCTGTTTTTCAGAAGTTTATAACTTGGTCTTGACAATACACTCCAGCCTGAAACTAGCCTTTTTTTTTTTTTTTTTTTAGTCAAAAGCTGGTTTTTCTTGATTGCCATGCTATTATTGAATAATCAGATTGGAAAATTAAATAGCATTTTTACTATTTTTTCTGTCTATATTTTGACTACATATATCTTGAAAACCTCTTTTATAACATGCACACATACACAGACACAGATACATATGCACACACACATACATATACTTCATTGGCTTGCCTACACATTCAACACTTGTATTTAGAACAATGGAGAGCATTGAGTACATTTGATGTTCATTAACTGGATGGCCACCATAGTAACTTACTACAAAATGCCTCAAAAGCATATGTTAAAATTTTTTTACAGATATTTTCTAATTCTGTAAATAATAGGATATTTGTTTGATTAAGGTACGTAGCCTTATTTAAAGACAGAAACACATCAGTGAAAGATTGGCCAGTACAATTTAGAAAAAACACTAGTAAACAGCCCATCTAATGTCTTGGTAAGTCAGAAACAAAAATGGGAAGTTTTTGTATGGTGTCTCCTTTTTGCATTAACTTGAGGACAGAGGTAAGATTTAGACTCTATCTTCTGGCTTAATTTTCACTTCCAAGTAATTTTGTCAATGAGGATTTTTTTTTTTTAGTAAAAAAATAAATTACCTGTTTAGTAACACAAGAAGGATTAGAATCCATGTAGAAAATTATAAACAGTGCATAGTTATATCCTACAAAGCCTGAAACTTAACAATAACTTGGCACTCATGTTAATCTGCTGATCTAGACAAATACAGTCTCTTGGTAAACGAAAAAAATGTTTTGTAAAATAATTATTTGGAGTAAAAATTCTGACTCTACAGCTCTTGTTTGGACATAAGAAAGCAAAAGACTAAATCTACATAGTTCCCCATTGAAAAGAAAATTTGTCTCTACCTTAGATTAGGAGGTACCTAAAGGATTCTGTCTTATTCACTATTTTCTCCTAGTGCCTAGGAAATACAGTATTTCCTTATGAATGAATGGAAATTGAGATCCTGACTTTTATAGAAGATTGTCCAAGATTTAATTTCAAATATCAACAACTTTAATTTTATAGTCAAACGAGAAAAGGAAAACTGTTTCTCAATTTTGAGGAGTTCTTTAAATTATTGTAAATGGAAATAAATTGGTGACTTTTATATTTTTAATTCCAAACTCAAGATAACCATAAAAATGGTAGAAAAAATAATTAGCTCAAAATGGTAGAAAAACAATTAGTTCAAAAGGAATTTTTTAAAATCCCATTATAATGACATTCTTTTAGCCTTTTTTTTTTTTAGGATATAAGTTCACCAGATCAGACCCTGGTTTATAAGACCTATAAATGTACAGGTAATATGATGCTTAACTTTATGTCTCCATGACGGGAATGCCCAGATAGCTGGTTAAACATCATTTCAAAGTATGTCTGTGAGGGTGTCTCCAGAAGAGATTAGCATTTGAATTGGCGAGCTGGGTAAAGCAGATGGTCCTCTCTGATGTGGTGGGCATTATCCAATCAGTTGAAGGCCTGAATAAAACAAAAAGCTGGCAAGGGTTGAATTTGCTCTCTGCCAGACTATTTGAGCTGGATATCAATCTTCTCCTTTCCCTCAGCATTCATTACTGGTTCTCAGGCCTTGAGAGCGGACTGGAACCCATGTCATTGGCTTTCTGGCTCTTGGACCTTATAACTACACCACTGGCTTTCCTGCATCTCCAGCTTGCAGACAACAGGTCATGGGACTTCTCAGCCTCCATAATCATGTGAGACAGCACCTTGTCATAAATCTCTTTCTGTGTGTGTGTGTGTGTGTGTGTGTGTGTGTGTGTGTTCTGTTTCTGTGGAGAATCCTAATACAGGTAATAAGGTAATATTTGTGATTTGTACAGGACCTCACCAGAAGATATAAATGAAGGAAATAGCATCAACTAGAGATTCTATTCAGAGAGTGATCCAGAAAAATGAAAAAGACATTGCAGAGAAAATAGGCAGTATCTGCATTGAGAGGACTGGAACCAAGGAAACAAATATTTGAAATTATAAATTTAAGAAATTTAATATAATTAGTCTTTTATATAGGACTATAGGGTACTATAATAAAATATAGGGGTAAAACAAGATTCTAGTATTTAGTAATACACAAATATATACACATATATACATATGTGTGTTTATATAGTAATACACATACATATATATTTTTACTTAACAATAATCTATTTTTTATATAATAAATTCTCACTTAACATTTTCCTTTGGCAACTACCCAAATTTGTTGTGATCAACAATCATGGGAAACCATCAAGAGTTCTTTGCCTGCCTTCCTGATACCAACATCAGGGAGTACAAAAGCACATCTGAATTCTCCTGAATAATTTAATAATTATGATGGAGACATTCAGGCATGTCCCAAATGACATTTTAAGATTGGGGGTACAAAGGATTAAATTATTAAAGCACCAAAATCTCAGGCAGAGAATAGCTGGAAAGACATGGTTAATCTTTGCAACAATCGTCAAAGAGAAAAATCACATGTGTGAAGCACGATGGTATGATGGTTATCTGCAGCCAGGTCACCTGGGTTCACAACCTGATTCAAACACATTTTAGCCGGGTGAATCCAGACAGAACGTTTTACATTTCTATGCCCCAGTTTTCTGAGCTACAAAATAGCGATGATAACAATGCTGACTCTTAGTAAAAATTACATACAATTTGCTATTATTTCAGTATTACAGAGCACGAAATAATGGTCAGGAAGTGTCTTATTCCTTTTGGGCTGCTTTAACAAAATATGATAGAATGAGTGGCTTATAAACAGTAAATATTTATTTCTCACAGTTCCGGAGGCTGGGAAGTCCAAGGTCAAGGTGTGGGCAGATTCAGTGTCTTTCCTGAGGTCCCACTTCCTCATAGCAGATTTTTACTGTGTCCTCACATGTTGGAAGGGGTGAGGGAATCTTTCTTGGTCTTCTTTTGTAAAGGCATTAATTCATTCATGAGGGCTCTGCCCCTATAACCCTAATCACCTCCCCAAAGCCCCACCTTCTAATAGTGTCACCTTAAGGATTAGAATTTCAACATAAGAATTTTGGGGGACACACACATTCAGATCATTACAGGAAGGAAAAATACTTGCTTAAATTGCATAATTTAAAAAGTGGAGTTTGTTTCTCCATTAGTTTTGAGAGTCCTGAGTCCTTCCATTACTCCACAGTACTTTCATTTTTCCTTCAAGACATTTGAGAATTAACAAAAGTGATCCTTGAAACTGTCATCTTCAAATATTCGGGAATAAAAGAAGAACACACACACACACACACACACACACACACACACACACAAGGTGAAGTTTCCTGAGATGTGAGGCCCCTGGAGGACAAAACAAGGGCTGTCTCGCACTGCCCATCATGAAAGACTGACCTCTGGTGGCCTCTGGTTCCTGGATTGTGGCTGAGCAGGATGCGACCTCCAGCAACAAGGATGCAAAAATCTCCCAGTGAAGGGAAAATGCAAACTCACCAATCTATCTCCCCAAATAAGAACCTATTATTCTTGATTGTGATTGTGAATTTTTCACCAGTAGGAGTCTCATGATATTAGTAACACTCTTCACCAAAAGTTATTGTTTGCTTTAGAAATATATTTCTGCAGAATAACCAACATTGGTTATAAATATGTTTCTGTTATTGGTTTGATTCTATCACACAACATTATGATTCTTTAGGCAGTACTGCAAAGATGCATTGCATGTTCAAAATGATCATTAAGACAGCATAATTACCATCAATTGTTTTAAAAAATGAATAACTATTTATTATACAACACCCAGGCACATGAATGTGTTTTTCTTGTTCAATTTGTGTTGATTTAAGTGCTTATTACATGAGAAGGATATTGATCGAGTACTTTTGCAAATGGCCTCAAAATATTGAGAAAATTCCTTTTTTCATTTTTACTACCATGAATTTCAACATGAAATATTGTGCCAGTATGCTATGAACAGCAATGTTATAACATAAACCGTGGAAAAATTCCAGGCTGTGTTGACATATTTTATGAATGTTACGGGATGCCAGATTGGAGGTGTACATCTGCGGGGGTTGGCCAGTCATCCTACTGCCGTCTGTGTATCTGTACACATAAATGAATTAGCTAATATAAAAACAGTGCATAAACAAATTTAATGTTATAGAATTTCCTTTATGGAGTACAGAATATTCAAATCTGAGTAAGGAAGTGGAGAATTATGCTTAACTGCCATTACTTGGGAAAAAGGAATGTATAAAATGGAAAAGATACAGCACCCAAGCCAAAATGCCTTATGTAGCCTGCTTGGCTGTTCTCCTTTTACTCCCTTTTATTATACTATCCTGTTTTACTGGCAGCAGTTTTTGCAACCTAAGATGGTGAGCAATGATCTTTTATCAGAGGACTGGAGAAACCATATCATAGTTCAGGGTCATTCAGTGACTACCAAATCCCTTTCTTCCTGAGGAAAAATCATGCCAAGTCTTAATGTTCAACCCTCAACTCTAGATTCTCATCTCTGAATTAGTCTGTATACAACAAACATTATAGTCACTTATCAAGAGAGGTCCCCCTCGTAGCTGATCTAGAGAAAAAAATCCCTTAGCAATATGACATTCTTGTTCTATCCTTTACATATATAGAAAAATCCCTCAAAGATAACATACCCCCCACCTGCCCAGATACAGGGCTTGATATCAACAGCTTCATACCAAATTTTTTTCTCCTCCACCCCCACTTATTACATGTAATTCTTTCATGATGCCTCTTACTGGTCAAATAGTGTAAATGATTTTTTCTGATACACTGGCTGGCTTCAACTTTCACTATATCTTCTCTTAATTCTTAAATATTATTTTGCTTGAGTCATTATTTCTCCCTGGGTTCCTTTTTTGCTAAACAGTGTGTCTGTGTGTGTGTGTGTGTGTGTGTGTGTGTGTGTGTAAGCACTACACAAATGAATAAATGGAAGCAACAAATGATCCCTTAGGGGAATCTATACATACACATATACAGTAGATGTAATTGGTGTTAATTTCAATGGTGGGATTTTTAAGTTAGACAACAAACAATAAAACTTTTATTTTTAGCTAACAGTTTGTGGGCTAATTTAGTCCTTGAAATCCTTCCAAGCACGATAGCTTAAATTTGCCCCAGATGGACTTTCTCTTCTGTTCAAATTGCTCGACAGCAACATAACAGTCATTTATAACAAAGTCTGCAGAAATGGGCTGGCACTTCTACTCTTCCAAATACGTTTGTCTGTTCGTAAGGAGGGTGCCCCCATAAATCACTATGAATTAAAGAGGAATGCACACGTCCCAATCAAAACATCGGGAAGAAACCATTACCCAATAGATAAGAACGCAAACAAGTGCAAAGCATCACTTGAGTTTTTATAGAAGGCCCATATTTTTGGAAGGCAACCAGTGCTGTTTCACATGCTGTACTTTTTCTAATCTGACTGACTCACAGTCTTGTGATAGTGAGATAAGCTAGGTAGGCAAATTTTTATAGAGTTGCAATTACTGAAATTGTCATTACGCTGCTCACTGTAAAATAAATATAGATAGAAGTGAAATTATGCACAGGCTAGAAGTAGAAAGTGTTTTGCTTCTGTTTGCTAAATTAATCTCTTCCTAAATGGCTGCAGGCCAGGTAGGTTAGCATTTGTGGTTTCAAAGGTTTTCAGCGCTTGCAATGAGCCATGAAATTACTGCATGCTGCTGAAAATGGCAGCTGATGAAAGGAAAAGAGTGAATCCCAAAGGCAGAAAGACAGGAGGAAGCAAAATTACAGGCAGAAAGTCTGATTTTTGATGTTGCTCATTGTGAAATGTACACCCAAACTTTTAATAAAACATAAAACATTAATAAACCTGCTAACAATTCCTTACAATTTCTTTTGAAGTCTGAGTATAATTTCTGAATACTTATTAAAACAGGCGACGATTCAGAGGGGGTTGAGCAGTTTTCTGTCTATGGTATGTGCTATATTGGTAGATACTCTACTTGTGACTTTTGAAATAAGATTTTTATTGATGCTTTTAATTGAATCACATGAAAGGATTGATTTTCAGTTAATAGAAGTATCCAGATTCTTTCGTTTCCGTTAAGATAAGCTGGTTTTAATTTTGATACTGACATCAGCATATACCACAATCAGTGCTGCTATCCTGTTTAAATCATTTGAACTTTCAAAGAAAAAGGAGATACCTGAGTCTTCATGCATAGGTTTGAAAGCTCTCTAAGCCAGAGTGCTATGTCTCGAGAGTCCTTACTCCATTCTCAGGAAGAATGTGAATCAGTTTGATTTCACAAAACCACAAACACTGCACCTTGCCATAGAGAGACAGATTATTCATGCCAAAAGTAAACATTTTCCCAATCCCCAGGCTCTGCCTCTTGAGGATTGATTTCAAATTGAAGATTTTAAGAGTTCTTCAGTGTACTTATCAAGGTGTTTCCCATTTTGCAATAAAAACTAGTCTTCAAGGCTTTCAGTTATTTCATAGCCAAGAGAGATTCCTGAAAAATGAAATGTTCATCATTTAGAAATCCAAATTTCTGGATATTAGACAGACTCGGTCTCTGTGAAACGGGAGTTCATCTATACTAAAATAATCATGCTACTACCACTAAGGAATGCAAAATAATTACATGTTCTTCGAGATTCCAAGCAATTACAGTTGCATGATTTTATAGAT